>NC_000008.11:127589222-128214222 GCF_000001405.40 Homo sapiens | reverse complement strand
ATCCCAGCTACTCAGGAGGCTGAGACAGGAGAATCGATTGAACCTGAGAGGCAGAGGTTGCAGTGAGCTGAGATTGCACCACTGCACTCCAGCCCGGGTGACAGAGCAAGACTCTGTCTCAAAACAAAACAAACAAACAAAACCAACCAACCAACAAACAAAATTATAAAATAATTATGAATTTTTATTATTGATAATATAACAAAAAAAATTTATTTTGTTTTTACCTGAAGCATTTTTCCTTGTCATTTAATGTTTTCCATTAAGACAGTGTTTCACACCCTCCAAGTAATTCATTCTTACAATTTCTATCACTACTTTAGAAAACGTTCTTTACTGGGTTTGAATCTATGACCATTAAAAAAATAGAAAATGTTCTTTAAGAATAATTCCCAAGTTATGGGATATGAGTCATTATCTTTCGCTCTTGATATGAAAAAGTATATTTTTTAATAGTTTTTAAGCTATCCAATCACTAGTCACAATATATTTTGGCATGAAAGCTAGTTAGGATGTAGTTCTACAGTGTCAAAATCAATTCTGAAAGAACACAGAGATCCCTACAGGATTTCAAGCTTCACTTTTCAAGGGAACATTACGGGTTGAACAAGCATTTGTTTCCTACATTTCCCTCTGGAGCCTCTCTGAGACAGATGAAAGAGGGAAAGGAATCTTTTTTATAAAGTAGAAGGCGCACCCGCCAGAAGCAATTACAGATGCGCAAAGAAAACATCCTTTAAAATTTTGGGTTTTGTAGAACATAATTCTATCACATAAAATATTCTGTTAAACAAAGCCTTACTTGCAAGATGAGGCTGCATTAGAATTCAGACATACTCTGTATGCCAGCAAAAGAAGTACATCCTTTCCAGACTCCTTTGTGCTTCCTCTGCACATGTCTGTAACTGATACAATACCCATGGCTCAAAGGAAGGAACTGAGGACTGAAATTCAGGATACTTGGATTTCAGACTTGCTTGCTACTAATTACCTGGATGACCTTGTGCTAGTAGTTACAAGGCAACTTTTCTGAACTTGTTTTTTATGGTAGAAATGAGTTATAGAAACAGCTGATGTCCAAGTTTTCTTGTGTCCAAACATTCTACTATGTTTCTCTTGATTTTGTTGTTTCCTTCTAGACTTGGCTCAGAGTTAAGAATGCAGTAGGCTGTCATTAAATATTACAACAGGATTCCCCTTAACACTTGGAAAGAAGGTGAAAATTCATGTGCTAATATTTATCCCTTGACACACAACCCATATTTTTAAGGTGCCTATTAGGTGTTGGACACTGTTATGTGATGGGGACACATAATAAGCAAAACAGAAACCATCTTTGTTCTTTGAAGCTGAGAGGAACATCAGATAATTAAACAGGTGATGACTATTAAGTTTGACAGATGCGGTGACCTCAGGGATAGCCAGCTTTGAGGTGCTGTGATTTTAAAGCTGGACCAACCACTGGAAGATGCTAATTGTACTGATGTGTCAGCTCCTTTAGATAACCCTCCCTGGCCCTTTCCAACATCCTTACCTCAGGCCGGATGAGGTGTTTCCCCTCTGGGCTCCCACAGCATCCACTGCCTACTTTCATCTGGTCCCTTAATACATTGAACTGAAAGTGTCTGGACATATGTATTCACTCCATTAGATGCACAGTTCTCAAGAAGATGGGTCATTTCCATTATTTCTTTGTGTCTCCACTCAACTCCTTATTTTAAGACATAGCACAGTTCCTGATGCCTTGCTGGGGCCCAGAAGATGTTTGTTGACTGGATATACCAGGTGGTAGAAGTCTAATCAGAGTCCAATCAGCCCAGGAGTCAAGGACCAGCTCTAGGCAACTAAATACTGTCTTGCACGGAAAACTTCGATATAAAAGTAATTATTTGGTTACCTTCATTCTCATTCAGATTTATCTTGTACTGCTCAAATATTTCCTCCTTTACCAAGCCACAGAAAGCATTGAGCCCTAAAGAAGAAATGATGTTGGAAAAGCTCTTTGACCTCTCTGCAAGAAGGTGAGTACACGCACACACACACACACACACACACACACACACACGATCACTTGATCACTTTATATTCCTCTGACTTTTTCTTTTTCTTTTTCTTTTTCTTTCTTTCTTTCTTTTTTTTTTTTTTTTTTTTTTTTTTGAGACGAGTCTCACTCTGTCTCCCAGGCTAGAGTGCAGTGGCATAATCTTCGCTCACTGCAACCTCCACTTCCTGGATTCAAGCGATTCTTCTGCCTCAGCCTCCTGAGTAGCTGGGACTGCAGGCGCGCGCCACCACGCCAGGCTACTTTTTTGTATTTTTAGTAGAGATGGGGTTTCACCATATTGGCCAGGCTGCTCTCGAACTCCTGACCTCATCATCTGCCCTCCTCAGCCTCCCAAAGTGTTGGGATTACAGCCTGACTTTTTCTTTTCAATTCAATGAGTTCTTATCAGCAGTTGACCCTTATCTCCCATTTCAGGGAACATGCCTTTAATAAACTCAGTAGAAAGTCAAAATACACAAAATGGTTCTAATACAACTCTAAGACATTGGTGCTGTCTTGCTGGTGGCCTGAAGGTATACCAGCAGCATCCTGATCAAGCTCTGGGTTCCTACCACTGCCAAGCAACCTCTTATCCAATTTGAATCAGGAAAGAAGCTTTCTGAGTCTGTGGATGGCTGGGAGCAGGGAATCTGCAGGTTAGTTGTCAGCCAACACCTTTGGTTCCTCCATTGTCTGACCCTGACCCATTAGTCTATCTTTTCTTTCTTCAGCTCCCACTTGCTCTTGCCAAGCTGAGGCTCTCTGTTCTCTGAAAGCCCAGCTTATCTTCCACCTCCTTGCCTTTGCACAGACTGAACTCTGGCATCAAAACTCTCCCACCCTCTCTGCATATTCAAATATTTCTTATTTTCAAGGTTAAAGTCACAGGGCAAATGCTCCAAAATGTCTTTTCTGATTATTCCAGCTTCATATAGTTTCTCCCTCCTCTGAGCTTTCTATGGAGCCTTCTGTTTGTACATATTCTTATTAGTTCCTGCCTGGTGTTTTGGGAGTTCATGGACTGCTCTCATCTTCCCTGCTAGCTGCAAGTTCACTGAGGGCTAATTCATTGCTACATTCCCACACCCAGGACAGACAGGATGCTCAGGACATTTGAGGCGGATGCAGGGATGGGTTCTTCCACCCACTCTTGCACTTCTCATTCTTCAAAATAATGGACACATCTGCTATTTGAAAGGAGTGAGGGGGATTTGAGAGGCCTAGTTGCTAGAGAACTTCCTCAGTTTGGATCCTTTGTTCTATCTAGGCTTCACCCAAGCTAGGCTGATCTTGGGTGGAAAGCACTCAATTCCAAGGGAAAGCATGGGCAAAGGCACAGAGATGTGAGCCCGCTGTGACTTTTGGAAACCATAGAGTGACTTGAATTCAGAGTCCACAGTGAGAGAAGACATGTAACTGGAAATATAGGAACAGCCTCAGATGCTAGACACACTTACATGCTGTTTCAGAAGATGGGACTTTATCCCATGGCCATTGAGGGCCCCCCAAGGAAGGTAAGCAGAGGAGGCAACAGTGAGGCTCTGAAAAATGACCCTGGCTGCTTTGTGAACAAAGACGGACAGGAAGTGGGGGTCAGGGAGATCAGCTAAGGGAAAGTTTGTTAGATTCCTTGAATGTACCATCTCTTTTGGTTTACCCTAGGTGGGAGAAGGAGAAGTAGTAAATTTAGATGGCATGCAAGCACTTTTTTTGCAAATAAAAAAATCTCTGAGAAACAAATGGGCTAACTATACCCAAAAGCCTTCCAAACATCCAGGCAACACACAAATATAAGATACCCATTCCGTCAGGCTAAGGGAAAAATGAAGCTTCAAATTAAGTACTGTTCCTAGGCACATCCTGCCTGTTCATTTTCTTCACACAGTGATTGACACCTGTTTTTAGCTGAAACATGCATTCTTCCCCAGAAAGTGAGGAGGAGGGCACAGAGCTTGCTGAGCTGGGGGAAAAGAGTAAGTTACATATCATTCAATACGTAAGTGTTATTTTAAAGTAAAAAATTCCAAAGTGGTTTTTGTTTGTTTTGTTTAACTCCTTTAAACAAGCAAAACAAACAAAAAGAAACACGAGTTTGTTTTACTCATATGTCTTTCATTTCTGTCTTGGATTTGTGGCCAAACCCCAGGTACATAACTACCACTCGCTGAAGAAGGTATGTGCCTTCGTTTCAGCTACGTTTCTCTGCTGTTTGGAATATTCTGCTTTCCTGTGGCTGCCATTTTTAGAGCTCTAGAAATCATACATAAAGAGAGCTGATCAGTGGGGAGAAATTTCAGTTGAGGAAGTGATAAGAGTTTGGATGTTTGCCCCCCCGCCCCTCCAATCTCACATTGAAATGTAATCCCCAATGTTGAAGGTGAGGATTGGTGGGAGGTAATTGGCTCATGGGGGCAGATTTCTCATGAATGGTTTAGCGCCATCACCCTTTGTACTGTCCTCGTGATAGTGATGAGTTCTTGTGGGATCTGGTCATTT
Source organism: Homo sapiens (assembly GCF_000001405.40). NCBI lineage: Eukaryota > Metazoa > Chordata > Mammalia > Primates > Hominidae > Homo > Homo sapiens. The sequence goes on along the minus strand of NC_000008.11, from coordinate 128,209,682 downwards.
GAAAGTGTGTAGCACCGGCCGGGCAAGGTGGCTCACCCCTATAATCCCAGCACTTTGGGAGGCGGAGGCGGGTGGATCACGAGGTCAGGAGATCGAGACCATCCTGGCTAACACGGTGAAACCCCATCTCTACTAAAAATACCAAAAAAAATTAGCTGGGCATGGTGGCTCCCGCTTGTAGTCCCGGCTACTCCGGAGGCTGAGGCAGGAGAATCACTTGAACCAGGGAGGCGGATGTTGCAGTGAGCCGAGATCGCGCCACTGCACTCCAGCCTGGGTGACAGAGCAAGACTCCGTCTCAAAAAAAAAAAAAAAAGAAAGAAAGAAAGAAAGAAAGTGTGTAGCACCTCTCCCATAGCACTCTCGGGCTCCTACTTTTGCCATGTGACATGCCTACTGGCTGTTCACCTTCTGCCATGATTTTAAGTTCCCTGAGGCCTCCCCAGAAGCCAAGCAGATGCCAGTATCATGCTTCTATACAGTTTGCAGAACCATGAGCTAATTAAATCTCTTTTCTTTGTAAATTACCTAGTCTCAGATATTTCTTTACAGCAATGCAAGAACAACTTAATACAGGAAGGGACTCAGAGCTGGTGCCCTGTGTTGCCGTAGTGCCTCCCCCTTAGCTGGGCAGAACTCTTCATTTGGGTCTTGTAGAGCATAATCGTATCACATTAAATATTCTGTTAAATAAAGCCTTGCATGGAAGATGAGGCTGCTTTAGAATTCAGATGTATTATTTATGCTAGCAAAAGAAATCAGTCTTTTACAGAATCCTTTGCCTTTCCCTTGTACATATATATATAGCTGATAGAAGATACTTAATGAGACCCCACATGGCAAAAATTTCTTTCTGGAGTCTTGTATGAATTCTCTACGCTCCATTTTCCTGTCTAAAAAGTAAGGTTGAAAATAACGAGAGCTGACCTTTGGAGTCTGTTACTCTATCACAGGGGCTGGAAACTATGGTTTGTGGACCAACTCCAGCATGCCACTTATTTTTGTATGGCCAGAGAGCTAAGAATGGTTTTTACATTATTATTATTATTATTATTATTATTATTATTATTATTTAAGATGGAGTTTTGCTCTTGTTGCCCAGACTGGAGTGCAATGGCACAATCTCAGCTCACTACAACTTCCACCTCCAGGCTTCAAGCGATTCTCCTGCCTCAGCCTCCCAAGTAGCTGGGATTACAGCGATGTGACACCACACCCAGCTATTTTTTTGTATTTTTACTAGAGACAGGGTTTCACCATGTTGGTCAGGCTGGTCTCAAACTCCTGACCTCAAGTGATGCCCACACCTTGGCCTCCCAAAGTGTTAGGATTACAGGCAGGAGCCACCGTGCCCAGCTGGATTTTACATTTTTAAATGATTGGAAAAAATCAAAACAATAGTTAATAGATTGTGACAAAGGAAAATGATATAAATCAAATTTTGGTGTCTGTAAATAAAGTTTCTTGGAATACGGCCACTTATTTGTTAACCTGTGGCCTACAGCTGCCTTCCACTGTGGTGACAGAGTTGAGAAGTTGACACAGAGACTAAATGGCCTGCAAAGCCTAACGTATTTATTATCTGGCCCTTTGCAGAAAAGAACTTCTGACCTGTGCTGTGTCTACTTAACAACCCTACATGTGAGTTCCCACCAGTGTTTCCATTTTAATGGTGAGGAGACTGGGGCACAGAGGATAACATGCTCTAGTGAGCACAGCTAGAAAGTGGATTCAGCGTCTACACTACCCAGTCAGACTCCAATGGGTAAACTCTCATTCTTTATATACTACATTTCTAAGCTTCTGTGTTACACCTCAAATCCCCCCAAAGAGAAATTGGTTAAAGAGTAAAAAAAATACTGTTAGCTAGAAGAAATAAGTTCTAGTATTTGAAAGTACAGAAGGAAACTTACAGTTAACACTAATTTATTATATATTTCAAAATGTGACTAAAAGAGAAGAATTGTAACATTCCCAAGACAAAGAAAAGATCAACTTTTGAGGTGATGGATATCCTGATTACCATGATTTGATTATTACACATTGTATATGGGTATCGAAATATCACACATCTCCCCAAATATGTACAACTATTATTTATAAAAAATAAATAAATTTAAAACCGAGTTGAGGTCTCGTCCCCTCTGAGAAGTCTTTCTCCACTATTTTATCTTCTATTATTCTCTTTCTCCTAGCAAATTTCCATATCACTCCCTGTCTCTGTCCTATTCCTTTTGGCCCTTAGTCTTGTCCTACTGCAGTCACTTACTTGTTTTGCTATCCCAATAGCATGCAAAGCCCGTTGAGGGCAGGCAAGGTGCCCGCTTTTACACCCCGATCATTGGCATAGGGGCTGACTCATGGTAGGAGCTTGGTGCAAATGTCACTGATTGAACAAATGTGACTTAGTAGGTGAGTGTGATTCTTCTCCTCTCTACTAAAGCAAGCTCATTTATAACAGAGATTAAAACTTCCACTCCCAGTGTGTCTCCCCACAGGGAAGAGCAACATGCCAGCTCTCAATGGTCTATTATTGGAGATTGCCTGTATTGAAAATGAAAATAAAGATATTATAACCGTCATTTATTGACAACGGTGTTTGACCCAACCCACCAAGGGGGACTTCCTGCCTTGGGGTTGTTCAGGCATGCCATTTCAGGATATTCTTTCTCAGTGAATCCTTCTCATCGCGAGCTGGACCATTTCAAGTCTCTCTTTGAGAGCCTGTATTGACTCACTACTATCTACAGAATCAAGTCCAGTTTCCTCAGCTTGGCTTTTAGAACTCTCAGGGGTTCGATGCCAAGACAACTTTCCAGCTACATCTTCTGTTTCCTCACATTAGACTTTCCACCATCTCCCAAGCTGCCACCTTAGCCTGTGACCATGCCTTTAATCACCCTGTTCCCCACCCCATGTCCCCAGTCATCATATCTTTGAATGCCTAATGCCATGGGGAAATGCAGCCTCTACAAGGACAGAGACTGTGCCCCAGTCAGTGCCCTCCTCTTGTCCTGCAGGTTTTAACCCAGTGGCTGTGCACAATAAATGCTCAAGAATGGCTTGTTTGTTGCTATGGTTCTAGTCTCTTATCCATCCACCTGTTCTCATCTAAATCCTCTGACTGCATAGAGGTAGGAACACATAGAGGTAGGGAAGAAGGTAGGAAAAGGAACAAAGACCTATGTGCCTCCAGTATTCAAGCTTATTCATTCATCCAACATTTATTAAACACCTACAATGTGCCAGGCACTGTGCTGAGAACTTTATATTTATTATCTCTCCTAATATTTATAACATCTCAGCGAGGTAGATACTATTATTAGCTTCATTAGACAAAAGGGTTAACCTAGGCCTAGAGGTGTGTAATTTGCCCAGGGTCACACAACTATTTGTGCCTGCTCATGGAACAAAACATATGGTTTTTCTATTACATGTCATCATCCTAAAACAAAGACCTTGCCACCAGGGAGTGGAGGGAGAAAACCTGTGAAACTCAAGAAAGTAATCATAACTCCCTGTGCAGGTAAAACAAAGGAAGTACAAGTGGCTTATTCACATAGAGATTTTTTTTTTAATTGTGAAATGAGGAACTCTACAAACCTGGGTGGGGTTTTCAACATGGTTGGCCTAGCTGAAACAGAGGAGGAAGTGAAAATCAAAGGAAGGAATGAAACACTGATTTGGAGTGAAAAAAATCTCTATCATCACACATGTTCTGGGTTTTTCTCAAACTCAATAAGTCTGTGTTCCAAACAGAAAACTTCAGGAAATTTAGGGCCTGGCCATGAAAATATACTGTTCAGATCTCTTGCCATGAGAAGCTGAATGAATGCCCCAGCTGCTGATATCTGCTGTGTTCATGTCCCGGCCACACCTCCTGTAGGCAGCCCCCAGCCAATGACTAAAAACCACAAAGAGACTGGTCCGGGCCCATTCCTTAACGCAGCAGTCCCCAGCCTTTTTGGCACAAGGGACCAGTTTCATGGAAGTCAATTTTTCCAGACTTGTGGGATCAAGGGGATGGTTTTGAGATTATTCAATTGCATTACATTTATTGTGCATTGTATTTCTACTAATACTATTACTACATTGTAATATATAATAAAATTATTATATAACTCACCATAATGTAGAATCAGTGGGAGCCCTGAGCTTGTTTTTCTGCAACTAGATGATCCCATCTGGGAGTGAGGGGAGACAGGGACAGATCATAAGGCATTAGATTCTCATAAGGAGTGTGCAACCTAGATCCTTCACGTGCGCAGTTCACAATAGGGTTCGCACTCCCATGAGAATCTAATGCCACTGCTGATATGACAGAGGGTGGAGCTCAGGAGGTAATGCAAGCAATGGGGAGCAGCTGTAAATACAGATGAGGCTTTGCTGGCTGGGCCACCACTCACCTCCTGCTGTGCTGCCCTGTTCCTAACAGGACATGGACCAGTACAGGTCCATGGCCCAGGGGTCAGGGACCCCTGTTTTAAGTCATGAAAATGTTCAGACAGGCTCAAGAACTCCCTCTGATCATGCCAAATTCTAGAATTTAGAGCCATACTACAATCTGAGACTCTTTGCCACTCAATTTTCTTTCCTCCTCCTCTCCTTTCACAGGTGTAAGACCTGCAGCAGGTCTGAAGCCTCTCCCTGCCTTCTACTTCCTCTTTCTTCATGGGTGTTTCCTCTAATAAATCTCCTGCACAGCTAATCCTACCCTCTGTGTGTGCTTCTCAGAGTGCCCAAACTTCCACATTAGTTCATTCAGACTTTCAGATAATCAAGATGGTTTTTTTAACTCATCTTCAGAGAGTTGGAAAGAATTAATAATAGAAAAACAATGATTCTCATACCCCTTGCCCAAGAAATTTCTGGCTTCTGAAAAAACTCCTCAAATACCACAGTAACTGCAATAATTGCTATGACAAAATATTTTTGTCTTTTACTCTGGAATAACCAGCTGAACGACATGAATGGGTGTTTGCTCACTTTAGAGACCAGAGAGCCGAGTCCCAGAACAGTGAGATGACTTGTGTGAAGTGCCATGTGTTAGTAAACAGGTATGGTAAACTGACATTGCCCAGCCCCTAATTTTATAGGCACTCCACGCTGCAGTGTTACATGACTTCATGTTTCACACCAACTGCAGGACACAATCAAGAAACCTCAAGTATCTATTTTGAGTAACATAATCAGTCCATTGAACCTAAAGAAACTCATTTCTGCATAGTAAAGAAATATCTATTTCTTGGGTGTTTTTAAACCACCTTAATTGTCTGGTCAAAGTCTTCAGCGGCATGAGGCCTCATCAGTTGTTCAATATAATCCCGGTGCCTAGAACCATTCCAAGACTACAGAAACCTCCTTATAACATTGACGGATTGTTGTTGGATGGGCTGAAGTTGGGATATCCACATGACATAATCCATTTTTCAAAGATGACAACTACAGTTGTTAAGTATGCATTTCAATGACAAACTGAAGAATGTAACATGTTATCAAAAGCCATTAAAAATAGCATTTATTTCACCCTTACAATGTGCCATACACCATGCCAGAACCACCATCGATTATTGCCCAGTTTTGCAGATGAGGAAACTGAGACATTGACATTGGAGACATTAAGCCATTTGCCCAGTGTGTCACACTAATAAGTGACAGCAATCAGATTCAAGTCAGATTAGACAACCACTCTGCCATTCTGTCTTCTTCGCCTGGGATTCCAGATTTGAGCACAAAAATCCTCATTTTGGCCTATCAGTGTGGGTAAACAAGACTGAAACCACAAATAATCCAGAATAGCCATGTATTTAAAGAAATATTTTCCAGTGCTTCATTCAAACTAGATCAACAAAGTGATACCTAAAAAGGCATTGTAGACCATTTGAGCTATGCGCTACATAGAGGACATTTATAATTATCTCATTAAAGGCTTGACAACTAATGCTTCCAAGGTGCTTAGTGCATTTCAAATCATTTCTTTTAAGGTTTTTCTCTGCAGATCCCTGTTATTTTGTTCACATTCTAACAGGGGAGCTTGAAAAGCCATAGGAAACTGCCCAAAGAGATGATTAAAGGGAACAAGCTTATCCTGACTTCCAATCTTGCTTAGAAAGGTCTTGGTCATTTCTGTGCATGCAACCCTTGAGTTTACCATCAGCCTCACCCATGCTGGTCTGTCTTTGACCACACTGACCAACTCATATCAAAGGCTGAATGTGGACAGTGTGACAGGCCATATTCAATTCTTCCCATGTTACCAAATTTAGAAAGAGTCATCGTCAGACTGGAAGAATAGCTCCATGGCTGCCTACCCCAGACTCGGAAAAGAGGAAATCAGAATTCTAGATGGAAAAAAGGCAAAAAGAAGAACATTCTATTCATGATTTATTTAGTCATTATTTATCCCCAACAAATATAAACTGAGTGCCATTTTAGGCCAGGCACTGTGTTAGGAACTGATGAAAACAGCATACTTGTTTCTTGAGGTAAAGGGAGGGATGAGAAAGGAAGTACCTTTTTCATCAGACCCTGCATACCCAGTGGCCTTCCTTGTTTCGGTCCCATGGGTCTATCCTGAGTCTTCTCAGCCAACCCTGGTTACCCACTCATTTTGCCAGCCATTTGTTTACAGCTGGATATGTGACACACTTCTGGTCAATGGTATGTAAGAGAAAGTCTGAAAGGGGCCTTCTTGGAAATATTTGCCTCCCAGATAGAAAGAAAAGCATAGGAGAAGAGGCCCTTTTTGTCAGCCCTCCCCCTTTCTTCTTGTCGGACATGATGTTCTGAGAGGACAGAATGCTTGGGGGTGAGGCAGCCATATTGCAACCATGAGGAGAAACATTGCTGAAACTTGAAGAATGGAAGAACAGAAAGATATACAGGATGTAGGTCCTCGATGACATCGAAAGGTGACATGCATTGGAATCCAGCAAGTATGTGATCAGCTCAGAGAGGCCTAATGCATGTGAAGATTTAATACCTGTCAGGTTTTATTAATAATATCAGTGAACAAAATGAAAACTTATAGTATCCACTTATTCTAGATCAGTTTTGTGCCAGGCAATGGGCCAAGTGCTTTTCACATTATCTATTTTCATTTGCACAGGAGAGCAAACAGATGTTCAAAAAAGTGAGATTGGGCAGCCACCTCGTATTTACCTAAACCCAATGCAGTTTTTACATCTCTATCATCCTTCCTCCTTCTTGTGTTAACAGCCCCTTGATGTTCCCATGGGGAGCCACAGTTACCCATCCCATGTGGTTCTGGATGAACCATCAACTGTGGTGTCTCAGGCCCCTTTTAGATAATTGAGAAACAGTAAACACTAAAAAAACTACTGATGTTCTCTCTTCCGCTACACCCCAAAGCACATTTGGTTCATTCTCTTTAACATATAAAATATAATATTTTTACCTTGTTCTTTTTCCAAGACCCCACCACATTTTTTTAAAGGACCATCTTTTTAATATATTTTTCAGCACATCACTTATTCTAGATAAATATACCATCTTACTAAGGTTCTATTTGGGAGTCAAGCAAAGTTCCAGCCTCCCAAATTCTATGTGTTCTCACCACAGACTAGCTCTAGAGGTATGTGGAGAAGGTGCAGTTACCAGGAAACAAGGAGTTAGAAGGAAAATATGTGGGAGGAAGGGCTCTCACCACTCACACTTGTTAAAGAAATATTACAAACAAACACAAACTCCGAGAACAGATTCCCCTGCAAGCACACTGTCTCTGCCAGGAAAATATTGCTCATTCCTTAACGCTGGAAAGGAATGAAGAGATGAGATCTGCCTAGGAAGTTCAAGAACATTTTCAGCCTGTTAATATGGCTTAGCACCTTTCAGATTCACACTGCTCAGACCATAGAATGCAGAGGTCAGCAAACTACAAACCAAGGGCCACTTCACATCTGCCACCTCTTTTTGTAAATAAAGTTTTATTGCAGCACAGCCATACCTATTTGCTTATTAATTGTCTATGACTGTGTTCACACTACAATGGCAGCATTGAGTTTCTGTGACAGGGACAGTCTACTCTGCAAAGTCTAAAATATTTTTTATACCTGGTCATTTACAGGAAAAGATTGTTGGCCACTGGTCTAGTAAAATAATATTAGCAATTATCAGTTATTCAAAATCTACGTTTATCTAGATTTAGGCCTCATGACCTCTGAAGTAGGTACCCAAATCCTTATTTCCAAAATGAAAGCAAAGTGAAGCTTAGAAAACTTCAATAACTCACCAAAGGTAATAGACAGAGCAAGGATTCAAACCTAGACTTATTTAATGAATATTACCTGATGCTCTACTGTGCCTTGGGCATGGGCTAAATAAAGAGAACACAGTCGTGAGCAACACTCGAATCTCTCTTCACTCTTTGGCAAAAGGGGTAGCCCCTTCTCCATCTACATGCACCATCTGGGTGAGTTCCGTTCCCTTCTAGGCATCTCTAGATGCACATTTTTATTTCTGCCAATAGCAGAGATGTAGGCGGTGGGGAGGGCTAATAATAATACTCACAGTCAAACAACTTCAATTTCCAAAAAGATTTTAGATACATGACTTCATTTCACCTTCACCATTGCTTTTTGTCCCTTTCAGAGAGGCAGTATCACAAAGCGGTTAAGAATGAAACTTCTGGCACCAAAGTGCTTGCATTTGAGCCCTATTTGCTAGATGTGTGAACTTGAACAAGTTACTCAACCTCTCTGTGCCTCCATTTTCTCATGTTTAAAGTGGGGATTATGACAGTAATTATATTGTGGGGTTATTATGAGAATTATTTGCATAAACACATGAAGCACTGAGAATAGTGCCTGGAATATAGTTAAGTGCTCAATGTTTACTTTTCATATTGTTTTATGGATGAGCCCAAGAATCTTGGTCAAGGCTTGTAGGCAGAGGCAGAGCAAGAGATTCCAAATCCCAGCCTCCTCTTCTTAATGTTAGAAATGTCCTGGAACCCAGCCCTCTGTTTCTGCCTTTCAGGTCTCACCACTGCCCCTCACACACTGTTGTTCTTGTCCAGGCTGCAGATGCTGTACTGTAGTGGAAAATGACCTAGAGCTGGAGATCAGAATGGAACACTGCACAGCAATGTCCAGAAAAGGAGAGAAAGAAGGAAAAAGAGAAAAGAATATGAGGGTAGGAGGGCCTATGCAGCATTCTGAGCAGCGTCAGGGCTCCATGCAGGGGTGGGAGCACCCTGGACAGGGGAATGATTCAGTGCTCCTTCAAGGAAATATGTGTTTAACTGTTTGGCCACCTATTCTGTGTGGGAAAATCAGAGAAAATAGCTTGTTGGTAGCAACCTCAGCCTCCCCTCTGTCCTCTCAAACAATTCAGCTCTGACCCAGACTTGCATATCTTCCTGGCACTGACCTGATCCACTATCCCTAGAAGATAACTCTGTTGGCACCTCTTTCCACCTTCAGTGTCGTATCAAACATTTTTCCAAGCAGAATTCTCCATGGAAGGAATATTAATAAATAAACTGTGTTCCATGTCATTAAATTTCCAGTGATGGCTCAGAGCCTATTATAGAATCAATCCTCTGGCAACTTCCTGTCTAGCCCACCCCTTAATTTGACTCGGAGTAGAGTTATTGCCCATTTTCAAGGCTAAGTAAAAAGGCATAATCACAAAGATATGGTCAGGGAGTGGAGAGGAGCCAAATCACATACCAGCATGAGCAGAAAGATGGCTGTAATTTAGAGGGAATCAGGCCCCTTCCCTGAAAAACACTCCTCCATGTGCCTTGCCAAGGGACCTCTTTATCAAGATATTCATTTTTTTTAAGAGGAAGCAGCCATTTAAGACATCAACTGATAAACTAAATTGGAGCCAGAAATGTGATTTAAATCCTGATTCCAAAATCTATTACTGTTTACATCATTTATAGAGTATAAATAATTATACTCACTTTACAAATATCATTGCAACATTTGAATGAAATAACATTTTTAAATATCATAAAATGGTTGGCCTATTGCAATTGATCAATAAATATTATTGTCATTTAAGTAGACAAAGGAGGTAAGAGGGTCCAGAAAACTTTGTTTTGCCACGAGTCTGCTAAGCAATCAATCAGAAGGAATGTTCAGATGAGATCCCTTGAAAACATTCTTCTCCATCTACCTGCCACCTCCTGGCAGCTGGTGTCCAGGTGAGTGAGCTTCTGATGCCCTGGACGCTGCACACAGTGTTGGGTGACACAGTGAAGCAGATGAGATGCACCCATGGCCTCTCTGGGAACAAGAGATTAAAGGGGTCCTTTCTTAAGACCACTCTCTCTGAGTGAGGGTCTGAGAGGACAGAAGTGGTGGATGAGGGAGTAAAGATAAGAATGGGAACGGACAAATAGTGGGAGACTTATGTGCCCACAAACAGCTAAATCATCATCCTCACTCACTGAGGCATCCTTTTATGTCCATGGCTGCCTTGTCCTGTGAACCAGCCTTTGGATAAGATAATAACAACAACATAGTGAATGTTTATTTAGCACCTATTATGAGCTAGACAATCTACTAGGGGTTTTACATACATTCTTTCTTTTAAAACTTCCCTCAAATCCCATGAGGTTGGAACTCTCATGATCTTCATTTTGTACATGAAGAAATAATCTCAGAGAAGCTCAATAACCTGCTTGGGGTCACTGGCAAAGTTGGGAATTAAACTCAAGGTCGCCTGTGTTGCATTTTCTGGTTGGTAACATACTAGAGCATGTGCAACCCAATAAATGGTGACAATGATGATCAAGATAAGGAGACAGTCATGGGTTCCAGAGTGGTACCTTGAAGACATCCTCGCCTCCTTAGTGCCTCTCTCTGAATTCTTCCCTTAGTCTTCCCTCCCTCCTGGGACCACCAAATTACTATCTTTTTAATTCTTCTTTTGATTCTAGCTCATCTAGTCAGAAGTTGTGACAGTTACTGAGGAGAGGTTCTCATGATTCAGAGGCTCACTGAACCTCTATGCCTCACCCTACTCTAGTGAGGAAATGTAGCTTTAACATACTCTCTGAGGAGCCAGGGGACTGGGTTTGAGTCCATTCATTTGTCACTGATTACCCAACCTTGGCCAAGTCACTTGACCTCAGTGAGTCTAGTGGATAATCAACACCTGTTCTATAAACACATCATATTCTCAGAAGGTGGCTGTGATGTCACCTCTTTCTACCATCTCCTCCCATCACATATTCTTTCTTAAGAGATTCTGCTTCCACTCTACTCCCTCAGTTGTGGTCCAGAAGCCCAAAATAATAGCATCTTTTGGAAGAACATCTTCCCAAGGCTCTAAGCTCCGCTGGTATGCTCAGTGCTCTGTGTAAGTCCTTTCTTCCCTGAAAGCACAGTGATTTAATATGGTCCAGAAGTTCTCAAACTTGAGTATGCAACAAGACCTATAGGAAAACTGTTAAAACTCAGATTTCTGGGCTCCACTGCCAGAGTTTCTGATTTAGTAGGTCTGGAGTGGAACCAAGAATTTGCATCTGTAACAATTTACCCATCGATGCCGATACTGCTGGTCCTAACACCATTCTAAGAACTGCACAGCCAGGATGAATTGGTCAACCTACCTGAAGTCACTGCTCAGCTCTTCTACTTTCTAGCTGAGCAAACTTGGGCAGGTCAATTTCTCTGAGCCTCAGTCTCAATCAACATTAAATGGAGATGATAACAATGCATATCTCAAAAAGTTATTGCAATGACTGGGGGAGTTCCTGCACATAGAGCCTTCAGTGTTCTACCTTGCTCTTAGCAAGTGCTCAATATTTGTGAGTTGTTAAAATTCCAGGGGTTTTAAAGCCCCTGGGATCAACTATCCTGCATCCCCTCACTAGGCTGCACTGCACAACCAGCTTCAGAGTAAACCAGTAATTAGAGAATGACTCATTGTCAATATCTGGGCTAGTGGCTAAACAACCTTGAGGATATTTAGTTTTTTTCTGTAAGGAAAGAGCTCATGACACAATACTGAAAACTCAAAATTTGGACCTGGGTAAACTAGTGGAGTAACCTCAAGCAAGTTCAATATAATTTCCAGGGTTCAGGTTCCTCGTCTGTTCAATGGGAACAATAATGTTCACCTCAAACTGAATGAGCTGTCAGCCTGTTTTGTGAGCTATGGTCCTTCTACTTGTGAGAAATCCAACAGCTACCTAAATATTTGTGTCCATTACTGATCCAGGCAATTAAGGTGCCACGACTGATCACCTGAGTTCAGCCACTGCTCCCTGTCCCTTGACTGTGCTGCCACCTGGATTCTGTTATGTAATGAACCCTCATTTCTGAGGAAGACCAAGTTCCCTGTGTTTCCAGTGAATGCCATTGGCCTATGTACCTAGCTACAGGCCATTCCAAAAAAGTGATGTTTTGCAAAGGCTGGATACAGCCACAAAGCTCACAGGAGACAAAGTCCATAATCATGTGCCCATTTTTCTTCCCCTTCTCCTCCAAAAGTCAATTACATTACTCACTAGTCATGCTTTGAAAAACCTCCAAAAATCCCACAGGAAAGCACCACAAATTGTTTTTATCATTTTTGTTCCATTTCTCCTGTTTGCTTAGTAATCCTGGCAAATAACTTTGTGCAAACAAAAACCTTTTAATTCTATTGGGTTCTTGCCTGTGACACTAGAGGCTCAATGTTAAGGTCCAGGGATAGGTGGAAAAAGTGTTTTGGATTTAAACTACCTTATAAATGAGCTTATAACAAAATGAAAGAACACTTAGCAGTAATATCTTTATTCATTTAAATAAATATTGAGTGCTTACTGGGTGGCAGGCACAGTTCTTAGCTGTTCAGAATATAACAGAGAATATAGCATAGGCTCTGTCTTCTTTTTTTAATACCCAATCAAGGAATATTCTATACGATAGAAATAATTAATGGCAGAGTATTTGACCAGTAAACACTGGCTCTGTCACCTTCAGTAGTTTAATTTGAATTGGTCAATGTATGAGTACTGAAAAGACAAGACTTTAAGAAGTTATCTACCTCTTGCTTTTTAATTTTTTTTTTTTTACTGTGTCAGAAGAAATTATGACTCTTCACAAATAAGAAAACAAGTAATGGAAAATATTTTACCTATTTTTTAATTGGCTACATTAAACAGCTATTCATATGTTTATTTATTCCCTCATTCAATCAACGATTGTTTTCTGAGACTTTTTATCCTCCAGGTACTAGAGATATAGCAGTGAATGAGACGCTCCCTGCCCTCCAAGACCTGTTAGTCTGTTAGGGCTAGATAATTAACATTCAGAATGGTGAATTGTAGGAAAACAAAAATAACAGATACAAAATAAACAAGAATCGTAAAGCCTGAGTGTGCCTGACAATGTGGCTCACATATATTTGTACAATGCCAGGTACCTTACACATATTTGTGTAACTCTCTCAACAACCCTACAAAGTTGGGAAGTATTATGAACCCCGCTTTACAGCTGGAAAATTGAACCATGGACACATCAGGTCACACAGCACTTAAGTGCCACATTTGAGGAGGAAAACTTTGTAGTTTTTAATGACCATACGTTGGTTCATCAAGTAAAACTTCTAAGCATTAACTTAGAGGTTGAATGACAACTTAACTTTGCCATCAGCCTAGAATATCTTCACTTACAAATGCCCCAAAACATGAAACTTCTTATCCATTGGGATTCATTTCAAATATGAAAGAGTCCAGCAAGAGATTTTTTCCCAGCACTGAGTGCCCAAAAGATTTAATGGTCCCACCGGGTTGTGGCCAGAGAAGCACATCATATAAAACAAAGACAATGGAAGGACAGAAGATTTGCTTCCTGCCCCAGTGCTGTCTCTCTCTGCCATGTGACCTCCAGTAAATTGTTGGAGTTTGGGTTCCCCTTTTAAATTCAATGGGGATTTCAATGCCAACTTCAGGCCATCATTTAAGGGGGTTAGAGGTGAGTGTGTTTATTTATTTGTTTGTTTGTTTATTTATTTATTTATTTATTTATTTATTTATTTTGAGATGGATTCTCGCTCTGTCGCCCAGTCTGGAGTGCGGTGGTGCGATCTCGGCTCACTGCAAGCTCTGCCTCCCAGGAGAATCAAGCGATCCTCCTGCCTCAGACTCCTGAGTAGCTGGGACTACAGGAGTGTGCCACCATGCCTGGATAATTTTTTGTATTTTTAATAGAGACAGGGCTTCCCCATGTTAGCTAGAATGGTCTCAATCCCCTGACCTCATGATCTGCCCTGCTTTGCCCTCCCAGAGTGCTGGGATTACAGGCATGAGCCACCATGCCTGGCCATGAGTGTGGTTTCTGAGCTGCTATATGACTATTGAGCAAAAGTCTCTTGCTCCTCTAGACCTCACCATCACCATCCTCTGAATCTTGCTTTGTCCCTCTGAAAGAGTATTGTATCTCATGTAACCTGACTCCATATGAAAGCTATGTTTTTTATTACCATTATCAATACAGTCATCATCGTCATCAGCAGCAGCAGCATCATCATCATCTCCATTAGGAGCTTTGGCCCACAAATACATCAAAATGTATTTACTGAGTGTAAGTTAGTCTGGGGCATCAGAATCCTTTTATTTTTATTTTTATCTTTTAACTTTTATTTTAGGTTCAAGGAAACATGTGCAGGTTTGTTATACAGGTAAATTCTTGTCATGGGGGTTTGTTGTACAGATTATTTCATCAGCTAAGTACCAAGCATAGTACTCAATAGCTATTTCTTCTAATCCTCTCCCTCCTCCGACCTTCCACCCTCAAGTATGCCCCGGTGTCTGTTGTTCCCATTTGTGTCCATGTGTTCTCATCACTTAGCTCCCACTTATGAGTGAGAACATGCCGTATGTGGTTTTCTGTGCCTGTGTTAGTTTGTTAAGGATGATGGCTGCCACCTCCTTCCGTGTTCCTGCAAAGGACATGATCTCATTCTTTTTATGGCCACATAGTAGTCCACGGTGTATATGTGCCATATTTTCTTTATCCAGTCTACCATTGGTGGTCACCTAGGTTGATTCCATGTCTTTGCTATTTTGAATAGTGCTGCAATGAACATATGTGTGTGTGTGTCTTCATGGCAGAACGATTTCTATTCCTTTGGGTATATACCCAGTAATGGGATCACTGAGCCAAATGATAGTTCTGTGTTTTGGTCTTTGAGGAACCACCACACTGCTTTCCACAATGATTGAGCTAATTCACACTTCCACTAACAGTGTATAATTTTTCTCTTTTCTCTGCAACCTTGCCATCATCTCTCATTTTTTAAAATTTTTATTAATAGCCATTCTGACTGGTGTAAGGTGGTATCTCATTGTGGCTTTGATTTGCATTTCTCTAATGATCAGTAACATAGAGCTTTTTTCATATGCTTGTTGGCCTCATATATGTTTTCTTTTGAAGTGTCTGTTCATGTCCTTTGCCCATTTTTAATGGCGTTGTTTGGGTTTTTTTTTCTTGTAAATTTGTTTAAGTTCTTTATAGATACTGGATACTAGACATTTGTTGGATACACAATTTGCAAATATTTTCTCTTGTTCTGTAGGTTGTCTGTTTACTCTGTTAATAGTTTATTTTACTGTGCAGAAGTTCTTGAGTTTAATTAGATCCCATTTGTCAATTTTTGCTTTTGTGGGGTGTTAGAATCCTGAGCCTAAGGCTACGTCATCAGTCATAGCCAAAAGCCCTAGAGAAAAAAGGAACTCTGTAGAGGTTTAGCTCAAAAGGGAAATCATCATCACATCAGCAGCTGCTTTTGCTGATCTGGCATGAATGAACCATGTACTCTGGATAGGCACTTTACAAAAACCACAGAACTTTGCCAGCTTAGAGTTTCTACATTGCCCCACTGGCTCTCCCTGAATTACCACACCCGATGCTATTCAATGATTCTGTGTGGGCCACTATGTCACCGCTATCAGCTAAGGTAATAATACAGTATTTGTTAGCATCATTCCAGCTTTACAGCCTTCTACCTACAGTGCTGTATTTTCAGGTTCTCTTACCTCCCTAGTCTTTTCACACTGCCCCTGCAGGGATTTTTCTTTCTGCTATGCAATCCAGGTCACTCCAGGCTTTCCTTGCTTTCTTCCATGCATGTCACAGACTGGCACTTTCCACAGCCTTAGCTCCAATTAATTCTTTGTTTTGTTTGATTTCCAGCCAACAGCCAGCAACTCTTTGGGTTTTACTCCTGGTTGCTTAAATAAATAAACCAAATGTTAATTTGTTGCTCATTGATTAAGTGCAGAGATCGTGTAACTGAAAATACTAATGATTTTCTAAGTGTCCACACTAGCACAGTAATGGTGTCAGGTTTAGTTCGTGTTTGGTGTAGTGGAGGGAAGGGGAAGTTCTTTCTTTAACATTTTTAATTTTATTTGTTTCTTCCAATAGCCTGGCAAAGTAGACAGGACAGGAATTATTGTCTGTATTTCACAGATGAGGAAACCCAGAGATATTAAATAACTTGTTGAATGCCACCCAGCTCAGAAAAAGGTAACTGCAGCTAGGACTCAGTAAACCTGACTCCCTGTTCATGAAACTGTTGTAGGTGGCTCCATTTCCCATCATGTACTCCTGTGGAATAATAATAATCCTTTATGTGATGTATTAATATTTTCATAAACATTTTCTGTGTTTTTCAGCATGTCTTCCACGAAACAGCAGTTGTGTGAAATGCACTATAAGAAAAGAGTCCCTGTGGTCAAATGTGTGTAATATGCTGTATACTGCACCCACTTCTTGGAGAGTCAGTACATTGGTTAGTATGTGAAAGCCTCTGAGAAGTCCTGCGGCAGTACAAGACTTGGAAATTAATTTTGACCCAGCGGTGTCCAAATATATTTGAGCATGGATAGACAAGAGTGAAAGCAGAGACACCATATTCCAACAATACAGACAAGAGACAAGAAGTGTTTGGGCAAAGGAGGATGGCAGCAGAGGTGGTAAGAAGCAACTGGATTCTGAACATATTTCAAATGCAGAGCCAATCAGATTTGCTGGTGGATAGGATACAGAGTGTAAGAAAATGAATGAAGTCAAGGATGATGCTGAGATTTTTAGGCCTGATCAACACATGAACAGAATTTTCACTTCCTTCAGGAAGCTCTCCCTAGCCTAATAGCCCCACCCTTACCATCACAACCTCTTACCACATCAAATCTCTTGCCTTCAGAGATTGCACAGTTTTAGTTATATCTTTGTTGATGACATTTTTGACAATGGCTGAGTTTATCATTTTTGCTTGCTATTGTATCTCCAGTGCCTAGCACATTGTAGGCACGCAATAAATATTTGTTGAATGAATGAATGGACAGAGACTAGCATGTGGTAGTTGTTTAAACTGTAGCTACCATATTATTAATCTATCTAATATCCAGGTGATATTAATATTAATATGACTAATCAATTTAATATGCAGTGCGGGGCTGGAGAAAGGTGGAAGAGGAGTGACTGCTAACAGAAAACAAACAAAAAAAAGATGGTCAGAAACCCCAGCTCTAATTTGAGTTATGCCCATATGTTTCTGAGTCTGCCTTGGGCAAGTCTCTTCACCTTTTGAGACCCATTCTTCTAATACCGTTCAAAAATAGATAAGACAATATGATTTTCATCAGCCCTGCACCTTGCTGTCCATGGGTCTAAGTGAAAGCAATAGCTTGTATCTTCAGTAATGTCATGCAGCACTCTTCAATGCAGAACCTGTCTGATTTAATGTTCCATTCTCTAGCACAATTTAAGTCCTTTGGGTACCTGGAAAAGGGTAATGCAATTGTTGCTGAAGTCACCCAGAAGACTTCCTGGAGATTTTCTTTCTTCCTCCTTCCAAGACCTTTAAGTAGCAGATGAATATACTGGTGTGTGGTAGAGGGAGAAAAAAAAAAAAAACTTTTACAGTTTGTACTACTCTAGTTCAACTGACAAGATTGCAATAGGAACTTGCCCCTTTCCTACCACCTAAAGGACTACTGGGCAAAAGTCACTCACCACTCTAGACCTCACCATTCGTTTGAATTTTGGTTTGTCCCTCTGAAAGAGTCCTTTTTCCTTCCAGATGGGAATGCACACAAATACGTTTCCCATCTGGACCTTTTTTGAACCATTCGCCCTAAAAACCAATCTTGGGTTCTTGAATCTGGCCAGCTTGCGCGGACGGTAACCTCACCACAATGCATACACAGGTCCACAAGGTTTCATTAGCTCTCTCAATGAGAGCTCTTTTGGGTAAAGCTACCCAGAAAGTGATTTTTAGTTTCATTTCATTTATTTTTGTTTTCCACCTGGCTGCCCAGGGCAAACATCTACCCCAAGAGCTTCTCCCTCTGGGGACCATCCTCTCTATCATTGGTTGCCTTGGTACAAACGTTGCACATGTCTCCTAATGCTGAGGCTCTGCTAGACTCTTTCTTTCCCCAGAAGAGGTCACTACCTGATTAGAAAAACAGTAGCTTTCATTCAGCCCCCAGCCCCTCACTGCCACTCAACGCACAATTCTCCATGGCTAATAGCTAAACCCAAAAGTCACTCCATCTTTCCTAATGTTGTTACCATTCATTTTATGATCATTGGTCTGTGAAAAATATTCAGGGCATCATCTGCTTATTACTTCCAGTCTTGTTTTTGAAATATTCCACCATGACAATTTTTTAATTTTCCCCTCAAAATGGCCCTCTGCTGCTACTTAGCCTAGTTTATAGGTGAGAAGACTGAAGGACAAAGAGATGAATTGGCTTACACAACGACTATCGACAGCAAAGGTTACACGAGAATTTGTGTCTCCTGATAACATGTTCAGATGTTGAAAAGAGAAGGTGCCAGAATTTTATTGGTTGGGCCATTCTTCTAAAGGAGGAGGGGAAAACCGGAACACGGAAACAATTCAAGTTGAGAAATGTCATCCTGTGAAAATAGACAGGAGGTGACTGGAAAGCCAATGGCTTAGCTAGAGGGCAGCTCAACATTCTTTCTGGCTCCAGGATTCCAGGATTCCTTAAAAACCAGGATTCCCTGGAAACTATGATACAAAAACGATGACAGCAGAAGACTTCACCAAGCCTTACGGTCAGTCATGGGGACAAGATCAAAGGGTGGGCCAGTGCACCATGGATCCTCTGTCATTGAATGAAGCACCAGGGACATGTAGTATATCACTCTGAGCTCTTGGTTTCAAGAACATAGGGAGAAAAATTGGGGAAGAAGGGTTAGTGATTTACTGGAAGTTTATCAGAGGTTCTCAGCAACAGGAAACTTAGAAGAACAAGAACTGTAGCAGTCTGGGTGATTAAAGAGGAGGAAGCTCAACAATGATCTTGTAGGAAGAAGGAAGAATGTAGCCGAATACCACCACTGCAGCTGCCTGAGCTGTGAATAAATTTTACGTGAGTATTTAGCTTTGGGACATACTCTCAGGTTTCAAAATCCCAGAAGCAAGAGTCACACAGTCAGGATTCAAAATCTCAGAGGCAAGGTGGCAGAGGGATATAATGGGCCAGACTCTGGACATTTGCTAAACTCTATCAACCTAGGGATGAAAAGAGGGAGGATTTAAAGTCTCTGACATCTGTGATAAGTAGAGGCCACTATTCTCCAACCATACTACAAAAAAGAGGCTCTGTACCAACAAGGAAGGAGTCTGCATGTTGGACAGCTCCCAAAATTACAATTTGGGAGAGCCCACTACATAGTAGGCTGGTATGCATTGCTGTAAGTTCAGTGCTTCTTCCAGAGCCCTAGAAGAGGCAGAACACTATAGCATTCATGGTCGATATAAATAATAGCTATAATTTAGCAATCACCTACTGTGAAGTGAGCAAAATAGGTACTATATTCATATATTATCACATTTTATTTTCACAACAGCCCTGCAATGGGTTTTATTAATTCTGCTTTACAGAAGAGGGACTTGAGGCTCAGAGAGGCAAGCTATTTCTAGAGTCAAACAATTTGCAGGGAGAATTAGAACTCAAATCTAGTTTGCTGTGCAAGGCTGCAGCTCTTTCCACTACCTGATACTGTGCTCTCCAGACTAGACTAGGGAATCCTGTATTTCTATAGCAATGACAGAAGAAGGATGAAGACTCCACAGGAGCCAAGTTGGAAAGGTCATTTTTGATAAGGGTTTGAACCAGGTTGGTATCTGAAGTCATCCAAAAAATAAATAAATAAGAGGGAAGCAATAAACTACTGGAATAACCCCAACAGTGAATCACTTTCCATTTTTATGTGTTATTATGTGGCTTAAAAAATAAATAGGCAAGTGTTTGTTGAGTAAGACTGTATGAGATGCTATGGAAGGTGAGAGAACAGATAAACCAGTATCTTTCTCTCTTTTCATTTAAGTATCTTGAAATCTTGTTGTTTTCCTATATGCTTAAAAAGATAACTAGCAGTTTTAATTATATAAATTCAGATATTAAACAACAAGGGTCCTATGAACCTTTGTTGTCAGGGGAGTTTCACAAAAGCAGCAATACCTGAACTTCCCACTGAATATTAGGTTTGAACAAGTGAAATCTAGATAGGCGGGCACACCCAGAAGAGGACCACCAAAGCAAAGGCACAGACACAAGAGGAGATTGGTCCACCTGGAGTTGAGAGTTCATAATACCATGTAGGGAGAGAAAGAATTAAAAAGCATGTTGAGCCAGGGCCAGCAGCATACACCTATAGTTCCAACTAACCAGGAGGCTGAAGCAGGAAGATCCCTTGAACCTACAGGTTAAAATCTATCCTGGGTAACATTGCAAGACCCTATTTCTTAAAAGAAAGAAAAAAAAGGAAAAAGTAGGTTAAAGGTATCAAAGCAGGTTGAAATAAGTAAATGCAGAGGATTCTGAATCATAGGCAATGGGCCTTGACATTTATATGACAAGTGATGGGAATCTGAAGAAGATATTTGAACTCATTAATATGTCTAATGCCTAATAGAATGTTCAGGCTCTACCAGGTATGTTTGCTAAGTGAGCGAATGAATGAATGAATGCTGTGTATAGGATGTGCTAGCATGGAAAGAGTTAAGAGTGTATTGCAATGGCAGTCTGGATGATATAAGATGGTATTGGTAGCTGTAGAAAAGTTATGAAAAATTTGGAAGCAATGAAAAAGACACTATAAAAGGGAAAAAAGATTCTATTCCACCATTTTTTCCTGAGTGGTAATTTACATGAAAACAGTAGGAAAAAATTCTTCTAATAACCTCTAAATTCAAGAACTCATAACTCTACCAGTGGAGCTCAAGATGCTTATACATCTCTCTGGCAGTCAAAGAGCTAGTCAGGGGAAGAAAATGAGAAGCATATTTTTAAAAGCAGAAAGCAAAAATATTAAAATGCATGTTAAGCTTTGGAGGCAATATTTAACTTTTTCTCTAACTAGGTAATTGAAGCTCAATTTACTAATGGTCAATGGAGAAATGCAGGTCTTATTATTCCTGGTTTGCGATGGGAATACTGAGGGTCAAAGAAGCCCAACATTTCACAATGACTTGATTCCAGGTACATTTATTCTAAGACCTGTATTTTGTTTTGTATTATCACATGTCACAGAAGACTTGAGGAAGAAAAGAGAAAAAAAGATGAGAAAGATTCAATTCTAGGAAGTCTCCTTAGTAGATGTCTCAGGAAATACATGATGGGACTGTATTATACTGAGGACCCATAGTTGAGCATATATAAAACTTTTCTCTCTGCACAGGTGTAGCACTCTTCTGTTTACCTAGGAGAATTTGCAGTGAATGATAATCCATTTTCTCTCCCAAGAGTTGGTAAACTGATTTTGTTTGTTTGTTACTTTTGAAATGCACAGACTGCATATATGTAGTTGGTGCTTTTTTACAAGGCTCTGTTGGGTCAATAAAGACGCTCCTTTTCCATTTCTCCTCCCTGCGTCTTACAGCCATCACATTCCAGCAGACACTAGGGAGCTCTCACCCAAGCCAATAAGCCGCAGAATTACCTAAAGCTACAATCATTCCCATCAAATAAGATCTTGCAGTTTGGAACAAGTCCCATAGCTTCAGCAATTTGGCTTCTTGGCCAGAGCCAAAAATGCTGATTTCCCCTCCCTGGAAGGTTTAGAAACCTGGGATGCACCATGGATGGGGTGCTCCTTGTGTTCTCTGCATCCTTCTTCATGACACAGGATCTGCTGAAGAGATGACTGAGGCTTCATAAAAGCTTTATGAGACACAGTGGAACAGAAAGGCTTTGAGCCACCATCACCTTTGTAAAGTCCAGCTGCTGCCATCAGCTCTGCAATAAAAGCTGAACAGAAAGGTTGGCCACATCCCACAAGTAATGCTTCTTTATTGTGATTCATTCAGAAACACCGAGTTCCACTGAGAAGCTGGGGATAGTCCAGAGGCAGCCTCAACCAAAACTAGCTACTTCTTTGAAATTATCATCCGAGAAATGTGCTTGAGTTTTAAGCCCCAACGGCTGGTTGCATCCCACTGGTCACTCCTGAGGTTAATATCCCTGCGCCTGTAGCACTGACTGCCTTTTCTCGAGTCCCCTGCTAACCCACCATCCAGTCTTACTTCCCTACAAAAAAAAAAAAAAAAAAAAAAAAGGCTTCTTTTTAAAAGCAAAAACCCAGAATTAATATGATGCATAAAAACTATTATAGCCGAAAGTGATGACTCACACTTGTAATCCCAGCACTTTGGGAGGCCGAGGCAGGTGGATCACCTGAGGTCAGGAGTTCCAGACAAGCCTGGCCAACATGGTGAAACCCCATCTCTATCAAAAATACAAAAATTAGCTGGGTATGGTGGCAGGTGCCTGTAATCCTAGGTATTTAGGAGTCTGAGGCAGGAGAATCGCTTGAACCTGGGATGAGGAGGTTGCAGTGAGCTGAGATCATGCCATTGCACTCCAGCCTGGGCAATAAGAGCAAAACTCCATCAAAACAAACAAACAAACAAAAAAACACACAAAAATCAAAACAAAACAAAAAACTATTATAGACTAGATTGGCCAGACAGAATGCAGCAACACAGTGGTGCTCATTGAAGGATCATGGTCATGCCAGGATTTTGCTCTCATTCCTATAAGCAGCAAAAGTTCCAGAGACATCATTCTTCTTTTTAGCCCAAGTTCACCGTACAAAAGTTTTCCTTTCTTATGTTTACCTAGAAGTTAAAAAAAAAAAGGGAAGAGGGAGATTGAAATTATTGCCATAGATTATTGGGAAAGAAACTTGAACTTGGTAAAGTCTTTTTGTAGAATAATTAGGGAGTATTCATCAAAACCTTAAAAAGTGCAGGCCCTTTAAACCAGAAACACCACTACTAGCTATTTATTCTGTGTTAATGGGCACAGAGCTAGGGATTGAGTCTACAGGGTTAAGGTGCTCCCAGTTTCATGGTAAAAATAGCAAGAGACTGTGGATTATGGACATGGCAGCCCTGTGACTGATGACCCATAGATGCAGAAAGCAGAATGCTCCAGACTCTGTCCATGAGAGGAAGGCCATGCCTAGAAAAGCCCATGGGCACCCACAGCTTTGTCACAGTGCTAACTGCATGATTCTCAGTGTGCTTTCAGGCACCCCCAAGTGCTTCATGCCACTGCTCCAGAAATGGGAAGTGGTTGGCCTTGCTGTTGGAACTAGATGAGACCTTTAAGACAAGAATCTCTAAGGGGATTCCCTGAGACCAAAACCAGACATTTCATGTAATCATGATCAGCTATTTCTCACTCTCTATCAGACCAGTGAAAATGAACAAAGTGGATGAAGGGAATCAAATAAGCCTGAACTTAATACAATGGAGTTGTATTGAGGCAGAGGCTGCCCTAAGACCCAATACAACAGAGATCTCCCACTCACTTTGTGTTTCGCCTCTTCAGAAAGCTCTCTTAGCTGAAGATATATACAAACACATACACACAGGCACTACTCATATACACTCAGACACATACATCCATGAATGTGCACAGATTCTTCTGAAACAAATACTATTTTAAAATATTAGAGGGAAATGACCTGTGCTACAGCAGCACTCTTCCTTCCAAGCCAATATTGTATTTGAGTCAGTGTCTGTGGCTCAGATGCTGTGTTACTGAGTGAGAATTTCATACGGCTGTGTGGGAAACTGGCCCATAAACATACTTGTTAAGAGCATTTAGCTTTCTGGCTCCAGCCATTCCGATGTCTGTCTTAGAATTGTGCCAGGAGCCAATGGTAGAAAAAGAAGCAGCGTTATTCAGCTTAATTGGGCAATGATTAGGACTTCCTCCAACAAAGAAAGTAAGCAGGGAAACTGTAGCTGACCTCCCTAGGGCTGTTTAGGGGTCCTGGGTCCAGGGACTACTTTATACAGGATAAATATATCTGAACTTTCCTAACCTCCCAGCCTGATTTAATTAGTAAACACCTTCAAAGGGATCAAGCTGACTTGTGAGACAAAGTCTACCGCACACTGCAAAGGTGGGCAAATAAATATTTAAAGGGCACATCCGTGTACGTGGAGGGGGGAGGGAAATAGATTAGGAACAGTAGGAAAAGATATGAGTTAACTCTGGGAGTTCTGTTGTGTAACTGCCCTTGACCTTGCCCCTTCCAGTGGCTAAACTTGCCCCTTCTCCAGGGCTTTTGTGGGTCCTCTTCACTAGACACAACCAGCCAGCCTCAGAAAGAACTATCCCCAAATATGGATTCACTTAACCTTATTATAGTTGTGGTCACAGTTCTGCTCACAGAATATTTCAATTGTCTTGAATGTCAGGGCTGAACAAGATCTATTTAAAGGTCTAGAACTAAACACTGCTATTTAGCAAACTTGTATGAACATGCAAATCACTACTAAAGTGTGTTTTGTTTTGTTTTATCTAGCAATGATATAACCTAAAGGACTGACTCATCAATGGTGGTGTTTCAGGAAACGCCAGCCGTTGTCAACTGCACCTCTGCAGAAGACCAGCCCTGTCTATAGCATTTCCAGACACTTTATGCTTTTTCAGTGGCTTTTAGCCAATTATCACATAGTTCCCCACCACATTGCGGTGGAACAGCAACTAACAAGACTTCACAGGTCACACAAAGGCTCTGAAAGAATCAAAGTGCATGCCACACAAATGAACTATCATCAGTTCCACCTCCACTGTTAACACTCTGGAGAACTTGGGATAGAGAGATTTTCATAATGGGATTTAAATCTAGGAGTCATACTTGGAATTGGAGTTCAATTCTCTGAAGTGGTTCAGATGGGAGACCAATATGAGCTTCTTAATTACTTTATTTCACATATCAGAAGGGAGATGAGGCAGGGGAGTCAAGAATACCATTCTGGGAATTCAGCACCTGCTGAATTCCAGGTATGATATTCTAGGAATGATATGCTGCTGCCCATTCACTGCCTCAGTTAATCCTCATGGCAAACCTGCAAACTATGTATTATTATTCCTATTTTGCACAGAAAGCTGAGGCTTAAGTACATCAGATGGGCTACACGCAATCCAGTCTGTTTTGTTTTGCTGTTTGATTGGTTCGTTGGTTGTTTTTGTTTGTTTATTTTGTTTTCGTTCATTTTGCTTTATCATTTACACATTGATTGTTCATTCAGCAAGAAATTGTAAAATACTCAAAGACAATAACTTTGTCTGAATTCTTTCCTGTCTATTCCCAACATTCATCTGACTCCTAGACTCATATTCATTCATTTATTCATTCAAAACATATTTATTAGACAGTAGGGACACAGCAGTGGACAAAACCAAAAAGGTGCTTGTTATTATGAAGCTTGCATTTTAACAGAGAAAGCCAATCAATTAAATAAATAAGCAAGTTAGAAGTAAGAAAGAAAGGATGGAAGGAAGAAAAGAAGGAAGGGAGAGAGGGAGGGAAGGAGCAAGAGAGAGAGGAATAAAAGAAGGAAAAAGGGAAATTATCAGAAAGTGAGGCATATCATGCAGAAAACTGAGATTGGAAGATGTGATGGAGAGAGGCTGGATGATACCTCAAATTGGGTATTCAGAACAGGATTCTCAAAAAAGGAGAAGTTCAAACTGAACCTGAATGATAAGAAAGAGGAAGCCACAGAAAATCAAGGGGAAGATATTGTAGCCAAAGAAACTACAAAACCCTGAGATGGGAAAGAACTTTAAGAGCTAAAAAAACTGAGAAAAAATGAATGTGGCTAGCGAAGGTCAGTGATTCAGAGAAAGAGTTACACAAGATGATGTCAGAGAGATGGTTAGGAGCCAGGTGACATAGGACTTCGTAAGCCACAGTAAGGATCATTCATCAAATATGTGTTGAATGAATAAATGCACAGGCCTTGGAGCACTATGAGAATGTGAGTACCAGTAGCCTTTTAAGGAATTTATACTTGAGTCAGAAAGACAAAAGAAATCCATGTCCACTCATTTAAGAACTATTTCCTGAAGCCCTGTGGCATGCTGGGCATTGTGGTTGATACAGGGGCACCAGAGTGAATAAGCCATACTCCTGGCCTTCTACCAGTTCACACATTTAAGGAAAGAGACAAGACCATGATCAGAGTAACAGGTTTTTTAATTTGAGGAAATGCTATGTGAGTACCTGGAAAACATCTAACAGCCTGGAAAAGAAGTCAAGGAAAAGCAAAGACAGCATATAAATTACAGCCAAGATAAAAAATTCAGAAATGCATTGGTCCCTGTAGGCTAGAAAGGTCAGAGAAAATTGTCACAGAGAAAATTAGACTTAAGCTGGATCTTCAGGAGCAGAACTTGTTGGTAAGAGGGAGGAATTCGAGATTGGATAACAAATGCACACAGGTTTAGATCAAAGGTCAGCATCTTGTTGAGGCATACAAACCTCCCCCAGCCTCTGCTTCTCCTAAGCAACACCTTCACTGTGCACACACATAAGCTCCCATGCTCATCCTCCCTCTCTGCTGAAACACAGCTGAAATGACCTACTATTCATCCCCTAAATTACTTGATATCTTGGTCACCGGGAAATGAAGGTCTGATTCTCATTCCAGCTACAAAGACGATGTACATCTTGCTGATGGTTGAACATCCCTCAGGATACAGAATTCCTAATTTCACCAGTTCTTCTTCCTTGGCAAAGAAATTCCTCCTTAAATGCAACAGAAGTCTACTTTATTGGTGTAGCTATTCCTTGATCCTAATTATTTTATGTTTCTTTAATCCTAATTTTAATCTCAGCAGTATGTTGGCCAACAATTTCTGGGTACGAATCATTATCACACCCTCAGAGGCATGTACAATAACCATTAATTTCTCACTTACGAAGGTATGGGCTAGCTGGGAAGGCTCTGGAACATGCTGAAGGGTGGTGGGAGGTAGCTGTGTTCCATGTTTCTCACCTTATCTGGGACCAGTGGGCCAAGTGGGCTAGGTTATTACAGTGATAGCAGAAGTATAGGAGAATGAGTGGAAACATGAGATGTTCCTTATGGGGCCAGAACTGGCACTCTATAACATCTACCTACATCTCATTGGCCAAAGCAAGCCACACATCTAATCCCAAGGTAAAGGGGAAGGAAAGTGCATGCTGCCTGTTATAAGGCTATGACAAAATGGATGCAACGGGGCAAGAATTGCAGCGAAATATTCAACCAACCACAGAAGTTACAAATTATTCAACTCACTTTTCCTACTAATTTCAGATCTCAGAAGGTGGAGTTCATGTTCCTAAAAACATCTTTACTTTTCAAACTAAGCTTTCTCAACTCCTTGGTTTTCAGAGCCTTTCTCCCCACCCTGATCTGAACATCTTTTAGTTTGTAAACATTTGTAGCCAATGTTATGAATGTTTCTAGCAATCAAATGTGGTCATAGTATTGTCTTCCAGAGTGGCTTTGCCAGTGCAAGACAATGGGTCCGTCTGTTAGGATTTGATGCCTAACAAAACATTCCAAAAGTTAGCTCACACTTCTAGAAGTCAGCTAGGCAATTCTTCTGGTCTGGATTGGGCTTGGTAATTTCATGCATCTGCATCAGCTTCAGATCAGCTAGAGATTGACTGGTCTAGGGTGACCTGGGCTAGAACAGGTGGGATCTCTCTCAACACTATTTGTCTTCTTCCAGAAGGCTAACCAGGACTTATTCACATGGCTGTATCAGCGTTCCCCGAGTTCGAGAATGGAGACTGCATGCTTGAAAAATGGGCTCAAGTGACACAACCTCACTTCAACCATATTCTAATGGCCAAAGCCAGTCATGAGGCCAAACCAGAATAAATGACAGACTGAACCTCATATAGGAGAAGCTGGAAAGTGCAGTGATCATCTCTGCAATTCCACAACAGAAGTATTCCATACTGTATGTTCATGAATGCATTGAATGTAATCAGCTTGCCTTGGGTTTTGGCCCATGCCATACTGTTAACTCACAGAGAAGTCAATGAAAAACCTTAGACTTTTTTTTTTTTTGAGACAGAATCTTGCTCTGTTGCCAGGCTGGAGTGCAGTGGCATGGTCTCAGCTCACTGCAGTCTCCACCTCCCGGATTCAAATGATTCCCCTGCCTCAGCCTCCTGAATAGCTGGGAGTACAGGTGTGCACCACCACACCCGGCTAATTTTTTGTATTTTAGTAGAGTCGGGATTTCACCGTGTTGGCCAGGATGATCTCGATCTCCTGACCTCGTGATCCGCCTGCATCAGCCTCCCCAAATCCTGGGATTACAGGTGTGAGCTACCGCACCCAGACACAACCTTAAGACTTTTAATGATGAACTATTGTCAACTAAATTCATATTACACTTGTATTTATGCAGCTGATTAGAACCAAATTGCAACCCTTCGTATTCAATTTCATCTCCATTGCTTCAGCCAGCTTTGATCCCTTCATATCTCCTCTTGTAGCAATCTTTTGATTCCTGTTTAAATCAATTGCCATATTCCGAATAACTTCTTCATGTATTTTCTTATCATAGTTGATGTAAGAAATAAATTGATATCGTATTGGTTCTATCAACAATTTAAGGACAGGGATAACCACATTTTTTAGACTTCCTGCATATCCTATGGCAGCCATCACTGTTCTGAGCACATAGCTGGTCCTCGGTTACCTCACGAAGTTACATAAGAATGAATCAATACCCAAAACAACACAATTCCAATGGGGTAAATCAGTGGTTCTTGAATTATTTTTTTTTTTTCAGTAAAGTTCTTCTTTTTAAGATAAAATATTTTATGAAAGTCCAACATGAAAGGCAGATAAACATAAGAAGACATTTCTGAAATTCTTTCTACTTAACTTTTTCCATCCTTATCTCCCATAAGATATCTGAGGCCTCCTCAGATGCCATGGAATAAAATTTGAAAAACACTGGATGAAATCAACATTTTTCAAACTTTTCAAACTTAACCCTCAGTAAGAAATGCATTTTACATAGTGACCCAGGAGACACTGACATATAGATAACTGAAACTACTGCTCTCAAGACTACTTCACCCTAAGTACAACAAAATCTCATGTTTTCTATTCTACTCACTTCATTTTTTGAAGGTCAGCCATGAACTACTAAATTGATTTTATAAGCCACTAAACAAGCAATGCCCCATAGTTGGAAACTATTAGACTAGATGATCTCTTGAAGAAGTCTTTCAAGTTTTAAACTCTATTGGCCTATGGTTCTACAGCTTCTGTATCCTCAATTTCTATTGTTTATTCCCAGGGCAGAGAAGGAGGTGATGGTCACTTCCAAAAAGAGCGGAAGTTAAGTTCTAGATAAGCCACAATCACGCTCCCCAAGTGCATGAAGACCACATAATCTCGTGAGCGTGAATAAAATCAATGGATCACTCTTAAGAGGAAAGCTCACTCTGGAGTCAGACTACCTAAGTTTAAATCCCAGTTACTCAGGCTTATTACTTAACCTGCTTGTCAATAACTACCTTCTCTGAAATTTATGCCTAATAATTGTTACCTATCATGCAGGGTCATTAATAGGATTAAATAAGATAGTGTATAATGAATGTAGCTCAGTGCCAAGAAAACATGAAGTGCTCCAAGTTCTCTAGTATTGATAGGAAGTAAACAGTTATTTTTTTTTTTGGAAGGAGTGAGCTCAATTATCAAGACCAAAGATGTATAAATTACTCCCTGCCCTCACACTCTGCTTTAATAAGCAGGGAGATGTAGGTTCAAATTCTTTCTCTGCCACTGACCAGGTGTGTGGTCTTAGATGACTCACACTTTCTGAGCTTCAAGATCCTCAGTTGTGAAATGGAAATAACAAAACCTATCTGATAGAGTTGCTAGGAGGATATTAGGAATAATGATAAAACAATGAATATAAGACACCTGACCCAGGACTTGATATATAGTAAGTGCTCAAGAAAAAGAGTGGCGGTAGAAAGAGAGAAACACCCTAACAAAATCTGGCCAAAAAAAAAAAAAAAAAAAAAAAATCAAAGTGCTTTGAAAAGCAATTGTTGATATTTTTAAATAATGAAAGAAATAATCACAGCCAGATCACATTGATTATTTTAACTGTGATGCATTGCTGTAAAATGCAGAGCCCTACTAAGAAGTTCCAGCAACATAAAATTGTGGAATTCATCACTCTATCACGTGTGTGTGTGTGTGCGTGCGTGTGTGTGTGTGAGAGAGAGAGACATCTGTTTGACTCAGAAAACACAATCATCTTCAGTGTGCCACACAGTGTGCTGAGGTTACAGGATAAACAGGGCAAGTTCCTGTCATCAAGAAACCTATACTTTATCAATATCTCATCTCCCTCTCTGTCTCTCTGAAGCTCTCTCCTCTTTTTATTTAGCACTTACTAGGTTATAGGCACTGTGTCAGGTATTTTACATCATTTCACCTAATTCTCATAGCAACCTGATCAGAGAGGATCTGTTATTCACACTTCATAGTAAAGAATCCTGAGGCCACGTAACTGTTCGGGGCAGAGCAAGGATGTGAAATCAGGTTTCTTTATTAACGCCTAGGTCCTCTATAACTTCCTATAGGAGCACAAACGTGTGATATCTTTCCTCGTCCTTCCTCGTCGTAAGGATGGCACCCTTATAACAAAAGAAAGGATGACAAGAGAAAAGCATGATAATTTTTTTAAATGAAAGTTTGGTGTGACATAAGAACCTTCAAAATGAAGACCCAATGAGCTACAGAAAACTATCCATTTTTATGCTTAGATTCAATGAAGAATGGACTGCCATGTAGAAATGTGATCAGGCAAGAGGATATGATCTAATGGTAACAGAGGGGATCTCAGCATGATCTGTCTGTTCCTATTCTTCTCGGCTTCTCTGGGTGGCATTTCTTCCTCCCAGGTTTGGGGTAGGATTCCTCCGAAATGAGAGTCTGATGACCTACTATCCAATAAGGTAGGGCAGAGAATTCCTTTTTGGCCAGCTCCTCCTCCACAGTAAGGTGGGAGAAAGTTAGTGTAGCATTTCTAGTTTCTGTCGCTGGTTCTAGGCAAAAAAGAGGAGTGGGAGCAGAAGTTCAAAAGGATCTCACTTCTATGAACTCCCTATGTCCTTCAGCTCAAAGTACTTAGCAGGCCATGGTGCCATACTTTGGGGTATCATGTTCTAAACGCCAACATTCCCAATTCTACTCCTATGAATTGATAAGCATAGATAGAAAGTTCACCAGGTATAACATAAAATACTAGCTATGTGGTGCCTCTCTGTGTAGATCATAACAGCATAGGGTAGGAGCTGAGAACAAGGATTTCAAACTTGGCTAGATCTAGGTTTGAATTCTTGTGGTACCACTTAGCTCTGTGGAGAGAGAGAGAGAGAGAATTGGATTGAAACATGATATAAAGTTTACATAAATACATACACACCATATATACACACACACACACACACACACATACATGCACATACCACCACTCCCATAGGCTCAGTGTGAAAGGTACCTTAAGAGAAGACTGAGATCTAATTCAATCTCCTTACTTTGCAGTGGAGAAAATCAACCCTCGGTGGGGACAAGGGCACAGTGGATTTCCTGCCAGTACTCCCACAGGGAGGGAGAGACTGTCACCATTGGTACCCCAAGCTCCAGCCCCTCAGCCCTGTGCTTTTCCCAGCACTGCATCCCAGGAGCCCAAATTTTCTATAAATGTGTCCAAGTTTTCAAGTGGTTACTCCTGAGGTCAAAGGAAATGGCCATCTCGGATAACGCAGACTCTTGAAGAGGAAGAAAGTTCCTCTCATTCTGAGATTTTCCTCTATCTGCCTCATAGAGGTCAAGAGAAGGGCAAGAGAAAGCTCCCATGACTTGACTCCTAGGTCTTCACATCCAAGAATGTAGTGGAGGTTTAAATAAATCAGGCTGTAGGCAACAATTCAGACAGGCTCCCCCACATGTTCTATGATTTTTGTTTTGTTTTGTTTTGTTTTGTGTTTTTGTTTTTTTTTTCCCCCTAGTGGATACCATCAGCTGTCTTGTTGCTAAGAGACCAGAGTGGGTGGGAAAGGCCAACAGCCATATTTTTCAAACTTATCCGCAAAACCGGTTTTGCCCTTGCTACCCCAAGGGATTCTACTTCCTTAGGAACAGGATGTTACAACTAGGCAGATGGAGAGAGTGAGACTACATTTTTCGAGAAATGGACTGAGCTTTTCCTGGACATTTGGTGTCATCCAGCAGAGTACTGGGAGCTGCCAATTACAGGTCTGATGCAATGTTTGGGAAACAGCCGCAGAGTACACATGACTCAACAAAATATTACGATTTGCATTCCTATCTCTTGGGAAGTTGCACTTATCAGCACCAACAAGTGCCATGCGGTCAGCGAGAGTGCTGGGCTGAGTTTGTCACTGGAGAATTAAAAAGGAATTAAAAAAAAAAAAAAAACCAAGAAGGGGTTGTGGGGAGGTGAGTGTTTGAATCATTCCGGGACTTTCCTTTCGGGTTGCATTCCAATCAGACAGACCTAAACCTGGCAGAGCCATATCATTGCTCAATGTCAGAAACATTCGCCTGGAATGCGGGGACATGTGAACTTGGACACCCCCTGCAGCTTCCTTGTGTGGCCCAGAATGCTGAATCCACCATAAACACACCATCAGGAGAGCAGAGGCAGAGCCCAGAGCCAGGGTTAGTGGGGAAGTGGCACATTTCATATAAAAGAAGACATAAAAGGTGATGCTCTCGGCAGCATTCCCCGTCTAAGGCCTTTGTACAGGCTCACAATGCACACTGATGACCCAAGCAGAGATGGAAAATGAGCTGGTGCATTTTTTTTTTTTTTTTGCCCTTAGAAAAAATTAAGAATGTGAATTAACTTCCTCCTTCTCTGGGCTTCTACTTGGCAGTCTGAGACAGACCAAAAAAAGAAAAAAAATCCCTATTTCCAAAGAACTCTAAAACTCTAAAAGTGGATATATGTGGACATCAAATTCCCCGCCCTGCCCCTGTCCAGGGACCTTTTCCACCCCAGCTAAGATAGTCAGGGTTCAATCCTTGTCACATGAGTATAAATTAGAACATAAATCAGCATACCCAAAAGCCCATTTACACCTTGCAGCTTGTTCCTGAGCTCAGTCTCCCAGCCAGCAGAGAACTGACCATTGGCAGAGCATTCTGGGTAACTATATGCAAATCACATCACTCCTCCACCCCAATACAGAAGAAAGGAAGGCATCGTAGCCAATCTGCCATTAACAGCAGAAAATAATGGCACAGGGTGCGATGTTCGCAAGGGTCGGAGATACACAGAGTCTAAAAAGTAAAAACAGTCAAGCTAAATCAAATGCATATTATAAACAGGCAGATAGTAAGAATGTGATGGCTTTGTTGTATTTAATTGTCACAACAACCAATGGGATACATACAATAGCTTTTCACATTCACCACTCTGATGATAAACCAGTCAAAACAGCATTGGCAGTCCCTATCACACAGAAGGTATAAACTTACTGCTAAAACAGTGACGATTACTCATGCCAGCTGTCAGAGATGATGCACTCTTTCACATAGGATAGCAATTAGCTGAAATAATCCCAAACCACTGTTGCCCTTAATCCCTAATTGCCTATCTGGGTTTGTGGTTTTGTCTACCAAAACAGACATATAGAGTAGCAAGTGAAAGGGCTTTCCAATGAAGATTCTAGGGTGAGGTTGAGTGTGTCTTTTTGGAAAACTGACAGGTGCACAAAAGATCAGACAGCCAACTGAGGGAGACCAAAGGCAGGATGTTCAAAATTGAGTTTACTGCCCTTTAAACTCTAGAATTAGGGAGGAGATAGAGGTAGGTGGAACAGAAGATAGAATCACAGTAACTGTGAGCTCAGAGCCGATCCCACTATGGTTTTGGTTATGAACTGATTGGGTGACATTAACATTTTATTCATGGAGGCAATATAATGTAGTGTCATAGATATCAGCAGCCTTAGTTCTCCTTTACAATCTGATAACTCTCATTATGTAACATCAGACAAGTCACTTCTTCGTCATGGGACAAAAGAGCTGAACCCAAGATTATACTTAAAGCTATGGCTATGATTCCTACAAAGGCATTTATAAGTTATCTCTCAGAAGACAGAGTTTAATCAGAGTATATGGCAATAGATAAAACAATGAGTCACATTGAAATCTAGATTTGTATTTTGAGAAGGTAGTAAAAGAGTGTGTCAAATTCTCCTTCGTGGCCAGGCGCAGTGGCTCTTGCCTATAATCCCAGCACTTTGGGAGGCCAAGGCAGGTGGATCACCTGAGGTCAGGAGTTCAAGACCAGCCTGGCCAAATGGCAAAACCCTGTCTCTACTAAAAATACAAAAATTTGCCAGGCATGGTGGTGGGTGCTTGTAATCCCAGCTACTTCGGAGGCTGAGGCAGGAGAATCGCTTGAACCCAGGTGGCGGAGATTGCAGTGAGCTGAGATCGTGCCACTGAAGACACAGCAAGACTCGCTCTCAAAAAAAAAAAAACAAAAAAACTCCTTTGCATTGTGCAGGACACACAGAAGAATGTTGTCCCCACAGTGGATTTCCCTTAAATAGGGGTGTGCTTTGACATGTGTCCAGTATAATGGTAATCACTGTCAGGTTAAGCTCTAATAGTGTCTACCGAGCCTTTAGGAAAATTGCCACTAGAAACTTGTCAGCATTATATTGCTAGCATCCAGCACAGTGAAAAGTTGTTGAATAAATGTTTGTTGAGTAAATTGACAGCTCAATGAAACTCAGTTTTGAGTTGAGTTAAAGGTGATATTTCTCTAATGAATATTTGGTCAAGTCAATCAGTCAGGGCCATGACTTTCAACCTCACAATCTTGCCCCTCCTCCTATATTTCCTACATTTGTTAACTCTGTTCCCCCGTTTATGGTTTATGAAATGCCATCCCCCCACATTTGCCTAACAAATTCCTATTCCTATTTTGAAACCTTTCTCAGATGTCTTCTCCTCTGAAAGCCTGTCCTTGCCACAGCCTTGAGGATAACTGTTCACTTCCTCTTTTGTGCCCACACTGATACAAAGAACGCAGTGCCTGGCAGATAGTATTACCTCAATACATTTTGATTAATGGGCAGATGAATAAATGAATGGTCTGCAAGAATGCTGACAATTGAGGTAAATCAATCAATAGCAATTAGGTGCCTATTTGGTGTAAGGCATTGTGTCTCTGACTTTTGTTAGAATCGCATATCACAATAAATGTCTTAAGGCAGGGAGGTAAAGAATCTATGCAATGAAAATCCTTGTAGCTTTTGCTGTGCCTCAATAATCCACTCAGTGCTTTGGATTGGCCCCAATTACTAATATTCTCCAAAACTGAGGAATCAAAGGAGCATTAATGCTAATATTATCCCTGAAATGTTACTCATTGCAAAGTGCTGTGTTCAGCACCATCTCTGAAGGCCTTCCACCCATTCTCAAAAGAAAAAAGAAAGCAGAAGCAACTGCCTTCCTCCTCTGAAATAGTGTTTGTCATTTTCATAAATGTCTTTGACTCATGCAATTTGTCATTCAGGCACATATTTCCTCCTGGGCCTGTGCCCTTTTCTCCTTGAATGGGGAAGGATCATTCTGGCTAAAGGAGACAAGTCCTTCAGGAGAGAGATCTGGTTTGAGGAACTGTCTTCCAAAGCAGAAGTATAATAACTAGAGCTAAAAGCTTTAGCCATATGGAAATGTTAGAATGTCAAGAGGATTCCTGCCATTTCTAAATTCAGTAGGCATCTGAATTTGTTAATATCCAACCCAGGCCAAAAAGTCATGGAAAAACAATTAAGATTGTGGCACCCATTCGACTCTTCTCTCTAGCCAGCATTTTATTTTCATCACAAAAGTGTCACGAACATTCAAGTCATGGACCATTCATAGTGTTGGTGAGGAAGTCTGTACATTTGAACATGCATGTTTCAAATCCCTAATAAAATGTCTAGAAAGATACACAGAGAGCCCTTCACCCTTGGTTGTCTTTGGAGAGACAAAAGAGATTAGAAGAGTAATAAAGAGGAATTTTTACTATTTTCTCTAAGTGTTGCTGTATAATTTGATTTTTTTGTATCATGGACAGGTTGGAAATTTAAAAATAGTAATAAATTTATTAAAATGAGAACATAGGATGAGTTTGGGCCAGCTCCCTTATGTTTCTAACTCTGTAATTTTCCCACCTTTGTCATGGAGCCCCTTGGTACATGAATTTGTTCTCTTGTTCTTTAACATTTATCAGGTCACTCAGTAGGGAGTGAAGGGCTCACAGGGAAGAGATGAGACTAAAACTGATCCCAGCACTGTCTGAGCCATTTCCTTACACAATCTCATTTTCATCCTCCTAAAATTCCCACAAAATAAGTGCTACTGGCTACAGAAAGCTGAACATCCAAGTCATATCACTGATTTTCAGATTTTCTTTCATCTATAAATGAGTGCTTTACATGTCCTTCTATTTTACAGCCTGCTTTTTGCATTTACCAGTACATCATAACCATCTTTTTAAGTAAATGAATTTCATTCCTGTAGTCATTCTTGATGGCTGCTTAGCATTTGTTCATATGGATGTGCTGAAATCAACTCAGCCAAGTCCCTATCACATTTTGAGGATAAGAAAATGAAGTTCAGAGAATTTAGTGAGGTGCTCAGGGCCACATAGCAGGTGAGTAAGAGCAGGAATTAGACTCCTGGTCTGCCAGGGGTCTGGCTCCCACTCTTACAAATGTGCCCCGCATTATGTTCCAAGGACTCCATCCTCCAGCTTCTCCTGGGAGCCCTGGCCAATGACATCCTTGCTGGATCCATCCTGGCACCTTCCCCTATTCATTCTTCCATCAGAAGCACTCACTCTTTCCAGATGAGCAAAAAAAAAAGGAAAATGCAAAGCTCATGCATTTTACTACCCCTGTGGCTCTACAGTGTGATTGGCAACTTTTCACTGCCAAATTATAGTAGAATTTAATCAGCAACTTTTTACTGACAAATTACAAGCTTATTCTCGGACTTCCTCATAGTCATCCACCTGTCTGCTCAATAATAAGTTCACTTAAGTCCAAAAAAATAAGACAAAGCACAACCGGAGAATAGAGGAGACATGGCCAGTATGAAAATATCTGGGGGTTTTAGTCAAAGTGGTTCCAGAATGAGTCAGCAGGGAGATGTGGATGACAGGAAAACAGATTTCCACTTTAACAACATTGAAATAACTCAAGTACTAAGAAGAGGGAAAGTCACCATCCCCTTGAATGTAGCACTGGGACAAGTTCCTTAGCCTCCCTGAGCCTCATTCTCATATAGTGAATGGGAATAATGATAAAAAGCATGCATGTAAATTGCTTCACAAAGTGCCTAGCCCATAGCAAGCACTCCAAAAACAAAGCTAGTTTTATCGCTCTCTCAACAATACTAAAGCAAACTCTATTATATGCCTTACTTTACAAATTATGAAACTCAGGTGATGAAGCTAAGTGGCAGAAAATAGACTAAAACCAAGTCTGTCCGATTTTGAAGTCCATTTTCATAACCACCAAGTTATTACTTCCTCCCTTAATAGAAAATTTAGAACAAGAAAATCCCTCATAATCTCGTGACCCTGAGATAAACACTTTTACTCTTTTAAACACTTTCAGATTTCTCTTCCATATATAAATGAATACTATTATTCAAAATTGGAGATCATGCATTACATTCTATTTTATAACCTGGTTTTTACATTTACTATTACATTGTAACCATCTTTTAGATCAATAAATGTTCATTCCCATAGTCATTCTTGAAGGCCATTAGTTCATACGGATAAGCAGTAATCTGTTCAGCCAGTTCTCTGTTGCTGGACATTTGTTCACAATGTAATCAATACTGCAGTGAAAATCCTTGTTGCTAAGTCTTTGTCTTAGCCATTATAGGTTAAGACAATGTAGATACATTGGAGTTTGTTCTAAACTAGTAATTGGGTGGATGATGGGAGTTTAAGACTCATTCCATGAGAAAAAAAAAAAACGTGGAAAAACTGGCATCCTCCTCTCTGGAAAAGTGAGAGTCCATAGGCTGAAGTGGTGGCATGACAGCTGCCCTCAGATGGCCAGGAAGGTGTTGGTGACACAGTGACTAGACTTTCTCCAAAGGCTCTGAGCAAGTAGGACAAGAAGGCAGCAGACTTCTGATGAAAAACATTTTCTCACAGACTCAATTGTCAAAGGACAGATTAATGTGCCTCAAGGAGTGATAAATGCCACAGGATGCAAGAAGCTCAATTATATGCTAACCTCCCCACTGTGCAGGGATGTTAAAGAAGAAAGCAATCGGTCTTAATTCTTAGGACTGCCTGAACTTTAAGCATCTAAGCTCTATCTCTAACTTACTGACTTGCAATGAAAGTTGGGAACTTACTAAATACCGAGTGCTCTACAACATTATTTCGCTTCGTTCACAGACACTTAATAAAGAATGAGGCACAAGAAGGAAACCTAACTTTTTTCAATGAACACAGCTAGTAAGTCTTGGGAACTTAAACCTGTACATTTCTGGTGCCCAAGCCCATGCAGTTTGGTCCAGTGATTAAAAGCATGGATTTTAGAGGAGAACAGACACAGGTCAATAGTAAACCTTCACTTGCTGTCTGGGCAAACTTAAGCAAGTGATTCAGACTCTCTGAACCACAGTGTCTCATCAGTGGCTGCAGGATAATAACACTCACTTCTGAGTATGGCTGTGAAGGTTGACGGAGTTGACTTATGTAAAATGCTCATTACTATGCCTAGTACAAGTGAAGCACTCAATAAATGTTAGGCAACATTAGCTAGTTGGCATGTGCTGAGAGGTTTAGGAGAAGAAAATTAAGGGTTGCATACTTGGTTCCATAATGTGTTCATCCGTCTCTAAAATGAGTTCATCTGTGTTTTTCCATGAAGTGTTTAAGTGGCCTGGCTTCCAGAGCAAAAATCTTAAACATTGACTTACCCGTGCCATTCATTTGTTCATGGCTGGGCACTGGGCTAGGTGCCATGACTATGAAATGAATGGGCAAGACAATTATAGTGTCTGCCCTCATGGAGCTTCAGCTTCCTGGAGAAGACAGATCTTAACACATGACAATGATCAAGGATGAGAAGGGTACTATAGGCGAAAAGAGGGATGCTATGGAAACAATTTGCAGGGCTCCTCACTTTGTCAAGGGGAGTTCAAGTAGGCTTCATAAGTGAGTGATATCTAAGCCGGGCCCTACAGGAAGAAGAGGTAGAACAGAGAACAAGGTGTCTGGTGAACAGAATTACTTAAGGATCAAGCACAGAGGGGTGAGAAGTCATGGAGCAAGTCCATAAAGCTCATCAGGAGCCCCTTTTACAGCAAGTGCACTTTACTGTGAGGAGAATGTGGACTCATGGTGTGGAGGCTTAAGCAAAGAAGTAATATGAAGAGACAAGCATTTAGAGAGCTCATATGGGTATAAGAATGGATGAAGAGAGAAGCCTGGAGGGAGAGGCTTCTGGAAAATAGTAGTGACTTCAAAAAGAGAGTGGCAATGGGACCCAGAAAGTGGTCAGATTGGGGAAACCATTAGGAGCAGTGTCAGCCAAGCACATTCATTCTGGATGTAAACCTAGAGCATCTGCATGAACAGGGTTTTCTGTCTGGGTTTGGTGTGGGTCTTAACATGGTAGCTTGCACTAGGATTTTAAAAAGCCAAACAAAGAAATATTTTGGTGTCAGACTTTTTCAACTCTTCTTCTTTGAATCCACATGTTTAAATAAGAGGAATTAAGAAGATTCCTTGGTAGGCAAAGCAGAATGATTTCTAGGCTCTGGCCCCAAAGGTGTGCTTCTACAGATCTCCAGCCTCGAGCCAGCTCAGGGGATGGAGAGGATCGGGGAGCTGGAAGAATCAGGAAAACCAGTTCTTAATAATAATAGGTAGCCTCTGTATAATAACAGCTTCTGGCTTACAGAGTACTTTCACAGGCATTATCTTATTTGATTCTCACAGTAAATGGAACTGTGGGGAGGTAGGTGGGGAGAAATAGGGCAATTAGCATTAGCCCCACCCTTCCAAATATGAACACTTGTGGCTCAGAGACAATAAGTGATTTGCCCAAGATTATAAAACTGCTGAGTAGTGGGGCTGGGAATGAGAGTTTTATGACTCTCAGTTCAGTGCCTCAGCGCCCTGTGTTATAGCTATTTTGGTGGAGGGAGAGTGGTTCATTATGCCTACTGAGAAAGATAGCATATATTTACTCATTAACACCTAAGAACAGCAAGGCCAAGGCTAGAAGAGGATCTCCAAGCAGATGAGGTACAAAACAGGACAGTTTTGAATGGAGTGAGCAGAGGATACTCATAAAAAGAGTGCACACACTCAGTGCATGCCCAGTCTGGGGCAGGCTGGGTGTACTAGAGGCAGGAAACCACTAGCACTTGTCTGAATCCAAGGAAATTACATTAGGTGAGGAATGGAGTGAGGAAGGAAGAGTAGGCACTCCACACAAGAATCTGGGGGCCTCTGGTCGGCGAGTCCTACAGCCGAGTCTGAAGGCCCACCCAAAACTCAGGAAGCAAAAACAAATTCCACAGATTCACCAACTCTGAGCAGGAGCATTCAGTAAAGAGACCTTACTCTGGTGCCTGTTCATGTCACCAAAGAGTTGATAAGAAAAAAGACCTGAGACTGTGTGTCTGTACAATTCAGTAAAATCCTCAAAGCAGAAACCTGGCCCATGTAGTCCTGCTAGCACCAGGGTCTGGCAGCTGCCCAGGAAGTTGTGAAAGGGTTTAGTTTCAAGAGCAATTGAGCTATGCCCTCCAGCCCTGGAGAACCACAGAAAGTAATTTTGCAGGAATGATCCACAATAGCCAACCAGGAAGAAGGAAAGAGAAAACCGTTCCCAGAATCTGCTGGAGACCTCTATCAAAATGACCCTGCCATCTACATCTTGAAGGGTAAGAATGAGGGCACACAGACCCAAACCAAAGGCACTCTTAGTCCTTACTGCACATCACTGTACCCCAAATTTTCTGCAAAGTCCTTTATGTTTAACACCATTCCATTCTCACAACAACCCTACATTATGTTGAGGAAACTGAGACCCAGAGTAGATGTGGTCTCTGCTCAGGGTCCCATAGCTAGTGAACTACAGAGCTGGGATTTTCCAGGAGGTCTGGTAGCTCAGAGCCCACATTCTTTCCACTCCTCACAAAGCCTTGTGAGTTTATGTGCTTGAAATAACATTGGAGGGAGAGAAGAGGAAGGGAGCATGGAGCACAGTGGAAATTGTGTCTTAAGCCACCACCCTGACTCACTCCTTAATTAAGCAGGGAATTGCAGCTGAGGTGTCTGCTTTTAAAGGGTGGGGGGGGGCGGTTCTAGAATACCAGTGCTTATGAAGGGGAATCCAGGCTGCCAGTGACTGAGGCATGATTCAGCATGGTGACTTCCAGATCAAAGAGGAAGCTAAACCAGCAGCAGCCCCAGATACAAGTAGAACAGTGCCCATGCTATCTGACATTTCTGAGACCCGTTGTGGCTCCCTGCTTCCATCTCCAGCCTCGTTTCAAACTAAGATGCAAATGGCTGCAGTTTTGTTCTAGGATGCCCATATCAGGAGCCCCATGTGGCCTTTGGCCTTTGCTCCTGAAGTGGTCCCCATCAGGAATGTTCTTGCTCTTCTCTCTGCCTCTCTGACTCTGAGTCATATTTCAAAGATAACCCCCTCAGTTCCCTTTTGTTCGACCAGATTTGTTTACCCTAGTCTGTTTACTTATGGATTCATCCTATCATTCATTTAGCCAATATTTGCTAAGCACCTTCTATTCTTGGGTTCTGTGGAGATATTAGGATGCAGTGTTTAAAAGAAAATTCAACTCAATCCAGTAAGTGTTTAAGATGCTCACCTGGTGTGTCCATCCTGGTTTTAGTCCCCATGAAGAAGGCAGAGGAGCATCGTCCAGAGGAGACCTGACCTGCACCTACTCAACTCCTGTCCTCATTGCCACATAGGAATAAGAAATACATGGCAATAGAGGGTAATAAGAGTAACAACAAGAGCTTGGAAGATGCTTCCCTGTTATAGAAATGTTTAACTTCTCTGGTCTATCGAGGGGTGGGAAGGCCTCCAAAAGCAGGTTGCAATCTAGATGTGTTTGAAATGATGAGTGAGATGAATGAACAGCTGGAATCAAGAAACCTGGGTTCTGGTGCATAGTCTGCCTCTGTCTGTGCTGACTTGGAGCAAATCATCTCATCTCTTTGGATCTCATGAGGGGGTTGGAGTGGCACAACGACGAAGGTCTGTCTTGCCTGAGCTCTGATCTTCATATTGAGTAACTTCATATTAACTTCATATTGCTCATCTTGCATCTCCAGGCTTCCATTTCCTTGTCTGTAAAATGAAGATGCTAATAGCCAAACCTTGAGACTCTAGAAGATTCAACAGGAGAATGTACAGAAATACAAACATGCTGAGCCCTGTGAAGGGATGAGTAGGTGCAGGTCAGGTATCCCCTGGACGATGCTCCTCTGCCTTCGTCATGGAGACTGGAACAAGGATGGACACACCAGATGAGCATCATCAACATGTGCTAGATTGAGTTGAGATTTCTTTTTCACACACACAACACACAGTCAGAGACATAGAGTTATTATCATCTCATCTCAGAATACTCTCCTCCTTCATTTCCATCAAAGCACTGAACTCCTCTGTCTAAACCCTGCTCCACCAGCAGCCCCAGCAGCATTGCTCCCAGGCCCTTCACTTGCTCTCCTTTGTGGGTTCTTACGTTGCATACATGCTGAGCACAAGGCTTTGGGGGAAGGCAGTGTTGAGAATTAAATTCTTCCTAACTGTATGATTTAAACTCACTGGGCCTCAGTTTTCTCACCCATAAGGTAGTAGAAATAATATACCTACATTATGGGATTCTTTTGAGAATTAAGTAAGACAATCCATGAAAAGTGTGTGGCAGAGTGCCTGCACGTGGTAAGTGCCTGATACACGTTAGTTGCTGCTATTCCTACTCTGTCAATCACTCACAGTGTGAGTTTGACCAAGTGACTTCACCTCTCCATGCTTCTATCTTTTAGGATTACTATGAGGATTGGGTAAATTAAAGTATATAAAACAGTTCCTAGCATACATAAACACTACAGTGTGAGCTATCATTGTATCATTGTCATTATTTTTATTATTACTTTTTGCACACAACTTACTTTTATTAATAACTCCTATTATTTCAAGAAGACTTTTAGCTCATTGATTTTAAAACAATGGCTGCAAATTCTTAAACTGTCTTCCCATGGAGAAGCGGAGTCTATATTCCCTCTCCTCGAATCTGGGCAGGTTTAGGATAGCTTTGACTAATAGAGTAGAACATAAATGACACTGTGTGACTTTTAAAGCTGGGTGATAAAAGGTCATGTTCTTCTGCCTTGTTTGCTGGAACACTTCATTTTGGAGCTCTAAACAGCCATGTGGGAAGTATGACCATCTTGAAGCCACCATGCTTGAAGCAAGCTCAAGCTACATCTAAGGGCCATCTGTAGGCACCTGGTAGCCAGTTCCAATTGATTTCTGGCTTCCAGTTAACCTAGTAGAGAAATCCCACCCCTCAGTTATTTGAACAATCCCCAGCCATTCAAGTCTTCCTAGCTGAAGCCCCAGATAGCCTGCAGCACAGACAGGCTATTCTTGCTGTGCTTTGTTCAAATCCATGGAATCCTGAAGAATCTGTGAGCATAATATATGGGTGTTGTTTTATACCACTAAGGTTGGGGTGGTTTATTTTATAGCAACAAATAGCAGGAATTAACTTGTTTGATAAGCCTGTGATCTATCAGAGACTTCACCAAGATTTATAGAGACCAGTTTGATATCTGTCTATGTTCCAGCTTCCTCAAAGACTTTCTCAGTATCTCTCTTATACTCTCCAGGAGTCTCAGTCACACCCCTCACTATTTCATATCTTAATGTTTTATGGGCATCCCAATGGGCTCCATGCCTGTTTGCAAAATCTTCATCTTTATTCAATGAGTTCTCAGGTCAGATCATGTTTTCTATTTTATAGATACTAAAGCAGAGGCTAAGAAAAATTAACTGACTTGTCCAATGTCATCCAGGTGTTTTGTAGGATGCCTGACTCCCCCTCCAGTGCTTTTTCTACTACAATCTGTCACAATCACAGGGATAAAAATTGTCAAACCTCTATATTCTGCGTCTGAAGTGGGGGAAAAAAATCATCCTGGAGCCAGAGGGATTACCAACTCCTTGAAAAAGTCTAAGCTTCATTTCTTTATAAGCCCTACAGAACTGTCACCCAGCCTGCCTCTGCAGAAACAACCTCTTAGTGGCTTAATCAGAATGACAGCCAAGCATTTGCTTCAGAATAAAATGCTGCAATTACTCTTAGGTAAT
Organism: Homo sapiens; assembly: GCF_000001405.40. NCBI lineage: Eukaryota > Metazoa > Chordata > Mammalia > Primates > Hominidae > Homo > Homo sapiens. Next base: position 128,164,905 of record NC_000008.11, on the reverse strand, counting down.
AGGTGCTTGGGTGCTTATGTGTGTGTATAAAGCACTTTAGCTAATATTGTCAGTCACCACAGCACCTAGAAATCCTGAGTCCTGCCCAGCCATCCACTGCCCCCTCATTCTTTCCCATTCCCCAGGACCAAAACACAATGAAGATTTGTAATTGTGTACTAGTGAAACAGCACTTCAAACACACACACACACATACGCACGCACACACAATTTCTTCAAAGCCCTGATTTGTAACACTGCCAGTTTCCAGGACATAAACACTTTCACCATGTTCATTTCATGTTAGCGACATGAGGAGCTGGGAAGATGTGAGCATAATAGGCTCTTATGAACCAATGAGTCAGTTTCAGTGCACCAATGAGCCTCACTTCTCACTCTGCTGAAACATAACCACAGAGTCAAGCTGCCACACTGGTTTTGTCTCTTTACTAGTTTGCCTTCTGCAAATTGTCCCCAAAGACCAGTGCTCAGGGAAAAATGTATTCTCAGTACATTGAAGGAGCCATTTTCTGCTAGAACACAACTCATACAAGATTAGAACATTTGTCTGGTGTAGTTATTGCTTGTTCATTCATGCACTGTTTTTATGGGACTTAAAGCTGTTGATAATTCAAAAAATAACTCTTGCATTAGCAGAATTCAATACTCTGCATTTTGGCTTGGAAGCCTAGCATCTACTCAGCCTTTGAGCCCCTAAGACATACAGTTCTACCCGAGATCCTAATGTAAAGAAATGTAGAATGATAAAATCCTTAAAAAAGTACCTACACTAATTCAGTATATACTGTGTGCCGGACATTGTTCTAGACACCATGGCAATACAACCATGATTAAAATAAGGTCTCTTGCAGAATGAACTTTGATTCAAGTGGAGGAGATAGGTGATAAACAAGTCAACAGGGAAATGAACAAGATGAAGTCATATATTGTCAAATGTTGAAAAAAATATAAAAGGGTGAGGTGAGAAAGTGTGGTATGACTTTAGATTAGGTAATCAAGGACAGCCTCTCTGAAAAGGCAACATCCGAGCTGAGACTTGAATGGCAAGGAGGAGCCAGCCTTGCCAAGAGCAAGGGGAGGAAAGAGCTTGGTGTGTTAGATGAAGGGAAAGGAAACCTCCGTGGCTGGAGAGGTCAGAAAGTCAGAGAGTGCTCAGCTTTATGAGAAACAGTAAGATGTTGGGATGTCATTCCAAGTATGATATGTTGACAATTGGAGGGTTTAACTCAAGAAGTACATAATGTATACTTATGAAGAAGGTCTGGCTGCTGTAGAGAAAAGAATGAGTGGAGGTGTGAGATGATGGAGAATGAATTGATTGAAACAGAGTGAGAGTGATACATATGGGAAGAAGAGAGTGGAGTAGAGTATATTTTGGAGGTAAGGATAGGAGGACCTGATATTGCCTGGACATGGTGTCGTGACCACTCTTGTTCACTCTCTTGCTCCAGGTGCAATGGGAACATTCCACAAATGTCTTTAACACACAGTGAGTGAGCACCTAATGCATGAATGCATCAAGCTAGGACGAGGAACTCTGCAGTTAAAGTGGCAGGGCCACTAGCTTATTGGGGAGACAGGCACATAAACAAATGACTTTAATATAAGGTGGTGAGTATCACAACAAGGCTATGTCTAAATCACCGTGGGATATGGCAATGGACTGTATCTGCAGGAGTACCAAGAAGGATTTCAAAAAGGCAGTAGCATTTCAGCTGGATATGGAGTGACAAGCATAGGATTTTTATGAGGATAAAGAGCCAGACAATGCAGGGAACTACTTCCAGTGACAATAGTGCCGGTGACAGGATGCTAGGCCCAGAAGAATAACACAAGTTGGAGGAAGCTGATGGGAAGATGAAGAAGAAAATCCACTGCACTGGTCTTTGAGAAGACAACCTGAAAATATAGTAAGCTGAGTAACTTTGATTGAGGAAATGGCTAGGACCATTCTAGACCTCCTGGGACCTCAGCTGTGTACTAGTCACCATTGAAAGACACTTCAATTCATTTCTTCCTTTTGATATTAATAACTGTCTTCTCTGCTCCTCACCACGAATCAGCCACCAACATACCATATGTGAACACCATCTCTGGGTCCTACTCCGAGTGTCCCCTGGGGCATCTTAGGCCTTGCTGGTGTATGTGGCCAGTGATACTGCCATAATAATTACAACTATTTATTGAATGCCTGCTCTGTGATCAGGCTCTGTGACATTCTCCCACTGATCCTCATAAACCTCTGCAAGACAGGAATTATAATTCCCAATTTACTGACAGTAATTGCTGTCATGGAGTGAAAGCTTAGCATGTGCCAGGCACTATACCAAGTATCTTCTGAGTATAAACATATTTCATTCATGCAACAGTGTGATGAATAGGCATTTTGTTAGTTCCATTTTACAAATAAGAATATCAAGATTCAGACCGGGCGTGTTGGCTCATGCCTGTAATCCCAACACTTTGGGAGGCCAAGGGGGGCAGATCACCTGAGGTCAGGAGTTCAAGACCAGCCTGGCCAACATGGTGAAACCCGTCTCTACTAAAAAATACAAAAATTAGCTGGGCTTGGTGGCAGGTGCCTGTAATCCCAGCTACTCGGGAGTCTGAGACAGGGAGAATCGCTTGAACCCTGGGAGACAGAGGTTGCAGTGAGCCAAGATCGCGCTACTACACGCCAGCCGGGGTGACAGAGTGAGACTCCATCTCAAAAAATAATAATAATAATAACAGCAAGATACAGAGAGGGGTCAAGTAACCTCCTGAGTTTAGCAACTGGGGATCTGGATTTCAAACCCAGGTCTACCTTACTCCAAAGTTCATCTATAACATGTTAGTTTGACATGCTAGATAGACAAGACCCAAAAATGACCTAAAGTCAGAGTTTGGGATAACTATATAACTGCTTTGCCTCTGTCATATACTGAAGCACAGGGCTGATTTGGGGACTGCTGTCTCTCTGGACTCTGGTTTTGTTACTTTGCCCTGATGAGGCTTCAATGCCACGTCACTAAAGGTCCTCACTCTTCCTTTGTGGCAAGCTTCTAATTCCGGATGGCTGTAAAAGGTGGGAAACAGGTGTGCCCCACATTCCTACTCCTGCAGCTCAGCTGGACACAGGGTTATACTCCGCTTGCTCCCTTCCTCACACCTCTGAGTTCAGAAATGCCACATGCCAATGTCAAATGCACATGACAGTGATGGTTCCCCCCCCATCAAATGCTGTGTAAGATTCACTGCAACAAATAGCTTAGAAAAAAGTAAATTTTTCAAACTAACATTAGAGAAATCCATAATCTGACAGACTCTGTGAACAGGTTACTGAAATCTGTTTCCTCTTGCTCCTGGGCACAGAGATTGACTACATTTCCCCTTCTTCCTTGTAGTTAGGTGTGGTCACATGGCTGGGCTCTACCCAGTGGGAAAGGAGCAGATGAGATAGGCACCACTTCCTGACCTGGCCCTTATAAACCTCCCTTGGGTGACCTCCTTCATGTTCTATTCCTTCTAGGTCACTGGGATAGATACCAGGGTGGTCTCCAGAGCCACCTTTGGGAGGTAGATAGCATAAGCACCATCAGTTAGGGTCTCTGACTGACCGCACTGAGCAGATTGCTCAGCTCTTAGTCCACAGAACCACCCTAACACCTACTCAAATCCTTATACTTCTAAAACTAGATTGTAATTACTTATCCATGAATTTTTATAGCCAGTGGAATATGAGCTCACTGAATACAGTCATTATTCATGTTTAGATCTTCATAGTCTAATACAACATCTGGGAAAAAAAAGTGGTACCCAATACAGCTTTACTTAATCATTAGTGTTAGCTGCCTTTGTTAAATTCATGAGCTGCTTCTGTTTTTTTTTGTTTATTTGTTCGTTTTCATAAACCAGATTGGGCAAGAATTAGCATACCCACAGGTGGATGCTTGCATTTCATCCTAAGAGTATAATCACTTAGTATAAGCTTTGAACTCTCATTGCATACAAAGGGCTCTAAAAGTTTGTGAGTCATGGATACCTTTGTGCAGTAGGGAAACTGGAGTCATCTCCACTGAGAGCCTGAGAGATTTGAAAACCCTGGAAGTAGAGGAAACTTCTACTTCTGGCCAAATTGGAGTAACAGGGATGAGATCTGCCTTTTCACCTAACAAAAAAAAAATGGACAAAATATGAACAATAGTTTGGAAAACACTTGACGTCAGGCAACAAAGGACAATAACACATACCTGAGGCATGGTATGGAAATATAAAGAATGTTGACTGGAAAGGCAAAGGCTGGGGGTTCTAGCTCAGGTGAGTCCTATGATTGCCCCAGATGACCACCTCGAGAATTTTTCCAGGTCTCAGCACAGGGAGTGGGATCTAGGCAGAGCCCAGCAGGCAGGCTGAGTTGGGGAGACAAAGGTGAGTCCAAGTAGAACAATGTAGCTGGAGCTCACAGACCCCGGAACGAGACAGAAAAGAGCTGCCCAAAGAACTGCAGAAGTCTGCACTACATACCTATTAGAATAGCTAACATGGGAAAGACTAACCATATTCAGCATTGGCAAGGGTGTAGAGAAACTGTAACTCTCCTACACTGTGAGTGGAAATGTAAAATGGTACAACCACTTCGGAAAACAGCTTGGCAGCTTCTTAAATAGTTACACATCCACCTACCACATGTTCCAGCCACTCTACTTTAGGGTATTTTCACAAATGAAAGCATATGTCCAACAAAAATTTGTACAAGAAGGCTCATAGCAACTTTGTTTGAGATAACCAAAAACTGGAAACAATCCATATATCCAACAACAGACAAATGGATCTGCAAATCATGGTACATACATACAATGGAATACCACAGAGCAACAAAAAGGAATGAATGATTGATACATGCTACAACATGGATGAATTGCAAAATAATTACGCAGAGTGAAAGAAATCACATGCTAAAGAGTATATGATGGTTAATTCTTTGTATATAAAATTCTAGGAAGTGACAACTAATATCACTAATATCACAGTGACAGAAAGCAGAACATTGGTGCCTTGGGGGTGAGGGGACAGGAAGGTTAATAGGGACAGCCTGGAAGAAGAGATTATAAAGGGGCAAAAGAAAATTCTGGGGGTGATTGGCATGTTCATTATCTTAATTTCATGGATGTAGACATATGTCAAAACTTACCAAACTACACACTTTCAATTTAAGTATAAAATATACACACTTAAATAACGCTGTTTGTTTTAAGAAAACCCTGGGATTAAAAGACATAGGGATATAGGTGTCAATTATAATGAAAGCTTTTTTTTTTTTTTTTTTGAGACAGGGTCTTGCACTGCCACGCAGGCTAGAGTGCAGTGGCATGATGTTGGCTCACTACAACCTCTGCCTCCCGGGTTCAGGTGATTCTCCTGCCTCAGCCTTCCCAGTAGCTGGGATTGCAGGTGCATGCCACCACCCCCAGGTAATTTTTTGTATTTTTACTAGAGACAGGGTTTCACCATGTTGGCCAGGCTGGTCTCGAACTCCAGACCTCAAGTGATCCACCCGCCTCAGCCTCCCAAAGTGCTGGGATTACAGACGTGAGCCACTGCTCCTGGCCTATAATGAAAGCCTCTTAGTCTTGTGTAAAATGGTCTTCTGTACTATCCCAGAAACACTCACATCGAGGCATCTGCTGGGGCTTCCCCAGAGGTGACTAGTGGGGAAAAAAAGAGTATCAGTTGATATTGGTTGAGGAAGAAAAAGACCTGGGTTCTAGCTCAGACTGTTCCTTTACACATTGTGTAACTTCACATGGAGCTGTCCCAAAACTTGGTTGGGAAGGAACTAAGCTCTTATTTTTAAAAAGCAAGAGGAGATAATGGAGAGCATGATTTTGCAAACCAGACACACATGGATTTGTTTTTGTACCTTGTCACTGAAGAGAAACACCCATAGACGAGTGCAGGAAGCCAAAGTGTATGGTGATAAATTTTTACACACTGAAATTCTCTCCTGAGGTGCCCACATCCAGATCAAGAATCAGGACATTACCAGGCCCCCAGGAGCACCGCCTCATGCTCCGTTTCAGTCACTACATACATCAAACAAACCTCAATTTGAATTCAGCCTCCACCACTCATTGGCCATCTGACTTTCAGCACATTTTCTCTTTCATAAAGTGGAATTCATAATCCCAATTTGACAGATTTTATTTTTTGAAGAATAAAATGAAATCGCAGGTTTAAATCACCTACCACAAGGTCTAACATGTCAGAGGGTTTTATACACAGGAGTTTCCTTCCCGAGGAGAAGCTTGGAAGGGCCAGACTCCAAGGGGCAGGAGACAGTAGAGGACTCAGAGAATCCTAAGTTGCATCAGGGGCACACCTGTGGGTGAATCACTTTGCCATTCTGGGTTCCAACTCCAATCCCATGAAACGAAGGCCCTGTAAACACTGGGTTCAATATGGTACTCCTTCAGGATACCTTGCCAGGGATACAAGGATGAATAAGACATGGCCCTCACCCTTTGAGAGTTTGGAAGTCAGAGCTCTCTAGTTCTGATCCGCTGTGAGTTTGAATTTCAGTTTCTGTAAAATTGTGTAAATATATGTAAGTGTACAAATGGGGAGATCAGTGCCATCCTTAAGGATGGTTCATCACAAGTACCAAAAGCTTTTATTTATTTTTATTTTATTTTATTTTGAGATGGAGTCTAGCTCTGTCACCCAGTGGTTCAATCTCGGCACACTGCAACCTCCGCCTCCTGAGTTCAAGTGATTCTCCTGCCTCAGCCTCCCAAGTAGCTGGGATTATAGGCACCCACCACCACGTCCAGCTAATTTTTGTATTTTTAGTAGAGACAGGGTTTCACTTTTTTGGCCAGGGTAGTCTCGAACTCCTGACCTCGTGATCTGTCCTCTTCGGCCTCCCAAAGCGCTGGGATTACAAGCGTGAGCCACCACGCCCGGCACAGAAAAATTTTACAACCAGCATCTCGCCTCACACTCCCAAGTCAGAAACTCTAGAGTTAGACCCCAGAAATGAGTATGTGTTGCTAATCCCCCAGGTGATTCGGACACAAGGGGTCTACACAGAGCACATGGGAACCACAGTGAAGGAGCCGGGATGATGGAAGTTGTACTGAGCCCAGGACATACATTGCCAAGTTAATCATTACTAATAAATCTCTAAGGCCAATTTGCATCCTCTTCATGTGCCTCTTTTCCCTAAGGCATACCAAAAATATACTCTCCTTAATTAAGAATATCCAGTTACTTGAGCTCCAAACAAGTCATTTCTTCTTTCAAACCAGGATCTAAGTTCCCCATCCCTACTGAACATCAGCTATCAGAAATGATTTGCCTGTTTCTCAGCAGCAACTGATCATGACATGACAAGCCTGTCCTGGGGCCTCCTCTGAATAAACAGCACACAGCACTGAGAACAAATTGTTCTGTCAACAGCAGGCTGCTAGCACGGACAACTCTGTACACCTGTTGTCACAAGTGCTAATGATAAGTGACACTCATCACTGAGGATGTCTGAAACAGCCTTCCCAAAAGAATGGACAGTTGCATCCAATTTCTAGCCTTGAATTATACAAAATAAAGAATAATAATTAATAATTATAATAATAACAATAGCCAGCATTCACAAGGCATGGATCATATGCTCAGATACTTCTGGGCACTTTTAGTGTGTTATTTCACTTACTCCCTGGTATAGAATGAATTATTGATTTCAGTTCTTCATCTTTCATTTTTCCCTTTTTTACATTCTTTGCCATGTGACTTATAGTTATCCCTAAAGGTGGGGCGTATTTCCCCACTTCTTCCCCTCAGGCAAACCTAGGCTACATCAGCTAACCACAGATGTTTCAGTAAGAATAAATGGTTCAAATTAGTGGATAGGAAGCCACTTACATGGTGACTTGTTACATAACAACGACCGACCAATTCCATCTCCTAGAACAGTGATCGGCAAACCAAGGTCTGGGCCTAGGCTCTGTTTTTTGTCTTTTGTTTATTTTTTTTTTGGTTTTTTTTTTTCCTTTTTCTGGAGAACGGGGTCTCGCTATATTGCCCAGGCAGGTCTCGAACTCCTGGGCTCAAGCTATCCTCCCGCCTCTTAGCCTCCCTGAGAGCTGGGATTACAGGCGTGAGCACCGCACCCGGCCTAGGCTCTGTTCTTGTAAAGAAAGTTTTATTGGAACAAAAAAAAAAAATCCATATATTTACATATCATCTATGGCTGCTTTCCTGCTGTAACAGCGGACTTCAGTAGTTGTCACAAAGACCGAGTGATTTACAAAGCATAAATATTTACTATCTGGCGCTTTACAGAAAAATAATTGCTGGTTCCTGCCCTAGAACAAGGTTTCTCAAACATTAGCCTGCATCAGAATCAGCTGGAGGACTTATTAAACAGATGTAGCTGAGCCCGAGACCCAGAATTCTGATTGGGTAGGTCTGGAGTGGGACTCAAGAGTTGCACTTCTAACAAATTCCCAGGTAGATGCCAATGCACTGGTCTAAGGACCACACTTTAAGAACCACTGCCCTACCACAGTGGTTCTCAACTCTGGCTATATATTAGAATCACCTGGAGAGCTCTAGTGTTGCGCCCTGGGATATCAGTAATTGCTGAAGAGCTGGCCGGGCACGGTGGCTCACGCCTGTAATCCCAGCACTTTGGAAGGCCAAGACAGGCGGATCACGAGGTCAGGAGATCGAGACATCTTGACCAACACGGTGAAACCCCGTCTCTACTAAAAATACAAAAAATTAGCCAGGGGTGGTGGTATGCGCCCGTAGTTCCAGCTACTCAGGAGGCTGAGGCAGGAGAATCGCTTGAATCCGGGAGGCGGAGGTTACAGTGAGCCAAGATCGTGCCACTCCACTCCAGCCTGGTAACAGAGCAAGACTCCATCTCAAAAAATAAAAATAAAAATAAAAATAAGCTTCCTGGGATTTTTAGATTTAGAACACTACTTGGGAGCAACGCTTTTAGTCATTAAATTATTGTTTGAGCAGCTACCATGAACAAGCAACTGTCTTGAAAACCATTTTGAGGACACAGTACTGAACCCGAAGGAACTCCTAGTTTGAGGAGGAGACACACGGATAAATAGCAAAAGGGAAGCTATGTGCATGCTGGAGGTGAGCATTCGGTGAGAGGGACATCCCAGGGATGAGCTGTCAGGCAAGGCTGGGAGAAGAGTAGGAGGAGGTTACCTGGGGGAGGTGACACCAGAAGCAAATTTTGAAGAGAGAAGTGTAATACACATTTCACCAATAAGGAATATGGACTCAAAGTTTTAGGTCGCTTGGCTAGGATCACATTCTAGTATGTGGCGGGTCAGGGTCAGGAGCCAAACCCAGCTGTTGGAACATTTCCTTCACACCCCGAAGCCTGTTTATGTTTGTCCTTCTGCATGACAGGTTAGTCGGGGGTTCTGTTCCAGACTCCAGTCTCGTACACGAATGTAATGACATCTACAAAATAAGTACCTTCTAGAGTTGTTGTTGTTGTTAAATGATGGATGTAATTGAATCGTGGTATGATTCAGAAGGCACATCAGGGTCTTCAGGTGTCTCAAGGCCATCCATTCAAGCAGCAGTCATCCAAATATTCTAGGTACGTCAGAATCCTCACTCATCTACATTTCTGGTTGAAAATTGTTTTGTGTATTACAGAGAGACAAGAAGATATCATTTGCCTCTGGATGGAAGTATACACCACCACCTGATGTAGTATTCTTGCCTGAAAATCAAACTTAAATTCAATCAAGGATCTAAGTACCATTTACCAGGAAAACAGTGAACCACAGAGAGGCAATCTGAGAAATCCAGACAGAATGAATAACTCAGTGCAGAACAAACAACTCAGCTTCTTCAATAAATTTAAATTGTGAGGAAAAGTTTGTTATGAGCTAAACTGTGTCCCCTCTTTACAATTAAGATGTTGAAGCCCTAACCCCCAGTACTTCAGAATGTGACTCTGTTTGGAGATAAGGCCTTTAAAGAGGTAACTACGTAAAAATGAGGTCATGTGAGTGGGCTCTAATCCCATATGACTGGTGTCCTTATAAGAAAAGGAGATTAGGGCCGGGTGCGGTGGCTCAAGCCTGTAATCCCAACACTTTGGGAGGTCGAGCAAGGTGGATCATGAGGTCAGGAGTTCGAGACCAGCCTGGCCAGCATGGTGAAACCCCATCTCTACTAAAAAAATACAAAAAATTAGCCAGGCATTGTGGCTCATGCCTGTAGCCCCAGCTACTCCAGAGGCTGAGGCCAGAGAATTGCTTGAACCCTGCAGGCGGAGGTTGCAGTGAGTGGAGATTGCACCATTGCACTCCAGCCTGGGCAACAGAGCGAGTCTCCAACTCAAAAAATAAAATAAAAAAAAAAGAGGAGATTAGGACACAGATGGTCCTACAAAGGACCATGTGAAGGCATACAGAGAAGATGGTAACCCACAAGCCAAGGAAAGAGGCCTCAGAAGAAACCAACACTGCCAACACCTTTATCTCAGACTTCCAGCTTCCAGAACTGTGGGAAAATATTTCTGTTGTGTGAGGCCTCCAGTCTATAATATTTTATTATGGCAGCCCTACTACACTAATATCGGGTTCCTTCTCTTTAGAGCCAATGCTTAGGGCATTATTCAACATACCTTTGCAAACAGCCTCCAGCAACTTCCATCAGCTGGTCTGGTCTTTGGTTACAACTTCTGGCATTATGTAATAAAAAGTCTTATCCTTCTTCCACATTTGAACCCTTTACATGAGGAAAGCTGCCTGCTACTCACAAGACTTCCCTTTTCTGCCCTAAACACCTCAGTTCTCTCACTTGTTCCCAGGCTGCGGCTTCCAGACCCTCCCCAAGCACGGTGCTCTTTAAACATCTGAAGAAGGCCTACACCCTTGAAGGCTCGCCTTGCTCAGGGCTTATGAATTCGCTGTTCCCTTTGCCAGAGACCATCCTGGCCTCAGATATCTGCTGGGCCCACTGCTTTGCTTTGTTTGGGTATCTGCTCAAATGTCACTTCATCAGAAAAATATCCCCTGGCCTTTTCATCCTTCACCCCTTTACTTTGCTGCTTCTCTTTCTATAGCATATATTAGACATTTATACAAATCATTATGGGTTGTCTGTCTCCATCCAATAAACTGCAAGTTCCCTGAGGACAGGTACTCTGTATGCATCCCTGCTGCATCCGCTGCACTGAGGACAGGACCTGTTGTTCTGAAGGGGCTCAACCTGTATTTCTTGGATGAGTGAGTAAATGATAGCTGTTTTTAAAGTGAGGCATTTCAGTTCCAGGTCACAGCAAATATCTTTGCTTATTTCCACCCCTTCCCTTTAAAAAGGCTCAGCAACAAGCCTAAAAGTAGCAGAAGGAAGCTCTGTCAGCGGCCACCCAGCACCCTCAGAATCACTCCCCCCACAAAAAAAAAAAACCGCCAGCCCGCCCAGGCTGCAGCTGGACAGCCCGGAGACACTTCGTGGCCATCTGCAGACCACCGGGCCCGTCAGCCGGCTGGGGAGACAGCAGGAGGCCTCAGGGACACGTGCTTCAGGCAGACGCGCACCCACCCCGAGCACATTCGACTTTCTCCTCAGCAGACGGCTCGTTTGCATCTGCCCATGTGTACCTTGGCTTCCACAGCCTCTGTTTACAAATCTGGGTCAAGGAAGGACAGGAATTCCAACAACACGCGATTTACAGAAGCCGGCCCGCGGCCTGTTCTCATTTTTCCTTGTAAGAAGGCCGTGTGGAGCAGCATTGAGTCACTGGAGTTGGAAGCCACCCAGACCTAGTTGATGTCCAGCTGTCATCTGTGTTTACCATCATTGCAACTTGGGGAAAATAATATGATCTCTGTGAGCCTCTGTTTTCATGCCTTTTAAAAAGAAGATAATGATACAAGCTTATCAGAATTAGAACTGGTATATGAAGAGAGTAGCCCATGGAAATCATTCAATAATTTGATATTATTATTTACATTCCCAAGTAATGCTCTAGTGTGTCCCATCTCAGGCAGAATCCTGGAGTTGTCCTTGATCCCACTTTCTCCCAAAGACAATTGGCCACGGTTCTACCTCTTACTTTATCATGAATTCAGGAAGACTGGCTGTTCCTAGCACAGGCTCAGGAGTTGTCCCCTGTGATGTTGGCCATGTCTCCACCACTTCTGGCTGGGTGATGTTGAGCATGTTATTTATCTTCCATGTGACTTCGTTTTTTAATCTGTAAAATAGAATGACAATGGTAGGTGTGGAGTTAACACTGTTGATTCCCTACTAAAATCTTCTCCCAACACTCTTCTCCATTGCTACCTCTTGTATGGAAACTGAGAAGCCAAGTATCAGAGTTCCTACCCTTCTCTGCATCCAGGGATGTGCTGTGACTCATTCTGGCCCAAGATACAAGCAGAATTCTGCTGATAAGTGTTGACAAAGCTTGAAGGTTAGGTTATAATATCCATGGGAAATGCTTACAGAAAGGACTGCCTAATAGAACAGAGATGCCTGTGGAATGAATGTAGCAAGGTAGACACCAAGGAGGAAACAGAATTCAACGAGAAGAACGAGGTGAGGACCAGGTGCTATGAGAAGATTTCAGGGAGGTGGATGGTGCTGGAAGAAAAGATAGGACCTGGGCAGGGCCTGGACATCCCACACTGCTTTAAGACAATCTCGGAAGCCGCCTGTTCCTTGAAGGGAGCTAGTTAAAGAGTCAGTACAAGGGACCCACCATTCATCATTGAACTGTGAAGTGGTTATAAATTGGTCTCCACATCATCTGGTTTACATGGCGCACATTCCAGTCACCATTAAGTGTGAACGGTGTCTTTCATCTCATACTGTCTGGCAGCCGTCTCACCAGACAGGGCAAAGCTTTGCGGGAAACCCCAGGACATAGGGCTGTGCACAGCAAGGTCCCCTGGGCTGCTCTGCAGTGGCCACAGCCCCACTTGGGGGAACACTCATGTATGATACCCCCTCATGTGCCCTGTCCCAGCTGGAGAGCTGCTGCATTGTGTCCAGGCCCTTGGAGGCATAAAGGTCATGGAGAGATGTCAGGAAAAATTCCAGTGAATGGGTCTGCTATAATCACAGAAACTGCTCCTCACTTTCCTGAATGTCGTGGGTCCCTTCCACCCACCCAGCCACCCCATGGTAGAACCGCTAATATTGGGGAAGAAGCCAGAAAACAAACAGACAGAAAACATTCCCCCGAAAGAGTGGCTCTTAGGTGTCCCAACAAGGTGAGCAATTACGGTCCAGAGAGTGTCCAGATTCTGACTCCCAGCAGGGGTGGTGCTAGCCCCAGCTTGGAAATTGTTCAAATATGTAAAAGGTTATATTATGCTAGGCACTCAGTAGCCCTTTTGAAAACATGTTTTAAATACCTTCAGTGTCTAATTTCTCATAGGCTTAACCTGGAACACAACCACACAAATGTTCTTTCCAAAATGCAAATCAGACTGTGTCACTTTCCTACTCAGAGACTGGTGGCTCTGCCTTAATGATGAAATTGAAGCTCAGCCTGGCAGATGTGTCCACTGTTTCCTCTTTCTCATTTCTCTTTATATGGATGCCCCAAACTCATTTATATTCCTCAGACACACAGTGATACTCCTCCCTGCTTGCTTCTGCACATCATTGCATTCATTCAATAACATACTCATTCATTGAATGAAGATTTATTAAGCACTTACTGCATGCCCATATGTTACTTATTAGGATACAATGATGAATAAGAACAAATGCCTGTCCTCAAAGATCATATCGTCAGGAGTACTCATGCCTGGCAGCACATCAGAATCGTCCACAGGGCTGCTTGAAAGCACAGAGGTTTGGGCTTCATCCTATCTCAGAATGAAAAGAGAGGGAAAGGAAACAGCAAGCAAAAAAATCATAAGAGAATGAGGGGAGCTGATTACAAATTTCTCCTGTTACCTTCCTGACAACCAATTGGGTGAATGGGCTGGGCTGTAGAGCCAAAAAGACTGGTTCAAAACTCAGGCATTTTTATATTCTGGCTTGCTGGGACATTTCCCCTTTGCATCTGTGGCTGTGAAATTATTACTAGTTCTCCCTTTTACTTTCAAAAGTGCCCTGTTTTGGATGATAAGTTCTATAATCACCTTATTCTATAGTCAGTTTTACCCTTTCCTACCCGTGAACACGTGGGGGAAATGGCTGCAACTTTCTGAGCCTCAGTTTCATGGTCTGTATCGTAGAGTGAGCCATACCTACTTGAGAAGGTGTGAGAATTAAATGAGATGATGTTTGCCAAGTGCCTGGCACAGTAGATGTTTAATTCACAGAAGCTGTTGTTATTGTTTGCCTTGTAGAAAGTGGTTTTCATCTGGTCTGCATTTTTCACTGTCAAATGAAACGAGACCTCAACGATGAGAACATTGAGATGAAGCACAGAGCATTTATATCGGTGGAGAGGATGGCCTGGGTCAGCAAGACATTACTTGGGTAGTCACTGGCCAGGGTGACAAGCCTGTCTTAAGAATCTCTGTTACAATATTAAAACTTCAGCTCAATGGCCTAGAAAGCTTAACTTTACTACCCTCCTTGTTGGTTTAAATTTCTATAGCATTAGGTCAAATGCCAGCAATGGGCCCAGAAGGAGGGAACCGCAGTCTATTTTGATGTCCAGGGTCAGGCTGAGGAGAGAGACTGACACATTATCTGTCTGGCTGACTGTCCACTCCCCCCCACCACAGTGGTGACTCATCAGAGGGCGAGAAAGACCCGTCTCCGCCTGTCTGAACAGTGATTCTGCCGGTGATTCATTGTTGCCCACCAGAAAGCCCCCTTCTTAATGTCCTCTTTCTGAGCTCTTCAATTAGCATTTGAGGCCAAAGGATATTTAGAGGGAAGGGAGGGTAGAAAGATCCGCCAGTCGGACCGAGTGTGGCTTCACTCAGTGGCAGTGGGACACAGGGAGGGAGAAGAGGAAGTGCTGGGTACGGCTTGCTCCCAGAGTAGGAACTTGGAAACAGCTAGAGAAAAAATATATATATAATAAATGGTGAATATTTATAACATTGCAGAGGTCCTTAGGGGTGAAGGAATCTCACCAAAGACAGGAAGAAGGGCCAAAACTTTATAGAAATTAGAAATCTTTTTGGATGACATTGCATGAAGCTTGCTATGTGAATGGATTGTTTAAAAGTCTAAGGTATGTCAAACTGAAGATAAAGTGGATCAACATGAAGAGAATATTTGTAGTCTAGGATAAAAGGAAGACTAAGGCAGGACTTATCCAGTGCTGTTCTAGAAAGACAGTTACTGAGGCTGGTAGATATTCAAGTCTCCAGAATTATCCATAAGTTCTCTAGTATGGGCCTAAAAGTGATTAGTTTTCCCAAAGTGTGATAGGTAAAATTAGTAACATATATACACATAAAGAAAAATTCTTTTAGGAGTAATCTGTGCATTCATACCACTTGTACATCAAACCAAGATTATCACATGTATTTTTCTTTGAACACAATTAAGTAAAAATATGCAAACTTTTTCTTTCTCCAGACATGCCAAGCTTCAGCTGAAACTCAAGCCTCATGCAGTTTTCTCTGCTTGGAATGTTCTCTGCCCAGCCTTCACCTGCCCAGCTTCTTGTCCTACAGGTCTCAAGTCAAATGCCTTCTTCTCAGTGAAGACTTCCCTGGCCACCTTGTCAACATAAATGTCATCTGGTTATTCTCTCTCCAGCCTGTGGCCTATTTTTTCTAAAGAACTTTTCAGAATCTCATCCATATCTTGGTTTACTTGTTTGTAACCAGTGTCTCTCCTCCAGAATGTAAGCTCCAGGAGAGCAGCACTTCCTCCTTGATGTTATTCCTGCTTCAATCCTTAGCGTCTAGCCCAGTGCTTAATACAGATTTGTTGAATAAAGATCCATTAAAGTGAATTATGGACTTAATAATGCCATTCTTGCATTGGGGAAAAAAAATTGTGGAGTTGTAGTAAGGACATGGAGAACCTGGACATGGCCATAGGAAAGTGTAAAATGTTTGGTGATAATTATACTTTTCCCCCTCAAATGAGCCACAGACCTGAGAGTTAGGTAGGGATGAACTGTTTTCCCATGCTGGTAAATATGAATTAGAACACATGGCTTAGAAATGAGTCAAAAACAGGTTTCCCACTCCTGCCTCTTCTGATAGAGATGACTTACTCAGTTACAGCTAGAAAACTTCAAGCTTCTCTCTTTCGTTTCCTCCCTCCTTCTCTTTCCCACCCCTCCTATCACCCTGACTCAGGGAAAGGGCTGTCCCAGGGGACTGACCTTACAGAAGAGGTAGAAGCTGAGAGAACACCTGTGACTCTGAAAGCCATTCTTTCATGGGGAAGAGCAGACTAGGATAGAAGCTTCCTCCAAAGCTCTTCTGAGATTAAAATTTCTATATGGAAGTGAGCTAATGCAGGAATGGGTGGAAGTAAAATGGATTTCCCTAGAGTAAATATCATGGTCATGCATGTGTCATGGGAGAAAAGGGAAGCTGAGGACCACTGTAAACCACCATCAGTTCCCAGAGATCCGGGATTATGTCTTCAACTACTATTCAGAGACCACTGATCCTAGCATGTATTTTGTGCCTGGCACACAGTAGTGGTCAATCAGTGTGTGCCTAACAGTGTGCTCCGAAGGAATGGAAGACTATATGAATGATTGACTATATGAGTGATTGAGTGAATAAAATATGCATTATACTTCTGCCTCTTACAAATCTAGTTAATGTGAGTCTAATCTTAAACCCTGCTCACCTTAGAATACAGAATAAAAAATATATTTTTTAGACACACAAGGCTGAAAACGAGAATCTGGACAGAAGTGACCCCACTAATTTCTGGCAATGTTGTAAACCCTCTTGGGACACCTTTTAGCCCCAAGTAATCTGGGGATCTTACAGTGGGTAGTTCACATAACCTGTGATGAACCAATAAGCCATCTCTGCCTGCATTCAGTCTCTTGAGGAGAGGTTCTTAACTTAGGTCCATGAACTCTTCAAGGATCAGAATGCAGACACCTGGAGGCCTGGGAAGAAAAAGGAAAAAATACAGCTTGATTTGCACTCACCTGTAATTGAAATTTAGTATTTCTATCACTTGTGTATGTAGACAACACACAGTTTATTAGCAATAGCTGTGATTTTTGTCATCCACAGAAATGACAGATAATTTCATATCATATGTCAGCTGTGGCAGAGATCATGAAATATTGCCCTCGTGTCTATTTCAAAGTTACATTAGTTACTGAACTTCTGCTAGATCTTCTTTGATGCCTTCAAATAGCATATAGAGCACTTGTGGTACTCAGGCTTCTAAGATGACCTTCAATGACTCCACCTTCTGGCTTTCACAACTCATTTTCAGCTCTCCCTTGAGAGTGAGCTGAACCTAGTGACTTGCTTCTCATGGATAGAATAGGGCAAAGATGAGGAGGTGTCACATCCACGAGGAGATTATAAAAGATTATGACTTTGGTCTTGCTCACACTCACTTTCCCTCTTACCTCCTCACTCTGACAGAGCCAGAGGCCACGTTGTGAGCTGTCCACAGAGAGGCCCACATAGCAAGAAACTGAGGGCAGCTTCTGGCCAAGAATCAGTGAGGAAATGAGGCCCTCAGTTAGACATCTTGTGAGAAACCAAATTCTGCCCACAAGCCTGTGAGTGAGCTTGGAAGCAGGCTCATCCCTAGGCCATCTCAAGATGACTACAGCTCTGGCAGACACCTGAATTGCAGCCTCATGAGAGATCTCAAGCAAAAGGACCCAATTAAGCCACGCCCAGGCCCCTGACCTGCAGAGACTGGGAGATAATAAATGCCTGTTGCTCTAATACACTTTTTGTTGCTCAGCAATGGATAACTAATATCATTTGTGTGTGTGTGCATGTGCGTGTACTGTTCCATAACAGTTTTTTGCTATAATTAGTTTCCTTTGAAATCCCATGTATCTTTATTTAATTCATTTAAAGTCATTATTCTGAGAAGAGATCATAGGCTTCACCAATCTGCCAAGGAGGTCTATGCCACCCAGAAGAGCCCCTGCCCCAGACTCTGTTTTGAAGAAGACATGGGTTCTTGGAAAAGGGATTATATATCATTATTATTATATAAAGGGTATATATATATATATATATATGTGTGTGTGTGTGTATGTGCATGTGCGTGCATGTACAAATACCACATTTTCTTGAGTTGGAGGTGGTGAAGTGGAGTTTGGTCCAGCTGATGGTTGCTCCCCTGAGGTTGGAGCAGTAGATTCTCATCCAGACAGCAAGAGACACCAAAGGGAAAGAAGAGAGCAGAGAATCTGTGTGGCAAGTTTGAGCCCAAAGTCTGAAGAGTGACAGAGCAATGGGGCAGATAGAGAAGACAGGGATAGAGCCAGGAATGTCAGAGTTTGGGGAAAAAGAGGCAACCTGAACTGCAGTAAAACAGGGGTCCTGAGAAAATTCTGTATCCCCAAGTGATTTGGCCTGATTAAATTAAAAGCCTGGATCAGCAAAGAGAATGTCATCTCCCCTCCCATTTAGAGTAGAAATCCCTTGCTGTGTGACAGGCATTTAGGCACTGCTTTCTTGCACCTGTTACCAAAGTCTGCCCGCCCACCTAAATGGTAAGCTCCTTGGGGGCAAGGCCCATGTGTTCTTGTTTCCTTTTAATTCCAGAGATCTACTGCAGCATATATGTTCACACATCAAATATCTGCTCAGAGACAGTGCTGGGCCTGGGAAACAGAGATGAATTAAGTTCAGTCTATCTTGAGTTGATTATGGCCTAAAGAGGGAGACAGATCAATACAGGCATTGACATTAAAGAGCTTCAGTTCAAATGTGAACTGCATTTCTGACCTCCAACCCTTGACTTTACATCTGTTAAAGAAAGGTATAACACTCATCTTGCTGGTTTGTGGAACATTAAATGAAATAATATACTTCCAGAGCCTTACATAAGGCCTGACATGGGGCAGACACCTCTACCTTGCTTCTGATTCTCACACCATTTCCAGTCTTATGATCACAAGGCCACAAGTGTTTATGTGAGATCAAATTCCTGTGTAAAAGCTGTGGCAGACTTCTAAAGACAAGTCCTTCTCCCAACAAGCTTTCCTTCTCACTGCAAGATAATGTTCACCCACATGCCATGTTCTGTGAGCTCTTGGAAGCAGAGACCATGTGGGACTCATTTTTGCAACCCCAGCAAGTAGAAGAGTGCTGCATCAAAGGAGGGTCTGTTCAGCACAGGTTGAATGAATGACTAGGATGATAAATAATAAATCACAATAAGCTCTCCAAAATCGAATGCAATAATGTCATGCAGGAAAGGTCATCATGAGCTGGAGGACAGGGGCCTTGACCTGGCTCTTTCAAATGTGGAGGATTTAGTTGAATGCAAGATAACTGGGGTAGAGAAAAGAGGGAGATAGTGAAGGCCCACAGTCACCTCTGGAGAGGAAGGAGAAATATTGACGAGGAGGTGTGTAAAAAAGCTACAGCGGCCTCTGCCAAGTTTCATTTTAAAAGAGAAAAGATCAGAAGTAACTGTGGCAAATGTCAACATGTGTTAAATGTGAGTGGTAGGTGCAAAGGTGATTAGTATATTCCCTATGCTTCTTGCTATGTTGAAAATATTTCATGACAAGAGAGGAAAAAGGATTTTAGGTGGGAAAAATGCCACAGGCAGGTGCAGAGAAGTCAGGAGACATGTGGCAAATACAGAACAGGAAGCCTTGAGGTAGACTTCTTACTCAGGTCCTACAGGCCAAGTCCCAAGTGCGGGGCAAGGGAGCAAGCTTCGTGCTGTCCTTGGTCCTGAACCAAAACCATACCCTTGAGCATTGCTATTTCTAGTTAAAAAGCAATGGGTTCCTGCCTAATCCCCCCAGTGCTCAGAGGTTTCCTTAGTATTCTTTAACTTAATTTTTTAACTTATTTTAAGTTTATGCATACAAGTGCAGGTAACATAGGTAAATTTTTGTCATGGGTGTTTTTTGTACAGATTATTTCATCACCCAGGAATTAAGCCTAGTACCTGTTAGTTGTTTTTCCTGATCCTCTCCTTTCTCTCACCCTTCACCCTCTGAAAGGCCCCAGTGTGTGTTGTCCCTCTCTATATGTCCATGTGTTCTCATCACTTAGCTCCCACTTATAAGTGAAAACATGCAGTATTTGGTTTTCTGTTCCTGCATTAGTTTGCTAAGAATAATGGCCTCCAGCTCCATCCATGTCCCTGCAAAGGACATGATCTCATTCTTTTTTATGGTTGTATAGTATTCCGTGGTGTATATGTACCACATTTTCTTTCTCCAGTCTTTATTTAGGTTGATTCCATGTCTTTGCTATTGTGAATTGTGCTGCAGTGAACATACAAGTGCATGTATCTTTATAATAGAATAATTTACATTCCTTTGGGTATATACCCTGTAAAGAGATTGCTTGATTGAATGGTATTTCTGTCCTTACGTCTTTGAGAAATTGCCACAGTGTCTAATTTACACTCCCACCAACAGTGAATGTGTTTCTTTTTCTCCACAACCTTGCCAGATCTGTTACTTTTTTACTTTTTTTTTTTTTTTTTTTTGAAATGGAGTTTTTCTCTTGTTGCCCAGGCTGGAGTACAATGGCACCATCTCGGCTCACCACAACCTCCACCTCCTGGGTTCAAGCGATTCTCCTGCCTCAGGCTCCTGAGTAGCTGTGATTACAGGCATGCACCACTATGCCAAGCTAATTTTGTATTTTCAGTAGAGACAGGATTTCTTCATGTTGGTCAGGCTGGTGTCAAACTCCTGACCTCAGGTGATCCACCTCAGCCTCCCAAAGTGCTAGGATTACAGGCGTGAGCCACTGTGCCCAGCCACTTTTTTACTTTTTAATAGTAGCGATTTTGACTGGTGTTAGACAGTGTCTCACTGTGCTTTTGATTTGCATTTCTCTAATGATCACTGATGTTGAGCTTTTTTTCATATGATTGTTGGCTGCATGTATGCCCTCTTTTGGATAGTGTCTGTTTATGTCCTTTGCCAACTGTTTATGGGGTTGCTTGGGGTTTGTTCTTGTAAATTTAAGTGTATTATAGATGCTGGATATTAGACCTTTGTCTGATGCATAGTTTGCAAAAATTTTCTTCTATTCTGTAGGTTGCCTGTTTATTCTGTTAATAGTTTCTTTTGCAGTGCAGAAACTCTTTAGTTTAATTAGATTCCATTTGTCAGTTTTTGCTTTTGTGGAATTTAATATTTTTAAGTCCAATTTTACCCAGCTACTATCATTGCAAAAGAAATAAAAAATTCTAGCAACAGAATACATTTTTTCCAACCTGATAGTAGTATGTATCTATTATTTATCAAGCTTTTGTATGTTCTGGACACTGTGATAAGCAGTTGTTATATATTGTCTCATATTGCTATAATTATCTTCATTTTATAGATGAAGAAAGACACACAGAATGATTGAGGTCACAAAGCTCATAGATGGCACAGTTGAGATTAAAAGAGGTCACATAAGTACATATCCCAGGAATTAGCTAATCACTCCCTGGCATAGGCAAATAAGGCCTTAACTATGTAGAAGGAAGTAACTCTATGAAGTCACTGTCTTAAAACTTTCTTGATTTTTCCATCTACAAACGCAAGATTGTGGATGCCAAAATGGCAGTGTAGGTGAAAGTACCTCATAAACTATTAAGTCCTCTGCTGGTGTTGGCAGCTATCTCTGCTCTCTGTTATTGATAGTGATGGTTACAGTGACAATCATATGTCTTCAGCAGATGCCAACAACATAAACTAGTTTCTACTTCCATGGCTCACGGAGGTAAGCCAAGGCAATAAATAAATAAATACATACATACATACATACATAAATGGTAAAAAAGAGAGAGAAAGAAAGAAAGAGAGAGAAGGAGAAAAGGAAGGAGGGAAGGAAGGAAGGAAAGAAGGAAGGAAAAAAGGAAAGAAACAAAGGAAGGAAGGAAGGAAGGAAAAAAGGAAAGAAACAAAGGAAGGAAGGAAGGAAAAAAGGAAAGAAAGGAAGGAAGGAAGACCCAAAATGCAGTGGGACAGACTTGGATTTGTGGCCTTTATTTTAACAAATATTAGCAATGTTACTGTGGGAGAGTGATTTGATCACTTCCCAACCTCAGTTTCCTCTTCAAAGAAGGGGTTGTGTCAATCCAAAAGGATAAAATGTGTGATAGGGCAGCCTAGAAAAAACTACGGCATCGCTGTTGATGGTGATGGCAGCTACTACTTATTGATTCCCTTCTGCCTTGTGCCAGGCACTGTGCTTAGGCACTTTATGCACACAGCTCCAATCCTCATGCTGGTTCTAGAAAGTTCCTATTACTATCTACATTTCAAAGATGACAGAAGAGTTACTCAGGGAGCCCTTAGTAACTCTCAGCTAAATCAGAATGCAATTTGACTCATCTAATCAGATGGCACTTGGGAGGCTGGATGGCAAGGGCTGGTAGACAAGAAGTGGCCCTGCCCTGTTTTTTCCAGAGTCTAGGCAGGTACTTCTAACAACAGGACCCATTTCAAGCTGAGAAAGAGAAAATCTCCCAGGCTGCCACCCAGTTTACCAAAGTGCCAAATTCCAAGCACAGTGGAACCCAGTCTGGCTCCCCGGATGTTCAGAAGGCAACTGCCTCGGGTCCTCCCCTATGTCTCCCTTTCTCCAGTCTCTGAATCAAAGAAAAATTTGCCCTCCAGGCAGCAAAAACCAGTTCAAGGGAGCTGGGCTCCTTCCTCCTTGCTGGGCGAGCAGGGGAGAGGATAGAGGAAATCGTGCCAAAGGTCACAGTGTTCTGGGTCAGCGTGTCCCAGCTTTGAAGTCAGAGAGCTGCCAGCAACCAGGCAAGAAAAATGCTGTGGGCTGTTCCATCTATCAGGCCTCGGACAAGCTCTTGCTGGGCCTCGGCCTGCACAGCAGCTGCATACTTCAGGGAGGACCACCCACACGAGAGACACCCCCTGGTCGCCACAGCAGCACACTTAGGAACCTGTGACTGCAGAATAGCCAAGCCACAGAGCACACAACAGCTTCACAGGTGTGCCCAGGTACCTTGCCCTCTTGCCTCCATCACCAAACTCCCTTGGGGAGAGTAAGTTTTTTGCATTCCCCAGGTTGTCCTCCTTCCTCTCGCTATACTTACAACTTCTCCTTAATTTGTTCAATCCTGATCCCCACCAAAAATAAATATTAAAAAAGTTAATTGTGCACTCACAATTCTGTGATATGATAAAGGGACAGGTAATGGTGGTCAAGTTATAAAAACACCACTGTCCCTGTCTTTGTAGAGTTTATAGAGGGTCATAGACATTAACTAATAAATGAAGAAGTTGGTATAAGATTAAAAGTTGTGGTGGCATTATGAAGGAAAGAGAACAGGGTGCCAGAGGAGAGAAGAGAGAGTAATACAGCAACCTCCAGATAGGAGAATAGGAAAAGTTTCTTCCAGCAGGGACAATGAGATTGAGGACTGAAGGATCAGCAGGAGGCTGCCTTCAAGTCCTGGTGGGGTGTGGGGTGAGGGATTTTTCTGGGAAACAGCATGTGCAAATGTCCTGAGGCAGGAAAAAGAATAAAATAGTCAGGAAAGTGAAACAATATACATAATAGATAGATGTGAATCCCTGATTAAGCTGCGGGACCTGAAGTCTATACTTAAATTCTCCATCTCAGTATTCTCAGGTAGAATCAGGTAAGGATTCTGGGAGGAGGTACACTTGACCTCAGTATGAGAAGATGTGAAGGTAGAGAATCAGAAGACAAATGGCTCCAGTTTAGAGGTTTTTTTAACAGATACCCAAAATCTCCCAGCTAGAAGGGATAGAACAGCAACTTGAATACACAACTAACAATAACTAACTTATACATGCATATTTTCTAAGTTTTTTCATCCAGTGCTTCTTCATCGTACTTCAAGTTGGTCTAGAGATAAGTTTGTCTACAGATAGGAACAGAAGTAGGAAAAATGAGAAGAATCCAAGTTCCTAACTATTTCTATTCTCCTTAGCACTAGGGAGAACCAGTCTATAGGAATGAGTGAACTAGTCTGTAAAAATGGGTGTTGAAATAGAAGTGTCACCACCCAACTGTTCAGAGATTCCGAGTCCAGCCATCCCCAGCAGGCCAGCAAAATCAGACTGTGGACACTTGGATGATTGTCAACTCCTAGACCTAAGACAAGTCACTGACCTCTCTGAGCCTCAAGTTGCTGTTCTCACAAGAAAGCAGAGCTGACAACATGATAAAAATGAGAGTCCCCTTCTTGGAAAAGCAGGGGGAAATTATCATTCAAAGTACTATTAATAAAATATAAAACTATTTCCTTTCTGTCAGTCTCTCTTTTGACTTGTCATGCTGTTTTAAATTTTTTATTTAATATAAATATAAGTAAGGCATAATAAATATTTTAAATCATCAGCATACATTTTATCATTCATCTTTATATTGTACAATTCCAGTTTTAAGTGCAAGTATAAGAGCATTGAATCCACATACAGAATCATCAAAATTACCCAATTTGTACTTTCTAGCCTATACACGCAGGTATATTTTGTTCTTACCAAAAGAATAAAAACACTGCCCAAAACAAACTCAGTTATGTTTATTTTACCTTTCAATACACACACGTTATACCAACAGTCAAAATGGCTGGCGGCTTTCATCACACACTTATCTCGTACTGGCTGTGAGTTCCATTGAACTTCTGGGCTTTGTGGATCCACCAGAATTCTGTCCTCATGGGGCATGGCAAGGACGATATGTGATAAACAAGAAATGTGATACAGTGCCTATCTCCTCTCATCACTTACATGCTGCATTACCCCATCAGACTTTACTTACAAAACTCAAATTCAAAGATAAAAATCTGTAAGAGTTTCAAGCTAGTGACTACAGAGCATTAAACCAAGCCTGGGGCTCTTCTGAGCAAGGGGCCATGTGTGCTCGCCCTTGCCACACCCACATGAAACCTGCAAGTATGATGCTCTGGATAGTAATCCTGACTATATGTGCTTAGTGTCACCAATTATGTTTTGACCATCATAAAATATTTCACCTTTCTGAATCCAATTTCATCTTCCTAGAGGCTTTTGCCCTGTAACATGCAGATATATTTTGTTCTGCAGATATATTTTGTTTTAGCAGATAAAGTAGGGTTCATGTGTATAGACTTGAGAACCAGGGGGAAGGTCTCCTAGAAGAGTCCACACTGGCTTAAGTTCTTAGTGGACCTATATTCAAAGCCCAGCTTCCCCACTGAGTAGCTTAGTAACATTTAGCAAGTGATTTAGCCATCTGAAGTCTCACTTTCCTAGGTTGTAAAATGGGGATAATGGCTGCCCTATTAGAGAAGGGCTGCTAGAACTCAACACAATCTAGATCAAGTCCCTGAACACAGGAGCAGAAAATTAACAATTACTACTATTTTTAAGTTCAGGTCTCTGAACTTCAGGTGTCCTGATCACTCTTAGTGCCCCCAATCACTCCCCATAACCCCCTCCTTGTTACCCATAGACACATGCCTGGTCTAGGAGGCAGATTTGTGCCATGGAGTGGAAGGTTACGGGGGCTTCCAGGTCTGCTTATTGGAACACAGATTCCAATTTCAACACCATTTACTGTGTGACTCTGAACAATGACTTCACATCTTAGGGTCTCAGTTATCTGATAGACAACTGGCATAACAGAAACTTTATACCAGTTATCCTCTTACCAAGAAGTATTACAAGGTACCTACTTTATAAAGCTGTTGGGAGAATTACATGAGCTCTATGTGCCACTCAGTATTCTATTTGGCACAAATTAATGCTCAGTAAATTATTCCCTGCCTCAATTACCTATCTGCAAAATGAGGATACTGGTAGTCTCTACAACAGGAGGTTGTTTTCTGAAACAAATGATAATGTCCATGTCATGTGCCCAGCATGGTGCCTGGCATATGGTTATACCACAGTGAATGTGAGAAAATAACAATAATAATGATTAGCAGTTATCACATTCCTGGTGGTAACAGATAACCACCACAACTCTCACTTCTCCCCACTTCCCCTGCCTAGGGCGACAGTTCCCAAGGGTATCTGTTCATTCAGTATCCATTTTTCTGACTGCACTTCAAAACCCCCTTCCTTACCCTGAGAAGAGTTTACTCAAGGACTGAGTCTATTTTTGTTTTTGAAGAAGGAAAACAAACCCATGTGCCAAAGAACAGACTTCTTCTAAACAAGGCAAATCCCAGACAAGGCCATGGCTCTGGCTTTTGGGAGTTGGGAGGAAGGTTTAATTTTGAGTAACCTCTTGGCAGAAGATAGTAACTCCATCTCCCCTGCCTCTGTGGTTGTGAGTCAAGGTCTATTGTCCTCTGGTCTAGCACAAATGGTCATGTGCTTCCCTATTTGAAGCTATGAAATTATCTCGCTTCAAACAACATCAGAACATCAGTCTTTGTCACTGTCCCCAGGCTCCTTTACCCCCTCTTCTGTAACAAAGAGTCATGTTCCATAAATGCTTGGAGTTTATTACCCTGGCCTTAAGGTGCCCCCATCAACGCACCTTTCTGATAAACCTCTCATTTTCCCCAACACAACTCAGATCCACTTTGTTTAGCTCATTTTTTTTTTTGCACCCAACAGACATTTCTTGAACATTCATTATGTACCAAGCATAGTGCTAGATGCCAGGGACAGACCTGTTGAGTGTGATACAATCTGTTTTCTGTGTGTAAGCAGACTACAGAGGTACACCTACATTTCAATATAATGTGTTAAATGCAATAAGAAAGGAAAAAAGACAGCACTATGGAAAACCAAACTACAAGACGGGGCTTAGCCCTATGTGAGGGCTTTAGTATAAGTTGAAGAAGAGGACATCTTCAAGAAAGAAAATGGCTATTTCTCACTCATAACTTCCCTAGTCATTCATCTCACAAACACAGATTAAGCAACATTTCCCCAACCCACCCATATTCTCTGGCAGCTCCCCTCTCCCATCTCAGCTCTCAGCACACAGTTCTATAAATGCACATTTCATTATCTTACTCCCAGAATAGACTAGGGTCTCTATAAAGGCAGCAAGCAGGTCTGCCATGTTCTCTGTTGTAGCCGTAGCCCCGATATTAGTGCTCAGCATATAAAAGGCACACAATCAATATGTGTCACATTGAACAAAACATCTTTTGGCAACCTAATGTTGTGAAGGCTCCATGCTAGATAATAGTAATCCTGCTTAGACAAATATGCATAAAGAAGTAAATAACAATAGAGGTTGGCAAATGTAAATACTAAATGAATGATAGAGACTATAGATGTTAGGTAGACTGATATATTTAACTCTGTTTCATTAAATTCAGTCCAATGAATATTAATTGTGCCTTCCAGAAACATTATAGGAACAGGAGGGGATGCAAAAATAAAACAGAAAAAAAAAGAAGTCCTTACGCTCAACCTGTTTATGTAGAAGCGCCAATACAAATGTACCAAAAAAAAAAAAAAAAAAAAGAAAAGAAAAAAAAAGACTGTGAATATTCAAGGGAGGGGCACCAGAAAAGATTTCAGAAAGTGTTTAGAAAACACTGGAGTAAAGCACTTCTGTGTGGGTTCAGATGGAGACAGAGGAAGAAATCATTCCAGGAAGAAAAAGCATTTGAAGCAAACAGAAAGACAGAAAATGGGTGGTGCATTTCAGAAAAGCTTGATTAGACAGCCATCTAAAGACAGTGCTCCGGAGCAGAAAAAGTCTAACCTCAAGTATTCAGCAAGCTCACCAGCTCTTCTAGAAACCTCCTACACCCACAGTGCTGGAACATCATGGACCTGGCCATGACTTCCACACAGAGGCACTGGCCCTTTTTGTTTCCTTCAGCAAGGAAGTAACACAATCAAAAGTGCATCTTAAGAACATTTATAGGCAACTACACAGGAGACATGTGCTGCTACTGTCTTCCCAGTCCTTCTACTTCCTCGAAGGAACCACAACCTTTTCCATTCCAAATGGGTCTAATAGGTCTTCCGTCAGGGTAGTCTCACTCTAACCCTCAGTCTCAGGAGTGGATGCAAGAAGGTCCATCATAAAAACCCATCCACTGTAATAATGACCAGTCCAGTGGTGGGCAGATTCCTCAACAAGAGCCACTCAGAATATTTTTCTGGATCAATACACAGATATTGGGAAAGAGAAGTCTTTTCTCAGCTGATGTTGCTAAACTAGGAGGAAACAAATTGGAAATATATACAGCCATGTTCTCTACCCCATAGAGAAAGCCAGCCAGGTGGCATGAAGCCAACATGTATAGGAAGCCAGGCTGAAGGATGGAGAAGGGGCCTGACAACATACTCTGACAGATGGTGTGTTTTAAACCGTGAATGACTAAAAGGACAGCGGACCCATCAACAGAAACACAGAAGTCAAGGGGGTGATCTGATTTTCAGAGAGAGATAGTATCACCTCAAGTCATCAAACCTTAGAATCAGAAGGGTTGTAAAGGGATTTGGTTCAAACACTTATCTGATGCCTGAATTGCTCTATCTTTTGTTTATGTTTTTCCCAGAATGAGTTTTATTCTGCTGATGGCCTCATTCAGTCAACAAATGTTGATTAAGCAGTTGATCAATTTGGTGAATAAAACATGAAGAGCCCTTTTTTTGAGGGGCTTTCCATTTACTTGGGGAGAAGGCAATGAACAAATGAACATATACTATATTGTCAGGTTTTTCATATGGGGTAATATGAAAATTAAAACAAGGCCCCATAACAGCTTTGGGGTATGCTGTGTTACATCACGTAGCCAGGGAAGGGATGTTGAAGGGGATTATATTTAAGGAGAGATCTGAATGGTGGAAGGAAGTGAGTTATACAAAAAGAAGAAGAGCATTCAGTGAGGTGGGAGAGTGCTTCACATACAGCCATGAAGCCAGGTACATGTAGAGCTGGGTAAGTGGAGGTGGGGGGTTCTGGTTGTGGGAGAGGCTATGGTCACCAGTGGACAGAGCACAGAGGACTTTGTAAGCCATGGTGAGTGTGATGGAAAGGTGTTGGAGAGTTTTAGGTAGGTGAGTGTTATACTAGAATACCTAGGAGAGTATCTAACCCAGATTCCATAAGTGGAATTCAACTTGTCTTGAAAGTAGAGAAAGACAGATATAGGAACAAGGGAAGGTGTTCCTGGCAGGGGGGCCACGCAGTCCTTGGAGCAGCAGTGAAAATGCACTTCAGCTGCCTGGCAAAGAGTGAGTGGGTAAAAGGGGACAGACACAGTGGAAGTTCTGGGGAAAGGCCCAGTGGACCAGAAGCTTGAAAAAAGAGGTTGGAACCCTACTTTAGTGAGACTTAGATGCCAGGCTAAGGAAACAACTCCTTATTAAATGGGCAAAGAAAAGCCATTAAAGATGTTTGGAAAGGAAAAATGACTCCAGTCTGCCTCAGCAAAAACTTGTATCCCTGGAGAAGAAGTGTGATGAAGGAGGAATAAGCATGAGCTTGGATTCAGGCAGACCTGGTTCAAATCTAGTCGCACTCTTAATGGTGCAATCTTGGGCAACCACACCAAGAGGATAAAACCAAGTAAGAAAATCAGAAATACACCAAATCACCTCATCTTTCACAAGGAATGTTCTAGAACAGACACTGGCAAACTACTTTTTCTTTACGAATAAAGTTTTATTGGAAACACAGACACATGGCGTGTCTGCACATTGCCTATGGCTCTGTTTTGCTCACTGCAATGGCAAAGGTCAGTAATTGCAACAGAGACCTATGTATGACCAACAAAGCCAAAGAGTAATTACTATCTGATCCTTTACAGAAAGAGTTTGCTGACCCTGCTCAGGATAAAACTTTATTTTATAGAATAAAACTTCCTGTTACAGGATGGCCCCTTTGTAGTAGGAGAGGAAATAAAAACTTGATGAACTTATCCCAATTTAGGAGACAAGAAAAGCTAAAGAGTTTGGCAATTAGCTCTAGACTTGAAAGAAACATTATTTTCTCATGATAAACAGTCAATGGAAGATCTGTTGTGAGACCTGAGACAGAAACAGAAACAGAGAAATGCAGATGAGAGAAATGAGTACAGTGAAAAGGCAGAAAGACATCCATGGAGATGGGTGAAAAGAAATAGGGGGTCGGGCGTGGTGGCTCGCACTTGTAATCCCAGCAATTTGGGAGGCCAAGGTGGGTGGATCATCTGAGGTCAGGAGTTCGAGACCAGCCTGGCCAACATGGTGAAACCCTGTCTTGACTAAAAATAAAAAAATTAACAGGACATGGTGGTGCACACCTGTAATCCCAGCTACTTGGGAGGCTGAGGCAGGAGAATCGCTCAAACTCTGGAGGTGGAGGTTGCAATGAGCCGAGATCATGCCACTGCACTCCAGCCCTGGTGACAGAGCAAAACTGCCTCTCAAAAAAAGAAAAAAAAAAAAAGGATAAGAAATAGGGACACAGGGGAAAGGGACAGGCAGAAAAAAGGACAGGTTATCACAAAAAGTATCACACAATGAGGGGAATAGGAGACATTTTAAAAACTATGTATATCTTATGTATACACAGGTATTACCTCTCTAGGGTTGTGACAGTGTTTATGTCCTCAACACAAAGAAAATGTCTTGACTGGAAATATCAAAAAGTCGTTTCTTCATTCCAGCCTGTGCTGGGATGGAAAATCAGGATATATTGACCCAAGGGATACCTGTGTTGACAGAGACCAAGACAAGATCAATACAGGCTTCGAAGGCAAAGTTTATAGAACACTGAAGAATGTTTCCCACTTGTTTTTATCAGAAATATCTGTAAAGGTTTATGGGCCCTCCTTTCTAGTCTGTCTTTCTAAGCTTATAAAAGTTCTTTTAGGGTATGTCTTACTGATTGCAAATATGACAAATAGAAGTAATGAGCTTTTTAAAGTTCCCCTTCCCTCCCTCCCCAAAAACAAAGCTATTTCCTGATTTTAAAGACAAGAGGAGGAGTCTGTTACTGTAGGGAAGAAAACTCAGGCAGGCCTTAAGTAAAATTAACACTTCTGTTCAGAGTGCGGGCCATCCCCTACGACCACAGTGTGATTACTGAACTTGGTCAAAAGCCCTGACAGCTAGGGGAGAGGGCTCAGGATAAAGAATAGGTTGGAGAAATGGAGAGAGGGGCCTTCCACACCATTCACTATTTTTGCTCTGGAATAAGTCATTGTGCCTGTTATGCATAGAAGCAAACCAGGATTTGAATTCTAAATCAGACACATGGATGGGGAGAACGGGGGAATAGGGAGAGGTTGGTCAATGGGTACAAAGGTACAGTTAGACCGACAGCAGGAATCATTTCTAGTGCTCCATTGCACAGTTGGGTGACTATAGTTAATATATTATCTATTTCAAAATTGCTAGGAGGAGGCTTTTGAATGTTCTCACCACAAAGAAATCATAAATATTTTTGGTGAGGGATATGCTAATTATCCTAATTTAATCATTACACATTTTATACATGTATTAAAACATCACCATGTACCCAACAAATGCAAATATTATGTGTCAACTAAAGTTGAAAATAATTTTTTAAATTTAAAAATAAAAGGTAAATTGAAAAGAAATAATATGACACATGGAAGCTGGTTGATCCTGAGCAAGAAGCTCTCTCAAGTTCCTTGGTCTAAGTTCTGTTTGAAGAACTACAAACAGTTTACTATAGTTGGAGCAGGCAGCATTTGTGGGGCTGTGGCAGGAGAGAGTGATAATGATAATGATAATAAATGATAACAATAGCTATTTACTAAGTGTTTCCTGTGTGCCAAAGCCTGTTTTAAGTGCTTTAAAATATAAACTCATTTTATTCTCACCACAACCTTATTAAGAAGGGAGTTATTACTCTTATTAGCTCTGTTAGGTAACTGAGACCCAGGATGTGATAGTTAATTTCATGTCTCAATTTGATTGGGACTTGGGATACCTAGATGTTTGATTAAACATTATTCTGGTTGTGTCTTGAGGATGTTTCTCAGTGAAATTATTATGAAATGGTGGATGAGTAAAGCAGATTGCCTGCTCCAATGCAAGTGAGCCCCATTCAATTCATTGAAGGGCTGAAGAGAATGAGACTGAATGAGAGATAATTCATTCTCTGCCTGACTGCTGCTGACCCGGGACATTGATCTTTTCCTCAGGCCTTAGTACCTGGACCAGAACTATACTATCAGCTCTCCTGGGTCTTGCTGACTTTGGATCTTGGAATTTCTCAGCCTGCATACCCATGTGAACCAAATCCTTATAATGAACCTCTTTTTAATATATCTATCTCCTATAAATTCTGCTTATCTGGAAAACCTGGACTACTACAGAGATTTAAGTAAAATGGCCAAAATTTGAATTCAAAGAGTCCAATTCCAGGGTCTGTACCACTATCCGCTGTGCTCTCTGTTGCCTCTATAATGAGGCTGGAAAGATAAGTGGGAATTACAGTATTAGTCTCCTAGAGCTATCATAACAAACTACCACAAAGTGGGTGGCTTATAACAATAGAAATTTATTCTATCTCAGTCTGAAGTCTAGGATTCTGAAATCAAAGTGTGGGCAGAGCCATGCTGCCTTTGAAGGCTACAGGAGAGAATCCTTCCTTGATTTTTCCAACCTCTGGTGACTACTGGTAAACCTTTACATTCCTTGTCTTGTAGATGCATCACTCTAATCTATGCTTTCATCTTTGCATCACCTTCTTCTTCGTGTCTCTGTGTATTCTCTCCTCTTCTTACAACCACAACAGCCATTAGATTTAGGACCCACATTAATCCGGTATGATAGCATCTCAACTTTCAACGTCTGCAAAGACCCTATTTCAAAATAAGGTTACATTCTGAAGTTCTATGTGGACATGAACTCTGGGGAGATATTATTCAACCCACTACAGTTATGTCGGGTCTTGGGTGATTCTAATGCATCCGTGAGATCTAAAGAGACAATTAATTATTACTTTTTAGTCAGGGTTCCTTGGGTCCCAAGTGATAGAAACCTAACTACCTCATACTGACTTTGGCATAAAAGAAATGTATGAGCTCAGGTTACTAAAAAATTCAGATGTAAACTTTAGGTATAAAAGTTTCCGAGATGGCTGCTTCCAGGAACACAAACAAATGCCATCTTTTAAGTATAATTTCTCCTGTTTTGATTTCAGTGAGGTAGACTCTTCCCAGGAGACGTCAAGGTGGCTTCCATCTCTCCAGAAATAGGACTAAAAAACCAATGACCAAATCCACATTGCTTTTATTTTTCTTTGAAGTTATTAATAGTGAGAAGTCAATAAAGTTTCATTCTCAATCTTCTTAGCAATATCAGGTGAAGGAGAATTTCTTTTTCTCCAAAGTTCAAAAAAAAAAAGATTTTCAGGAATAAATTTCAGTGGACCCACCTGGATCATATTACATGTTCAGTCCCCAGCCAAGGACAGGGACATTTTAATTATCCTGGACATAGACCTATTGCACTTGGTCCCACTCATCTGGATGAGTCAAGGATGGTTCCAGAAGGAGAAATTAAGACATTGGATCAAAAGGGAGGATGGCTGCAGGGCAGGCAAAACCAATATATGCCAGCCTTAGATTCAAAAGAGGTGAATGACAAAATTGAATAAACCTTGGGTGTTCAGAAGAAAGCATCCAGGTGGCTGCCATTACATTCAATCTTCCATCTCTAAATCAATGTAGTGCAAAGCAAATACAGTGTAGAATCCATAGTAAGTGCTTATTCCTCTAGTAGGAATGCATTAAGAGGACCAATTGCTTTTATTTTCACCATAGTTATTGTTATTGATGAGGCTGTATAATTTACTGAAGGTTTTCAGCATACCCAGTTCTATTTCATGAAGAGCTCTAGCCTCAAGAGCTTACATTTTATTTGAAGACATAGCCGCTAGGAATTTCACAGGAGATAAAAAGGAATGAAAGGAGACCAAATGACAAAAAAATGGACTCAGCTTAATAAGATGTCTGAAACAGAAAAACTTTTCACCCCACCCTGCGTGTCTTACACATAGTATTTTCCCAGGGCCAAATCTAATTAGGAGCAATGGTACGGGAGTAGAGTGGTTACATGAATCCTCCTGCAGATGGCTATTATAAAAACTGGATTTTAAAACTTTAAACAATTTAAAGACACTGGAAAGCATCCCAAACCAGACAGTAGCCAGAGGAGAGTTTAATCCTGAAAAACCACAACTGTGAGAAGGATTGGTAATTTACAGCTTTCTCAATTGAGGGTGCTCTGTGATCCCCGTGGCTGCAGATGCGAAAACCCATAATCTTACTGGCCTAAAGTGCCAGAGGTCGGGATATAGGGATAGAAGAGGAGGTAACACTTTAAAGAATGATTCCTGGCAATGAGAATCACAGAAGTAGTGAGATATAAACACCAGTTATAAATTCTGCCAAATTCCTCAGCTGACAGCTAAACTGTACATGCACAGGAGCATCCCAAAGGGACCAGTAAAAGGCATAAGTAGACCAGCTGGACATTTACTCTTTAAAGATAGAACTACAAAGGATAAGATCTGTGAGTTTTCTATTATTATTTTTTTTAATTACGTGTCTTTCCCATTTTGCACAGCTTGGGCGGCAGAAAAAGGAAGTCTTATAGGCCTGAAATGTAAGGATAGAAAACCTGAGGTGGGTAGACAAACTAGAAATTAGGGGAAAAGCCTAGAAGAAAACAAAACTGAGAGGGTGAACCTCACACCGCCCAAATTCTTGGCAAATAACCAAGTTTTGTAGGCACCTAGGAGATCCCCAGAGAGTCAGGCTAAAAATACAACACTGGAAGCCATAAGAAGAGACTAAGGCTATCAGGTGCTACACACTACAAGAGAGATAACATTTGAGCTTTGAATCCTTTTAAGTTAACTACTTACTATAACAAAAATGCAATAATCCTCAAAAGTACACAACATAATCCAGTGTCACTATAATGTGTTATCTACAAAGTCTGCTTTTCAACCATAAATTACTACACATGCAAAGAAACAGAAAACAGTGACCCATACTAAGGAAAAAAAGGCAATAAAAAAAAACATGGCATTGCAAAGATACTGTAGTCAGCAGAAAAGTGTTTCAAAATGTGACATGAATGAATTGTCTAATAAGGAATTCAAATGGGGAATTAGAAACTATTACAATGGAAATTATAGCTCTAAAGAAAAATTAGTTAAATTTTAGAGATATCAGAAGAAAAAAATCAGTGAATATGAAGATAGAGCAATAGAAATGATTTGATTCAAATAACAGAAATTTAAAATATTTAAGGAAAACGGAAGTTCAAAGACCTATGAGACAATATCAAGCATGATCCAACATGTATATAATAAGAATAGAAGAAGTAAAGTCGTAGAAAGGAATATAAATGTTGTTTGAATATATAGTGGTCGGAGCGTTCCCAAAGTGGGTGTAAATGATTAATTTAAAGGTCCCCAAAACTTAACAAACCTATAGCGTAATAAGCACAAAGACATATATTCTTGAACACATCACAGTAAAACTATGACTATCTTTGGCCAGAAGCATAACATAAAGCTAAAACCTTGGAAGCAACCAGAAGAAATAATACATTCCAATAGGAAACTAACAATAAAATCTATGGCAGACATCTCATCAGAAACTCTGTAAATCAGAAGATATTGAAACAGCAAAGTGCAGTTAAAACAAAATAAATTATCAATCAAGAATTGTGTTTCTAATTATTTTGCTTAAAAAATGAAGGTGGAAGAGATATTTTCAGATAAATCAGAATTAGTTTAATATTAACTCAAAGATCCATAGAGAAATCAAACACAGAAATATCAGAGAGATATAGATAGAAAACAAGGAATTGAAACAAAATATTAAAAAAAACTTGGTAAACAAGAAGGCAGGAAAAGAGAGAAAAAATAAAAAACAAATGAGATAAATAATAAAGATAAAAATAGATGACCTCAATACAAATTTACCAATAATTATAATAACCTCAAAGAAAAGGGAAAGAGTCCACAAGACTCGCTTGAGCCCAGGAGGCAGAGGTTCCAGTGAGCTAAGATCATGTCACTGCACTCCAGCCTGGGCAACAGAGTGAGACTCTTGTCTCAAAAAAAAAGAGAGAGTTTCAAACTGAATAAAAAATTAAGAACCAACTATATGCTTTCAACAAGGGACATATTTTAAAATTAAGACCCAAGCAGGTTAAAGGTAAGAGAATAAAAAAGATACCATGCAATCAATAAGCATAAGAAAGCTAGAGTGGCTATATTAATGTCAGACAAAATAAACTGCAGGATTACTAGAGACATTGAGAGACACTATGATAATAAAGAGGTCAATAACTGATTAGATATAGATAGATATAGATATAGACAGAGACATAGATATAGAAATAACAATAATCAATGGTATTGAATGTCTCTGATCCTGTAATACGAGGATATCGCATATACCGCAGTAGCATATGTAAGCATATATATTTTACTAATATATTTTTTACTAAATTTTACTAGCACATTTTTTTCTCCCCCACCAGAACATAAGCTCACAGAATGTGATTTTTTTTGGTCTGATTGTTCATTTCTATATCCGCAGCACCTAAAACAGTGGCCAATGGATGATAGTTACCCCAAAATTTTGGTTGAAAATAGAC
Source organism: Homo sapiens (assembly GCF_000001405.40). Classification (NCBI taxonomy): domain Eukaryota; kingdom Metazoa; phylum Chordata; class Mammalia; order Primates; family Hominidae; genus Homo; species Homo sapiens. Next base: position 128,128,256 of record NC_000008.11, on the reverse strand, counting down.
CTATGTGACTAAAAAAAGAAGAAAATGCCATTGAAGAGCTTGGGATATCATAGGGGCTCAATGAATGTTATTTTCCTGCTCTGTTTTCGTTTTCTCCCACATTCAAAGAAATACATCCTCAAGTTATTGTGAGACTGAGTTCACAGCTCAGGACTCATTCTCTTCCCAGTCAAAATAATATGATTACTTGCTGAATGAGACAGGAAATGACCAATAGCCACAACTAATGACACAGTCCCTGGCTGAGGAGATGAATGAACAGCTTCTATGCAGAGTAAGCAATAAGGAACCACAGGAATGTGAGGCAGAAACATTTGTTAATGATTTTTAAATGAAATGATACAGCTTGCCTTCCAGTTATTCTTTGATGAATCTGACACTCACCCTACAAAATTTAACTGCCATTTTTTTCAGACTGAATTCTTTTTGCCTGCACACCCAATTCTGAGGAAAGTGATAAATCATTTCAACAAGTCAGAGAATTAGAGTTCCTCATCTTCTGCAAGTAACAGGCTCCTTCCAAGACCTGATGAATAGTATAGATCCTTGACTCAGAAAAATACATTCATACACAATGTTTTGCATACACTTTTAGGAGACTGAAGGACTCTGTTGGCCAGATCCATACACTATGTTTTCTGAGGCAAAGTTCTTCATTTTACAGAGGAAAATACCAGGGTCCAGAGAGGAAAATCATCTAACTCAAGGTCACTGGACTTACTAGAAACAGCTGTGAACCAACTCCACATCTCCTAATATCAAGTCTAACGTTATTTTCATTATAATTACTTTGCTTTTCATAGCAGACAAAATCTTTGCAGCCATCTCTGGCAAATGAGGTGTGTGACTCAGCTAGTTAATATCCATTTTGGAGGGGGAAAATATGAGTAGTAATGAGATTAGGGTTTGTGCCTGAGACGAATGCTGATTTCAATCTTGACTCTCTGCTTAGCTGTGTGATCTTGAATGCATTACCGAAGATTTCTGAGCTTCTGTTTTTCTTGTTTGGAAAATGAAAATTAAGAACACCTATCTCACATAGCTTTTGTGAAGATTAAATAAGAAAATCTTAGAAAGTATTGGCTGTTAGCAGGAGTACTAGTGTTATCAGGAGTTTAGTACTTTTATAATGTAAAGCAGTTTTTTGAATGGAAGTAGAAAATATTTTGAGTAATGGCAATATCATTGGGAGAATTGTCCGGCCATCCACAGAAACAACTACAGCCAGTTCACAGGGCGCTCGAATAATGTGCCTCTGCAATTTAGGAGAAAGGCCATCCTGTAAGAGCTAATCTCATAATATTCAATAGACAATGAATGTTTTAGTCAGAATATGCTAGTTCGTGCTCCTGTAACAAATCATGAAGGCTTACAATTACAACAAATGTTTATTTCTTATTCGCATGACTTGTTCTTCACCAGTTGCCTTTGAAACTGCTGGACCCTCTGGGAAGCAGACTCTGTCTGCAACTTCGCCTATCATCAGGGTAGAAGAGAAAGACAACTATGATAAACCACATGCTGCCTTCTGCCTGGTAATGACAGGTCTCACTTCCACTCACCTTTCATTGGCCAGAGCAAGCTACATAACCATGCTGTATACCCATGGGGCAGGATAATATAATTCTCCTTCTATGAAGCCCAGTGAATATCTGTGAACAATACTTCAATCTACCTTGCTTGATTGGAGCTACCCTTGTAGAACGGGCCACTTTAAGTAATGAAACACAGAGCTGAAATATTCGAGACCAACCAAAATGACCAGTTGAGAGGAAGAAGTCCTCAGATGACACAAACAAAACCCAAGGCCAAATCAAAATTATCACAACTAGGCAATGTGAAAAAAAGCAGATTAACAGAAATGCCATAGTCTCCATAGGAGCTGGAAAAGGAAGTGGGTGACATAAAATATGAATTCCCAATCATTTGGCAAGAGTGCCCTAGTGCACTTGGCAAGCATTTTTTGCCTTAGTGATATCTGTAAGATGGGGTCATAATAATAAGCAGGTCTTAGAGCGGTCATGGGAATCACTAAAAGAAATGATTGATAGGTGCACAAGCACAGCACAGTATGTGGTCCATATTAGATGATCATTAAATGCTAGCATGTGTGTGTGTATACACACACACACACACATATATATATATATATGTACATACACACATGCTATATCATCCATATGTTATAATATATCTCTATATTGTGGATCACATCCAGGGTCTGGACCCCAAGAGGAGGCTGAGTCTGCAGACCCCACCTGGCTCTGGTGCTGCCCTCCATGGTCATATGGCATGGCTTGGATTCCTCACATCTATATTGTGCATTACCATTTGCAAAAAGTGCATGTCCACCCTCTTTTTCCCATGTAATCCCTGCAAACCCATGAAGTGCAAGGTCCCACAGTTTGTAAGTGGCGAAGCCAAACTCCAAGCAGGACTTTACCTGAAGCCTTTGGGATCCAAATCCTGTGCTCTTTCTCAAACAAAATCCTGCCTGAGGCAAAGTTCTGGCCACCTTCTTCGATCTCTCCATCCCCTCCCCACCCACCGCCCACCGTCATTTTCTCTCTCTCACCCTCCTTCTCTGCAATAGCTACTTCAAAGGAACAATATTTGAAGAATAATGGTGCTCAGTTACACTACTTTTCATTCAGGGCATGTGCCTCCCCTTCAAGTCTCCCGGTGTGTCCAACCCAGGACGTGCCTGGCTTTGGGTTGGTTCTGTCCCTGTTCTGGTCTCCATCTGCCCTGGCACTGAACGCCGGGCCTGCTTCTCATTGTAACAAGGTTGCACTAATTAGCTGTGTTGGATTTTGCATATGGAGAGAGAATGCAAATAAATGCAAAGCAGCATGCAAATTAGCATCATCCTGGCTCTCCCAAAGAACCAGCCTGCAATACTGATGTCAGCGACAAAGTATATTAATAGCCCATCTCACTAAGGCATGCTATTTTTTCAAAGGAGGCGGGCATCAGGGTTTTTCTTTTCTTTTTTTTTTTTCTGGAATAATAGTGACTTTATATTGAATTCTGAGTTTATGATCCTCGACAAGGAGTTCATTGACCACAATGCTGTGTTCTCTATAGAAGGTTCTTGTGAGCAATAGGGTTTGTTGGAAAGAGAGCACAGACTCAGGAACTGAGCCATAGAGATCGTAGTTTAAAATCCTGCTCTTTGCTTGGACAGTTACTTAGCCTGAGCCTCAGTCTCCTCAACTGTAAAATGGGGTTAATAAATCTACTACAGAGTTGCTGATGAGGACTGAATGAGATCATGTTTAAAGTAGACTGAAATGCAATAGGTGAGCAGTAAGTTCATCTCCTCCTCTCATGTTCCTTCTCTGCTTTGAGGAGCTAAGTTGGTAATTCATGGAGACCGAAGGGTGCTCATCTCCCCCTCCTCGTTTTCCCTGTATTGCTTGCCATTCCATTAAATGTGTTTAAATGTGTCTTTCTAGTACAAAGCTGTGACAGTAACACACAAGCCCAGTCATTTTTTGCAAGAAACTACAGGGCCTCTTACATCTTCCAGAAACGAGATTATGACTCTGTCCTGCTCCCCACAGCCCACCTCTGTAACACAGCAGCTATTCTTACAAAGCCTCTTCTATCATCCTCCCATCCCTAACACCGTTTTTGGGTTCCCTGGGAGGATAGGGGCTCTCCTCTGTGCTCCCAGAACGCCCACTCTGTGTCCCCTTCAGGACTGTACACTATTGCCATAGCCTGGCTTATCTTCCCCCAAAACAGACTAGAAGTTTCTCACGGGCAGGGACTAGTTCTGAATCATCTGTGTGTGCTGAGTGCACATGGAAGATGTCCTGGCCCAGAGAAGGTGCTGAGTATATGTGGGAGTTAGAGAGATGGGGGAGGGTAAAAGGAAAGAAGCATCACCATATATTTAGCAGGGGCCACCTAAAAATCTGCATAATTATTCGTAACAAAACACAGACAGAAGTGATACTTATATTCTGGAAATGCATGAAAACCTGAGCTTGGGTACCTGACAGTAAGCCCCACCTTGAGCAGAAAGAGGCCACACGGACACAGATCTTCTCTAACACAGAGATGGTGCCCTGAGGTGGGCACTGGGGGGACATTGGGGCTCCAGGTTAGGGCTCCCGGTTTCCCAGACCAGGCTCATCCACTCGGAGTTGAACATCCCAGTGTTCTGACCAGACGTCCAAGATTCACATTCTGTCACTGTAGCCTGCATCTGATGCAAAATAAATAAATGGCTGTTGTTCGAACTTCCTGCTCCCCCACTGGTGGGGAGGGCACGCACACACATACACACTAAGGAGCACACATTTGGAGCTGCTCACAGGAAACAGACACACACTCTGAGATTAGCTTTATCTTCTTATGTGTTCCAAATACTGAGACACTGCTCTTGGTGGTTACTGGCATTTCTGAAGCTCCACAGATACCAAGGGTGAAGACAGCCCCAGAGTCCCCAACTGTTCCGCCTGCCCATGCCCACCGCAGGGCCTCAGCTCTGGATAAAGACGGCACTCCTAGGATCCCACTCAACAATCAATCTCCAGAGGATCCCTTGCCATCAGGCTGAGGAGCGTCCTGGGTTCTCCTTTTTGGGCTGTTAAGTTAATTTCAAGGCCAAAAGGCAGAGGTATCAGCTGAGTGAGCCAGAGGACCTACAGAAAGGAAACTCTCTAGCCCCTGGCCCTCAGCTCTTTCTCATGGCAACTCTCTAGCCCCTGGCCCTCAGCTCTTTCTCATGGCAGCTCCTGGGAGAGTTGCTCTCACTTTGCCGGTGAAGAAACTGAGAGATGAGGTGGCACGTACACTTGCACTTGGCCTTCGGACTGGAGCCGAGACCACCGTGCAGCCTCCCGGGGCCTGGCCTGGGGACCCAGGTAGATGGTTCCTGGGTCCTGGGTAGATGGTTCTCAAGGAGCTCTGAGCTCTTTGAGTAAACAGTTTCTTAAGAAGAAAACAGTCCAAAGAGCTAGGGCAAAACTTCTAAGCCCTCAGAGGGTCTCACCTCTCCATAGGGGGAGGAAGGAGGGATGGGCATAGCCCTTCCTGGGGACAAAGCTGAAGGGTAGTGTTTGGCCCTTCTGGGGCAGAAGCCTCTGTGGGAGGAGGAAAGGGCTGGAGAGACTGAGGAGTAAAGTGGGGGAGAGAGAGAAAGGAAAGGGGAAGAGGAAGGGAGAGAGAAAGAAAGAGGGGGGGAAGTAAGGAATGCAGGGAGAGAGGGAGGAGGAAGGAAAGGGGAGAGGGAGAGAAGGAGCGAGGCGGGGAGGATCATCTACCTTAGAGGGAAGAGTGGGTTCTCCATGGAAACAAAAGTGCCTGTTTGCCTTAGGATGCCACCAAGGAGGAAAATTGTAAATCACTTTCCAGGCAGGAGGCAGGATGATTGCCCTGTCTTTGACAGCTGAATTTGAAAACACTCCTTTCAATCATCATAGATCCTGTGGTGCCCACCTATGCCAGGTGCTATGGGGCTATTAAAAAAAAAAAGACAGGCCTCACACACACTGTTTTATCTTACACATTCCTTTTAGACAAATATTATGCAGGAATTATTTCGTCTCTTCCCCCATCCTCAACTGCAAAGAGAGCAAGGGAGGGAAAGAGGGAGGGAGGGAAAGAGAGAGGGAGGGAGGGGCCAACAAACTTATTTACCTGCCCATCACACCAAGAAGGATCTTTCATCCAGACACAGGTGCTGGAGATGGAGAGACTTGAGTCTAAAACTCAGCAACCCCTGTGCCATTTATTGAGCACTTACTGTGTGCCAGGCCTGGTGCTGAGTCACCCACATTCTCCCATTTAGTGCCTACAGCATGCCCTGGGAAAGGTATTGTCACTACTCCCATTTTTCTGAAGAAGAAGCTGGTTTTCAAGAGATGTCACACAAGTGGTTCAAGTCACAGCAGTAGCAGGAGGCAGGTGGCAGGACTTCAACAGACTGAAATAAAAGGTGCTGATTCTCAACCCCCACAAAATGGCACTTTCTCTTTTTCACTGGAGACAGAGTCTCGCTCTGTCACTCAGGCTGGACTGCAGTGGCATGATCTCAGCTCATTGCAACCTCTGCCACCCCAGTTTGAACAATTCCCCTGCCTCAGCCTCCCGAGTAACTGGGATTACAAGTGTGTGCCACCACACCTGACTAATTTTTGTATTTTTAGTAGAAACAGGGTTTCACCATATTGGCCAGGTTGGTCTCAAATTCCTGACCTCAAGTGATCCACCCGCCTCGGCCTCCCAAAGTGCTGAGATTACAGGCATGAGCCTGCTTTCCTATTTATATGTCCTAATTCCGTGTCAGCAAATGCCATAGCGCTGGGTTGGAGGAAGCCCGGCCTGCAGGAAAAATGACAAGCTGAAGGAAGGAGGTTGACTCCTGCTTGTCTTAACAGGCACTTGGTGGGCCTTATGAGGTCGCTGTGCATGTGTGCCTGCATGTGTCTGTGCATGTGTATGCATGTATGTGTGCGTGTCTACATGCACAGATGTGTGAGCATGAATATGTGTTTATGTGCCTCTCTGTGTACCTGCATGTGTGTTTGTGCATGTGTATGAGAGCAAGTGTGAGTGTGTGTTCATGCGTGTGTGTGACAGAGCATAAGTGTGTATGTGTGTGCCTCTGTGTGTGTGTGTAGTAGGTGTATGGTGCTTGGTGGCGAGGAGATTGCGCATGACAGGGTAGCTGGAAAGGCATTAAGAGTTCCCTTACTTTACATGCAGATAATGGTTTTCACCAAAATAGAGTATTATCTCTCTCTGTTTTTCTATTTGTCTGCCTTTCTCTCTCTTTCTCTCTCTCCCTTTCTCTCTCTCTCACTCTCTCTCTCTCACACACACACACACATATACACACACACACATCCTTGTATGTGATTTCTTATGTGTGACAGAACTAACTACTTAAAAATTACCTGGCTGGCAGACACTGCGATCATACATTCACAAGCTTTACCCCATGTGGATTCCATGAGGGGAGTGTTGTCACCCTCATTTTACAGAGAAAATGAGACTTGCAGAGGTCAAGTGGTGTTTCCAAGGTCACCCAGGCTGTGACTCAATGGTGGCTTAATTTCCCCTTAAATGTGACTGATTTCAGACATACCAAAGAAAAAGTATATATGGGAACATAATGAGTACTCATGTACCTGCTCTTCTATTTAAGGTAAAAATCCCTCCTTCCCAAAAGTAACTTTGAGGTTTCTCATTCCCTTAAATGTGTGTATGGTCTGCTGTTTGTGAACAATATACATCCTGGTTATTCTGTTTGCCACTGTCCTACCCAGATCCATCTCTGTGCCTCAGAGACTGCTCCCAGTAGAGGGCATCTCCCAGATGCCCTTGTTATCTGGTTCTTATTGGGTTCAGCCAAAGAGCCTGGCAAGAGATTGCAGCCGGGGCAGGAGGAGAGAGAGATCGGGGTATTTCCTACCACACTTCCTCCTTGCTATGGTTATGTGATCCTGGGGCCTGCCTGACAGCCTCTCCTCTGACCCTCAGGCCCCCACCGGGTTCCTGTAACACTGCCTCCTATACTTGCCCCTTCAGGTAACTCCCAACTTGCTAGTTCCTGGAAACCTCAGAACCTCGTTGGTTCCTTGATTCCACTATGTTGATTATATATTCATAACAAAACACCCAAAAACTAGTGGCTTAAAACAATAACCAGTTCTTTGCTCATTATTCTGTAGGTTGGTAATTTGACTTGGGCTCACCTAGGCAGTTCTTCTGCTCCAAGTGGTGCTGATTGGGCTCATTGTACATTTGTAGTCTGTCAATGTCAGCTCGTCCTGGTTGGTAATGACTGTTGGTTGTATCTTTCTCTCCAAAAGGCTTCCAGTAGGCCAGTGCAGGCTCCTTTACATGAAGTCAGAAGCATTCCAAAAAGGTCAAGGCAAAAATCACAAGACCTCTGGAACTCACCCCAAATCACTTTTGCTTCAGCCTATTTGTTAAAACCAGTCACAAAGCCAGCCCAGATTAAAAGGGATGGGAAAATGGATTCCTTCTCTGGGTATAAGGAGCAGCAAATAGGGAATAAATAATGGAATGGGAGGAATCTGTGGTTATTAAACAATCTCCTCTTTCTGAGACCTCTATAAATGTCCCTTCTTTTCCTTCTCTTTAGAATTCCAGTTGCATCTGGATGTGCCTTCTGCTTCCTACTGGGACCCTACCAGGCACAGTATATAACATTATTATGATATCATACTACACCTATTTTTTTTTTTTTTTGAGATAGAGTCTCACTCCCTTGCCCATCTCCCAGGTTCGAGGGATTCTCCTGCCTCAGCCTCCCAAGTAGCTGGGACCACAGGCATGTGCCACTCCCCTCCCCCTTTGGCTAATTTTTGTATTTTTAGTGGAGACGGGGTTTCACCATGTTGCCCAGGCTAGTCTCAAACTCCTGGCCTCAAGTGATCCACCTGCCTCAGCCTCCCAAAGTGCTGGGATTACAGGCATGAGACACCATGCCCGGCCATATACCGATTCTTCAGACTGCTTTTTATGCTTTACATCATGTTTTTGAGATTCACCTATATTTACTATATGTAGCTCTATTCTCTGATTTTCACTTCTCTGTGATACTCTTTGTATGAGTTTATTTGTCCATTCTCTGTTGGATGGACATTTAATTTAACTTTTTTTTTTTGGTGTTGCAAATACTACATTTCTGCTTTGCACATGAGCATTCTCTAGGGAGTATAATTAGGAGTAAAGCTGATTCAGAAAAGTTCTCCAAGTCCCCACCTGACCCTGAAGCCTAGCCAGCTTCACCTCTCAAGAGGAGATAAATGTTTATACAGTGTAACTTAAGCAACGCTACTCAAACTGCAGGTCTGCGATGAGAAAAGGAGCTTGTACCAGAATCAGCCTGCCTTGGCCTCCCAAAGTGCTGAGATTGCAGCCTCTGCCTGGCCGCCACCCCGTCTGGGAAGTGAGGAGCATCTCCGCCTGGCCGCCCATCATCTGGGATGTGAGGAGCCCCTCTGCCTGGCTGCCCAGTCTGGAAAGTGAGGAGCGTCTCTGCCTGGCCGCCATCCCATCTAGGAAGTGAGGAGCGCCTCTTCCCGGCCACCATCACATCTGGGAAGTGAGGAGCGTCTCTGCCCGGCCGCCCATCGTCTGAGATGTGGGGAGCACCTCTGCCCTGCCGCCCCGTCCGGGATGTGAGGAGCGTCTCTGCCTGGTCGCCCCGTCTGAGAAGTGAGGAGACCCTCTGCCTGGCAACCGCCCCGTCTGAGAAGTGAGGAGCCCCTCCGCCCGGCAGCCGCCCCGTCTGAGAAGTGAGGAGCCCCTCCACCCAGCAGCCACCCCGTCTGGGAGGTGAGGAGTGTCTCCGCCCGGCAGCCACCTCGTCCGGGAGGGAGGTGGGGGGGTCAGCCCCCCGCCTGGCCAGCCGCCCCGTCCAGGAGGTGAGGGGCGCCTCTGCCCGGCCGCCCCTACTGGGAAGTGAGGAGCCCCTCTGCCCGGCCAGCCGCCCCGTCCGGGAGGGAGGTGGGGGGGTCAGCCCCCCGCCCGGCCAGCCGCCCCGTCCGGGAGGTGAGGGGCGCCTCTGCCCGGCCGCCCCTACTGGGAAGTGAGGAGCCCCTCTGCCTGGCCAGCTGCCCTGTCCGGGAGGGAGGTGGGGGGGTCAGCCCCCCCCGCCCGGCCAGCCGCCCCATCCGGGAAGTGAGGGGCGCCTCTGCCCGGCCGCCCCTACTGGGAAGTGAGGAGCCCCTCTGCCCGGCCAGCCGCCCCGTCCGGGAGGGAGGTGGGGGGGTCAGCCCCCTGCCCGGCCAGCCGCCCCGTCCGGGTGGGAGGTGGGGGGTCAGCCCCCTGCCCGGCCAGCCGCCCCCTCCGGGAGGTGAGGGGTGCCTCTGCCCGGCCGCCCCTACTGGGAAGTGAGGAGCCCCTCTGCCCGGCCACCACCCCGTCTGGGAGGTGTACCCAACAGCTCATTGAGAACGGGCCATGATGACAATGGCGGTTTTGTGGAATAGAAAGGGGGGAAAGGTGGGGGAAAGATTGAGAAATCGGATGGTTGCCGTGTCTGTGTAGAAAGAGGTAGACATGGGAGACTTTTCATTTTGTTCTGTACTAAGAAAAATTCTTCTGCCTTGGGATCCTGTTGATCTGTGACCTTACCCCCAACCCTGTGCTCTCTGAAACATGTGCTGTATCCACTCAGGGTTGAATGGATTAAGGGCGGTGCAAGATGTGCTTTGTTAAACAGATGCTTGAAGGCAGCATGCTCGTTAAGAGTCATCACCAATCCCTGATCTCAAGTAATCAGGGACACAAACACTGCGGAAGGCCACAGGGTCCTCTGCCTAGGAAAACCAGAGACCTTTGTTCACTTGTTTATCTGCTGACCTTCCCTCCACTATTGTCCTGTGACCCTGCCAAATCCCCCTCTGCGAGAAACACCCAAGAATGATCAATAAAAAAAAAAAAGGAGTAAAGCTGCTGTAGTGTAATACTGCCAAATTACTTTCCAAAGTCAATATAGTCTTTAATAGAACAAATAGAATGTGAGAGCTGAACAAAGCTGGAAAACCAGGTTCCCCTTACATTATGCAATTATGTGTTTTGAAGAACTGTAGCAATATCTGGTTGGAATGAGCCACCCACCCAATGTAAGAATCCTTTCAACAGTGTTCCCAGGGGATGGTCAAACAATCCTTTCTTGAACTCTTGGAAATCCACATAGGAAGCCTGATACCTTAACTGTGATTCCCTCTGCACAGCGAGAATAATTCTGGGAAAAAAATAGCCCTTTTTTTTTTTTTTTTTTTTTTTTCTGTGCTGATGAAGCCTGCACTCACCACTGGAACATGTGGCGAAAGGAAAAAGGGACAAAGGATGAAGGCAGCTGGCGGTAGGCTGGGTAGATGCAGAAGGACCATTCTGCCCTGTAAGAAGTGTGTGCTTTATCCTGGGAGCAATGAAAAGTCACTGAAGGAAGTTGGGCAGGAAAGAAGCATGTTCAGATTTGGTTTTCAAAAAGTCATTCAATCTGGAGTATCCACAGTGGTGGCAGAGGAACCAAAGAGGGAACAGTTACAGCGACCCTGAAGAAAGATGCTAATGCCCAGATAAAAAGATATTAAGGCTGGAGAAAGGAACCTGCTTCAGTGGTTGAGACTAGAACCTGGAAGAGAACTGGCTTATGGCACTTACTTGCCTTATTAACCTCCTTGAGCATTTGTTTCTTTATCAGTAAAACAAGGGTAATAATGGTACCTATTCCATAGAGTTTGTATGAAGATAAAATAAAATCTCACATTTAAAAAGTTTTATGTCTGGCTCACGGTGTGTGCTCACAGCGTAAGTGTCAACTATTGTTATTGTTGAAGAACTGTTGAGAACACTTAGGGACAACAATAGTCAGGGTAGACTAAAGTGCCGTAGCTGAAATCCTCAAATTCGTAATGGTTAAAACACAACAGGATTTTATTTTCTCATATACATGGGAGTCCAAGGTGAGAGTCTCAGATTTACAGACAGTCGCCTCCACATGGTGATTTAGGGCCCCTGGTGACTCCAGGGTCACCTGGAACTTTGTTATTCTCTTCATCCAGCCTGAGGAAAGGAAAAGGATACATCCACGTTTTTTGTTTTTTTGAGACGGAGTCTCACTCTGTCACCCAGGCTGGAGTGCAGTGCCGCGATCTCGGCTCACTGCAAGCTCCGCTTCCCGGGTTCACGCCATTCTCCTGCCTCAGCCTCCCGAGTAGCTGGGACTACAGGAACCCGCCACCACGCCCGGCTAATTTTTTGTATTTTTAGCAGAGACGGGGTTTCACCGTGTTAGCCAGGATGGCCTCGATCTCCTGACCTTGTGATCCTCCCGCCTCGGCCTCCCAAAGTGCAGGGATTACAGGTGTGAGCCACCACGCCCGGCCTAGTACATCCACTTCTTAAAAGCCCTCCTCCTGGATGTGGGCACAGCATTCCTGCTCATGGTCCCTTGGTGAAAACCAGTCACAAGGCCGCAGCTAGATGCAAGGGAAGCTGGGAAATATAGTCACTGACCAAGCAGCCACTTCTGTCTCCACCAGGGCTTCCCAACCTCAGCAATATTGGCATTGCAGGGTGGATAATTCTTTGTTGTCAGGCTGTCCTGTGCACATGGTAGGATGTTTGGTAGCATCCCTGGCCTCCACTTACTAGATACTAGTAGTGTGAGCACAGGCACCTAGTACACACACACACACACACACACACACAGGATACAACTCCTACCAAGCTGTGACAACCAAAAAGTCTGTAGACATGTCTTTTGGGGGGCAAAATTGCTCCTGGTTAAGAAATACTGTTTTACACTAAAGAAGGGGAGAAGAGATACTGTGAGGCAACTGGCAACCTCTTTTGGAGAGAGAAAATTCAAGCTGCTAGCTCAGCTGAATTCCTAGTCCCTACTAGAATATGAACTCCCTGAATGCATGGGTTTTGTATGCTTTGTTTTCTGCAGAATCTCCACCTCCATACCTACAGTAGCACCTGACTCCAAAAAGGTGCTCAATAAATAGTTGTTAAGTAACTGAATGTGTTAGGTAGACTAGACCAACATGTACTAGTCAAACATACCTGCGGTGCTTTCCATAAACCGAACACTGTGCTTACAAAGGATGCCCTCTCTCCTCGCCGCAGGTAATCATTAATAATAACAATAATAATAAAAGCCCAGATCACTGGAAGAAGGAAATCACATGAGATCTGCCAACCCTACCTCTGGAGGTGATGAGCATTGGTACCTAAAGGACAAATACGAAATTCCGGCTCCATCAGCTGCTCCCCACCACTGCTAAAGGGCCTCACGATACCTGAATGCTGGAGATCCCTCTGCCATACCTGACATCAAGCCATTACATTCTCTGAAAGAAGACCTGATTATGCCGTAGGCAACAACCTACAATTTCTCATCTGCTAAGTGAGATTCCGTGGGATTTTAATTCTCCCGTTCACTTTAGAGGCTCCCGTCCCATCTTTGAAGTATTTCCCCTCCTCCTGGCTCTGCCACTTCTGTCAACACTACAAGGCAGGAGATGCTATGACATTATGGTTGCCATGGATGAATCTAATGGTTATATTGATTTCTTGGTTACATCTGCTCCAAAAGAGCCACGGAGAATCAGGCCCCAAGGGTCTGGAAAGATAAAAGAAGAGAAAAAAATAAATGGACTTTTTTTTTCCTTCAGGGAAATAATTACTATAAACAAATTAACGTGTGAGCCCATGTTTAGAAGCGTTTATTACAAGAGACCATGAAATACAAGCACGGCAGTACAGGGCACACACTGTGCAACCCGGGAAGGGTCAAACACCAAAATCGCCTAAAAAGAACCTCGAAGTTAGCTTCAAGGCAGGATGATTAAAAAGCCAGCCAGATTGTACATGTCATGAAAAAAAGATGTTTACTAGCTTTATGAAATTAAAATCCCTAAGCTGCAATTTCCTCAGTTGTAACATGGAACTAATAATATTAATACCTACCTTGCAGAATGATCATGAAAAACAAATGAAACAACAAGTGCGAAAATACCAAGCAAAGTCTCTGCCACACATTACAGTTTCAATTAATATTATTTTTGCTTCACAGGGAAAAGAAAAGTGGATAGTCAGAAAATATGCATGGCTTTAAGCACGACAATTAATAAGAAGGAGTAAAAACTGGGACAACCTCTGAACAACCTCCTATAAATAGAAACAAAACCAAAATGTCGATAAAAACCACGCGCAGTTCCTCCATGACATGAGCAGGCAATAACCAAGAGGGTCCCTTTCAGGAGGCCATATGACATGGAACCCAGACAATGACTTTCCAAACCCCAACATCTGCACCTCTTTCCACAGTCAGACCAGCACCAGCACAGAAGGTTCTACCCTGGCCAGCCTTGGGCAGAGAAACCTTCCCACCTTGCCACTCCCAAGAGACAAACAAATCAGGCAATTAAAAAGGGTGAGAGAGAAAGGGAACAGATTAATTTTTAGAGCCAGTTTGCACATCAAAACCAGACCTCAGCTACCAAAGAAATCAGACAAATTCATGAAATAAGAGTCTGAGGGTCGGTTTTAGCGCAATGTCACCATCCACACCGTTAGGCTAGTCGGGCAAACATTTTGACTCCAAATCCACATATCTAAGACATTGGCCAGTGGGGGACGTCCCCTTATTCCCTCTTTCCTTGGTTACTAGGCACTAATCTAAGCACTGTGATATCAGAAGATGATGAGACAGATACTCTGCAGTATGTCCTCAAATGTGGCAACTGTTGAGAAGTCTTGGATAACGCTAGGGATTGTCCAAGAAACACAGATGAAATGGTGCCTCTTGCATTGTTCAGGGAACCCCCCAACCCCCAGACATTTTAAACTTGGTCAGGCTAGACCACGGAGAACCTTCTGGTTCTGAAGGTGGCAAAATCTAGATACACTATTTATTTATTTATTTATTTTATTTATTTATTTTTGAGACGGAGTCTCTCTCTGTCGCCCAGGCTGGAGTGCAGTGGCGTGATCTCAGCTCACCACAAGCTCTGCCTCCTGGGTTCACCCCATTCTCCTGCTTCAGCCTCCCAAATAGCTGGGACTACAGGCACCCGCCACCAGGCCCGGCTAATTTTTGTATTTTTAGTAGATGCAGGGTTTCACCGTGTTAGCCAGGATGGTCTCGATCTCCTGACCTCGTGATCCGCCCACCTCGGCCTCCCAAAGTGCTGGGATTACAGGCATGAGCCACTGCGCCCGGCCAATACACTGATTAAAAGTAGCCCTCCCACAACTAGGGCCTTTAGATGATATGCATCCAGAGTGATCTGGTTTCCTGCAAGAGAAAGAGTCCTGGGTAAGCACCTACAATGCACTAAGCTTTGGGAACAGATTCAGAGATGAGAAACGTTCATATATTCATTCAGCAAATGTTCATTAAGCTCCCGCTATGTGACAATCAAGATATTAGGAACTGGCTTCAGAGCAGTAAATCCAGTAGGAAATGAGCATCTTTTTTTCTGCTTTCAAGTTGTTCACGGAGATACAGAAAAGTAAACATAAGTCAAAACAGGAGTGGTAAATCCAATGGGAATGGACAGGAAGGGCCAAGACGAGTCTACAGGATGAGCAGGAATGAGTTAAGGAAAAAGTTTGTTAAATAAATGAAAGAATAAGTATGAATTAATTCATTAATAGGTGAGAGACAGGGACCTCTGAGCAGAAGAGATTAAGTGCAAAAGCAAAGGAGCATGCAAGATCATCAAAATTGTCAGCGAGTAAGTGATCTGATGTGGCTGGTGTGGGCTAAAGTAGCAAGATACTAACAAGAGCAATGATAAGAACACAGTGATGGCTGGCACTTCCTGAGTTTTTTCCATGCACTGTTCAAAGGGCTTTAGGTGCATTATTTCATTGAACATACACAACATTACTACCTCCATTTTACAGATGAGAAAACTGAGGCATTCATGAGACTAAGAATTTCCCCTTGGTCACACAGCCCACAAGTGGCTCAGCTGGGATTCAAACTAATGCCAGAGACTTCCTTCTTTACCTGTGGATCTTGAGGAGGGCTTTGCACATCACAGGAAGGCTTCTAGACTCAGTCTTGTCAGAAATTAAGAGGCCAAGAAAAGATGCTACACAGTTTTGGCTCAAGAACATCTCACGTTCTCTAAGGAGAGGCAGGCAAGTGCAAAGTCTACACAGGCCTTGACAAGTGCTAGACCATAGGTTAGACAAAGAAGCATGCCTGTGCCTCTGACCCAGAATGAGGGTAAGTTGAATATTTCTTTGACAGATTGATGAAGGCTTCATAGAGCTGGTATCATCTGAGTCAAGTCTGGAGGGAAGAGAAAGATATCGGGCAGATGTCACAGTATATGCAAAGGAAGGGAAGGTAGAAACTGCACCACGTGTTGGAGGCAGGTAGGTTTGGAGCAATGTGAAGCATAGGGGAGGAGCGGCAAGAAGGATTCATTTTTCACTCAGAGCTTGTCTGTGGCCTGGAGTCCAGGGTTTAGGTCCTGGAGAACCAGTAGCTTGAGGGTTCTTCAAATTCAGAGATAGTGGCCCTGAATCACTTAACATGGTACAGATGAAACTTACGAAAGAATGCCCTGCACACACATGGAGGCCTTTCAAGGTACTTATCAACTGTCACCTGCACCTCTAAGATGAAGTGAAGATGGGTGAAGGCTGCTGGCAAGAGAGTGGGCTGAAGGACCTCGAAAATGTCTCTTTCCTCTTCTCTTTTTTCAGTTTCACACACACACATACAGAAGTTCCTTAACACTAAGAAAGCCCACCAAAAACACCTGGACCAGGAAAAAGGCAAGAGAAGAAAGAGAGAAAGCACCTGAGCACAAATCCCAGCCCTGCCCTGACCAGCTGTGTGCTCATCTTAACCATTTGCTCCTCCTGGGGAAGACTACATTTCCCAGCCTCTTTTGCAGTTAGTTTGAGGCCATGGGGCTGAGTCTTGGCCCATGAAGGCTAAGCAAAAGGCATAAAAGCCTCCTCTTCTAGGCCTAGCCTTTTTTGAACATCCTAAGTGACCCTCTGCCCTCTCTTTTTCCTTCCATGGTGACTTTGGGGACCATATGCTCCAAATGATAGGGGCTATAGCATGAAGGAGGGCTGCCCTACCCCAGTAAGACTGCAACTTAAGCAAGAAATGCATTTGATATGTTAATCCATTGAAACTTTAGGGTTTGTCTGTTGCTGCAAAATATATTGATTCTCCAGTGGTTCTAAAAGCTTGATCCGCAAGCCCACAGCCTCAGCCTCAACTTGGAACTTGTCTGAAATACATATTCTCTGGCCAGGCGCGGTGGCTCACATCTGTAATCCCAACACTTTGGGAGGCCGAGGTGGGTGGATCACCTAAGGTCAGGAGTTCGAGACCAGCCTGGCCAACATGGTGAAACCCCGTCTCTACTAAAAATACAAAAATTAGCCAGGTGTAGCGGTGGGCGCCTGTAATCCCAGCTACTTGAGAGGAGGCAGGAGAATCACTTGAACCTGGAGGGTGGAGTGAGCCGAGATCGTACCACTTCACTCCAGCCTGCTAGACAGAGACTCTGTCTCAAAAAAAGCAAAAGCAAAAGCAAAAAGAAACAGATTCTGAAGTCCCACCCTAAAGCTGCAAAATCAGACAGAAACTCTGTGTTCAGGGCTTAGAGATTGTTTTCAAGCGATTCTGATGCAGCTACAGTTTGAGAACCACTGGCTTCCTCTGAGAGGCTACTGTGTGGCCTTCATCTTTTTGAGCCTTGGTTTCCTCCTCTGTCAAATGGAGGTAAGAACACCTCCCTTTTCAGGGTTCATAGGAGGGTCAAGTGATACTGCATGAAACGATGTGTTTAAGGAGTCTGGCATGGTTGTTGATACACAGTCAATGCATAATAAATGCTATTATTTCTTAATAAATAAAAATGTTAAATGTTAGTTCTTTTTCTTTCAGTTAGGGGCCAGGGACTGCCAGAAAAACAGAAGGTGGGGATGGGGATTGCCAGAAAAATAGAAGGTGGGGTCAGACTCATACCTCTAATCCCAGCACTTTGGGAGGCCAAAGTAGGCGGATTATCTGAGGTCGAGAGTTCAAGACCAGCCTGGCCAGCATGGGGAAACCCCATCTCTATTAAAAAATACAAAAATTAGCTGGGCGTGTTGGTGTGTGCCTGTAATCTCAGCTACTCAGGAGGCCGAGGCTGGAGAATCACTTGAACCCAGGAGGCAGAGGTTGCAGTGAGCCAAGATTGCGCCACTGCACTCCAGACTGGGTGACAGAGCAAGACACATTCTCGAAAAAATTAAAAAAGAAATTTAAAAAGCAAAAGAAGGTGTGATCCCTGCCTCTTGGCACTGTGCTAGACAGCTTGTAAGATGCCCCCACTGATTCCTGCCTCCCGGTATTCAAGCTTTTGTGTAATGTACTCCAGTTGCAGGTGGATTGGACCTAGGGACTCACTTCTAATGAATGTAATATATTAAGCTAAGCTCCTTTTAAATGTCCCAGGGGAGAATTATTTGCCTCTTCCAGCTTCTGGAGGCCTCAGGTGTTCCTTGGCTTGTGGCTACATCACTCCAATCTCTGTTTCCTTTTTAAATGACCTTCTCTTCTGTCTCTTATAAAAATACTTGTCACTAGATTTAGGGTCACCCAAAGAATCCAGGATGATCTCATCTCAGGATCCTTAATTATATATGCAAAAATATTTTTTTCCAAGTGAGATGATATTCACAGGTTCTGAGATGTAGACATTTCTTTTGGGGGTCCACCATCCAACCCACACAGTGCCCAAAGAAGAGTCAGGTCTTGTTCAATCTTATATTCCACTGACCAAGACACCTCATGTGTAGTGCATGACACAAACTTGAAATTTGACAAAGTTTTTTAACAGAATGGCAGAAGTGCGTAGCAGTAAAGCTACTGGGCTTTAGAATTAGCTAAACCCCTATTCAAACTTCAACCACTTATAAATAAGTGACGTTAGGCAAATTACTTCACCTCTCTGGACCTCAGTTTCCTCCTGTAGGCATTTTAATAGTGCGTGTCTCATGGGGGTGTGACGAGGATTGAGGGAGTAAATGCAAAGCCACTACACAGAGTCTTGCATCAAGTGGGGCTGCAAAGTGTGGACGCGGTGCCTGGCACACAGCGAGTGCTCAGAGAGGCTCGCTCTTCCAACTAGCATTTTGAGGGCTGGAGTTGCCATTGTTCTTACTCTCACAAAACCTCCTAGCCTTTCGCTCTGACTGCCGCAGGGACCCTTTCACCTGCTCAGAAAGGAGAAAGAAAGAGGGAAGTCCCTGAGGCACCCAATAGTTCTCCTTTGAGACAGCTGTGGACTAAATATCCCAGCCCCGTCCTCCCATCTCCTGGCTGGTTTCCTCCAGCGGTGCCTCCCAGAGAAGGGCTGGCGGCGAGCTCGCCTAGGCCCCTCATTGTTATTCCTGGCATGAGGTAATACTGTCAGCGTCCTCGGAGGCCCATAAGAATCCCCGCAGTTTGTCTTTCATCAGAGCAACTCAAAGCTGTGTGGCATCCTCCCCAGAAGACCACGCTCCCAACCGGGTTGTGGGAGCCGCCTACTTCCCAGGATGGTCTGGTATGTGCAAGGCAGAGGGCGAGAGTGTGAACCGAAATAACCCAGCCCAGCACTGGCTCGAGGGCCACATGCCTCCAGACTGCCAGGGAGATACAAGGCTTCGTGTGTGGAAAGAAGCTTCCTGGGATTTTCTGGACATCAATGCTCTGAGTCACACTGCAGTAGGCCCACACTCTCACTGCCATACTGAGTAGCTGTGTGATTCTGAACATTTCACTTAAACTTTCTGTGCTTCAGTTTTGGCTTCTAGGAAATAAAGAAGAGGATAGTAACATCTACTTCATCAAGTTGCTGGGAGGATTAAAAGAGACAGTGTGAGTAGAGACTGGAAGAAAATATTTGCAGCACATGTATCTGACCAGGGATTTGTATCAATGATATATAAATAACCCTTGCGACTCGATAATAAAAAGACAAACAACCCATCTTCCCAAATAAAGAAAAGACCTAGACACTTCACAAAGAAGATATATGCAATAAGTGTGTGAAACAGTGCCCAATGCCATTAGTAATTAGGAAAATGTAAATAACAACCATGGCGAGACAGCCCTCCACACCCACTAAGATGGCCAAAAATCAAGAAGACTGTCAATACCAAATGTTGGTGAGGATGTGGAGCAATTGGAGCTCTCCTCTGCTCCTGGCAAGAGTTAAAAAATAATATTGGCTAGGCATTGTGGATCACTCCTGTAATCTCAGCATTTTGGGAGGCCGAGGCAGTCAGGAGTTTGAGACCAGCCTGGCCAACACGGTGAAACCCCGTCTCTACTAAAAATACAAAAATTAGCCAGGCGTGCTGGTGGGTGCCTGTAATCCCAGCTACTCAGGAGGCTGAGGTAGGAGAATCGTTTGAGCCTGGGAGGCATAGGTTGCAGTGACCTGAGATCACACCATTGCACTCCAGCCTTGGTGACAGGGCAAGACTATCTCTCAAAAAAAAAAAAAAAAAAAAAGATACCACCACTTGGAAAAACAGTTTTGGCAGTTGCTTAGAAAGCTACAAATACACTTAGCATATGATCCAACAATTCCTCTTCTAGGTATTTCCCCAAGACATATGTCCATAAAAAGACTTGTCCATGAAATCTCATAGCAGCCTTATTCATCATCAATGCACACTTAAAACATCCCAAATGTCCATCAAACAGATGAAATAATAAACAGTGTGGAGTATCCAGAGAATGGAATACTAAATAGCGATAAAAAGGAAGTGTTTTTGATCTATGCAACAACCTGGATGAATCTCATAAACAGTGTACTGAAGAAAAGAAGCTAGACATGAGGAAAGTAAAGATGATTCTAAGAAGTTCTAGAACAGAGAAAATGCATGGGTAGGACAGAAATTAGAACAGTGGTCACCTTCGTGTGGGGTGAGCAGGACGGAATATAGAAAGAGACACAAGGCAATTCCCAGGGGTGAAAGAAATGTCCTGTGTTCTTGTTTGGGGGTGAAAGGTACACGGATGTATACATTTGCAAAACACACCAAATTCTAACTTAAGATCTTTGCATTTTGTCATCTGTAAACTATATTGCGATAAAAAAGACTTAAAAGGGGTATTGTATGTAGTAGAGAGATTAGCAAGGGGGCCAAGCTCATAGATGGAACTCAGCAAAGGCCAGCTACTATTAACAAATTGTAGAAACAAGTAAAAATGACTCAGTTGTATGTTGGGAATTTGGAGCACCGATCTGAACCGTGAGCCTCCCTAGTCAGGTCCCCTCTTGGAGAATGGGCGAAACTTACCCAACGAACCCGAGGCGAAGACTGTTGTGCCCTGCCTCCCACGCTTCCTATTTTTTTCTCCGGTAAACAGAGAAACAGAAGAAGTGCATTTAGTGATGCAAAAATGAAAGATGCATCTCTAGGAGGAGTGGAGCAAATGCAGAGGGTGGCGCTGGGGGAGTAATGAGAACAGGCTCACTAAGCAACAAGGAGGCATGGATGCGGCAGAGTGTCCACAGCCCGGGCTGCTCCATCTGGGGGTTTCACAGATGCCTGAAGCAGCTTTGGAAATGAGATTGGGCCTAGCCACTGGAGCAGTGGCCCCCCTTTTTTTTCTTCTTCTTTTTTTTTTTTTTCAGAAGGAGTCTCGCTTCGTTGTCCAGGCTGGAATGCGGTGACGCGATCTCGGCTCACTGCAACCTCCGCCCCCGGGTTCAAGCGATTATCCTGCTTCAAGAGATTCTCCCGCCTTAGCCTCCCAAGTACCTGGGACTACAGGCACGCACCACCGTGCCCAGCTAATTTTTGTATTTTTAGTAGAGACGGGATTTCACCATGTTGGCCAGGATGGTCTCCCTCTCTTGACATCGTGATCTGCCCGCCTCGGCCTCCCAAAGTGCTGGGATTACAGGTGTGAACCGCCGCGCCCGGCCAGCAGTGGCCTCTTGAAGACTGCATAGGCTCCAAGGGTAAGAAAAGGATCTGGAGCCCAGCTGCCTCTCCCCCACCATACAATCCCAGGCCACCTTTTCTCATACTGGCCTCCCTTAGGGGGTTTCTCCTGCATCCTTAACTCTTTCCTGGAATGTTCCACCCTCTGCTGTGCTGTGGCCTACACTGAAGCAGGAGACACAGAAGCGTGGTCTATTCTACTTTAACTGAGATCTCTCATTGGACACAGGTCTGCAGTGGCGCCCATGATTGGCTTCGAGTGGCTGCTTGCTCAGATCTCAAGGAGCCTCATCTATTTCACATGAGATAAACCAGATGAGGTGTCCTCCCTGATTCACAGCCCTATGCGGCTGTGATCTTCCCATTACTCTGGCTGTGGCTGCTGAGTCTTCTCCCAGAGGTCCAGGGGGCAGCAGAAGAAAGTTGCTGATACCGGCAAGCAGGGCCTCCCTCCTGGTCCCCTGCCCAGCCCGCGCAGTCCACTTTCCAGGCTTCCACGGCCTGACTCCAGCCTTGCCAGCCATCCAGAGATGCCCACATTTGCATAAAGTAATTGCCCTTTAAAAGCGTCTTTTAAAGAGAACACTCTGCATCTGAGGATTATAACAACAGAAGAAGAAAAAAATAAGATTGCCCTCTCATCCACTACCAAACAGGAATGTCGGTGGCAAAGGGCCCATATTTTGGATGCAAATCTTAAAAAGGACTCAGGAGGCTTTAGGGAAAAAATATATCTATATTTGTAGAAGGTGGCAAAACTATTACCTTTCAGCTAAAGACTTTGTCTCTACCTGTGAATCAAAAGTCAGAACAAACTGCACTCAGTTACTAAACTTGGAACAAGTATTTTGGGGTTTTTTTTTTTTGAAGCGAAAGAGTACTATCATTTCATTCCCGCCCGTGACATGCTATGCACCCAGATCTGGCTACCTTATTAGCAAGGCCTGGTGCAGAATGAAAATGCTTGTTCAAACAGGAAAAAAAAAAGCTTTTTTCTTTATTCTGAGATCTCCGTCCTGGTGTGTTTTGTTTTGTTTTTATCTGCTATTTAATGTCATACTCTTTTGGGCACAGGAATACTTGTAGGGTGAATACAGCCCCTTGAAGACCTCCACAGCCCTGCCCCATGGCACAATTATGGGATTGACTCTGACCCTCTTCAGTCTTGGGCACATTTGGGGAAAGGGGGAGGTGGCAGAAGCAGAACTTCACTTACAAAACACAAACTCAAACATAAAGTGATTAAGATTTTCAAGAATTTCAAGGTGGCTATTGCAAACCTTTAAGCTCCAAGTGGGGAGCCCCCTTATATCCAGCAGTCAGTGTAACTGAAGGTGAGGAGCCTCCCCCTGGAATGTCTTATCCGTCTGGGCTCAAGGCCTGCCCCTCTGCCCTTGGCCAAGTTACTGATCTTTCCTGTTTATAAAATGGGGCTAATAACAGTACCTCCTTTGTCAGGCTGATTGGATAATTAGCTGACCTAAGAATAATGGCTAACTCTTCTACAGCACTTGTTGGCATGAGTGGCATTAGGGGCTAGCCTAATGCCCCACACTGATGTGTTTTAGAAATATCAACTCACTTAACTCTCATAACAGGCGTGGGGGGTTGCTGTTACTGTTTCTGCCTGACAAGAGAGCATGTGGAGGTGTGGAGCATCAGGCAACTAGTCCAGGCCCAAACCGCTTGGGTGTGGAGGAGCAGCATGGCCAAGATTTGCACCCATCCACTCAGCTCCAGAGCGTGCACTTCTGCCAGGTGCCTGAAAGGTAAACAGTGGTTATTGTTTCATTTCATCTAGCTCTCATAATGAGGCTATGAGGTGGGGTTGTTACATTCGAGATCATTAAAGAGAAGGATACGGAAGCTCAAAGAGGTGAAGGAACTTGCCCAAGGTCCCCCAGCAGGACTAACTCCAGGAGAGGAGAGGATGTCGACTGAGGGGAGGAAAGGGATGGAGAAGCTGGAGCCTCTGACAGAAGGGACCTGCATGGATGCCTTGGGAGTTTTTATGTAAGCCACAGTTCCAGATAGGATAGAAAGGCAGGAGTTTGAGGGGTATGGAAGAATGGGGCGTTATAGCCCTGGGATACTAAAATCTGATTATCAGGGCAGGATGGCAGCGTGGAAAGCATATCTATGTCTTAATTTTATAGTTGGGGAAACTGAAGCTGGATGTGGGAAGTGGCTAGCCTAATGTCCCTTAATCAGAAAACACAGCCCCAAGAGCAGATGACCCCAGGCCAGCATGCTTGCCAGGTCTGTGGCATGTGCTGAGCACATACCAAGGGTCCCAAGTCCATAAATCCAACAGGCCAACTCCTCCTAAGAGGCTGCTGGATAACCACCAGACAGTCCCAGGCACAGCCCAAATCCTTACAATAAAGCCCATTGCCATTTTGAGCTAGAGTGGGTTTTTAGTTGTAACATTTAGGAAAGGAAAACCACCAACTTTGTAGTCAGGCAGATGTAGAATTGAAAATGGCGTTACCATTTATTAACTGTGTGACCTTAGGCAAATTACTTGACCTCTCTGAGCTTCAATTTCCTCATCAGTAAAATGGATCAAAAGCAAGATCACATCATAGTGAACATAAGTTTCTGGAACAGATTAAATGAAAAAGAAGTTACAGAGTGTCAAAATGCGTAGTGTAAAAGCTAGCACTTAGTAGGTGCTCAATAAAAACCATTCTGAATCCATCAGCAGCCAAACCTACATAGCATGTAAGAGAAGGGTCTCACAGGAGATGTCAGTTCTAGAGGCACTTACCATACCTCTCTGTCTAAAACCCAAAGAGAGGAAGTTCAGCAGAATTTGGGGAGGTCTGAAATAGGGCCCACCATTCATCATCACCCAGGAAATAAGATCTGGAGGTTCTAGTGATGGGAAGCAGGAAAGGGAAGTTGAAAAGGAGGCTTAAGTGTGAGAGAAGTTACATTTTTTGGAGTTTCCTTTCTATTTAAGGTCTTGCTAACCACTCGGTAAAACTCATTTCTGGTTCATGTTCTTAGCAGGAAAACACATTTCATGCTAAACAGTAAGAACAGGCCCCAGCTTGGAAAGTCCTCAGAGGTTCTCATGTTTCTTGTGTCATCTGCAACTGTAGGGTACCATGGGCTGAGTGACTCAATCTGAATAATTGTACTTTGAGGATTTCTAGGGGAAGCACCCAGGGCAATCTTCTGACTGGGATCTTATGCTCACTCCAGATTGCAATGCATTCATTCAACAAAAATTGATTGCTCACGCAATGTGTGCTGAAGACGCTCTCAGAGACTGAGGACCCATAGTGAGCAACCTGGACACAAAGGGGCTTACACTGTGTCGGGGGAGGCTACCAAGAGAATCTCCCGTGGGAATAGGCTGCAGAGCTAAAGGTGTAGAACTTGGGAACCTAGTAATGACTGGGAGTTAAAGAACGACTCTTCAAGGAGATGGCACTAGAGGTATGAAACGAAGGAGGAGAAAGAAATGTATTCATCTCCTGGGGCTGCCATAACAGAATATTATAAATTGGGGAGCTTAAAATAACAGAAAAGTATTTTTCCACAGCTCTGAAGACTAGCAGTCTGAAATCAAGGTGTCAGCAGGACTGTGCTCCCTCTGAAAGCTGTAGGGAAGAGCCTTTCCTTGCCTCTTCCTAGTTTCTGGTGGTTGCCAGCAATCCTTGGTGCTCCTTGGCTTGTAGATGCATCATTCCCACCTTTACCTCCATCTTCTCAAGGCCTCCCCACTGTGTGTCTCTGTCCTCAGGACACCAGCCAGTGGATTAGGGGCCACCGTCATCCAGAGTGACCTTATTTGAACTTGATCGCATCTGCGAAGACCCTATTTCTATTATACATAAGGTCACATTCACAGGTTCTGGAAGTCCGAACTTCAGCATATCTTTTGGGAGACACAATTCAGCACACTGCAGGAAGCAACACAGGCAGGGTGAGCGTCTAACAAAGCCCTGAGCTCGGCAGCAGATGGAGGCTTCAGGAAGGAAGGAAGCCAGTGTGTCTGGAGCCCAGTGAGGAAAGGGGAAAGTGGGTGGCAGTCAGATCATACGGACCCAGGAGATGGTAAAGAGCAACAGGGGAATTCACCAGTTTTTAACTCTGAGATAGACACACTTTTTCCAGCTCATGCTGTTTGCCTCAAAGAGGTCAGCATCCCAGCACAGAGTTGTGGCCACCCAGCCTCTTCATAGTCTGATGCACCACACCTGTGACTGGCCTGCCACTCCGGAGCACCAGAGGTGAGGCAAAAATAGCTTATGGTGTTGACAGCTCTCTGCTCTGGGAAACCAGAGGCTAAAGGTGTCCCCTTTTACTGTACAGTTGCTGCCTGAGTGCATCCTGATGGGCAGCAGGGGAAACCAGAAAGGGCCCTTCTCTGAAAAAAAAAAAAAAAAAAAAAAAAAAGGAAAACTTGGACATATATATGTATATCAAAAGGTTTGTGCTTGAAGTAAAGATTTGTTTTCTGTGCAGACTGTCTTTGGTATAAGGAAGTCCAATTATTTGTTTTACAAATACTTATGGAGTGCCTACCATGTCACAGATACTTTTCTTGGAAAGAGATAAGACAAAAATCACTGCCTTCTTGAAGTTTATATTCCAGGGGAGTAAGAGAAACTAATAAATCAACTCAAACAATTAATTGTAGAACCCATTAGGAGACACCAAGAACAATGGAGGAAAATAAAACCAGCAAAGAGCATAGTGAGCTTCGTGGGATGTGGGGAAGTTTCAGTGTTAAATCTGGTGGCCAGGGAAGGCCTCATGGAAATGATGATACCCGAGCAAAGACTGAGAAGGGATGAGGAAGTGGACAAATAGGCTAGAGAGGACACAGCAGGTGCAGAGAACCTGAGGCAGAAGTATGCCTGGAGGGTCTGAGTTATGACAAAGGGGCCAGGATGCCAGGGCGAAATGAGATGGAAAGGACGAGGACGTGATCAGAGACATCACAGGGCTGCATCCCACGGGCCTCGCAGGCCACAGTGAGGCCTGTGGCTTTTACTCAGAATTAGGTGGAACCCTTTGAGGGTTTTGAAGCAAATGGGCTTATGAGCTCTGGCTGCCCTTTCAAAGGATCACCCTGGCTGCTGTTTTGAAGACAGACTGAGAGGCAAAGGCACAAGCTGGGAGCCCAGCCCAGGGGCTGTTACAAAAATTCCAGGCAGGAATGAGGGTGGCTTCGACCAAGAAGTGAGAGGAGGTCATAGTCTGGATACATTTGACAGATGGACTGGATAGATAGCATAACTGCCCAAGAGATTCTTCCTGCCCACTGCATCCATGCACCATGGTCAGCAGTGTCCCGCCGGTAGAGATGGTGCCAGAGTCAGCCCCCATCTCTCTGCCAGGAGAACTAGGCAGCCGTTTGAGCTGGCCTCCAGGCCTGTTGCCAGTGGGGGGCTACCGAATCATACACAGGTAGCCACCAGCACAATCCCACATGAGACCCCAAATTTGTTACTGCCCAAGGGGTTATTCCTGCCCACTGCATAAAGAAAGACCACGGCATTGTAGTAGAAAAAGAATTTAATAGACACGAGGCCGGCCACGCCACGTGGGCGATGAAGTTCGTACTCATCTTATTCAAAGCTCATAGGTTAGGGATTTTTCAAAGGCAGTTTGGGGGAAGGGGTGGGGGTGGACAGGTAACAGGTGCTTGCTGCTGAGTGGTTGGGGCAGAGATGAAATCGTAATGGGTTGAAGCTGTCCTCCTGTTGGGCTGAATTGCTTCTGGGTGGAGCCATAAGGTCCAGGTGGAGTCATGGGTGTCAGACATGCAAAAAACCTGGAAAGATATTTCAAAAGGCCAATCTGTAATAGTAGTGTTATTCACAGGAGCAATTGGGAAAGTTGCATATCTTATAACCTTCGGAATAATGTCTGCAGCTTAGTAGGATTCAGGCTCTTCTCCTCCCCGCACCCTGATGGCCCCCTAACAGCTTTACAAAAGTGGCTGAGTTTTGGGCAAGGCCTATTATCATTTAAACTGTAGCCTAAATGTCTTCCAAAGTTAGCTTGACCCAATAGCCCAGGAATAATTAAGAGAAAGGCAAGATGGAGGTTGGGTTGGCTTAGCTTACTGTTATAATTTTCTCATTGACACACCTTTTGCAAAGGTGGTTTCAACAGGATGGATGAGAGAGGGGATGACCAACTGAAGTTCCTCATCTAAACCATAGCCTTCCCCATCTCAAGGCCTTTGTCAGAACATCTTTCCCATCCTCCCTGCAGCAGGTTCCTTTAGGTCTGGGCTTGACTGTCACCTCCCCAGAGAGGGCTTTGCTGGACCGCAGCTCAAGTGTGCTCCCCCTGTAATTCTCATTCCCGTCCATGTGGATGTTGTACTTAAACACAAGTTAGTGGCCTGCTTAGGTTTTGGTCTATTGCCTTGATTTGAGTCTGTGCCCCACACTGGATGCATCGATCTCCAGGAGAGCAGAGACCTGGTTTCTCTTGTGCAGTGCTACATCCAAGAACCAAGCTCAGGGCCACTCAGAGGAGGTGCCCACATGATATTTAAATGAGTGCATATTTACATAAAGATATAAAATATCTAACAAGGCATTTGTTTCGGGAAGGAGGGAAGGAAGGGAGGGAGGAAAGAAGGAAGGAAGGAAGGAAGGAAGGGAGGGAGGGATGGAGGGAGGAAGGTTGGGAGGGAGGGAGGGAAGGAGAATTTATGGAATTTGCAGACTCAGCATTTAAACCCAGGTTTGCTTACCCAAATCTCACTCACTTTCTACTTCCCTCCTCCACCCCATACAGCCATCAATCAATGAACAAACCCACCCTGCGGCTGGCTGGGGAACCTGAGGGCTTAAGACACTTATAACGTAACTGAAGATGCTAAACTAAGATGCACATAACACAACAGTGACCATGATAAAAAAAAAAATTCATTAGCAAAGTTTGTTGTAGAAGACTATTGAATTATAAGGCAAGATGTTTATGATACAGTTTTAAAAGAACGTTCTAGAAAACAGCATGTAAAATATAATCTCCTTCCTAAAAATATATATATGTACATAGAAACTGTACTGGAAGATTTTACATCAAAATGTGAGCTGGGTATATTTGACTGGGGTGATTACTGGTATTAATTTGGCTATTTTGTTTATTTAAATTTTCTATCATGATTTGGTATCACTCTCGGAGCAATATAAAAGTAATTAAAATTATATTTCTGCATACATATAAGTCTATAATAAGCTGCAAGGTCAGTAGTGATTCCCATAGAAGGGGCAGGCCAGTGGTCAGGCAAGGCTTCCAGAAGGAGGGAAGGCGTGGACCGAGGTGGAGCACGCAGGCGAGAGGACATTTCCTGCTGCCGTTTTCCCACAGTGATGCTGGGTGGTGGCCCCAGGCTCCTCTGGGGTGTTCTGCCTCTTCAGGCCTCTGAGGGAGAAATGCAACTTGTCGGCTGGGCCCCTGAGAGGACCCTCCCGCCTGGCTTTGACCTAGAGGTCTCTTGGCCTCCACTGCCTTCATTCCAAAGCACTCCTGAAAGCATCCTTCCTCGGAAGACCCAGGAGAAGCTCACAATTCCATATCGGCTAGGGATGTGTGATCACGTGACCCGCATGTCGCCATATGCAATGACGTGGAGAACAGGAGTCAGAGTGAGAAGGCCTGGGTGGGAGGCCCACTCTCCACTGCTTAGCTAGGCGACCCCTGGTGAGTCACTTCATCTCGGAGTATTAATTGTCTGTAAAATGGGGTAATGAACCTGTAGTAATGAACATGTAGTAAGGGCAAAGGAAGATAACTTTCGTGAAATTAATGGGAAAAGTCCAGAAAAGCTGCTTTCTAGACAGTAACTCACTCACAAATGTTAGCAAGCAATGATCCCATGGAAATTCAGTGCAGGACTCACTCTTGCTGGTAACAGAGAAGGAGGGCACAAAAGTCCCTGTCCACAGGGGCCAGGATCCCTGGGGGTCCCGAGGCCTGGGCAGAAGGCACTAGGGTGCACTAACAGGAATTTAGGTGCTGCCAGCTTGCTCAGCATGGAGGAAACCTCTGCAGAGGAGGGGTGGACTGATGAAGAGGAGCAGCAGAAGACAATTTCACACCGAGTGCTTACAAAGTGCCAGGAACCATATTATCTCTAATATAAGACACGCTGCCAGGTAGTTATCATCTTCATCATTTTAAAAACAAGTAAAGTGAGGCACAGAATGTTATGTAACCTGTGCAAGGTCACACAACCAGAACATGGCCTCTCTACCTCCACTCTACATGTACTAATCTCCATCCCCAGGGCCGAGAGGCCGCAACCGGATGGTGAGGTTTAGTCTTAGCCCTGATGGTGGGGTGGGGAGGGGACAAGGGTGACTTGAAAAGCTCTCCGTTCCCCTTGGCAGCTGTCTTTCCATTCGCACCCCCTCCTGCACCCCTCTGCCAGGCCTGTTGATCACAGAGGCACCATCCCATCTGCTCCGCCTAGAAGTTCAGAATCTCCCGAGATTTCTGAAGCCTCCAGCACTGTTCTTTGTGACACTCTAAACACAGCAGCTTCTCCTCCTGGGGATGAGAGAGGGTCAGCCAGAGCCCTGGGCCTCTGTTCCCAACCCCTGAGCCCAGCCCTGTTCCCAAGGCTGCACACTACAATTCCAGCCCCAAGGACATGGTGGGGCGGGGGGAAGGCAGAGAGTAGAGGGGACACAGGAACTGCCCCTAGGAAGGGAGGCCCCGAGGTCCAGAGAGGGGAAGAACTTCAGGCCTGGCTCATGGAGATGTGTCCAGCCTCAGAGGGAGCAGGATCAAGCAGAGTTCCAGGTGCCGGGTAGGGCAGAAAAGGAGGGTGGTCCCAGAGCCTCGTCTAAGTCCCTGCAGGAAATCTCTGAGTAGGAGCTGGCTGGGGGCAGGCTGGGGTGCAAAATGCCTGTCCACTGGCTGTGGGGCAGGAGAGGGCAGAAATTAAGAGGGGAGTTCTTGTCTGAAGCTCATCCCTACGCTGAAGGCCCAGAGTGCAGCTAGGAAGTATGGACTCTGAAGCTGGACTGCCTGGGTTTGAACCCTGGCTCTGTTACTTAATAGATTCTCAGGTAAACGAGTTAAACCTCTCCATGCCTTAGTTTCTCCATGTTTACAAGGAATGATAATCACACCTGCCTCAGTGTTGATAAGAGAAAGGAAATGAGTCTGTGTGGTTGAAATTTTCACAGGGAGCCTGGGGTGTGGTCAGTACTGCCTAATCCTGCGACTGGCACACTTTTTCTGTAAAGGGCCAGAGGGTCAATATTTTAGGCTTTGCTAGCCAGATGGTCTCTGCTGAATATTCTTTTTGTATTCTTCAACCCTTTAGTGACATAAAAATTATTCTTAACTCAGAGTTCTTACAAGCACAGAACACTCACCAGATTTAGCCCAAAGGCTTAGTTTTTGTTTGTTTGTTTGTTTTGAGAAGTAGTCTCACTCTGTCGCCCAGGCTGGAGGTTCAGTGGCGCTATCTCAGCTCCCTGCAACCTCCACCTCCTAGGTTCAAGTGATTCTCCTGCCTCAGCCTTCCAAGCAGGTGGGATTACAGATGTGCGCTACCATGCCTGGATAATTTTTGTATTTTTAGTAGAGATGGGGTTTCGCCATGTTGGCCAGGCTGGTCTCGAACTTCTGACCTCAAGTGATCCACCCGCCTTGGCCTCCCAAAGTTCTGGGATTACAGGTGTGAGCCACTGTACCCAGCAAAGGCTACAGTTTAAGGACCCCTGATCTAGACTAAAGGTAACCCTAGAGTTGTAGGTGTGGTTAGGGGCAGGCATTTGGCTGGTTTCAGTTGGAAGCAGTTTCTAGGCCAGCCTGGGGAGGCAGAGGAAACATGGCAAGACTGGGGGCCTGGGTGGGGTGGAGCACAGCCTGCTGTGAGCTCTCATGCTGAGCCCTGGGCCCATCTGCTGCCATCATTCCCATCGCAGTTTAAGAAGCACCTGAGGCTGGAGCCTCTGAGGACAATGACAATGGACTGTGTGCCATTCAGAAGGGATGACCCACCATACATCCTCTAATAAACATTTACAAGTTGTTTACTATATGCTAAGCACTGGCCTAAGCCATGAACAAGGCAAAGGGGCCTGGGCTCGACCCCTGGAGGTCTCAGCTGGCAGGTCGCACCTTTGACAGCCCCAAGCTGGGTCTTCATCCTGAGTCTCAAGATGCAGTAGCCTCAGTGAACTCCTCAGCCTCCAAGCGTTCCTGGGGTGATCCTCTTGGTGGGGCTTGTGAATCTGGGAGCCCGTTATTCTGTCCTTCTGGAGAGAAAGAGAAAAAAAAAAAGATCCGCTGACTATAAAATGGTAGCAGGACAGTGGCCCACTCGCATTGCTCAGCTGGTACAGGGGACAGGGCCCCCTTCAAATGAGGACGTCAGAGCATTTGACACATGTTCACTCATTCCAGAAAGCTCTCCTTCACCATTCTAGATACCAAGGCCTCGAGAGGCTCCTAACTGTGGGCCCTGCCCATCAAAGAGAGTGACAACATATAGTGAACATTGCCATTTTACAGATTGAAAAACTGAGTTTGAATAAAGCTAACTAAGGTGTCTAAGATCATGCCATTCACCATGATGGAAAAGTAAATCAGAATCTTATGTATCCTGTGCCCCACAAACACAGTGGACTCCTTCCTGAACCCCATCAGCATTCTATTCTATAATATTACAAAGCACAGTTGTACCTGGTTGGTTATCTTTTTTTATTTTGACTCATGTCCTCTGTGCTCTGAGCCTACTTGTTGCAGGACCCATGGTTAATCCCTAATGAATATACCAGCAATTGACAGGTGGGTTGAGTTTCTTTTTACAAAGAAATGAAAGTAACACCATCTTACATATGAGATCTGGAGGGCACAGAGAAGCCAGCTCTGACCATGCCGAAAGAGCATGGCAGAATTGGAGTGGAAAAGAAAAGTCTCCATAAGTATCTTAGAAAGGGCATCGAGAATGCGTACCTCAAGCTGGTTCCTTGTTTTCAACTTGCGGCTGACCGCAACGCTAACAAACAAGGGAAAATGAAATCCGTGATCATCCTCAGACAGGGTTACCCTGACATTCAGAGCAGAAACCACAAAGTTTTGCTGTAAAGAGCCAGACAATATATATTTTAGGCTCGGCAGGGCACAGGTCTGTCTCACGATTCCACTCCCCCACTATAGCAGGAAAGCAGTCACAGACAATATGTAAAGAAATGGGCATAGCTGTGTTCCAATAAAACTTTATTTACAAAAACAGGCTGTGGGCCATAGTGTGCCAATTCCTGGTTGAGTACAGACAATGGCAATGTGACCACTTAATGAGATTCTATCGTGTGCCAGGAACTCTACATCTTTTAATCACCTTTCTAAGGCAGGTATTTGCCGAGTGCTCACCCGCAGCCAGGCACTGTTCTAGAAGCTGGGCTTCAGTGCAGAAAAAGACAAAACCCTGCTCCCTCAAGCTTACGTGGTGGAGAACCCTGCCAACACCCCACCCTCACCCCAAGAAAAAGCATCACCCCCACTTTTCAGAAAAAGCAAAAGGTACGAATCCTAGAACTTGTGAGGGGCACAGCTGGGATTCCAGCCCAGATTCCAAATCTCGGTTCTTTTCAGGATGCCATACCATCTCTCAAAGCAGAATCAGGACCCTCAATTTCAGCCCAGAGGCTGCATCTTATCTTAAGCCAAGCCAAACTGCAGCTGCAATCTCCTATGCAACAGCAGCCCAAGTTTTAAAACGCCCAAAGCAAGAAAAGATGCAGTGGACGCTGTCCAGCCTCTGATAAACCTAATAGAAGTTGCTCTCCGGGGCTGGTCATGCAGGGCTGGCCCCATCCACATCTGGAACCACGAGACGCAAAAGACGCAATGGATTTAAACTCTGCCTGTCCACCAACAGTCCCATAGACTGAGAGGTCTGGGGAGGCTCTGGAGCAGGAAGGTGGAGATGACAAACACAGCTCTGCTGTTTTGAGGCCTGGTATGGGCATGGTACTGGTTCAGATTCTCCCTGTCATCCTTTTTCTATGGTTTTCATGGCTTGGACCCTGAAATAAAAGAGCCCTCTGTGAAAGGGAATGAAGACAGGGAGGAATAGAGAGTAGAAGGAAAAACTTTTCTTGAGTGCCCACTTGATATCAAGCACTTTAACATTTTACCCACACACGATGGGTAGGTATTCATCATTGCTCCTGTTTCACAGACCAAGGATCAGCACAAAATTTTTTTGTAATGGGCCAAGTAGTAAATATTTTGGTTTTCTGGGCCATCCCATCTCTGTTGAAACTACTCAACTGTGCCATCATTGAGTGAAAGCTCTGCACACACCAACTATAGCTTATGTAGACAATACATAAATGAACAAGCATAGTTGTGTGCCAATAAAACTTTATTTACAAGTGCTAATGATAGAATTTCCTATAATTTTCATGCTATAAAATTACATTTCTTGTGATTTTTTTATTTAAACATCTAAAAATGTAAATGTTTATATTTGCATTTAATTTACATTTACATTTAAAAATGTAACATTTTCTATGTAAAAATCATTTAA
The DNA here is from genome assembly GCF_000001405.40 of Homo sapiens. Taxonomy (NCBI): domain Eukaryota; kingdom Metazoa; phylum Chordata; class Mammalia; order Primates; family Hominidae; genus Homo; species Homo sapiens. The sequence continues at coordinate 128,094,238 of NC_000008.11, read as the reverse complement.
AAAGTAGCAAAAATCCTTAATGTGCAAGCTGTACAAAAACAGGCTGTGGACTGGATTTAACTTGCGGATCATAGTTTGCTGACCCCTGTTTTAGAAGAATTCACAGCTGTCATTTAGGTGACCTGGCAACCTGATGCAGAGCCTGGGTTTGCAGGTCCATATGCCATGCTGCTGACATGGCATTAAGAGGGGTGGTGAGGACTGTAGCAAAAACCTATCCATTTTGACAGCCTCAAGTAGAACAGTAAAGGCCTTTATCCATTCAATCATTCAATCACTTATTCATTGGTTCCTTGCAGAGCTGGCACGGCACGGTGGCTCACGCCTGTAATCCCAGCACTTTAGGAAGCTGAGGCGGGCAGATCACGAGGTCAGGAGTTTGAGACCACCCTGGCCAATATGGTGAAACCCTGTCTCTACTAAAAATACAAAAATTAACTGGGCGTGGTGGCGCGCACCTGTAATCCCAGCCACTCAGGAGGCTGAGGCAGAGGAATCGCTTGAACCTGGGAGGCGGAGGTTGCAGTGAGCCGAGACTGTGCTGTAGCGCTCCAGCCTGGGTGACAGAGCTAGACTCTGTCTCAAAAAAAGAAAAAAATGTGCAGAGCCCTGAGGGAGGTGATAGTCGTGCCAAAGGCCTCTTTCAAGCCTTATAGCAACTCTTTTTATTTTTTATTTTTTAAGACAAAGTCTTGCTCTTGTCCCCCAGGCTGGAGGGCAATGGCGCGATCTCAGTTCACTGCAACCTCCGCCTCCCATGTTCAAGAGATTCTCCTGCCTCAGCCTCCTGAGTAGCTGGGATTACAGGCAGCTGCCACCAAGCCTGGCTAATTTTTTATTTTTAGTATTGACGGGGTTTCACCATGTTTGCCAGGCTGGTCTCGAACTCCTGACCTCAGGTGATCCGCCCACCTCGGCCTCCCAAAGTGCTGGCATTATAGGCATGAGCCACTGCTCCTGGCCAAGCCTTACAGCAACTCTTAAGAGGGTTGGTTATTTACAATGCTTATCCCCATTTTACTGATGAGAAAACAGAAGTGGGGAGAGAAGCCCAAGCTCTTTCCGTGATCCAAGCTGCTTAGGCATTGTGAGGGTAGAATCTTTTCCTTAAGGAACATGGCAGCAAATAACCAAAATAGAAATAAAAAAATATGAAAAGATCAAAAAAGAAAGACAGATCTTAAAGTTGCATATATATATTATTCCAGATGCGGCAGTCAGAAAAGCTTGGTGGAAGAGGCATCTGGGCAGGATGGGAGAGGGCAGCATTTCAGCCACAGGAGGTGGGGGCACCGTGCGCAGCAAGAAGCAGAAAGAACAGAAAGAATAAAGCCCCAGAGAGCGGGATGGAAGACTGAATAGATGGCAGGAGATCTCCTGGCGGTGCAAAAGTATTTAGGTTGGTGCAAAAATAATTGCAGTTTTTGCCATTAAAGGTAATGGCACCATGCTGAGAGTAAGATTTTGACAAAGAGGAGGGGATTGGGAATGCAGGGTGAGGCTGGCCAGTCTCTGCCTCTCTCAAGGCTTTCACCAGCTCTCCCACACTTGGCTGTAGACCCAGCCCTCATCTGAACCCTGCTTCTTACCTGTGAACGTCATAATTCAACCTGGGCTCAATTATCTTGCCCACTGAGGAGTTCCTAGCTGGAGTGGGTGAGTGGCAGGACAGGCAGCCCCTACCGGTTCCGGAACGCTTCAGGGCATGACGTATGTGTCCCCAGCAAGCCTGAGAAGGGAGTGAACAGCTGTCCAGGGGCCAATGGCCAGGGTGCCGGGGCTGCCATTAAAGGTAATGGCAAAAACTGCAATTACTTTTGCACCAACCTAATAGTATGGACACTGGGAGGTGGGCTGGATCAGTCAGAGGAAGGCCTGAGGCCCCTGCCCAGGGGAGGGGAAGGGAAGAGCTTCAGGGAGCTGGGGACACCTGAGCCATCTGTCTGACGTGACAATTAAGCAAAGGTTGGTGTGTTGGTAGTACAGGACTAGGGAGTTTCAGAAGGTGCTGGAAGGGGAGATGGAAAAGGAGATAGAGAAAAATAAATGGGAAACAGCAGGGGGGCTGGCTGACAGCAGGAAATTCTGAGCCTAAGGGTTCTTTGCAGCTTCCCAGCCCCTGCACTGGGAGGGTCAGCTGGGCCCGCCAGGTGGGATGGAGAGGTAGGTGTCACCACCAGGCCCAAAGCTTGCACACGGCCCAGGGGAGAAGGGGAGAGCTCAGTCCGGTTGTTGACCTGTTAGGCTTCAGCTTTCTCAAACTCCTCTCATATTCCCACCCTCACAATCTTATGAGGACAGCTCTCAGCAACCCCACAGGACAATGGGGACACTGAGACCCATATGCCACAAAGCCTGGAATGGAGACATACCCTGAGTTTTCCTATGACTGCTAATGATGCCAGCTGACACCTGTGGGGTGCTTATGATGTGCCAGGCACTGGGCTAAGCTTTTACCATCCTCACAACTTTACAAAAATTTATTACATCTTATAAATGTATGTATATATACATGAAATACTGTATATTATCCTGATAAGTAACTTTAAAGGTAGAGCACTTGTTCTGTCCCACACTGAGTATGCAGCCAGGATTGAACCCAGCTGTTTTCTTTGTCACCTTACCGCTCTTTCATGTATCCCTCTAGAGTCTAAGCAGCACTTCTGGAGAACAGAGAGTTATCACGAATGAAGAAGAAAGGAAAAGCAGCTGTCTTGGGGACACTGGAGCCCCATTATCTCCCCAGATGAGAATGTAAAGGACATGTTGGGGGAGGAGCGGGTGAGCCAGGGTGCTGTGTGATGTGGGCGCTGGAGGATGATTCTGAATAAAGGTCAGGCTTCTCCAGCGTGAGAAAGCCAGCTGGAGAGGAGTGATTCCCTCACCCATAGCAGTGCAGGCTTAGCCGACAGCTGGGACGAGTACCGGACTTGGCCTGGAGTGCAGGTTGTATAATCATCTCAGCCCTGCCACTGCAGAGCACCAGGGCAACCTTGGGACAGGAGAAACAAACTCATGAACGCCTGCCAGGCCGGGACAGTCCGAGGAGTAAACAGAGGAGTGATCGCCCCCAGGGACCTAACACTCCTCCCTGTCCTGCTGGGCTAAAAATAATCACAGTAACTAACATTCACGGAGCACTCACATGCTAGGCACGTGTGCTCAGAGCTTTAGATACATTCTCCCTTTAATCCCCCAGGAAAGTCTGTGGGAAAGGTGAAAAAATTATTCCCATTTTACAGAGGAGGATCAGGAACTGACCTGGGATCATCAAGCTATTTAAATAGAGGAGCTAGACTCGAAACCTGGCAACCTGACTCCACAAGCTGCACCCACGACCTCCATGCCGCAGGAAGGTCGCTGGGCATGTGGCAATAGAAAAAAAAATATTTAGGAGCCTAGATTATGTGGAATCAGATCTTAGCTCCACTGCTGCTCACTGGATGATCTTGGATTAACTATGCTCAGCAACTGTTGTCTCAGTGGTATAGTGGGGACCCCAGGTCCTAGGGTGGTAATGAGCATGGGGGGTGACATTAATGAGCAAAGTGTCTGCCAGTAGTTCCTTCATAACTAGTGTCTGATCTCATGGGACCCACAGCCCCTGCCACCTCCCAGAATATGACCTGGGTCCTCCCTGAACCTCTGACTTCTCCTCAGCCCCCCATCCTCCTGGGCTGCACTCTCTGTTTGGTGAACTCCCAAAGAGGATTCCAAAGCCTAACAAGTGACAAAAGGCTCCCTAAGAAACACGTTCTCTGAGGACTTAGCCCCCCATCAAAGTCAGCCTTTAACTTTTCTCTTCCCTCCATTGCCAATTCATTATACTCCATCCATGGAACAATAAGGGAAATGTAAAAGGTGGGCAATTCAACTGCATCAATATGTCTGCTTTCTGGAAGTTTGGGCACGCAGTCTTTTGAGAAAAGAAACAGAAACCATAAGCTCACCAAAGGCAGGTAAAGACAGTCTTGCGTGGAGTTACCCAAACCTATTTGAAAGTAAAAACTCCAGTCAGGCCCTCCTTGGAGGTAACGAATTCCATAAATATAGAAAACTGCTGGCCCTGGGAAAGACTTTTTTCTTTCTCTGCAAAGTATCTCCCCACTAGTCCATAAACATTCAGGTCCCCATCCCATAGATTGAGTGAGGTGGAGGGGAAGGCCTATGCATAGAACTGAATTCAACACAATTGGTTTTCTTTGCAATCCTTTGAAATAAAATCTGAGGATTTTGTTATATGCATTTTAAAAGCATTATTCTGAAAAGATGTCCATAGCTTCTCTAGTTTGCCAAAAGGGTTTATGGTACAAAAAACGTTCCAAGCATTCCTGATCCTAGTGGGTGAGGCCCTAGCGAACTCACATGTTCCTTACTCTTCATGAAATCATTCTCTAACGGTTTCTAATAGGCTTATAGATAGGATCCTGTTGTTTTCCCCTTTCAGCTTCCCTGTGGAAATCCTCCTGGTTTGTCTGCAAATATGTGTAACAGAGAAAGAGAGAGGGAGAAACAAAGAAAGAATGATTTTCTTCTAATCTCAACATACTTTTCCAATTATGACCCCCCCCACACCCTGCTATGCGTAATTGTGTGTTTAATTATCTGTATGCCCTCATGGCCTGCAAATTCCAGAAGGGCAGGGGCAATGTTGAATCCTTGCATCCCAGTTATAGACTGAACATTTGTGTCCTCCCAAAATTCATATGCTGAAATTCTAACCTCCAGGGTAATGGTATTGGGAGGTGGGGCCTTTTGGGGGTGATGGTCATGACAGTGGAGCCCTCCTCATGATTGGGATTACTACCATTATTGGGGGGTGATGGTCATGACGGTGGACCCCACATGACTGAGATTAGTACCATTATATAAGCGACCTCAGAGAGCTCTCCTGCCCCTTCCTTCACATTAGGACACTGCAAAAAAGCAATCATTTATGAACGAGGAACTGGGCCTTCACCAGACACAGAATCTGTCAGCACCTTGATCTTGGACTTCCAAACCTCTAGAACTATGAGAAGTAAACTTAGTCTTACAGTATTCTGTTGTAGCAGCCAAAATGGACTAAGACAGTAGGTCTCTGATCAGATCAGTTTTGGCTGTGCTTGAGATGAGAAGGGGTCTTACCACACATAACTTCTCTCATTTCCATGGGTAAATTTCCCTCCCTCCAGCAAATCTCAAGATATTTTCCCCTGGCCTCAGTGATCTGTTTAGAGTTCTTGGCCTTTTCTTCTTATTTGGGCCACATGGAGGACAAGTTGGCACAGCACCTGCCTCCTGGGGTCAGGGCCTGGCAGTGCCTTCTCACCCACATGGACTTTTCCCCTCTCTCCTCCTCTGAGCTCACTGCAGAGTGAAGACTACATTCTCTCCCGAAACCGCTGGTCTACACAACTAGCAAAATAGCCTCTTGCTTGTGGGTGTATCTGGTAATCATGGCAATAAGTGAAAGAACGAGTTTTTCTTGAACAGTGAGTCTATACCAGCTGAGTACTGGACCTTTCACAGTTGATATTTATGGAACACTCCATCCCCAAACTGCAGAGGATGCATTCTTTTCAGGTGCACATGCAACATTCGTCACAGGACACTGAGCCATAAAATAACCTCAACCACTTTCAAAGGACTGAAGTCGTGCACAGCATCTACTCTGAGGACAATGGAAAGAAACTAGAAGTTAACAATAGTAAGTAGGTAGACAATCCCCGAATACCTGCAAATGGGGAACCTCGCTCAGTGCTTGGCACAAAGTAGGCTTTCAATAATATTACCTCCATCCCCCAACCCCTGCCCCAACATCTTTCTCCACCTCAGGTATGACCAACCCCTCTGCTGCTGCTGAAAGTGAAGGTAAACCAGCAGCCAAGGACATTGCTGAAGCCCTGAGTGTGTCTTTCACTGGCAAGTCTGCGCCACGAGCTGGGACCGTGAATTAACCTTGGCCCCTGCGCTGAGCCCATGGGCTTTCACGAGATCCATGCTTAGACAGGAAGACCTCCACCATTCTGCCAAACAAGGCACCTAACTTGCTGAGGGGGCTGCCCAGGTATGGGGTGAGGCTTGATTTAGTAATGGATCTTGTTCTGCTTACTCAGAATATTTTCTGGCAAATAAAATCAAACTTGTTTTGTTTGGGGAATTTAACTGTTATGTCTTGAGGGAAAAAAAACAAGTAGCGGCTGGGCACGGTGGCTTACACCTGTAATCCCAGCACTTTAGGAGGCCGAGGTGGGCAGATCACTTGAGGTCAGGAGTTTGAGACCAGCCTGGACAACATGGTGAAACCCCATCTCTGCTAAAAACACAAAAAATAGCCGGGTGTGGTGGCACGTGTCTGCAATCCCAGCTACTCGGGAAGCTGAGGCAGGAGAATGCTTGAACCTGGGAGGTGGAAGGTGGAGGTTGCAGTGAGCCGAGATTGCTCCACTGCACTCCAGCCTGGGAGACAGAACGAGACTCCATCTCAAAAAAAAAAAAAAAAAAAAAAAGTAGCACATCAGGAATGTCAGCAGAGTTAGAGGGTTTCCATGATTGCAACAACACAGAAAACCAGCAAAAACTTTGGTGAGCCAATCATTCAAAGTAAATAGGAGGCATAGCCCTGGCATTCTTTGGGTTGGAAAACGATGTGGGCCCTTAGTTATGCTTAAGAGTTTGCTTGAGCTTTTCAAGGCCAATAATGGGAGTGATCCATGTTTTTGATTCATTAACTAAAACGGCAGTTGTGGTGTTAATAATCTGCCACGCATAACAGCCTGGGGGAGGGACACATTATTGCCAGATGCCTGAAATGTGTAAACAACCACAGTTTACAGAGACAAAGCTGGTTGCAGCATCATTTTCCGGCAAACTAGGATAATGTCACCTAGGCACAAATGAGTGGAAAATTAAGATCTGAATTAAAAGACATCTAAAGAGACTGATACATGACAAAACATCCTTGGCAATCAGTTCATGGAGGCTCTCACTGGGATTCCATCGAGGGAAGGGAGTTTAAAAAGGTACGATTACAGCCCAGTTTTGTCACATCTGAGCTGTGGAACCATGGGCAAGAAGTTTCACCTCAGTTTCCTCATCTGTGAAAAAGGGGTGGTAGTGAAAGAACCTACCTCAGAGGGCTATTGAAGACTGAGATAATGCACAAAGATGCTCCACTATTGCCAATCACATAACAGTAAACAATATTGGGCACTGATCGTGCAACCTAAGCAAAGACGCTGCATTATGACAATTCTGGGAAGTAGATAAGAAAATTAAAGCTCAGGAAAGCTAAGACATTTGTCCAAGGACATAGCTGTAAATCATAGAGTCAAACTCAGTCTAACTCCAGAACCTCAAGAAACTTCCAGTCCAATAGGAGTAATCAACAGAAACCACTCCCAACAATTCCAGGAGAGCCAGCCATGCAGCCCAAGGGACAATATGCTGGAGCCAAACGCAGCCAGGGCCCACCCTGTAGGAACAAGGAGTTAAGCTGTTCCATTTGAGCTGGGTCTTGAAGGATGTTTTGGTTTTTACCAGAAAGAGAAGGAGGTAAGAACATCCTTATCGGAAAACCCATACTGAACAAAGTAAGATGGTATGGATGAAAAGAAATTCTCTGTTTAGGTAAAGCTGACAAGACAGCTGTTGTGGTGTGAGCTTTGGGTTTGTTGGAGCCTTTTATGACTATTTCTGTGTCTTTGCAAACATTCTTGTTAGTACAGTGCTGTGGGTATAAGTACAGGCTCTGGTGTCTGATGGTCTAAGTTGACATAATCAAGCTGTGTGACTTTGGGGAAGAGACTTAACCCCTCTTGTCCTGAAGTAGGTTTGCCTTTCACATGAGGATTAGCATAGTAGCACTTGGGGCAGCCGTACTAACTGCAGAGCTCCATGTGAACACTTAACGTCAAGCCTGCTAGGAAGCTGATGCTTATGCTTCTGTCCCCCTAGATGTGGCCCTGGGTCTCCCTGTGTCATCCTTTTGCCCACTGCCTAGACCCCCCTCTGCCCATTGGCTGGAATACTCAAGGAACTACTAGTTCGTGTCCTAAAAAAAGGAAATTCTCAAGAACCAAAGAGAAATGGGGCTTGGACTATTACTATTACTAGGGATGAGTTACTGCTGAAAACAACTTATCGACTCACAGCCAGATTTAGGGATCTGACTTCATCCCTTTTGCAAAATACATTTTGGCTCAATAACTGTGACATGATGTCATTTGAATTCTAACCATTCGACGGCTGACAAGGAAGGCACTTTTTGTCTGGACCACAAGGATGTCTGTACTAATCTTTGTGTTTTATCGTATAAAACAGAATGGCAGATTGGAGACATTCATACAAAGGTACATTTGCTTTAATGTCTCCTCTTACACTTCACAAACTCTAATCTTGGGGATCTCGTTTTTTGCCTGGGCTTAGCTAGGTGCTTATGTTAATCAGTCTTTAAATCAAAGATGCTAAGACATACATCTTTTCAAATTTCAATATCTCCAAAACAGGTATGTGTCCTACAACCAGTGGCATACAGTAATGCAGTAGTTTAATTGGAAGCATTTGTTTCTTTCTTAGTACACATGAATTAAGGGTGAGTCGTAAAATGAAAGCATCTTAAGTTTGAGAAAATATTGTTTGTGTGGAGAAGCGTGCTAGGTTTTGGACAAAACTTGCTTTTGCTTGAAACAACAACCACATCAATATATGTTATCACTCTTAACTTACAGATGAGAAACCTGATGCCCAGAGTGTTAAAAAAAAAAGGTTTTTCTCATGATTGCCTAGTACATAGGAGGAAGAGTTAAGGTGGGGTTCTCATTACTATTGTGGATTACATATTTACTGCAAAACTTAGTGTTGTAAAACAATAATTGTTTCATGTTGCATGATTTTTTTGGTCAAGAATTTGGGATGGGCTTGGCTGGGTGCTTCTCACTTGGAGTTTTCCATGCCCTTGTAGTCAGATGTCAGCCGGGCCGCGGACTTTTGAAGGTGCAGAGGGCCTACATGTGCATCCAAGATGGCGGCTCTCAGGATTGCTGGCTGATGCTGGGAGCTCAGCTGAGGCTACAAACAAGAGCACCCACCAGGGACCTCTTCGGCTTGACAGTCCCAGTGCTTTCCCTGGAATAATTATGCTCAGAAAACCAGGCAGGAGCTGCATAAAGCAGTCACAAGCCTGCACAGACTCAAGGAAAAGTCATATATCCCATCTTTCAATGGAAAGAATATCAAGGAACAAGGTCATTTTGTTTTTAAACCACCACAGATGGGAACCTCGTTCTGACTGGTACCAAGACCCCATATTTGGAATGACTTGTCTGGTGCCTGGGAGCAAAGCAAGAAAAAGAGAGCGTGAACTAATCATGATGAATAGGATTTTTAAACCAATGCAAGAGGGTTCATCCAGTCACATGTAGCTTCATTTTCACTTTCATGTATTCACTTTGGAACCTCAAACACTGGTCCAGCATTGCTCCCATTATTCAGAACATATCTAGAGCTTTCTGGGAAGTGGTTTCAGGGCCAATTGAGCAGGCTCATAAGAAACATCAGGCTTAGAATTCTGTCAGCTATACCTTATTTCTAACCTAAAATGGCTCTTTGTAGTTTAACAAATATTTAGTGATCACCTGCTACAGAATGTTCTGGTTTCTGTGGATTCCTTGATGAACAAAACGATACCTCATTCTTCACTTGGCTTACATTTTGCTGGAGGATGCAAAAAATAACCAAATTTGTAATAACATCTGCAAGTCATCAGTACTACAGATAATGATGGGAAATGAGGGGCGGGGGAAACTCTTTTAGAGGGAGTGGTCAGAAAAGGCCTCTCTGAGAGTTGACATCTGAGCAGAGAGCCAGGCAGATGTGCAAGGAAGAGAGAGTGTTCCAGAAAAGGAAAATCGTATGTGCAAAAGCCCTGAAGCCACACTGGTCTCAGATATGTCTGGCCCACAGCAAGGAGGCCAGTGTGGAAAGTAGAATAAACAAGGGGGAAAGTGGCAGAGGAAGGGTGCACCTGGGGTTCACTAAGGACAGAGAAGGCACTTAGGATTTTAATCTGAGATGAGATCCATGGGAAGATTTTGAGTGGTTTAGTCTCATGCTTTGGTTCACATTTTTAAAGGATCCCCTGGCTGCCAAGGGGGGGATAAAGGATAGAGTAGAAACAGGAAGATAGATTAGGAGGCTCCTGCAGTAAATCAGGCTAAAGGTGGTGACAACTTTGTCTGAACTGTCCTTGGTGGAGAAGGTAAGTAGGGGGTAAAAAGAGCAGATATTTGTTCCATAGGATTTGCTAATGGACACACCTACCAGTTGATCCTTTAAACTCATGAACAAGGTATATTTCAAAATATTGCTTAGTGGCTGCCCAAATTAGAGTGGGACCCCGACAGAGGTGGCAACTTGGATGGTAGAAAATGAGAGACCCAGGTTACACCAGTTCCCTCAAACACTAGCTGAGGATCTTGACCCTCACTGCATAGAAAGGGCAGGAGCTCAGGCATTAGCCCTCCCTTCTCACTCTCACTCTCTGGCAAAAAAGGTATGAGGAGAGTCAAAGAATAAACCACTAGTTGGAAAGACCCTCTCAAAAAAGGAGTTCACAGATAAGTCTAGAGCCTTCAAAGGCGGCTGCCAGGAGAGACCCAAGCCCATTTGCATGGGCAAGTTTGGGTATTTCAGCCATTCAGTTGTTGACACGACTTGGTAGTCACAGCCTCTCCTTTGCAAGCCAACGTTCTCTAAGGAGCCTTTTTTTGTCAAAAAGAAACCACCATTGTGGCTGCTTTGAGACAGATTTTAGGGGGAGTTTCATGCTCTATGAGCCTCAGTAGTGAAAGGGTGAAGGTTCTGCTTAAATACCACAAGTGGCCCAATGATGGGATCAAGATGCAAACCCAGGCCTATAATAGTGACTACTTTTCTTTTAATTTTACTTTGACAAGCACATCTGCAGCCAATTACAATGCGCCAAGCGATGTTCTAATCATTTTATAAAATGTTTAGCCATTCGATGATCCTAACAATCATATGAATTCAGTATCACTATTATCCTTTATTCAACAGTCAATACACAGTTACTGAGCATTTTATACATGAGAAAAGCGAGTCACAGAGAAGCTAAGTGACTTGTCTAAAGTCACGCCACAGAGCCAAGATTAGAACCCAGGAACTCTTGCTCTGGAACTTTGGCACATAGGTACCATGTTAAGCTGCTCTACACTGTGCTTTGTTGGAAATCTGTATATCTATTAGAAATAATTTCAGCTGAAAATAAGAAACAATCCAAGTTAGAGTGACTTAAACAACAGGACATGTTGTACATAACAAGAAGTCTGGAGATAGTCAACTGTCTTAGGCTGATGGAACAGTTCAACAATGCTATAAAAAATCCAGACCTTTTCTATCTTTGCTGCTCCACCATCTCAGTCTATTGACTTGTCACCTCATAATTACCAGATGGCTGCTGCACATCCAGGTATCATGTCCAAGATCTAGGGAGGAAGAAAGGAAAGGAGTAATAAGCTTCCTTTGTAAGGGGCTTTGCCTTTTCATTTGAGAAGAGACTCCCTCCTCAGCATACTGTTCCTAACAAGACTGGGTAACTTGCCTGCCATTACCATATCTAGTTTAAACCAGTCACCAGGTTGGGATAAGAGTCTGACTTCCCTGAGACTTGGTGCCTCCTGCCAACCCTTTGAACATATTGATGTTCTGTACAGTGGGAGGCAATGGTTTTGAGGTAACAAGAGACAGCGTCTGCCATGGATGTTGCTACCCCATGATGGGAACATTGCAGCTAGAAGTCACAAGGTTAAGATCACATGACTGACAATATGGCAGCTCCAGAATACGAATGCAGGTCCATCTAACTCTAAATCTCATTATTTTAACTGTAAAGTAGTACATTGCTAAGTGGAGTCGAGAATGGATGGACACACATGTGGCTTTACCACTGAAAGCTGTAGCACCCCGAACAAGTTACTTAACCTCCCTAAAGCTCAATCTATTTATCTCTAAATTGTGGCTAGTAATGATGTTGAACCAAGGGGCAGCTATGAGTGTAAAATGAAATAATATATGCAAAGACCCTGACAATACTAAGCAATCAATAATTCTTGGCTATTTTTATTATTGTTGTCACTGCTATTATCACTCATTACCCTATGAGACTTTGTAGCTATAGTGGCCTTGTACTCAGATTAGAACACCATTTTGGGCGTCTTTGGGCTATCTGGTAATGGCAGTCAGTAGTGGGTAGGCCTGAAAGTGAGGGGGGGTGTTCAATACAATACTAATTACAGATTTAAGAATCTTCCAGCTTGTCTTGCTTGAATGTAGCGAGTCAAGGACTGGTGGCTCAAAATACAGGTCTACGGATCTACAATAGTTTAGTTTTAGCCTTGGTTCTGTTACTAGTTAAAATGCCGTTTGGCCAGAAGTATCTCATTTCTCGTTTTGGGACCTTTGTGTTTTCATCTGTACAGTGAAGTGGTTTTTCCATTATTGGTATTCAGTGTGTAGTGGACACTAATTCAGCAACTATTATACTCACGGTGCCATGGAAGCCATAGAAGAGCAGTGATAGGGGATGTGGATCTCACACTCAGAAAGCTTAGAGGCTTAGGAACCTTCAGGGTTTCTTTCAGCAATAACATTTAATAACATTAGCCAGAAGGCAAGGCTAATAACCCCCAACCCAAAGGTTTATTCTGAGGATTAATCATGTTAGTGACATTGTAACGAAAAATCTCTGAACAAATGCAAAAAACATATAGCTATGGCAGTTTCCTAATGAGCTAAACATAGTCTCACCATGTGATCCAATAATTGCGCTCCTTGGTGTCTACCCAAATGAGTAGATTTCCTCTTCCCACAAAAACCTATGTACGAATGTCTGTAGCACCTTTATTTGTAGTTGCCAAAAATTGGAAGCAACTAAGATGTCCTTCAATAAGTGAATAGATAAACAATCTGTGGTATGTCAAAATCCCAGCAAGTTATTTTGTGGATATCTACAAGCTGATTCTTTTATAGCGAGGCAGAAGACCCAGAATAGCTGACACAATACTGCAGGAAAAGAACACACAAGCTGGAGGACTGACACTACTCAACTCCAACACTTCCTATAAAGCTATGGTCATCAAGATGGCGTGGTATTGGCAAAATAATAAACAAGCAGATCAATGGAACAGAACAGACAGCCTGGAAACAGACCCACATATATATAGTCAACTGACCTTTGACAAAGGAGCAAAGACATTGCAATCGAGGAAAGATAATTTTTTTCAACAAATGGTGCTGAAACAACCAGACATTCATTTGCAAAAAAAGAATCTAAATATAGATCTTAAACCCTTCACAAAAATTACCTCAAAATGCATCATAGACCTAAAAGTAAATTTAAAACGATAAAACTCTCAGAAGATAACAAAGGAGAGAATCCTAGATGACCTCGAGTATGGCAATAACTTTTTAGATACAACACCAAAGCCACAATCTATGAAAAAACTAATTGATGACCTGGACTCCATTAAAATTAAAAACTTCTGATCTGCAAAGACACTACAAAGAGAATGAAAAGACAAGGCATTGACTGGGAGAAAATATTTGCACAAGACATGTCACTTAAAGGAATTTTATACAAAGTATACAAAGAACTCTTAAATCTCAAGAATAGGGAAATGAGCAACCCAGTTAAAACATGAGCAAAAGAACTGAGCAGGCATCTCATCGAAGAAGGTATACACATGGCAAATAAACATATGTCATCAGGGAAGTGCAAATTAAAACAACAATTAGATACCACTACACACCTATTAGAATGCTGAAATCCAAAACATGAATACCAAATTCTGGTAGAGGATTTGGAGCAACAGGGACTCTCATTGTTGGTGGGAATGCAAAATGATATAGCCACTTTGGAAGACAATTTGGCAGTTTTCTATAAAGCAAAACATATTCTTACCATAAGATCTAGCAACAGAACACCTTGATATTTACCCAAATAAGCTGAAAACTTACATCCACACAAAAACCTACACACAAATGTTTATAGCAGCTTTATGCATAATTGCCAAAAACCTGGAAGCAACCAAGATGCCTTTCAGTAGGTGACAGGGTAAATAAACTGTGGTACATCCAGACAAAGAAATATTATTCAGCACTAAAAACGAATGAGGTGTTAAGCTATGAAAAGACATGGAGGGACCTTAAATGCATATTACTAAGTGAAAGAATCAGTCTGAAAAGGCTACATCCTTGGGAGGCCGAGGCGGGCGGATTACGAGGTCACGAGATTGAAACCATCCTGGCTACCATGGTGAAACCCTGTCTCTACTAAAAATACAAAAAATTAGCCAGGCATGGTGGCGGGTGCCTATAGTCCCAACTACTCGGGAGGCTGAGGCAGAAGAATTGCTTGAACCCAGGAGGCGGAGCTGGCAGTGAGCCGAGATCACACCACTACACTCCAGCCTGGGCGACAGAGTGAGACTCCATCTCAAAAAAAGAAAGAAAAAAAGAAAAGGCTATATCCTATGTGATTCCAACTGTGTGATTCTGAAAAAAACAAAACTATGGAGATTAGTGGGTTGCCAGGGGTTAGTGTGAGAGAGGGAGTAATGAGGAGAGATAGGGGAAGCACAGGGGAATTTTAGGGCAGTGAAACTATTTTGTATGATATTATAATGGTAGGTACACAACACTATGCATTTGTCAAAACCCACAGAACTATACAACACAAAGAGTGAAGCCCAATGTAAACTATGGACTCCAGTAACTCTTAATGTATCAATATTAGTTCATAAATTGTAAAAAATGTACCATATTAATTCAAGATGCGAATAATAGGGGATATGACGGGAGAAGAGGAGAATATATGGGAATTCTATACTTTTGACTCAATATTTTTGTAAGCCTACAACTGCTCAAATAAACAGCCTATTAATTTACATACACACAGAGAGCTGAGCAACAGTCATATCCTTTGATCTAATGATTCCACTGATGAGATCCTCTTGAGATACAGGACATACTAGGAAGAAAACTTTATTTACAGAAGGGGAAGAAAGTCAGCAACCTGTAGTTCATCACAAACAACCACATGGATAAAAGCAAATTTCAAAATGGTAGTTGAAAAGGTTACAGAATAAAGTGGACAATGCTTGTGGAAAAATGTAAATGGAAAAAAAAATTGGAAATCACCTTAAGATAACAACTATGTAAAAAAAAAAAAAAAAAGAAAAGAAAAGGAAAAAACCCAAAAACAAAACAAAACAAAAAAACCCTAACTAGCCAAGTGTGGTGGCTGGTGCCTATAGTCCCAGCTACTCGGGGGGTGCTGAGGTGGGAGAATTGCTTGAGCCCAGGACGTCGAGGCTGCAGTGAGCCATGTTTGCGCCACTGCATGGCAGCCTAGGCAACAAAGTGAGACCCTGTCAACACTGGTATAAACGGACATAAATGGGGTATAGCACATTGATAATGATAATTGATAGTATGTTACCAAGGGCACAAGATTAGGATAACTATTTTATTCATTTTTTCAATTTCTTATATTTGACTTATCTTCTAAAAATATATATGAGGTCTTATATATATATAGTCTACGATTCCTACAGTTAGGGGGAGAAAAGACAAAAACTGGCAGTAAAGCTAGATGGCTAATAACAATAACACCACCTCCACCTCCTCCATTACCATTTCTTAGGAACTGACTACGTGGAAGCCACTGTTCTTAGTACTAAGTTCTAAGTAATCTGGGCTAACCCACTCAAAGTCGCAGAGCTAGAGAGCATGGGGTTGCTTACAAGCAAGTAAGAAACTGATCTCTGAACCTCTGGCTTATTCAAAATATACTTATTGAGAACCCAGTAGAGTCACCAGGTGCTTCAAACATGCAAAGAAAAATGAGAAATAATTTAGAGAACAAGGAGGGGAGTTTAAGAAACCACTTACTCACTCACTCGCCTACCCAGCAAGCATTTATGTATTAATTTCTTACAAGAGGCTAGGCACTGGAGATACACATGATTAAATGTTATCTCTGGCCTTTAAGAACTGCCACTCTACTCTCCTCAGAACCCTACATCTTCCAACGTGTGACATTTCTAATCGTGGACAGGCACGCTAACTGTTTAAGAGGCTGGGACCACAGGCATAAACTGAAGCTCCACCAGCAAGCCTGGATGTGTGATCACCCTAAGTCAGACTTGGAAGTGCAGCTCCTGAAGGGCAGGAACCATCCCCACGACCCCTCTCTGCCCATTCTAGTTCACTTGAACTGACTTTTGGTGTCAGGAAATTTATTTTTGTTTCTACCCCATCCACCAACCCCACACCACCAAGCATTTCAGATCAAGTATCTGTGAATCATAGGTCAGGTTGACTCATTTCTTAAAGATTCCAGGCTGTGAATGAAAATGGTATTGATGGCTGGGAGGATGATCAGATGTAGGGAGTGTCAATGTGACTTGTTCTACATTTATCTACAAAAATGCAAACCAGATCTGCAAGCATTTTATTAAAATGAGGAAGGCAGCTGCTGAAAAATTTGCAGAGAGGCTTGATAAATGGAAACGATCACCATTCCTGTTTTAAAAAACGAATTTATCATGTACACCTTCCTAATGACATTTTCTCTATTCGTGGTACTGCCTTTTTGGTTTATCTTGGTTAATGTGAAAAAATGCCCAGGGTGGGTTTTTGGAAGCTCAGTTATAGATTCAGTGCTTATAAAATTATGAGTTTTTTTTCCATATAAAACAGGAAAAGGGAAATAAAAGAAATGTGGATTGAGCACCTATTGCAGAATCTCATTTCACCCCCTGAAGCCCAAGCAGGTTAGGAAGCAGATGCTAGGAGAGGGTTAGTCACCTACCCCAGCGAGCTCAGCAGCGGAAAAGCACTGAGCTTTGGTCTCCTTTGGTAGAAACCTGCTCAACCAGGGAACACTTAACTAAGGGGTGTTCAGGAACAGAAACTCACAGTAGGGGCAAAAAACAAAGTTCTGGGACTAGGGGAACCAAAACCCCAGACACTTAGATGGGCTATGCCTCCCACGTGGCTTCACACCCATTTACACTGACCTTTCACCTTCAGAACCACATTGAGTCTGCTGACCCATGTGAAACACCCAGCAGGGAGCCATAACTCTTGCCCTACATGGAAAGCCTCATTGGGCCCCCTAGGGAAACCCGCTGGCATCTGAATCAGATCCTGTGACCTCTGTGGTCCTGAGCCTCAAAGCAGGGGAATACCCTTTGCCGTGGATCCACCACAAAGCCTCAGGGCCTAGGTGAGAAAACTTCACCTGTGAATCATGGCAGCTCAGCACCTTCTCTGGGCCTCTCTCAGAAGCCCCTGAAGGGCTTAGCATGTGTCACCAGGGGCCAGGACAGCTGCAAATTCTCCTGTGAAACAAGAAGATTTCATGGGCTCTCGTGGTCTCTGAGGATGCCTCATCAGTTCATGAGATGACCTATTTGCAGGTGACAAGGCTCACAAATGCCAAATGAATCACTCATAAGCGAGTGTGGTTTTCAACTTTTCAGTGTCATTTTAGTGGATACCTGGCTCACTGGGAATTGTGATGTCAATAGACGGAAGCCCAGAGAAGGTAAGCGACTCGCCTAAGAACACACAGCTAGAATTAAACAACTTTGGAAGTAGAATTCAGGGGTCCACAACCTTTTTTCCCATCATCATACTGCCTTGCTTAGAACAAAGACAAACCTAAGCAAAAGAAAAAAATATATATTCATTTTAATTGGATGGTAAAATAGTAGGAAAGAGGAGGAAAATCTGAAGACAATACATTCCTTGCCACTCATGGGCTCTTTGAGACATTGTCTCAGCTCAGAGCTCTGGGCTGGAGCTTGGAACTTTATCAGGAATTGCCCTTCCCCACCCCAACATATAGTGAAGGGTGAGCTAACAGGACATTCTTTATGTCAATCCTGGTGGCAGTGTGTAGGCCCAGTTATTCAGTCTAAAGAGCTTCAGGCTGCTCACTGGGTCCATTGTGCAGATAAGAGAAGTAACGTCCCGGGAGAAGAAATGATCTGCTCAAGGAAACCCAGCTGGCTGTGGGCAGAGCAGACACCAGATCACTGTGTCACAACACAGAGTGAGTGGTGGTCAGCATCACTCACTATCCAACCCTGTGGGGTTCCCAGAGCACAGGGTACTTCTCTAGACTGTGAGGACAAAGGAAACTCTGGTCCCTCTGACAACACTTCGAATTTTACATAATCTGTCTACTGGTTTGATATAATTTCTAAGGCAAGTGGCTGATTTTGATAAAATGTGTTGTAGCTACCAAAAGATAGCAGTGAACCTGGCTGGGTTTGTCAACTTATACAAGAGAAGCGATCTGTAAGTATAATGAATGGGAAAGCAGATAAATAATTTGTGTATTTGGTCCAAATAAAAGGTGGGTACATCCACATGAAACAATAGAACAATGTAGCAGTTAAAAAGAATAGAGTGGCTACCATGGATAGCACTCCTCAATATATTGCTGAGTGAAAAGGGGTAAACTGCAAAATACTCTACCAGAGGTGTACACAATAGTACTCAGTGTGTATATGTGCATGCGTATACACTTAAATGAATTAGAATGGTCTGCAGGAATGTGCTCTAAAAGATAACAAACATGACCTACACAGAACTAATGAGGAGACAAGGATTGAAGATGGGTGAGCTAAAAGGACTTTGGCCTTTTGTGGAAAATTTTTAATTTTTCCGAAATGAATGCAATCATTTAATATTTACGTAATAAAAGATTTTTTTTTAAAAAAAGGAGAAAATAGAAATATAATTTTAATGATTCATCGATCTATTCATGCACTATTTGAGCATCTATTATGTGCCAGGCATGAAGAAGGTAAAAAAATCCAGCCCCTGACCACAAGAATATGTTCTAACACAGAAGGAGGAGGTTTCCTGCTTATAAGCATGATGAGATATATTACAAGTGCTCTGGTGAATGAAGAAATCAGAGCAGAGTAGGAAAATAAAGAAAGGGATCTCCATGTTTCACGGGAAATCCAAAGGCCAAAACAGAGTCTCCAGTCAATTCTGCCAAGGCCTGCCATCTTGAAAAAAAAAGAGTATTATGACAACAGTTTGCAAAAGGACACATCTTTGTAATTTTAAAGTAATATCCATGATCTCTCACTTCAGCTAGAGTTCACAAATGAATATAATAGTACAACGGATAGTTTGCAGTTTGTAAACATATAACCCCCATGAACGGAGAGAGATGGTTTTGTTACTTTTTAAAGAAACTAACTCTTTGGCTGCATTTATCAGTACATATGGTTTACTCCACTAGACTAGAAATGGCTCTGCCAAAATTGCTGCTTAAATTTGGGTTTCTAAAAATAACTCATGGGAAGCCTGCAGTGTGAGAGGAAGATGGTTGCACACAGCTCCAGGGAGGAAAATCTCAAGCATTTGATTTGAATTACCTAAGAGCTGAAATTGAGTGCAAATATCTCCTTGTAGCAACCGCTATATAATTAGCCATCCTAACGGAATCCTTTCAAAACCGAGACAGTTCAACAAGTTATTTTAATTGAAAATAAATTTTCCTGACCAACTATTCTGTCAAAACCACATTAAATGAAGATAGCTCAGCAGTGACCAAATCACTATAAAAAGCATTACATGTTATGGGAGAAATGAGTGGGAAGGAGCCCCCCCCTTTTTTTTTTTTTTTTTAGACAGTCTCACTCTGTCACTCAGGCTGGAGTGCTGTGGCATGATCTCGGCTCACTGCAACCTCCGCCTCCCGGCTTCAAGCAATTCTCCTGTCTCAGCCTCCTGAGTAGCTGGGATTACAGGCATGCACCACCACACCCCACTAATTTTTTTTTTTATTTTTATTTTTTCATTTTTAGTAGAGATAGGGTATCACCATATTGGCCAGGCTGGTCTCGAACTCCTGACCTTGTGATCCACCCATCTTGGGCTTCCAAAGTCCTGGGATTACAGGCGTGAGCCACTGTGCCCGGTCGGGATATGCTTTTCTATATGGGCAAAATGTGGCAGTTTTCTGGGCTCCTTTTTCTAGCTTCATGTGTCTTCTGGTCTCTTGTAAAAAGTATTCCATTTTCTCTGCATCAATGTTACTGCTGGGGCTATCACTTGAATACAGTGCATCACTGTCTTCTGAAAAGAAGCAGCCAAGTTAAGATCTCAGAGATAAAGAGGGGAAGAGAAGAGAAAATGGCACTTGCTTTCTGTTGGGTTCATGACTAGCACAAGGACACCTTCCATCCCAGGAGGGCCACATTCATCCATCAGCTCTTGGAGAAGACTACAGAGACTTGGAACTGCCTCTGCACTTGGACTTTCATCTTTGCTACTTATCAGCTGTGCCTAGTTATTTTTAGCATCTCTGACTAGCAGTTTTCTCATCTTAAAAAAAAAAAAAAAGAAAAAAAAATTGTTGTTATTCTCACAGCTCCCAGGATGGTCAGGAAGGTCAAATGTGTGCACAATCAATCTGGTATTCTAGACAGTATCTGCAACTGCCTGTGTGAGGAGGGCTAGGGAGGGGACCAGACCCTTCCTCACAAGTTGAAATGGGTTGGCGCATGAGGAGGGCTAGGGAGGGTAGCAGACCATTCCTCACAAGTTGAAGTGGGTTGATGCATGGACCAGCGGCATCAGTACTGCCTGGGAGCTCATTGCTAGAGTAGATGCTCAGCCCCACGCCGAAAAATTGGTCAAAAGTCTGCATTTACCAAGTACCCCTGGAGATTTGTGTGTGGTTCAAATTTGAGCCTCACTGGCTGGTGCCATCTCCCAGGTGTGTGATTCTATATCGGGTGACCTGTGTCAAAAGGAAGGGAGGGAGGAATGAAGGGATGGAGGGAGAAAAGGAGGGAGAACGGGGTCAGTTAAATTAAAAAACAATAAAATTAAAAGATCTTCGAGTTACTAGTTATGCAGGTTTAGGTTAAAACGTGCTCCCAAGGAAATCTAGACCTTGAAGCCATCCTTTTTGCTTAAAGCCACATCACTGAGCTTGAGATCCCCATTCAGACAGAACATGCTGCCCCTCAGACCCATCACCAGGTCTACATCTAAAAATGCTCAGGTGGGCCGGGTGCGGTGGTTCACGCCTGTAATCCAGCACTTTGGGAGGCCGAGAAGGGCAGATCACTCGAGGTCAGGAGTTCGAGACCAGCCTGGCCAACATGGTGAAACCCCATCTCTACTAAAAATACAAAAATTAGCTAGGCATGGTGGCGCACAACTGTAATCCCAGCTACTTAGGAGGCTGAGGCAGGAGAATTGCTGGAACCCAGGAGGTGGAGGTTGCAGTGAGTTGAGATTGCACCACTGTACTCCAACCTGGGCAACAGTGAGACTCTGTCAAAAAAATAAAAATAATAAAAATAAAAATAAAATAAAATAAAATAAAAGTGCTCAAGTGGACAAATGTGGTAAGGGAATGTCTCGTGCCACAGAAAGCTACCTGATTTATTTTTCCCCAAACCGCTAGGCACTGTGGTTAACCAGCCTTCTAAAAACACCAGCGGTGCCTGCCTCCAGTCCATTTAGCTTGGTTAAGAAAGGAAACATCTCTTCCAGAAGATTCTGAAATTCTGTTTTCCTGAGCCTCGCGGTGACTAAAATGGAGTTGGGGGGAAATGACTCTTAGACTTTTTGTCAGTGTAAGTGGAAACTGAGATGAGACACATAATATAAAGTGACATATAAAATCCTAATTTTGGAATAAGGAACCTGGAGATGGTCAGCTTATAAGGCACTTTTAAAATCCTTGCTGGGAGGAACTATAATGAAAACCTGATTTTAAAAATAAGGAGGTGGAGGCTCTGCAAGATTGAGTGGTCAAATTAGGAATTGAGCGCTGTGTCTTTTCCATCCCATGCATGCTTGTTCTGTGGCCCAGTATCCATGTCCCCAGCCACCTTCCAGAAATGATCCAGTCATGTGTTAGAAGAATTACACTATGTCTTTGTGGTCTTTGTCACCGAGTCTTCACCTGAAAATTGATTCTACTGATGAGGGGCGCAATGGTGATGTTCCCTTGGATAAAAGCCCAGTTTCGGAGCCAGAAGCTTTTGGATTCAAATCATGGCCCTGCTACTTAATAACTAACTTTTGGCAAATTGACCCCTCTGAACCTCTCAATTTCTTCATTTTAAAAAATGGCAACAATAGTAGCTAATAAGTATCAAGTGCCATTCTAGGCACTTTATGTTTATTAACTCTGTGAGCAGGTGCAATATACTATTATCATTCTTCATGTAGAAATGAGAAAGCTAAGGTACAAAAAATGAAGTGACTTTCCTAAGGCCACATGGCTGATAATTGTCAGAATCAGGATTCTGTAGGAGCCTGTGATGTAGCAATAATATATCAATGCTCTCAGAGGGCTGCCAAGAGATATCTATGAGATCGTAGAAATAAAATGCTTCCCAGGCCACCTGGCAAAGATAAGTGCTCAACAAATTATAACTATACGGTTTCCATTTCTTTTATTTTTATTTATTTATTTATTTATTTATTTATTTATTTTAGAGACAGAGTCTCAAATCTGTCTCTCAGGCTGGAGAGCAATGGCATGATCAGAGCTCACTGTAGCCTTGACCTCCTGGGCTCAAGCGATCCTCCCACCTCAGCCTCCTAACTAGCTGGGACCACAGGCATGTGCCACCAAAACTGCTTTTTTTTTTTAAAAATTTTTATAGAGATGGGGGTCTCCTTAGTTGCCTAGGGTGGTATTAATCTCCTGGCCTCAAGTGATCCTCCCGCCTCAGCCTCCAAAAGTTCTGGGATTACAGGCATGACCTGCTGCACACATCCTATAAATTAATTTCTTGAGCTAGCCAGAAACACAAGGTTACTATGGCATCCACGTGGCTGACAAGAAGGGGAAGTTGCTGCTTGCAGAAGTGATACTCTCTGACAGGTATTCATCTGCACCTGTCCTCAGCAGGCATTCTGCTTTGACATCATGGTGCAGGGCAGGAACTTTGGTGCTCTGCCCTTCGAATCTTTCTATTGATTTCTGTCACGCAGAACCTGCATGGGAACCTCAGCTGGAGCAGCTGGTGTGGAAATGGGTCTCATGTCTGCCTGGCAAAAAGAATTGCCGTTTCCAAAATGAGCTGGATGGATCTAATCCCCAAAGCAATGGACATGTATGAGTGACTCGCCGCTTCTGACATTCTCTGCAAATCAAACAGATGTGGGGGAAGATCCCTTATATAGAAGAGGCAGCATGCATGCAAAAAGTTGGCAAATGCAGAACTCTGATGTAGAAGACTCTGTTGGCTGCCAAGTTACTGATCAGCCACTGGTCTCTTCTTCTTTATTAAAATATTCCCAGTTCTATTCAGGGACAAGGGAGATAGCAATGTGCTCAAAAAAAGTCCATGGCAGGGGGAAGAATTGGCCCTGGCTTGAAACAGCCATGACAATCTTGTTATCTCTGTCAGGGACTGGCTGGGAGCTTACCTGGCCCAGTTTGGCCACTGAGACATAGGGGAAGTCTACTGGGGATTTCTGGGGAAAATTTTCTTCCCTAACAGAAGATAGGGAGTCACAGTAAAAGGGCCCCTTTTTTCCTGCCTGATGCTTCTTCCTGCTCAAAATGCTGTTATGACAAAGTGATGTCTGCAGCAGAAAGGGCCATCACAGGGATGCTAATCAAGTGCTCTGAGGTGGTTGAGCTGTCAAATGCATCCTTTTTGATGCATCTGCCAATACCAGGTGCTGGCGAGGACAGAGGGAAACAGAAATCTTGAGCACTGCCTGTGGAAGTGTAAACTGGTACAGTCATTCTGGAACACAATCTGGCAGTACTTGTGAAATTAAGTGTGAGTGTGCACTATGACTCACCCGCATCACAGTCCATATCAGAGAAACTCTCCCACAGTCCATATGGGTACAGGTGTGAAGAGCTTATCACAGAACTAGGCTGTGGTTACCTCATGTCCACTAGCAGCAACAGGAGAAGCAAACAGGGCAGGATCTATGGCATGGGCAGGGTAGATGCAGCTCCTCAGATGAACCAGGTGAACACAGAGCACCAAGACTGGCTCTGAAAAAGAGTGTTGAGTAAGCAAAAGAACCAAATTGAGATCTATAGCAGAATCCCATTTGTCTAAATTAAAAACAGATACCCAATCAGAACAAGACAGGGAGGATCCTCATGCAGGCCCTCATGCAGGGCCTGCAGCAAGCACACTGGAGTGGCTGCCTATGGAGGAGGGAAGGGAATGGGAATAAAAATTCCACATTTGTCTCCTCATCTCCTCTTGCAACAGAGGAGGCAAGTGGCTGGGGGTAGGGGGCCTGGTAGAGATCAATGATGATGATAATAATGACAATGAACAAAGAAGGCATTCATAATAAAATTCGAAAGAAAAAAACACAGCCAGATTTACAGTCAGAGAACCCAGGCGTGAATGCTGCCTTGATCCTTACTGGCTACGGCTCTTTGGCAAATCACAGTGCCTCAGTTTCCCCATCATGAAGAGCAGGTTTGAAGAGTGGCTCTGCAGAGCTGTTATGTGAGCATCCAAGGAGATAGTGTGGGGAGATTCTAAGCTTGGAACGTAGCAGGGGCTTCCTGGATGGCAACTGCCAGGAGCCCTAAGGACTCAGCTCTCTCCTCTATAAAATGGGGATTTACGTTACCCACCCAGCACGATTATGGTGCAGATGAAATGACACATGACCATGAGGGACAAAAAGCAAGATCATGAAACCCAGGAGCACCTCCTGCTCTGACCCCTGAGTGCAGCAGTGTGCGCTGTGCCCATGCCTGATACAGCAGCGAGGGTCAGGCTGTCCTTTCGTGACGTCATTCCTAGTGGAACATGGGCCTTACACATTCAATATATATTGCCTTTTACTTTATTCTATGGTAATGACTGAAGTTTAACTGAATAAGACAAGCTATAAAAAAAGAGAAGAGATGAGATGAAAGAAGAGAAAAAAAGAAGCTGTCATGCTCTTATTATTCCAAGTAGGCAAAACCTTCATTTTTCCAATGAACAGCTAGCCTCTCTCTATACAGGTTTTGTGTAATCTCAGGAAGGACGCAATACCTTATGTAATTGCCACATCAGAGATTGTCACTGCTGTCCTTAAGGTGCCGCCTCTTCTCCATGATGACCCTTCAGATGTCTGGGAAAGATTCCGTGAAACAGAAGGACCCTGGAGTCCACTTTGTTTCTAATTTGCCCTGAAGTGCAATAGGCTGCAAGAACCCCCTTTTGTCACACAGCTTTCTCATTTTCTGGAAACTGTCTTCTAAATAAACTTCCCAAATAGGGATACAAGGTCAAAGTAAGGCTTTGATGCCTCTTGACAAATTGTTACTCCAAAAGAACAAATTATGCTGCCACCGGCAATGGAGGCATATGCCAGGCTCTGACACATTCTTAAAATAAACCCCAAAACTGGCCGGGTGCAGTGGCTCACGCCTGTAATCCCAACACTTTGAGAGGCCGAGACAGGTGGATCACGAGGTCAGGAGATCAAGACCATCCTGGCTAACATGGTGAAACCGTTTCTACTAAAAATACAAAAATTAGCTGGGTGTGGTGGCATGTACCTGTAATCCCAGCTTCTCAGGGGCTGAGGCAGGAGAATCACTTGAACCAGGAAGTCGGAGATTGCAGTGAGCCGAGATCGCACCACTGCACTCCAGCCTGGTGACAGAGCAAGACTCCGTCTCAAACAAACAACAACAAAAAACACAAAACCTATTCTAATTTTTGGCAACCTGATGGGGGAGGTACATTACCGTTGTCTGATTTTCTGGTGAACATCACTGTGACTCCCAGGGACCCCAAGTTCACTGATGTGCTATTTTCCTCATATGAGGTCTGTGTAAGAGCACCCACATCTTGTTAAAGTGAGTTTTCTGCATAGAAAGAGACCTCTTTCATATAGGCAGGCCTGAAGGGTAGAGCGGTGGATGGGACAGAGAGAAAGCCAGGGAGAGGAGAATGGGAGCCTAAAGCCTCCTGGGAAAGAAGGAAAAACAGGAACAACAAATGAAAATGTTTGTGTAAAAAACTGCAAAACAGAAAAAAAAAATCTCACGTCCACTGAGGACACATCCCTGTAAAATGTATGCATGCACAGCAGGAACAGGGGGCAAGAGGCCAAGCAGACATGAAGGCAAGAGTTGTAATTGGGTGAGATGATGGCTCTGGGATTTGGGCATTCTTTAAAATTGTTTTTATAGATGTGGTTATATTGATTTTCAAATAAGATAACCAAAAAAAAAAAAACACAAAGTATGTTAGTCCAAGAATAGAAAAATAAGAGCAGAGTCAGAAGAGGAAAGGCAGAAAATGAAATAAGGACATGAAGACAGCATGATCAGTCTCTTCCATCCTTAAAACCCCTCTGGGGCATCCCTCAGGGCTAAGGATAAGGTCAAACTCCTTCCTGCAAGCAGGGAGGCCCCACATCACTCCTCCAGCCCCCTCCCTGGTCGCTGGTCACAGGTTGCTCCAGCTCACCCCTAACTCCAGTTCTCCAGCCCAGGCCTGGGTTGGGATCTCCACAGAGCATTCCTCTGGCTCCTCTGTTGGGTTAATCCCCACACCTCCTTCTGGGAAGAGCCTAAACATCCTTTCCCCCAGGAAGCCTCCCCTTTCCCCTAAAGTCGAATTGCTGCCTAGTCTCATCCTGCCAAGACATCCTGTGTGTTCCTTTTCTGAGTTTCCCACTGCAATGGCTTGTACTGAGCTGCTCCAATATAGACCTTTTGATTAGAAGTCTAACCATTTCAGGAAGGGGACATCACACGGGGACTGTGCCAGCCGTGGAAGGAAGGACTGGCCTTGGAGACAGGACAGGCAGAATGGGCTGGACAATGCCCATTAGATGACTCCACGTCAGTTTTCCCCTTCTACTCTCTAGCCCCACATCACCAATCCAATCAACTCTTTAAAAACTTATTTCTCAAGTGCCTGTTATCACCAAGACGTTGCAGTGAGAAATTGCAAAACCCAGGCCATTCCTTGAGTGTATAACCGAGTTAGGGAGTCGAGACTTCAACATGAGGATTGTTAGATAACCATGCAGCAATGAAGTATAAGATAAAACAAGATTGTCAAAGATTAATTGAGTGTGGGCACTGTGTGGTCTGGGTTCAGGAGAGCAGGGTCACTGTGGCTGCAAAGGAAAGTCCTCTGAGAGCCAGATTTAAAGGATACCCACAGGACAGGTAGGTTTGCAGGGGGTGGGGTGAAAGGATAGCATTCAGTGATGAAGGCCTAGAGCAGGGGAGGGGTATTGGATGCTCAGTGGCCAGCAAGAAGTCCCCTGAGGGAGGGTGTGTTAGGGTCAGAATTTTGAGAACCTTAAAACCCAATGAGAAGAATCTGCACTAGGAAAGAGACGAGTGAAGACCACATAAAGCAGTGCAGCTGATGAGAGTCATTTGTGAGGATAGATGCTCAGGACAGACTAGAAAAAGATCCTGGTAAGAACCTTTTATGAAAGTTAAAGTAGGAAGACAGGCATGTGGTACCAGAGCTGCCACCTCCCACCTACAGGCGTGGTGGTCAACACCAAGTCATTAGAGCCCACTTTCCTACCAGGCCCAGTTGGGACCTCAGAGTTGTTTCCCATTCAGGGCCAAGAAAACCCCTACCAATGGATCCAGAGTGACAGTTCAAACTTATTTTGCCTTGCAGGTTGTATTAGTATTAGTCAGAAGTGACGCTGTTATGCTGCACTAACATGTCTTTCCAAATTTTAGTGGCTTAAAGCAACAAAGATTCATTTCTTTTTTCAGCTGCATGTTCATCACAGGTCAACCTGAGATCATGCTCAATCTCAGCATCATCCAGACCAGGCCAACGTGGCAGCCTCTACACATAGCACTGATCAGCAGCAGGCCAGAAGAGAGAATGACCTCTGGAGGGTTTCTCACTAGAATTCCAACATGAAGGCCAGAAATGACATGTCAATTCTGCTCACTACTCCTTGGCCAGAATTGCTCACAATGGGTAAGAAAGTTCAGTCTTACCCTGTGGAAGGCAGAGTCAGAAACAATAAATGGCCTAAGTATATCCCCTTTCAGGTCACATGGAATTTACTATTCATCCATTCAACTAGCAAGAACTTATTTTAAAATGGCATGCTCTGCACCCAGCCACTTTCCTTCTCATTATCTTCTTCTATTTTCTTCATAGTAATTGTCACTATCTGAAATATCTTAACTGAAATGCCTTAATTGTTTATGGATCTGTCATCTGTTGTTGCCTGTGTCACAGACTAGGTTCTAAGCTCCCTATCTGCCTTGTTGGCAGTGTGGGGCACACAGTAGGACTCTCAGCAAATATTTGTGAAATGAGTAGGTGAATGAACGAAAGGTTCCACAGGGCAGGGACTCCGTCAGCTTAATTTAGTGTGCACAATGTCCAGCACATTGTCGGAACTCAGTGGGCTGCTAAGAAGTTAGCCAGTTTTTTGTGTCTGCTTGAAGTGACATGACTCAGCACTTCTTCCCCCCTTGGTGCATTTCCTCTCTCTTTCCCCCTACAGGGACTTGAGAGCTGAAGACTTGAAGCTGAAGACTGGTCTTGACAGATACTATGCCTATTGATTTCAACCCTGAGATCCCCCCACTAACCTTTCTCCCTTACCCTCAGGGTTCAGGGCCAAGTTTCAGACTGGCCTGAGAACATAGGGACCAAAGGGAAAAAAACAGCCAGAGTGAAAGAGAAATGAAGAAGAGACTTCTGGCTGGGCGTGGTGGCTCACACCTGCAACCCCAGCATTTTGGAAGATTGAGGTGGGTGGATCACTTGCAGTCAGGAGTTCAAGACCAGCCTGGCCAACATGGCAAAACCCTGTCAATGATACAAAAATTAACCAGGCGTGGTGGCGTGTGCCTGTAATCCCAGCTACTCTGGAGGCTGAGGCATGAGAATCCCTTGAACCCAGGAAGCACAGATTGCAGTGAGCTGAGATCACACCACTGCACTCCAGCCTGGGAGACAGAGTGAAATTGTGTCTCAAAAAAAAATAAAAAATAAAAAAGAAGAGACTTCTGAGAGGGATGTAACCAGCCCTTGCACACGCATGCACATGCACGTACATTGTAAATGCTTCACTCTAGTCTGGCCTCTTCAGGAACTTGCTGTGTAAACTTGGGCAATTCCTTCCCCCTGTAGGCCTCTGTTTCTCTGATAGTAAAATCTGGGTATTGAAGAAGCACATTTCTAAGGGGCCTTCCAGATCTAAAATGCTACAAGCAAGAAATCATCTAAGGGCATATTTCTCAGAGCAGGGTCCATGGGGTGACAGCTTTTATAAGGCTTTTGTAGGCCTCACACACATTGTATCAAATGCATTAATTGCACTCATATCCTTCATTAAAAAATAATTCCTATGTAACTGTAAAAGTTGAGGCGAACTTGACAAGTTGACATAAAGTTCTATAAAACATACAGTATAACTATTTCTATTTTGCAGTTTTGTTTTCATATTTTTCAGCTAAGAATTTTACATGTTTGTTCTCAAGTTTGTTTGTGGGTCTTTGAAATATCAGTAAGTCCCAGACATTCTGTTTATAGCACTTAACTGGTCAAATGGGACTCTCTCAGATGTTCGGTAAAAATGTCATTTGCAGGCAGGGCCCCACCCTAGAACCACTGAATTAGAAAATCTGTTGGGGGAACCCAGGAATCTCCATTATAGCACATTTCCCAGATGATCATTTGCAAACTGAGGTTTGAAAACCACTGCCATAAAAAGAGGCTGAGGAAATGGGCTGGGGGAGGCAATTAGGGAGGAGGAAGGAGGGTTAAAAGGTGACCAAACAAGGGTGAAAAGATGACGGTGCATGGCTTACATTTTGCATGTGTGCAAATGTGCTTCTGCCCACGTGAGCCCACACGTTCCACCAGAGTAAATACATTTTGTAAAACCATGAATCGCTCTCTGCTGAGCCCCTCCTCCAGGCCCGGAAAACAATACTCAAACTCAGTCTGAGACTGCATCCCCTCTGGTGATTTACAGGAGGAGTTAATATTTCTAGCATATCATTGGGCACCCAGCCTGAAGACTGAAGGTGTTTCTGCCAGGGACGGGTACTGCAGGAAGGACTATCAATAGCGCTGTCACCCAGATGCTTGCGGCAATGAGTTCTAGCTTTGGTTAGTAATACATACTAGCTCCGTCAGTGATCAGTCTTAACTCATCCGTGGGGATGGGGGTTTTCTTTAATCTTTTTTTTTAATTCACAGATAAAATTGTATGTATTTACTATTTACAACACGATGTTTTGAAGGACACAGTGGATACATTATGGAATTACTAAATCTAGCTAATTAACATGTGCATTACCTCATGTAGTTATCCTTTTTGTGGTAAGAACACTTTACATCCACTCTCTTAGCCTTGTTCATGAATACAACACATTATTAACTATAGTCAAAATCGACTTCTTGAACTTATTCCTCCTACCTAACTGAAATTGTATATCCTTTGGCCAATATCTCCCCAACCCCCTCCCCAGACTCTGATAACCACCAGGCTCCTTTCTACTTCTTTGAGATCAACTTTTTTAGATTTCACATATGAGTGAGATCATTTAGTATTTGTCTTTCTCTGCCTGGCTTGAGCCACACACACAAAAATTGCTTGTGTACATATGTGTGTGTGTGTGTGTCTGGCACACACATAAATCTCAAAATTTATTTATTTATTTTTTGAGACAGAGTCTCACTCTGTTGCCCAGGCTGGAGTGTAGTGGTGCAATCTCAGCTCACTGCAATCCCCACTTCCCGAGTTCAAGCAATTCCTGTGTCTCAGCCTCCAGAGTAGCTAGGACTGTAGGCGTCCTCCACCGCACCTGGCTAATTTTTGTAGTTTTGGTGAGATGGGGTTTTAACATGTTGGCCAAGATGATCTTGAACTTCTGACCTAAAGTGATCCTCCCACCTCAGAATCCCAAAGTGCTGGGATTATAGGCTTGAGCCACTGTGCCTGGCCTGCGTGTGTATTTAAGCATCTGCAACGATTACAGATGAAACCTAGCAATAAGAAGTCATCAAACTGTACTGCTGAGTGCTGGTTTTCATGGTGCCAGGAAAGACCAGGATAAAGGGGTAGGTTGGAAAGAAAGGGTAAACTAATTCAAAAGGCCAAGTACTGTGCTAGGGATTTCCTAGTATGTCTCACATCAATCCACTGGGGAGAGCATTATCTGTCCCTTTCTTCCAGTGAGGAAACCAGGACACAGAAAAGATCTGTGACTTGCCCCAGATACTGCAAGATCAAACCCTGACCCAGCTAACCACAAAGTTCACATTCAGTGCCCTGTGCAGTGCTGCCTGAAAGTTCCCTAGCTTTAAACACAGGAGGGATGGGAGAAGGAAGCCTGTTCTAGAAAGGGGGAGACTGAGGAAACTGATCTCTCAAATCAGAAATAACAACCCAAGTAATTTCTCAACAATTTAATTCACAAGCAACTAGTGGTTATTGGAAAAAAATAAATCACAGATTAGCAATAAGAAAAAAAATACACAAATAACCACATCCTCCCCCAAGTAATGGTGTTTTTATAGGTCTATATTTTTACTAGCAAATACATATTTTTTCTAGCCTACAAATGACATGATACTATTTTAGAAATTTTATCAAAATTTATATAATTTTGCCTTTTTAAGAACATGGATAATGTGTTTGCTTGCCCAGTTCTCACCTTCTGTGAATTTATGTCAATCCATACATTTCTTTCCACCTTCTAAGGGGGAAAGAGGAAATCCTTCACTTCTTTTTTATTTGTTTGTTTCCTGTTGTTGCCTGCTCCTCTGAACAGGTGCATTTAGGAAGGGTTAAAGAGTATCCTAGGAAATGTTGTGTTCTGGTAGATAATGTGGCCTTCAGAAACACACTAAACAAAAATTAACTTGGTTTCTTCCTCCTCATAGATGAAAATGAAGAGTAGGTTTTGTAGCAATTGAGAGAAAATAATTTTTTAAAATTATCTTAATGCCAAAGGAAAAAGCAGCTGTCCTGTCTCCCCCTGCACCGCAGGGGGCAGCCCTCCAAGTGCCCCCATCACCCCTTCCAGGCATTCACCAGTTGGGAGAGTGAAAAATAGCCTCCTTTTCACTCCCCTGTTGTTAACCAGGCTCCCTATTGAGATGTAGTTAATCACATCAATTAAGAGCTTTTCTTGCACGTGGCCTTGCCTGCCAGGCACTGGCCCTGTGTCCATGGGAAGGTGGGTAAGATAAGCAGCCAGTCAGGTCATGTGATAATTAAAATACAGATATTTTGCTTTTTCCTCTCTTTCTATGTTTTTTCATTTGTACATTTTTTTAAAAAATCGGGCATAAGTCACATGCCGTGCAATGCTCAATTTGTAAATAAACAGTTTGATGAGTTTTGACAAATGCAAGTATTCAAATGCACCAAACCAGCAAGACACAGAACATTTCCCTTTCCCAGAAAGTGTTCCTGGGCCCTTCATAGTTTCCTCTGCCATCGTCCCAGAGAAAACCACTGTACTGACTTCTAGCACCGTCATATGAATGGAGTCACGTTCTGTGTTTAAAGATAAACACGAATAATGAGCCCAAGAACGAGCAGCTTCTAGTGGGAATGTAAAACAGGGTAGACACTTTGGAAAAGACTTTAGCAGTTGCTCAAAAGGTTATACATAGAGTTACCATATGACCCAGCAATTCCACTCCTAGGTATACACATGCCCAAGACAAATGAAAACATACCTCCATACGAAGTCTTGTACGAACCTTCAGAGCAGAATTAATCATAACAGCCCCACCCCCAAAGAAACAACCCAGTGTCCATCAACTAATGAATGAATAAATAAAATGGGGCATATATTCACACAATGGAATATACTTTGGGCATAAAAAAGAATGAAGTATATGTTGTAACTTAGATGAACCTTGAAAACATTATGCCAAGTGAAGAAGTTCCTCACAAAAGACCATATATTCTGTGGTTCCATTTACGTGAAACGTCTACAATAGGCGAATCCATGGCCAGGCATGGTGGCTCACGTCTGTAATCCCAGCATTTTGGAGGCCGAAAGGGGCAGATCACTTGAGGTCAGGAGTTTGAGACCAGCCTCGCCAACATGGCGAAACCCCGTCTCTACTAAAAATACAAAACTGAGCTGGACGTGATGACACATGCCTGTAGTCCCAGCTACTTGGGAGGCTGAGGCAGGAGAATCACTTGAACCTGGGAGGTGGAGGTTGCAGTGAGCCGAGATCACGCCACTGCACTACAGCCTGGGTGACAGAGAGAGACTCCGTCTCAAAAAAAAAAAAAAAAAAAAAAGTAGTTGCCTAGGACTGGGGATAGAAGGGAGATTGGGAGGTGATATCTAAAGGGAACAGACTTTCTTTTGAGATGAGGAAAATATTCTAAAATTGGTAAATTGTACGGTATGTAAATTATATCTTAACAAAGCTGTTTAAAGAAAAAAGAACATTCAGAATCAAAAAGAGTAAAGACAATTGTAATGGGCAGAGAAGACAGACCAGTTTTCCTTCATCGGAAGTTTAACTGCAAAAGTGTTTGGCATTGTGGCCTAAGGACCCCATGCCACCTGGGAAGCATAATTGGTGTTCAGGAAAGAAGGTCTCCTTCCCTCCCATGAGAAGGTTGAGGAGTTGTCTGCTTTCCTCAGGAGTCCCTGCCCTGTTCCCAGAGTTTAAACTCCGAGAGTCCAGGAACTATTCATCAGATTCATCTGTTTATTCCACAAACATTTATTAAGCTCATGTTTAGTAGGAAGTACAAAACCACATTTAGTCCTGACATTGCTATGAAGTGGCTGCATTTATAGGGATATCTTGAATGCCTCTGTGTGTCTGGCCCTGCGTTTAGCAGGTGATCCTAGGAGACTAGAGTGGTGGAAGGAGCTCATCATGAGAGCGAGACCAAGAACTTTGAGGCCAACGAACCTGGTTCTAAATTCTTTCTTTTTGACGGAGTCTCACTCTGTCGCCCAGGCTGGAGTGCAGTGGCATTATCTGGGCTCACTGCAAGCTCCGCCTCCTGGGTTCACGCCATTCTCCTGCCTCAGCCTCCCCAGCAGCTAGGACTACAGGTGCACGCTGCCACACCCAGCTAATTTTTTGTATTTTTAGTAGAGACGGGGTTTCACCATGTTAGCCAGGATGGTCTCGATCTCCTGACCTTGTGATCCACCCGCCTTGGCCTCCCAAAGTGCTAGGATTACAGGCATGAGCCACCACGCCCAGCCTCTAAATTCTTATTCTACCATACATTAGTGCATGACTTTCTTTTTTCCTGCCTCACAATCCCTCACCTGCAAAGACCAATGACTTACCCTATGGCTGAACGATGAAGAGTCCCAGTTCTAGGAACAAGACCCCAACTCTACCACTTCCATGCTGCATGTGGCTTCAGGTAGTTTCTGAACCTCTTTGCATCTCACTTCCCCATGTGTAAAATGGGGATGGTATGATAACTGCCAACACTATGCGGGATTGGATGAGCTTACACATGTAACCCAGGGGTCAGCAAACTCTTCCTATAAAGTGCCAGATACTCAATATCCTGGGCATTGTGAGGCCACCTGGCCTTACTGCCCCTCGTCATCTCTGCCATTGTAACATAATGCAGCCATAGGAGATATGTTAAGAAAAAGGGTCTGCTATGTTTAATAAAATGTTATTTATGGACATTGAAATTTCCATTCTCATTTCATGTAATTTTCATATATCACAAAATATTCTTCTTCTCTCGATTTGCTTCACTACCACTAAAAAATGTGAAAACCATTTTTCACACTAGGATTGTACAAATACAGTGGTGGGCACAGATTTGGCCCATGAGGCATAGTTTGACCACCCCTGGTGGACACGTAAACAGTGTCCAACACATAGTCAACTGCCCTGCCCAGCCATTGAGCCTGGGCAACAATGGCTGAGCATTCACCTGTGTTGAGCTGCGTATTGAGCCTTTCCCTGCCATATCTCATTCAAACCTTATCATAATTGTACAAAGGGGGTTCTCACATGAAAAAGCCAGGACTCAGGCGAGAAAAGAAGCAGAGTCATTGTAAATCCAGGTCTTTCTGACGTGAGCCATTGCTTCTATCCATGATAAAATATGTGCTGGCCACCGGGACACAACAGGGAACTGACTCACTTGGGCTCCCCTCCAAACAAGACAAATCATGATTTAATTCATCTGAGATGTGTGTTGCACAAAGCAAGGGCTGGAAGGAGGAATAAAAGGGCACTCACTACACAGTAAGCAGTGAAGGAGACCCTCTAAAGAAGGGATGATGGCCTGAGAACAGCCATGCGTCTGGTGCAATACCAAGTGCCAAACAGATGAGGCTGGAAAGGTAAATCCACCCTGAAGCCCTGCTGTGGAGGGCTCGAGGACATGGTCGTCTGTCATGCTGGGGGTGGAGGGAGACACTGGTCCCCACTTTTTGAAAGGAAACTCCGCAACCTCAATAGCCTAACCAGCCCTTGTTTCAGCCATTCTAGTTTATGGGAATATGTCCTCATAAAGTAGGAAAACATATTCACAAAGATTTAGCTTTAGGAATATTCATACCAACACTGTTTATAATAGTGCCAAAGTTGAATTCATTTCCTAAATGTCTGCCTAGACACTTAGAAAAATACAAAGGGTTTTGCCACTTAGGTCTGAACAACGGTGAAGTCTGGTGTCCAAGCAGTCAAATGGTGATGTAGTAGAAGTACACATGATGATGTCAAAGTATATTTATCATGTATTTAGTAGAAGAGCTATTTACAAACTAATATATATACCACCATACAACTATACACACACACACACACACACACACACACACACATGCATCAGTTTGTTTAATTAGTTACATCTAAGTGATATAAGGGTTTTTCACTTTTTCTGGAAGAGGTATGTACTGTTTTATAATAAGACGTGAAATAAAACTGATGTTGGACAAGAGTTTAAAACTCCCAGGGATTTAATTGGTTAGGTCGAATCACTATTCATTAATTTACCCAATACATCCTTAGGAAGGATCCATCACAAGCTAGGAACTGGGTTATGCACTGAAGAATCGAGAGAGATGAGACAGACAGAGCTCCATGTTGAGTAGGAAAGCTGGTCAGGTAACCAACTCCATTCATTCAGTGACGCTGATGTTCTACAGTATTTGCAGAGAGGAGCCCCAGCTCCTGATGAAGGGTCCAGCCTCTTACCCTAATTTGATCTCAGGGTTGGCTTACACCCTCACACAATCAGCTTTTGATCAATTTGACGGAAGACCTTCTGGTATCCATGGTAAGACTAGTGTTTGGATTGAAAGCTAGGCCAATGATACCACCATGTGAGCCTTTCTTTTCCTCACTCACAAACAGGGTAACCTCTCGCAGCTGTCAGGATAAGCCAAGGCTCAGGAAGTGTTCTGCAAATGGCAAGGCCCCGCACACACCGTGGGGGAGATTTAATGCCGAGATCCGAACCTCGTTCTACAAGGATGACGACCTGGAATTTAAACGATGATGGATGTCAAAATGCAGGGAGGAAAGCATGTTTATGAACTGAAAGGCTGAACAGAGACAGGCAGTGAGCAGTGGGATTCTAGGTCACCGTGCCTTGGAGGGACGGACACCTCATTCTGTACCTCCCACGTCAGCCAGTGCCAGGGTGGCTCCTGACTTTCTGGTGCTTGTTTGTAACCCCAAAGACAATCTGTACATTTGAAATTGGATAAAATATCCCTGCAGGTTTTTGTTCACATATATTAAAGAGAAGTATTTAGGAAGAATTTAGGACCTGGGGCCATGAAAACAAATCTTAACATATCTCCCTGCCAGTATAGTAGAAAGAGAAAGGGGTTTTTCCGGTTAGGTCATAAGGGTTTGAATCCTTGTTCTGTGCCCTTTTGTAAGCTATTATCCCTTAGCTTCGGGGTAATAATACCTTTTCTACATGGTAAGTAATAAGAAAAGCAACGTTTGTATACAGTATTAATGCTCAATAAAGAGCAGTTGTAATTTTCTTAGTGGGAAGGCCTCGGGGAAGTTACAAAGCAATGAGGTCATATCACCCAGAAGCTGGACCTGGGGTAAATCAGCTCACTGTGAATGGGAGGGAAGCTCAGGGTGGTCTGGTTATCTCACAGCTAAACTTGACGTCAGCTCAGCCTGGAAGTGGTGAGGTGAGAATACCCTGTCTTTCTCAATGATGCGGGAAGCTAAACTAAACTAAAACTCCAAATGTGAAACTGGCCCTGTGTTCTGCACTCCTCTGAGATCATGGTTGTGCATGAAGAGAATGCATTCAATTTTTCTGGGGAGGGAAAGGAAAATGAATTAACCAGAGAGTAAAGAAGATACTGCTGGGGCAAGCATGGGCTGCCAGGGACCCGCCACGATCAGAAGCGCCTATGACGTTTCTATCAGAATCACCCCGGAGCAACTCGTGAAATAACCAGATTCTAGGTCAATCTCTTGGAGTCAGCAGGCCTGGGGTGGGGCCCAGGATTCTGCATTTTACCAAGACCCACTGATATACTTCTGATGCGTCCCAAGGGCAGTCTTGGCAACCATTCGTGTGGTGGAGAAGGCACTAGGCATTGGCCTCGGGAGGTCCCAGTTCAACACCCAGCTGAAGACCAGTTCTCAAGCACAGTGATAAAATTTTCTCAAATACACTGGGGCAGGGCCCAGGTTAAAGCAGCCTGGGACTCGTGTACAGGCTGCAAACATATGTATAAACAAGGAAACATCTGTGCGAGCTATGCATGCAATTTTATGTATACACGCAATGAATATATATTGTATATAGAAATATATACATATGTAGGTGTATACGCAGACACATATGTATGCATATATGAGTATACATACCTGCACATTCAAATGTAAATACATGAACGCATGTATACAGGCATGCATATGCATATAGGCATGAATACACACACACTCCTATTTCAATTAATCCTCACACAAGTTCCACTTCAGTACCAACATTATCCCCATTTCCTTTATAAGGAACCTGAGGCATGAAGGAAATAAGAAACTCACCTAAGGTCCCATAGCTAGTCAGTGGCAGAGGCAGGATTTGAAAAGGGCAGACTGGCTCCAGAGTTTCTGTTCAGAGGTCACTACATTATTACAAACCAACCCAAGAGGTTAAGCAGAGTAGAAGCTGAGAGTCATAAACCTGAAAAGCAACTTGTGCCTGGGGTGGACTGTGTCCAGTAGTGAGTGATATGAGTCCTCCCATTTCTGTACATGCATATTGTTTCTCCCATCAAGAGTTGGAGTTGGTTTCCCTGTCTTGAGTCTGGGCTGGTCTGTGGCTGCTTTACCAGGGGAAGGTGATGGAAATGATTCTGTCCTAGGAAACTTTCACATCTATCCACTTGGGATTCAGCTACCCAACCTACCATAAAGAAGGTTGAGCTAGACTGCTCGTGATGAGAGACCTCATGGCAAGACAGATGCCACCAGCCACTCCAGTCACCCCAGCTGAAGCACCAGACTCCTAATTTAATGCAGCCACACACCGATTCCAAATGCTCCCATGTGGAACAGAAGAACCACCAGCAGAGCTCAGCCAACTTATAGAACTATGAGAAAAATAAGTTGTTTTAAGCCACAACATTTTGTTATGGTTTCATGTGCAGCAAATAGAGAACTGATTCATGCAGCTACATGGCTTGCAGTAAAGTATAAATTTTAGAATAAGCAGCATTATGTGTTGAGCACTAGGCCAGGCAGTGTATTAAGTGCATTACATTCATTGTCTTGTTTAGTGTTTATTGGCATTAATGTAGGAGGTGTTAATATTATTTCCATTTTATTGATAAGGAGACTTAAGCCCGGAAAAGTTAAGTAACTTACCCTCAGCATTGGCAGTTCTTGGAGTCATACCTAAATCTGTCTCATTCTAAAGTCTGCATATTATGATGTCCAAGGTTTTTAAAATAAAAATAAAACAAATAAACACAAAGCTTGCATGTAATATCAAGGTTCTCCAAAGAAATAGAACCAATAGAATGTGTGTGTATGTGGGTGTGTGTGTGTCTGTGCATGTGTGTGTCTGTAGGGACATAGAGAGATTATAAGGAATTGACTCACACAATTGTGAGGACTGTTAAGTCTAAATTCTACAGGGCAGGTTGGCAAGATGGAGATCCAGAGAAGCCTTGATGTTGTAGTTTTAATCCAAAGGCATCCTGGAGGCAGAATTTCTACTTCCTTAGGGAACCTCATGTGTTTTCTCTTAAGGCTTTCCACTGATTGGATGAGGCCCATCCACATTATGGAAGATAATGTGCTCTACTCAACGTCTGCTGATTCAAATGTTAATCTCATCTGAAAAATACCTTCAGTGACATCTGGACTGGTGTTTAAGGAAAACCTGGGTAACTACCCAAGGTGACAGATGGAATTAACCATCACATGGCATTTCTCTCACTCTGTGATCTGTGTCCCTGAAAACCTGGGCCCAGCATTCCCAGTCACAGTCATGATTCACACAAGCAGCAAAATAAATGAAAACTGCAGTCAGAATCTGTCAGATTAAACATGGAGTGCCCAAATCATGTGGCAAGAGGCAACCAGCCACATTGAACCCATCAAGGAATGAGCCCAGAAGACAAGGAGAACTGACACAGTTGAAGCAGGCCATCAGTGTTTCAATCAACAGGTGCAAGGAACTGAGGATGGCAACAATTAGGAAGCCATGGTTGGTTCCAGGAGCCAGCTTTACCCTCAACTTGCTGTGAGACCTTGGGCCATACCTCACCTCTCTGAGCCTCAGTTCTCCATGTAAGCTTGCTGTTCTGCAAAGAACTGTCAAGTTCTTTCCATACTTCTCTTCAACTTCATCTTAGGCACAGGTCATTGCCATAGCAACCTCCTTTCAACTGTGGGAAAAAAATCTAACAAATCCCATTTTGCCACTACAAAGAAAGTGGGGTACAGAGTGCATCATGCACTTCCTGGTGGCAATAAAGTAAGTCACTGGTGAAACCTCAAAAACTTGGGAACCCCCAAAACTCAGGCTCTTCTCTTCCTATTTGTTGGGAGAACCAATAGGAGATTCTCACCCTGTTGTCACACACTGGATGCTAACTTAGCATTTGTAGGAATTCACATCCTCCCACCACCTCCTATAGTCACCAGCAGATATGCAACCCAGAACCCAGACTGGCAAGAGGTTATCACTCACACTGGATTTTGCTTTTTTGTCCCCACTAAAGGCAGCTGTTTCCTACAAATTTGTGTCAATCAGGCCAGGAAGTTTCTTTTTCCCTGCAATCCATTGTATGCAGGAAGATCAGAGGGCCCTGTCAGATACAAGGACGGAACCAGCTGGGCACTTGGAGATACAGGCTGGCTGCCCTGGCCTGGCCTTGCCCCAACCCTTCTGGTTGCTCAGCCAGTCCACTGTGCTGGTGCAGCTGTACCTGCTGACAGATGCTGAGAACAGGAGACTTGTTATGATAATTAATTAGGAGCACTGGCATCATCGTAAAGAGCCTCTGTTCTGTTCCAAAGCCAGCTAAGAAACTCACATCACTCACATCCTTTCCTGTCTCATAAACATGCTGCCTCTAGTCCACTGAGGGGCAAGGGATTGAGCTTGTTTCCTAGGGGTAACATCTCTAGTAAAACAAAGCCATTCTGAGGAGCCTGTGTGGACATCAGGCAGGACTACATCAAATTCTCATCTCATGGATGAAAAAGCTAAAGCTGATAATAATACCTATATATATTAATACCTATATATATAATACCCATATATATAAAATACACATATATAGGTATTATATATACAATATATATAAAATACATATATATGTGTGTGTGTGTGTATATATATATGTATATATAGCCCTCCAAGATGGCAGATGACACTGTCTGAGCACCCACTATAATCTATACTCTCATTTTTTCCACCATTAATGTAAGATTAATAGGAAATTATTAATGCATTTCTTCCATGTTGATCTAACAAAACCAAGACTTAATGAAGTTAAACACTTTGCTCATAGTCACTTAGTGATGAGTGAGCTCAGATCTCAATCTAGCTGTGTTAAATTCCTAGATCCAGGTCCCCTCCTCTTTACTATGCTGTTAACTCTGTGCCCAGAGCACAAACTGCAGTGAGAACTTACCCAAGAAATAGGATAATGACCCTTTGTTTCATGCACCACCCATTTGCTGAGCATCTTTGCTGGGGTGGTTACTAGAAGAAAGCACTAGAAAGGTCTGGCAGAGTGGTTAGATACACAAATCCTGGAGCCACTGTGAGGTTTAAAATCCTGGTTTTACCATCTACTGTCTTCATAGGAGAGCTAGACCACATTACTTAGCCTTTGTGTGCCTTGGTTTCTTCATCTGTAAAATGAAGTGACAGTATATCTCAGTTGGGTCTAATGAGGATAAAATAATTTGGTAAACATAAAGAACTTAAAACTGTGCCCTGCACATAGTGTGACAACAGCACTGGTTTTTATTGTTATGACTGTGGTAAACACAATTGACCTCATTCTTCCCCTTACAGGATCCCAATCTAGTGAAGGAATACAGATGTGAAATAAACAAAACTAAATGTATCATTTTAAATAATACTATGAAGAGAAGAGTAATGTGAGCAAGATGGCAGAATAGTAGTCTCCAGTGTCTATCCCTTCATAGAAACAGCAATTTGAACAACCACCCATGAAAAATATACCTTCACAAGAGCTAAGAAATCCAGATGAGCAATTACAGCAGCTGGGTGGAGCATAGAAATAATAAAAGATGCATTGAAAAGGGTAGGAATAAGAGTTTCACATCACTCACATCACCCTTCCCCCAAGACAGCACAGTGCAGCATGAAGAGAGAAACCCTTCATGTGGAGGAAGGAGAGTGAAGTAAGCACCCAACATCAGTGTAGATCCTAGTACCAGGTTGGCCTTCACAGACGCATGCTACAGACATGAACACAGTCAATAAAGCCATCCCACTGTATCTCAGTGCCAGTCTGGCCCCCAGGGACCCAGAATCTAGGCCTGTACCCATGGACTCAGGCACCAGGCCAGCCCGCTTAAGAATTCCAGCAGTAAACTTGCCCTCAGACCCTGCCAGCCAATCCACCCAAAATATCTTGACTGGTGAACAGCTTTCTTGGCCAAAGCTAATTGGTAAAGAATAAAAGAGATCTCTACTTCTTAAAATATGTAGACATCAACACAAGACCCCAAGGGTTACAAATAGACAAGGAAACATGACTAAAAAACAAACTAAAGCACCAGTAACCAATCCTAAAGAAATTGAGACCTATACATTGTCTGACAAAGAATTCAAAATAATTGTCTTGAAGAAACTCAACTTAAAGAGAACATAAACAACAAAATCAGAAAAACAATACATAAACAAAGTAGAAGTTCAACAAAGAGAGATAAACCATAAAAAAAGACCCAAACAGAAATTCTGGTGGTAAAGCAAAATGACTGAACTGAAAAATTCTATAAGGAACTTCAGCAGCAGACTTGATCGACCAGAAGATGGAATCAATGAGGTCAAAGACAGGCCATTTGAAATTAGTCAGAAGAATAAAAAGAAAAAAAAATGAAAAAGAAAACCTATGGGACTTATGGGACACCATCAAGTGAACTGAAATACACATTATGGGAACTCAAGAGGAGGAATAAAAGCAGAGGAGAAGGTGATAGAAAGTTTATTTAAAGAAAAAAATACATAGAACTCTCCAAATCTGGAGAGGAAAATAAACATCTCAATCCATGAAGTCCAAATAATTTGTAATTTATTAAACATAAGGAGGTCTTCATTGAGGCACATTAAAGCCAAATTCTTAAAAGTTAAAGATAAAATTATGGGCATCCATCTGAAGGGAAGAGTCCTCCTCTCCTTGGGCACAGAACTTCCCCCAGTCCCCAGTCAGCACCAGGTTCTCAGCTACCTATGTCTTATGCAATCCAGGCTTGGCACAGATTCCCAATAATGCAACCTCCTCACTGGATGATAGGCTATGTGAAGACAGAATCTTCATTTTATGCATCCTTACAACTCCAGTGTGAAGCACAGACACAACATATCATGTGCACTCAATCAATTTCGTTCAATGAAAGAACAAGTGACTCTCTTTCATTCTCTTGGAGTTGAATACTCAATCGTCCCATAAATGGTTCCAGTGCTCAAGCTGAGAATCTTACACCACAGTCAATGCCCTGAAGAAATTGAGACTGTGCTGGGAAGTCAGACACAAAAAGAAAGAGATGAGGTCCACTCTTGCTGTCATACATGAGGAACTAAGAGTCTTTCAAACAGAGGAAGATGACTTTGTGGCAGAAAAACCCACAGAGGAAGTGAATGATGGAATGGAACTTGAGGACAGGTGGAGTTTGAATAATCAGTGGGGTAGTCAATTAGAAGGTTAGGGAAAACCCCATTCATTTATCTGACAAGTCAAGCCCCAGTAGGAGCCTTTAGACAGGTTCTTCTCACAAGAACCCTGCAGGTAGGAACTATCAGCCCAGGTTAATGTCAAGGATACAGAGGCTTGGAGTGGTGAGGTGACATTCCTAGGGTCACAGAGCCAGCAACTGTTGGAGCTGAGGTCTGAACCCAGCACTCTCTGAAGCCAGAGCCCATGGATCTCTCAGGCATCCAAGGGAGAAAAAACAATGGGATCAAAGCACAGACGTCAAGGAAAGCAAGTAGTGTTTAAAAGACAAGAAGTGAGACCTGTTTACCAGAACTGATTCCCCACATAAGAGGCTCGGAGGCATTCAGTCTTTATTCACAGGCTGGAGTGATGTTGCGGTGGACTTAATGCCCCCTGAGAGGTCTGACTTCAAGCCTGTGGGTGACACGGAGCTACTGTTTTTGAGTTGGACAGGGACATGGTCAGAACTGTGCTTTCAGAATTTGGACTTGGCCACTGGAAGAAGAGACAGTTAAACTCAAGTTGCCCAACATGAGGCATGGGATGGGAGAGGTTGGGGAAGGGATGGAAGGAAACAGAGTGGGCACCAACAGGAAGGAAGCAAAGTCAGGAACTGCTGGCTGGAATGGGTCCAGGGAGAGGGAAAACCACTTCTCCTTCCTCTTCTTATGATTGCAAGATTAGTACTTGAGAATTAGGCTGCACAGGCCAGGACTTCCCAAAACTCAGGAGGGAAAGAGCCCAGAGCACGTGTCTCCAATGGAGGCTATAGTTCCAAATCACGTGATCATCGGTCATCTCCTTGCCCACCCTGAAGCCCTTGTCCCCAGTGTACTTTGGGCTCAGACAGTCCCTCAGGGGATACAGCAGTGTCCTTTCCTTCAGCATTCAGGGCAAATGAGAGGCAAAGAGATCAATGGAATGCAAAAGCGTTACTATAGATGAGAAGTCGGACGCACAGAGAGGTTCCACCACTTGCCTAATATCACACAGCAAGTACATGCCAGAATCAAAATTCAAACCTAGAGCCCCGGTGTAAACCTTACCTGAATCAGTCAGGGAGCAGCAGGGAGGCAGTGGAAGGATAGGCCCCCTGACCTCACTCCCCGCCTGCCTTCCCATCCTGCCAGTGCCTTCCAAACTGATACCAGAGAGCATGGCAGCCCTGTGTTGCATCCACCCTGATAATGCATCCACACAGGTCAGCCTTCTGGGCACAAAACAAGGCAGAGAAGAGCAAGGAGTGGACCTGGAGGGGCCCACGGAAGCTCCCCAGCACCCACCACTCCAATGGCCCAGCCCCTGGTAGGTCTCCAGTGCCCTTCACCCTACAGAGCCACAGAATCCCCAGACC
Source organism: Homo sapiens (assembly GCF_000001405.40). Classification (NCBI taxonomy): domain Eukaryota; kingdom Metazoa; phylum Chordata; class Mammalia; order Primates; family Hominidae; genus Homo; species Homo sapiens. The sequence continues at coordinate 128,049,440 of NC_000008.11, read as the reverse complement.
TTGACGCTGCAGCTAGGGCCCGCCTGCCTCTCAAGAGAAGGGCAGGGCCCCACACAGGCAAGTGCTCTGCCTCCGCGCAAAGCTGGGCATGCGTCATCACACTCCCGCCTTCCTTCCTCATTCACTCTCCCTTGCCCTGCTTCTATCAGTGGCTCCAAGACGCAAACATCTCGAAATGACCTGCTTCTGTGTAGGTCAGCTAACAGAAGTGCTGTCTTAAGAAATGAGGGCCAGCTGATGCCCACTACCAGACCCAGCCAGCCCCTCCCAGCCTCCCTGCCAGCCCTGCACATGGAGGCCTGGCGGCCAGGAAAAAGAAAGGGCTCCTATCTCTGATTCCTCAGGGCCTCTGATAAGAAATGTCATCCCTTGCTGGGTAATATTACCAAGCCAGATAAAAATCTCTATCAAGCTTAAACATATGGCTGGCTGCAGAACACAGAGTCCAGTGGAGAAGGGTAATTTATTTGCTTAAGCTGAAAACCCTGGGCAGCCGAAAGAAGTGCCTGAATAAAAGAGTAAGAGCCAAATTATAACCTCTTCTGACTTGGCATGGGGATTTTTCCCTGGGAAGGATGAGACACCTGAGAACAACAGGGGGCTCTCCACACATTTCTCCTGACACAATAAGCGCTTTCGCCTTCCTCTTTCTTCAAAGGGCACTTTCACTTATGCTATCACATTTAATCCTCACTACAACCTCAAGAGAGGCATTTTTAGCTTCCTTTACAGATCAGGAAATTGAGATTCAGCAAGGTTAAGTAAAGTGGCCAAGGTCACACAGGCAGCCATGCTGGAGCGAGGACCCAAACCCCAGCAGGTCTGACTCACCATCAGATGGGGAAGCTGATCCCAGCTTCTGGGGAGGATCGGCTCATACATCCACTTAATCAGCGAAGTCAGATCTGCCCAACTTAACTGACAATGTCAGCTACACATTGTAATCTTGAAGGTCCATTTCAAGGCTCTCCCGTCTCCTTGTTTCTCTGTAGCCTAAAGGATAATGAGAAAGCCTTGCAGAGCACAGAAGCTCAAGGAAAAGGACGGGAGGCCAGGGATAGTACCCAGGAGAGCAGTGAGTGACCTCAGGGCTTAGATTCCAGCCTCATATGCTCAAGGAGTAGCAGGTAGAAGGAAACTGTGGAAAGAAAACTCCTCTCTCTGTTCATTCATTCATTCACAAATATTAGTGGAAAGCCTATTGTGTGCCTTCTCTAGCTTGGCCTTGGAGATACCAATGCAAATGGGCAGGCTAGGACCTGCCTTCATGGATCGTCTGTCTTCTAGAACTGACTTACAGGTCAGTAAAGAGGCAATAGCCACAGAGTGTGTTAAGTGTGTTTGTGAATGCAGAAGTTCACGTAACTGATCTGGGGTTGGTGGCTGTGCATTAGTGTGTAGCTGTTAGCATACTCCACACAGTGTTCTAGGCACTATTCTTTAAAAAGTCAGCATTGTTAAGGTTGACTTTGCTCTTTGGTAGTTAATATAGCTTCAAGATTGTTCCCAATTACTTCATATAGCCACTAATTTTTTTAGATTAATTTTTAATTCACAAATAAAAATTGTATATATTTATAATATATGATGTGAAGTTTTGAATGATGTATACATTGTGGAATGGCTAAGTTGAGTTAATTAACAGGTGCATCATCTCACATACTGATTTTTTTTTACTAATTTTTTAAACAGCTGTATTAGTGTTCCATTTTATCACAACTTAATCAACCAATCACTAACTAATGAGCATTTAAGCTGAGTCTCGTTTTTCTGTGTCAAACAATGTTGTAATGAAGATTCTCTTCTCATCATGCATGTGTTTCTGCATGAAAAGTTCTTAGGATTCGCCCAGTGTTTTTTAAGCTTGGCTTTTCCTGTGCTCTTCACTGCAGCAGTAGCAAGGTCTCAATAGCGTCCTTTACAAGATAATGGCTCCCACGCGCCCATCCTCTTCAGACCTGGTGGGGCTCTAGTAAAAGGGTTTTAGTTCTCTTTAGTGAGCAACTGCCACCATTTCCACAAAAGCACACAAGAAAACAAAAACGTTTCCATTCTGGTGGCCAAGAAACCACTCCTCTTATCCCTGCCTCCTCTGGCCCATGGTGACTTAGTTCAGAATCAAGCGGAACTTAGCAGCAAGACACCAACCTCTCTTCTCACAGGTCATTCCTAGAAAGTGTCAGCTTTCCTTTTCTTCTGGACTCTGAGAGATTCAAGAACACAGAAAGCCCAAGGCTAGCAAATCTCCACTGAAGCTCAGCATACATCAAAAACTAAAGCCTGGTGGAGAAGGCACAGCAAATGTCAACTGCACACTTGGGAGCCCAAAGTACCTTGGAGGAAGGCATCAGTCGTCCAACAGAACACCTTTGGATAGTCAAAAGATAAAGAGAGTATGACTCCATGGCTGGAACAAAGTAGAACCTCAGACAAGAGGACATCCTGTTCATGAGAGGTTGGCCATCCACTGAAGACACTGTGGGGGACCGTGAAGGCAGAGCAGACATGAGAAAGGCAGAGCCCCACTCCTTGGTCCCCTGGAGAAAACCAAAGAAAGGGCTGTAATCTACGTGATTAGAGATGGAGAAACTAAGAGCCTGGGGAACAAAGGAAAGGGCCTTACTCATTCTTCCTGGACAAGTTAGAGAAGAGGATATTTGAGTTAGATATTGAAGAGTGAACATTTAGAAGACAGAGAAAAGGGAGAGGACCTTCAGATGGTACTCACAGAGCAGTGTGGCATGGAGAGTGAAAGAATGTTCAGCCAGTGGCCAGACTGTAAAGGGTATTTCTCAGGTGCTGTGCTAAGGAGCTGGGCTTCTCCCTCCAGATGCGATGGGGGGCTGTGTAGGCTCCAGAGCAACAGAATGACAGATTAGAACTATGCTTCTCCATCACCATGGAGCACGAACTAGTGAGAGAAGACTCTCGGCCATGTGGGAACCAGTATCCTACAGTTCTAAGAACATTCCACAAGGCAACAGATGCAGTGGCTTAAACAGAGGCCTACGGAGCCAGGCTCCCGGACTTCAGATCCCAGCTCTGCCATTCCCAGGTTGAACAAGTTACTGACCGACCCCGTGGACAGTTTTCTCATTTGGAAAACGGGGATATCAGCAGAGGCCTCTTAGGGCCATTTTGTTGGTTGTGAGCTGGATGAGTTAATATAAGTAAAGTGCTTAGGACAGTGTCTGGCACACAGTAGGGGCACAACACAAGACAGCTGTTGGGATGGCTGCCATCTCTCTTGTCCCCTTGGTTTCCTCTTTCAGCATTGTCATTTCTTCTGAAAGGTGAGCAGCTATGAATCTGAGCAAGAGTGAGAAGGTTCGAGCTAACACTTGCTTAGGAGGGCTGGAACTACATCTGAAATAGTTTGGGGTCTGTAGCTTCTTGTTAGTCCCCAGAATCCCTATAACAGGGATGCTCTAAGACTGTGGTCCTCAAACTCCACTGCATAATAGAATCACCTGGGGAGATGTTATAAATCCAAATGCCCAGGTCCCATTTCAGACAAAATCAAAATCTTTGCAGCTGGGGTACTAGCAGCAGGATTTAAAAAATCCTCTAGGCAATTCCAAGCTTCAACCCAGTCTTAGAACAACTGATCTAAGAGTCAAATCCAACAGGAAAGGAAAACATGGCAGAGAGGAAAGCATCCCCATCCTTGAGCAGTGTCATCTGCAGAACTACTTCAGCTCATTATGAAGCCGCTCCTCATTACGCCTTACAGGGCAGCTCGGTTGTCACAAGGAGCTAACAGACTTGAAAGTTGCCCTGGATCACTGCTTTTGTAACACACCCTTCCAAAGTCTTCTGGAAGCAGGTAAGGGTAGAAAATACCAACAAATACAGCCATGTGGGTAACTCTTGTGGAAAAAGCATTGGGTTGCGTGCAGACAGCTGGTTCTGGCCCTAGGCTCTTTCACTAATACTACGTAACTTAAAAAGCATATAACACTTATGCATCAGTTTCTTCAGTAGTGAAATAAAGATAAGAACTGACTTACCCATTAGATAAGATGTTGTGGGGTACAAGCCAGAAGACATAGGTCAGCTGTGGCAAAGCATTTTTATTTAACATGTTTTCCAGGTCTTCAATGGAACATAAAAAGTTTAGGAGAGAGAAATGTCCCCTTAAACATTTTTTTTCAATGAGAGAAGGGAGGAGTCAAGGAGTAGAGTTGGTCGGCCACATGAAAGCTCCCTTCAGAGCAGGCTGCCGTGGTGCCTGCCCACAAGGGGTACAAGTGGGGCCAGTGATAGGGCAGGAGCTCAGGGTGTGTCCAAGGGCTGCCCCAGCAAAGACGTTAAGATAGGATATGTTATCTGGGAACAATGGAACAACTGTACCGTTGTCCTAAACCTGAATCTGACAAGAGGGGATAAGACTCCAGGAAGCATGTCCCCAAACCACTGGCCAGAGTGGCCCCAACAAACCACTGGTCCATTTGTTCATTCCTTTATCTACTTACTCATTCATGTACCTTACAGTAGTGTATGTCAACTACATATCAAGAATTGTATGGATGTACAAGATTGTAGGAATGCTGGAATGAATAAGGCTCACTCCGCACCCTCAGGAGGGACAAAGATAAGTAGGGCAAACAAGTGGTATTTAAGTACAACACAATGTGCTAAAGTATAATAAAATAACAAGTATAATAGTAAATAGCCACCACTCATTGATGGCCAACTATGCACAGGCACCATACTTGGTATTTTATATTGAACATCTCAAATCCTTGCTATCTCCTCAAGGTAAGGATCTTTCTGGGGGCAAAGATGGTTGTTATAAGCATTATTACCTTTATTTAACATTTACTGAGTCCTTACTGTGTTGCAGGCACTGTGCTGAGGTTTTGTTTGTTACCAGCAGGGAGGTAGTAATGATTTAGATTAGAGCATGGGCTCTGGGCCCAGATTTGCCTGTCAGTAGCTGGGTGATTTTGAGTAAGTTACTTTACATCTCTGTGCCTGAGGCTGGGTGTGGAGGTCATCTCCAAAATAGAGACTTATGCATTTAACAAATATTTAGTAGGCACTTACCATTTTCCAGGGAATAAAGCACTTAATAAAATTAACAGAAGTCTCTGCATTCCTGGGGTTCATGAGGGGTTGGGGGTGTCAGACTGTCAACAAACAAATAAACAAGTAACTATATGCTGGGTCAGATGATGATAGGTGCTATGGTGATCAATTAAGATAGAAAAAAAAAGGGGAGATGGAGGTGCGAGGTGGGTGCTGTCTGCATAGAGTGGCCAAGAAAGGCTTGTCCAATAAGATGTTTGGGGCTAGGTGCGGTGACTCATACCTGTAGTCTCAACACTTTGGGAGCCTGGGCAGCAGGATCACTTGAGACCAGGAGGTTGACACCAGCCTGAGCAACATAGTGAGACCCCTTCTCTACAAAAAAAAAAAAAAATAAATAAATAATAATAAAAAAATTAACCGGGTGTGATGGTGCATGTCTGTAGTCCCAGCTACTTGGGAGGCTGAGGCAGGAGGACCACTTGAGCTCAGGAGGTCAAGGCTGCCGTGATTGCACCACTGCACTCCAGCCTGGATGACAGAGCAAGACCCTGTCTTTAAAAAAAAAAAAAAAAAAAAGACAAGATGTTTGGCCTCCTTGTGTATGTGTGTGTGTGTGTGTGTGTGTGTGTGTGTAGGAAATAGTTTGGGAAAATAATACTATATAGCAGTTAAAAAATAATGTATGTGTACACACACATACGGACACACAAAGATCTCCAAAATATAATTATCGACTGAAAAAATTAAGATGTTGAAATACTTGATTTCCCCCAGCTCTGAATGCCATGGAGTCCACAGAGCCAGAGACAGCAGGTGGAGGACACAGGGATCAATCCCAGGGGGATGGGCTGCTGAGGCTCCTGCCGTAGGCCATCTCCTTCTATGAGCGAGCGAATGCCATGCCCTCTGTCTAAGTCTCTAGGCAACAGCATCTTGTGACCCAGCTTCCAGTCTGATTTTGTTCTCTTAGTTCCTTGAAGATACTTACACTGATTTCAAAACAAAACAAATCAAAAGAGCTTCCCTCACCTCCTGACCCCCAGCCTGTGAGAAGCCATGGAGAGCAATTCAGGAATGCTGAGTTGCAACGTGAAGTCCTAGGGGGCTTTATCCAGCTACAGATCTAACCCACAGGGTGTTTCAAATATTTTTGAAGTTATTGCCTACATCCAAAATTCAGAAATTTTCATTATATTCAAAGTCCAAAAATTAATTTGGCAGCACTGAATGCACCCTCCCACAATACAACATTAAGTGGATGCTAATGGAGGGCTGGCCCCTTTATTTAGGGAAGGCACCCTCCCATTGACCCATCCCCACTCCTTAGAAAGCACCTAGTCCAAGGCTGAGCACAGTGGCTCACGCCTGTGATCCTAGCACTTTGGGAGGCTGAGGCAGGCGGATCACCTGAGGCCAGGAGTTCGAGACCAGCCTGGCCAACATGGTGAAACCCTGTCTCTACTAAAAATACAAAAATTAGCCAGGTGTGGTGGTGCAAGCCTGTAATCCCAGCTACTTGGGAGGCTGAGGCATGAGAATTGCCTGAACCCAGGAGGCAGAGGTTGCAGTGAGCCAAGATTGTGCCACTGCACTCCAGCCTGGGTGACAGAGCAAGATCTCTCTTAAAATAAAATAAAATAAAATAAAATAAAATAAAATAAAATAAAATAAACCACCTAGTCCAATCTCCTCATAGATGGTGATCCCACTGCTCATACAGGTGAGAAGGCTCACACAGCAAGCCAGGGCAGTACCAGAACTACCATTACCAGTTAGTATTCCTCACACAAAGACCTGTGTCCCTTCCTCCTGCCAGGCTCCACTCCTTCTTCTTCAGGACCAATTACAGTCTTAGAAAGTAGCTGATCCACTTGACATTGGGTGACATGGGGCTAGAGCAAGGCCCTGGGGAGTATCCTGTGTCCTGCACATCTTGGGGGGAAGTGGTGTTCTTATACTGTATGATGGTCCAAACACATTGCAACACTATCGCCATAATTAGCCCAGGCCTGGTCATCAGGAGGACTCTTGCTCAATATTATTCTTTGCTTCTTGGTTTCTACATCCAGAGAAATAATACTTCTCTAAAAATCAATTGTCCCCAGCAACCCACCTACACAGTTCTTGGAAAATATGGGTTAAACATTCTGCCTTACAAAGAAAACAAGGAACAAAGAGGGTGAAGGAAATTCATCACCATGGTCCTGCACTTCACATTATTCACACCAACCATTTTTCCAGTCACCGAGTTCAAATGACCCTGTCCCTTGGGGCTGCAAAACTATTTGTACCAACACTTGCCATTAAGGAAGCTTCACATGCTTTAATAAACGGGATTACTCAGTACCAAGAGATGCTAAATGGCTTCAAGAGACTGGAGGTTAGGGGAACTGAAAATGGCATGGAAGGAAGATGCCAGAATAATCAATTTCTGACACAGGAGAAGGAATGGCTGGATGCCAGTCTGCTGCCCAGAACACTGGAGGGACTGTGATACAGGAACTGCAAAGCATCAGTCAAATACATAGGTGGCCCATGAGAATCCCTTCCCAAACTTCCAGAAAAAGTAAGGAGATAGATGGCTCTCCATGATGACATCCAAACTGTTTTAAGGAGAGGCTGCATCTAGTAATAGGGGATGCTTGACACATAGCAAGTGCTCAGCAACCAATACAAACACACACATACTAAACACATGCACACACGAACAACACACACACAAACACACACGAACAACACGCACTCACAAAATACACACACATTCACCACACATGCACACAACACACACACACACACCAAACACATGTACACACACGCAAACACACACAAACACACACACAAAATACACACATACATTCACCAAGCACACACACGTACACAACACACATGCATACACACACACACACATACCAAACACATACGCACCAGGCACACACACCAAACACATATACACGCCAAACACATACACATGCACACAAACACACGAGCACAAACACACATGCACACAAACACACACATACACATATGCACACAAACACAAACAACACATGAGCACAACACATACAAGCATAAACACAGATGCACACACATGCACAAACATGAGCACAACACAAACATACAAGCATAAACACACAGATGCACACACATGCACAAACACACACACAAACAACACACACACATGCACACACACAAACACACATGCAAACACACGAACACAAGCACAAAACACAAACACATGCAGAAACACACATACAAGCAGAAACACACATGCACACACATGCACAAACATATACACACAATCACACACAAGCACACACAAACATATGCACAAATACACACAAGCACAAAACACACAAACACACAGGCACTCAACACACACGAGCACAAAGCACACAGAAACACAAAAGCATAAACACACACAAGCACACACAAACATATGCACACAAACACACCCAAGCAGAAAACACACACATATACAAGCACACACACATATGCACACATGCACAAACATATACACACAAACACATGCACGTAAACAATACACATACAAATACACAAGCACAAATGTACATACACAAACACACAAGCACAAACAACACACAGAAGCACTCAAACACAAGCACACACACACAAAAGCACAAAAACACATACACACACACAAGCACTCACACCCAAACACATATAACACACACAAACATACACACATAATTTCTGAATCTCTTAATCTGTGCTGTGCGGCCCCATGGACTGGCTCCTCTCTGCCCACAATTGTCTCTTGATGATCACGCTCATATTTAAGGCTTAAATAACTTAAGTCCCAAATACAAATCAGAATATCCATTTTTGCATAAATTTTGGATATCCAAATTTATCCCTTTCTTCCATGTGTTAGGATTTTCCAGAAAAACAGAATCAGTAGGATGTGTGTATGTTGAAGAGAGAGACAGAAAGAGAGAGATTTTAAGGAGTTGGCTCGTGTGATTATGGGGGCTGGCAAGTCCAAACTCTGCAGGGCAGGCCAGCAAGCTGGAGCCCCTAGGAAGAGCTGATACTGCGGCTTGAGTCCAAAGGCAATGTGGGGTCAGAATTCCCACTTCCCATTTCCTCAGTCTTTTTACTCTTAAAGCCTTCAACTATTGGATGAGGCCCATTCACATTGTGGAGGGTAATGTCCTTTCCTCAAAGTCTACTGATTTAAATGTTAACCTCATTCAAAACGTACTCCATGTGACATCTCAACTGGTATTTGATCACATGTCTGAGTACCATGGCCTGGCCAAGTGGACACTCTGGATCTGTACATGCAGCTGCCTCCTTACTGTCTCCACTTGGATGTCTGACCAACATCTCTAACATAACAATTCCACCTCTATCCACAAAAAAACAAATAGGCACTCCTGCTCACCCTGAGGATTGGCCCATATCAATAAATGGAAACTTCATTCTGTAGTTGCACAGGATAATCAACAATCGGGATCATATTTCTTACGGCACCCCATAGCCAATCCACCAGCAAATCCTACCTTTGAGATATATTCTGAATCTGATCATGTCTCACAATCTCCTCTGCTTCCACCAGGCCAGGATTACTGCAATACCCTGGATTACCACAATAGCCTCCTGATTGGTCTGTCTTTCCATCTTTGCCACTTCCAGTCCACTTTCAACACAGCAGCCAGAAGGATCTCATTAAAATGCAAATCAGAACCTGCCAAAAAGTTTCCGATGGTCCCATCTCAACAGAGAAAGAGCCAAAGTCCTTACCAAGACTCCCTCTGAGCCATCTCATCCCTATCTTTTTTGCTCTTTGTGGCTAGACTGTCTCCCCAGCCACCATCTCCCCTGAGGTATGGCTGCCTATCTCTCATGACCAGATGGGGCATTTCCTGAAACCCACCCAGCTACAAGGGGAAGCAGCACCCACCAGGGCCTTAGAGGCTGAGCAAGGGCCATGACTTTAGGGCATTAACTTAAGGACAACAGGAAGGGAGGGAACACTGAAAGGTGTTAACTAGAGGAGAGGTGGGCACAGGGTAGAAATTGTCTCTTTGGATGATTCCCCAACCAGCTGGTGTGGATTGTTCTCTGAACTGTATTTTGAAAGAGAAGAATTAGGTAGCTGCCAGGTAAGGAAAGGTGGGAGGAGGGAGGAAAGGGGGAAGGGAGGCGAGGCAAGAACCTGAGCAGGTGCTCTGCAACCTTCATGAACTCCCCTGCCAAGCAGCTACTATTTCCCACGGCAACAGTCATTGACTCACAGGGAACCAAGGCAGAAAGAAGAAACGGTGTTTGATTGTGGCCAGAAGAAAGAAAGCCTTCCAGTGGCCAAGAGGAGGGGCACCTGGTGCTGAGTAGGTTGGCTCAGCAAATGGAGCTGATCCGTCCCTCCCCTTCCTTCTGCCTCCCTTCCCTCCCTCAGACAGTACCTGAGCACAAAGACACAATGGCTGCAAGGTCCCTTCTGTGTTATAATGACTTGGTTGCAGACATCTGGAGAGGGAGAGAGGAATTACCATGTTTCCTACTGAAGAACATTAAATCTCCTTCCGAAGACCTGCCCAGCTCTCAGCAGGGTGCTTTGTCCACCAGGCCAGATTCAACGTACCTATAAGGCCTCCTCTTACTGAATCTAGTGAGGCAGGGCTGCTCCACTTCTCAGAATCCCTCTCAATTAGCAAGACACAGCCTACTGCAGAGCATATTTTTGCAAGCAATAGAGGATTCCGTCCCCAAGGAGTCAACTAGCAGGAACTGGGCCCTGTCAATGAATCTGTGAAATGATCCTAAACAGGCCAAGTGAAGACTGTGCTTCAGGGCAGGGCTGGGATATGGGTGACTTGATTATTTACAGAGGCTTGTTACTCCAGAGGCCAGCACCCTCAAGCCCATTCACGTGCCGCACCTCCCTCTTAGGACTTATCACTGCTGGAAATGACATTCTTTCTTTCTTAGCCTCCCTCACTTGGCTACAGACCCCATTAGTACCATGTCTGCATCTGCTGTTCACCGCGGCAACCTCACACCCAGGGAAGTGCCAGGCATGTGGCGATCACTGACTAAATACATGCTGAATAATGACACTGCTCATGCTAAAAGGGGACAAGACAGGATGGAGGCTCCCAGGGAAATGTGGAGCTCAAAGAAACCTTCCATCAACATTTGATCCAAATTCTTAATTCCAAACAGCAAAATAAAAGTTTATACCAGCGATTCCAATCTCAGGACTCCTCCACGGGGGTCCTCAGTCTATTTTTCGAAGGGTCAAGAAGTCTACCAGAAATTTCACCTTCCTTTCCAATAAGACCACGGTTGTCACCTAAAATATCAAGCTTCTTTGTTCGATACTGGCCAGAATTATATCAACTCAGCCTGGTGACCCAGATCAGGAACTCCCACTGGCAGATATTTTTAGATAAGAAAGTAGAGGAATAAATACTTAACAATGAAGTTTATTTGGTTGATAAACTCCCTCACAGGGAAGGAGAACCAGTAAAAGGGATTTCTGGTATAGCAAATGTTGGGAACCACTAGTCTACACCAGTGGTTCTTCATCAAGGGTGACTTTGCACCCTCACCTGCCCACCAAGCCCAGGAAAGGCACTGAACTAAATGTGCTGCTGGGCTCTAAGCCACCAACGCGAGCAGCATTTGTGTTTACCTGGAAGGCAGGGGCAGAGACTGAGCTTCGTGTGCTCCTGAGAAGCTCTGTGTCCCACGGAGGCCTGGGGTTCAGAACCCAGGCTTCTCAGCAAGGGCAGAGAACGTGGGAGGGTTGGGTACCTCCTCTGTCTGTGGGCACAGCTAGCCTAGCGTGTATTTATGCTAAAAAATGCATTGAGATCCTCCCTCCAAATGGACTGTACTTACAGGCCAGATGCTTCAAGGCTGTCCCCCACTTCCCTTTCCAAGCCTGTTGCCGACACGGCCTCAGGAATGCAAACAAAGTGCAACAACACAATAACAATGACAACTGCATTTCCAGGTGGGGAAAAGAACATTCTCTATAGCGAATCAAAGCAAGCTCCCCCAAACCCACACCTGAAAAATCCATTAAACACATAAATTATAGAATTGGAAGCAGTGATAATGATTACTCCCCTCTGAACATACATGCAAAATGAAAACAAATGGGCGTATGTCCCATCACCAACTGAAAGACAGGTGAGGAGACTGTAAAATGGACCCAGTGGCTCCTGCCCCTCAGAGGAGTGGTGACTGCAGGGCCTAAGGCCCCAGCACAGTGCCCAACTTCCCCAGAAGTGCTGGGTCTCGGGCACCCCTGCCTCTTCCCACTGCCTGGGGGAGCTTCCATCTGTGGACCTCTGGCAGTGGCAGTGGCGGTGGCTGACTGGTCAGGAGGAGAGGGGCCCAGGCAGCTATTTGGTGAGAATCTCAACAGCAAGTTATGCATCAAAATCATCCCAAATGTCCCAGGGAAGGAGCCCAAACCCATGGTGGGCCTGGAGGCTGCATCCTCAATGCAGCAGAGGCAGGCAGGAATGGAACAGCACCCTGCAGCCAAGTCCTGGCCCTAACGAAGCCTCAGGTTTCTCTAACAGTCACTTGCTCAACTGTCCTCCAGGAGCTGCTTTGACAGCCTTCTATTACCTTTCTGGCAAAACCCAGGTGCGGTAACCCTGCAGCAGCTTCCACTCACTCCTGCAATGCCTGACAGGTACATGACAGGGGCAAGATTCCCATTTACTAAATAAAAGAATGATGTATGCTCATGAGTAGCTTACAGAGGTAAAACTAAGGCTGCCTGTGAACTGCAGTGACGGGAGGATCAGGAGTGAGTGACTGTTTCAGAATAGCCACTAAACTACTGAGGGCCCAGCACAGTGCCCAGCCCCCCAGAAGCGCTGGGTCTCGGGCACCCCTGCCTCCTCCCACTGCTAACTACTAAATGTCCTATCAATCCTATCCAGAAGCCTCAGCCCAGAACACCTCTGCAGACATTGCCCTGCATTGTGACATCCCTGTGGAGAGGTTCTCCAGCATCCAGTGCCTTCCTGTCGATGACGAGGTACAAGAGGTAAGGCACGGGAGGAAGGTGCTGGGGTACATACTGTGCTCCAGACAGCCATCTTCAAGTGCATTTCACAGCTCAATCCTCACCACCATGCATGAGATGGAAATCACTATTACCCTTATTTTACATCATGATGTTACATCAGATGACAGACAAACCTGGGGCTTTGAGAAGTAACATGGCAAAAGGCCCCTTAACTAACAAAAGGTGAACGTGAACTTGAACCAAAGCACTGGGACTCCAGGGATCTACCTCGGAACCACTGAGCCATTCAGTCTCCTTCATCACTAGGGAAGTGGTGTTAACACTTAGAATACTGCAAGGACACATTGTATTAGTTCCTCTCGCTGCTGTAACAAATCATCGCAAACTTGGCAGCTAATAACAACACAAATTTATCCTCTTACCCTTCTGGAGGTCAGAGGCTGAACTAAGTCATAAGGAACTAAAAGCAAGGCATCAGCAGGGCTGGGTCCTTCTGGAGCTCCAAAGGAAAATCAGTTTCTTGTCTTCCACTTCTAGAGGCTGCCAGCATTTCTTGGCTCCTGGCTGCATCACTACAATCTCTGCTTCCATGGTCATATCTCCTCCTCTAGGGTATTCAGTCTCCCTCTGCCTCCCTCTAATAAGGAACCACTAATAAGTAACTATTTGTGATTGCTTTGGGTCCACCTGAGTAATTCAGCACTCTTCCCATCTCAAGATCCTTAATTTAATCACATCTGCAAAGTCCTTTTTGCCATGTGAGATAACAGTCGAAGGTCCCAGGGATTATGGTCATCTTGGGGGGCTGCTGTCCAGCAGACCACATGTGTTGACTTGTCTGTACCCTGCACTGTCTTACTCGTCATCACATTCCCAGCACCTAGCAAGGCTCAATAAACGCAGAAGGAGGGATGAAGGGTAGGAACACAAGCATTCCATCCCTTGGCCCCCCACAAAGTGTGAGAGCAGAGACAGATGGGCTCAGGTCCAAGGAAGGCTGAGCAGACATATACATATGTACTGGGAACCCTTAGAAATTGCAAGGAGTCAGCACCTCATTGGCTTGAGGTCGGAAGTCCCCAATGAGTCATGTGTTTGTTTTCCTAACCCTGTGTGTTCCCACAGCTATTGCAGCCTAAATAGCAGGCCCACAAGCAGCAGGCAGCTCCTCTCATGCCAATTTCCTGGGAACCCAGGCAGGACTAGAGTAGCCAACAGGTTTACTGCTGTGCCCTGGTGAAGGCACTTTTCCTGCATGACAGTAAACAAAGCCAGACAGAAGAGAAGCCTGCAAATAACTGGATCCTTGCCACAAATGCTTTTATTGCCCCCTACCCCTGCCTGCCTTGTGATACTATGAACAGTTGCTTTTCAGGGTAAATAAAATAGCCATAATAGCTACTGCTCATGCCAGGACTTTGCAAACATCATCTCTATTCTTTTCAACAAATCAGGCAAAGCAAGTGTTTCTATGTTTATTTTACAGATGGGGAAACTGTGGCAAAGGCAGCAGTGAAGTCATTTACTCAAAGTCCCCTGCTTGGGAAAAGGCAGAGCAGGGATTCAAACCTGAACCTGTCAAACTCTAAGGTTGAGCTCTTTCAGCTTCGGCACACATTTGCCAAGTGTGAGGAATAAATTGTATATATGGAGACACAGGTCTTGTCTGTGTAACAGAGCCAGGTGTTCCAGCTTCCAAGTTAGAGCTAAGTGATCTGGAGCCCAAGCTCCCTTCTGAACTAAGGGTGCCCCTGCTTGTACCTACATTTGTCCATTTTGCACATGTATGTTTAGCTTCCATGCTGTGTTTGACCCTGTAGTGGGCACAGAGGACACAGAGATAAGTAAAGGAGCCACAGTCATCCCCTTCAAATGGTTCAGTTGACACGCACACCAAGAGATGAGCTAGAACAGCACAGTAAGTGTATTCTGGACCAGAGCGAAGCCCTGGAAGTGTAATGTTCCAAAATGGAAAGTCAGCAACTCCACCCAGGTGGTGAGAACAGTCTTGAGGGAAATGGGTTTCTTCCCCCAGATCCAGAAGGATGAACAGGAGTTTTCCAAGGGAAGAGAATACCAGTCCTTGCAGAGAAAAGGGCATCCTCCTTATAAACCTTTAGTTCACTGGGAAAAATAAATACATCCCTGGATTTATGTTTGGCACAGACTAAGTGTAGAGAAGGAAAGAGGAAGAAGAGGAGGAGGAGAAGGAGGAGAGAAAAGAGGGGGTGGGGGAGGTAGAGAACATCTTGTTTCTATCTCCCTCATTCAAAGCTCTGCACTTTGCTTTTATTAGGCCAAAGGTCAGGGCCAAAAAAAAAAAAAAAGGTGCAGAAGTGCAGATGGTACCACCTGTAAGCTCACAGCTCGGCAGGGCTGGGGAGGTGGCCGGCAAGGCAGATGGTTGCCCAGCCTTCTGACTCTGGCCACCCAGGAATCACTTTCAAATACGTCTTCTTAACATGGGAAAGCAAGCAAAAGTGTGGAGAGGGGCCTCAGGCAGGCAAGTGAAGAAAAGTATTCCTAAGGGAATTGACTTCAGGATACAGGCCAAAGACTGAATTTGGCATCGGGACTCCCTGGGGCTATGCCATGGTGAAGGGGAACAAAGGAGGAGGGGAAGCAGCTCCAACTACACAAGGAGGAATGCCTTACTTCAAGGCCATTGTTAAAATCAGAGCCCCAAGTCAGTTTCAGTTCTCAAGGCTGGAGATTTCGCTGAACTGGTGAGGCCCCAGCCTGCACACTATGGCCAATTTATGGCTCAAAGGCCTCATTTCTCCATGACCTATCTCAAAAGACCTTCTTCTGAAGACTCCAAAGATTTTACGAAAAATCCTCTGCTATGTTCTAGCCTCTGGGGTGGCCGCCCAGGGAGAAGCTTGTGGAAAGCCTGTGGCGATAGCAACCTGCGGAAAGGAGGTCACAATTTCTCTCTCCTAAAGCTTCTTTTCCTTCCAGTTTCCTTCCAAGCAACACTGTGAGGGAGAACTGGCTGCAAGAGTCACATAAGTCTGACTTGGGCACAGGTTTGGGTTCACACACACACATACATACACACACACATGCACACACACATGGGAACCAGGCAGGTGACATTTCAATGCTGGCTGAGCCACTGCTCTGTTAGGCAACCTTGATAAAGCCCCGTGGTCCCACAGAGCCTCGGAGAATCATACCATTCATCTCCTTAAGTGGATTGTTGGGTATTCAGTCACTGCTAGGTGCCTGCTAGTCTCTTCTTCTTTCTAACAATGCAAATAGTTTTAAGTAAGGACGACAGCAAAGCTCAGAGAAGCCTGAGGGACAGTTGAGATGACATCACCTGTGATCAAGTGCAAACAGGTCTTCACCCTACCTGCACCCTTACCTGAAGGGTGACTCTTCACCCTACCTGCACCCTCACCCTCCACCATGCACCTCTGCAGTGCCTTCCCACTCCGACACTCAGTGTGGTGAGGTCACTCGCCTCAGCCAATGGAGTGCTAGCAAAAGAGAGGCCAGCAGAAGCTTGGAAAGGGCTTACTCACCTAGGAGTGGTCTTGTCTTGCTCTGTGCTTTTCACCATAAGAACGACATTCCCCCAGCTAGTCTGCTGGTTTCAGAAGGAGACGAAAGACACAGAGGGCAGAGTGGAGACACCCCAGCCACTCCAGCAAAATCACATCAGCCACCAGGCAGCCACACCCTAGACATGGAGGCAGTCCAGCCAAGATCAGCAGGGCTGCTTGGCCAATCTCCCCAGATATGTAGATAATAAATGCTTAATATTGAAAGCCACTGAGATTCTGCAGTTTGTTACTTGGCATTGCCGTGGCAAAAATTAACTGACGCAATTATGGTACACCATGATGGAAATATAATATGCATATCCCAGGGCTACTGATGAGATGAAATGAAATAAATGAAGGTCTTAACTCAATGAATGGTAGCTGTGATCCACCATCTCATAAGAAGGCTTGAGATCACCACTAAGCTGTCTGGAGAGGTCAACGGAACAGCCTAAGTTTCCTGTCCTGAGGGAACAACGAAGTTCATGAAGGAAGCAGGAGTGGGGCAACCTCCTCACCCTTCTTGCTATAGCTCCACAGGTTCCAGCAGCCCTGGGCCCACTCACACAGTCAGGATCCAGAGCTGTAGGCACAGCAGTGTGGGCTGCGACCGTTTCTACACCCATGTCCTCCTCCTCAGCTCTGGGCCTCACAGACTCCACCGAATGACTGCTCGGGTCTTCAGCCGTCTCTTAAGGCCCGGTTTCCTGGGATTTCAAAATGATTCCGCCTCCAAGGCTTGTTCTCAGGATCAACAATGAAAATGGATTTGAAATCCCAGCAAGAAGCAGATTGCTACATGAAATGAAGGGATGTCTTCCTCTTTCACCACCGCCATCGCTGTCATCGTCGTCATCATCATCATCACGACATGGTTGTCCTATCATAATAATTAGGGGAACACAATATTCCAAAGGCTAGGGGGAAGAAATGGGGAGCAAGGTGGACCAGTGTTTCACAACCAGAGCCCCGGGTTCAAACGCCGGATTGTCTTCTCATGTGCTGTGAGATCTTAAGAAAGTTACTTAACATCTCTGAGCTTCGATTTTCTCATTTATAAAATGAAGATAACAGTACTACCTACCTCTTAGTGTCATTATGAAGATTAAATGAATTAATATAAAAATCAGTTAAAACAGTGTTTGGCATATATGAAATGCTCAGAAAGTATTAGCTGCTACCGTTATTACTACTGTCACTGTTATCATTATCAGATGCACACACACAGAGTAGGCACTTTAACTTATCGACCTGTCTAATCCTCACAAAAACTCTAAGAGTTTGGACTCATCCAGTCAGTTTTACAAGGTGAAGAGCCTTGCTTAGCTTCCAGGTTAATGCTTTGTACGCAATACCAGGGGCCCTGGCAACGTGCAGGCAATCACCGGGCCCAGAAATGCTCCCCGTGCCTCCCTACACCCCATACCTATGATCAGGAAACAGGCTGATAAGCTCCCTGGCAGTTTCCTGGGTCGCTTTCACTTTATTTGTGCTGCTTTCTGCAGCTTTTGTGTTCTACAATGCCCTTGGCTGGGCGAGCAGCCCCTGGGGCATCAAAGGCCCCGCTGGCAGCAAATACAAAGCCACAGCAGTGCCAAGGGTCCCTCCCCTGCCAGCCACCCGCCACCCGCCACGCAGCCCGGGAGATTCACAAGGAGGTGCCCAGCCTCCTAACCACTCCAGGTGTTACTTAACCCTCAGCCTTGTGATCTGTCCTGGAACAGGCCAGGTGCGCCGACCCCAGTGTGACAGGCAGAGCTGATGTCCAAGTTGCTCCTGGACTGAGGGCAGCAGGCAGATAGCTGTCAACACGATGGTTGGGAGAACTTTGGTGTGAAAGAGCTCAGAAAAGCTTCATAGGGAGGGCGCTGTCTTGAATCCAGGATGGAGAGATCCCTGTTTCCACAATTCGATAGTCATTTACTGAACACCTGCTCTAGGGCAGGCCTGGGACTGGGGCTGAGGGATTCAAAGACAATCTGACATGGTCCTGGACTTGAGGGGTACAGAAGCTAGTGAGGAGGCCATGTGGAAAGACACGTTCAATGCTGAGATGAGCTTTGAGCAAGAAATGAGATAAAAAAGAAGACTGAACTTCCTGTGTCTATTCACTCAGTAACTATTAACAGAATGTCCACTTTGTGGCAGATGCTGGGGAGATGACAGTAAGTGAGGCACACAGTCCCTGTTCTTAAGAAACTTATGTTCTTGTTGACTCTGCCTTGGGGAACTCCAAAAGCCTTCCCAGAGAAGCTTCTGGATGTCAGCTGTGCCTCAAGTAGCATAATTTTGGGGAACTTATGTTGCATCTCAGCACTTCCAGCTCCTCAACTGTCAAATGGATATAACATGTTTGTATTATAACATACCAGGTGGCCTTAAAATATTTTCCTGCAGAAAAATTCCCTAACAGAAAAAAAATTCAACTTACATTAAATGACAAAAGCTGGTTACAAAACCAGAGGAACCTATTCTTTACTTTTTCAAATATATGTATATGCAAGAATTTAATATGAAATGAAATATATATGAAAAGTATATAAAATGCATTACATATGTACATAATATAATAGGCATGCACTGTTATGTCCATATAAACTATTATTACACATGGTAATAAACTAGCAATTCTAGTGTGTGTAGGGGTATGCATACATATGTACATGTGCACACATGAGTATATACGTTGGTAGGATAAAAAGGTTTTTTTAATTTTTCTTTTTCTTAAGATGGCATCTCATTCTGTCACCCAAGCTGGAGTGCACTGACACAGTCACAACTCACCGCAGCCTCTAACTCCCAGGCTCAAGTGATCCTTCCTCTTCAGCCACCAAGTAGCTGAAACTGCAGGTGCCCACCACCATGTCCAGCTAATTTTTTAAAAAAAATTTTTATAAAGACAAGATGTCACTCTGTTGCTCAGGCTGGTCTCAAGCTGCTGGGCTCAAGCAATCCTCCCATCTCAACCTCCCAAAATGCTGGGATTAGAGGCGCAAGCCACAGCACCCAGCAACAAGTGTTTTTTTGTTTGTTTGTTTTTGAGACAGAGTCTCCCTCTGTTGCCCAGGCTGGAGTGCAGTGGCGCGATCTCGGCTCACTGCAACCTCCACCTCCTGGGTTCAAGTGATTCTCCTGCCTCAGCCTCCCGAGTAGCTGGGACTAAGGTTAGCGCCACCACGCTCAGCTAATTTTTGTATTTTTAGTAAAGACGGTGTTTCACCATGTTGGTCAGGCTGGCCTTGAACTCCTAACCTCATGATCCACCTGCCTCGGCCTCCCAAAGTGCTGGGATTACAGGCGTGAGCCACCGCACCCGACCGCAACAAGTATTTTTTAAGTTTTCTTTCACTTATCTAAATTTCTTAAATTGTGCAGTCAGCATGTACTACTTTTGAAATTTAGAAAATAGGAGGCCAGGCACAATGGCTCACACCTGTAATCCCAGCACATTGGGAGGATGAGGTAGGCAGGTTGCTTGAGCCCAGGAGTTCGAGACCAGCCTGGGCAACATAGTGAGACCTCGTTTCCTGCAAAAAAAAAGTCAAAAAATTAACTGAGGGTGGTGGTGTGCACCTGTGGTCCCAGCTACTTGGAAGGCTGAGGTAGGAGGATTGCTTGAGCTTGGGAAGCCAAGGCTGCAGTAAGCAGTGATAGAGCCACTGCACTCTACAAAAAATAAAATCAAATAAAAAATTAGCCAGCCATGGTGGTGGTGCTGTAGTCCCAAGAGCTGCTTGGGAGGCTAAGGTGGGAGGATTACCTGAGTCCAGGAGTTTGAGGCCAGCCTGGGCAACATAGTAAGACCCCATCTCTATAAAAAATAAAAAAATTAGCCAGGTGCAGTGGTATGTGCCTGTAGTCCCAACTACTTGGGAGGCTGAGGTGGGAGGATTGCTTGAGCCCAGGAGGTCAAGGCTGCAGTGAGCTGAGGTCACATCACTGCATTCCAGCCTGGGTGACAGAGCAAGACCCTGTCCCCAAAATAATAAAAAATAACATTTAAAAATTTAAAAATAGGAACAGGAGACCCCTCTTTCACACGAGTCTTTTAGGCTCCGATGCTCCTCAGCTACTAGAATGATGATCCCCCACATATTAACAGTGCTCCCCACAACTCCTGTTGAAGACTTAGCTTGCAATGTGCTAACCTACAGTATTCATCACCCTTCACTGTGCCGGTGAACTGGGTGCTCTATGCTCCCCACTTACAGAAGAGAAAACTGAGGCATGAAGCAGATAGGTCCCTAGCTAGAGATGGCAGAGTGAGGCGCTCGACACTCATCTGAAGCCAAAGCCAGTGCTCCTACCCTTTGCCCAGTCCTGCCTCTCCTCAGAGAGCTCAGAACCCAGCCAGGCTATTCCTGCTGCCAGTTCTCCTTTGTGGAGACAGAGGCTGTGGGATGCACTGCCTGGGACAAACCAGAGGGCTTCACTATGGAGAACAGGGAGCCTGGGAAAGGACTCTGGGCTGTGGGAACAGCCCCAGCCTGTGGCCCTGGACGCAATACCCATGCCAGCCGAGGAGAACGTCCAGGCATTTCTGTCCCCATGTGAATGGGCCTGGGAGCAGCCAGGTCCCAGGAGCCAGAAAGGCGGGAAGCAGCTGCCAGCGCGCCGGCACCAGCACCCTGCCTTGCGCGCTCGGGCCAGCTTGGTTGGCTGCCTGTCAAGGCTTCAAAGGAGTGTGCAATGCAGGCTGGGGGACCTGGCTGGACTGGTTGGCCTGAAACCGAGGTGGCTGAACAAAAGGAGGCCGTGTGGGCTGGTTTGGCGGGAGCCCGTGGCGGGACGGAGGGCAGGAAGCGGGAGACAGCAGTGGGAGGACTGGGGAGAGATGCAAGGTGCACTTGGCACTGGGCAGCCTACGCCTGCAGGAGGGGACCAAATGCCAGCTGGGGGCCTCAGGTATGAGCCACATACAAGGGAAACAGGCTCAGGGAAGGCTGTGCCTTGGCAGGAGATGGCCAGCAAAGTGCAAACTCTTGTGCTGGTTAAACTCCAAGGGATTAGGTGCAGCATCTGTGCATTCTGGGAAATTCATTGAGTCATTTCTCCATTCATCCAACAGTGGCTGAACACTCACCATGAGCCAGCACTCAGTAGTGCTGAGAACCTAGCTGGGGGCCAGAACACCAGGGCCCCTACCTTGGCCACCTTGCATGGTGCCACAGCCCAGGGAGGCAAGAACCCAGGGTCTCTTCAGGATGAAGAGAAGGCAGAGACTTGTCACATGGCACAGAGCATAGACACGATGCCTGGGCTCCCTGGTGATTCCATCACTGACTCTGGGACTCAAAGCCTATGGCTTCATCCCCTGAGCCTCAGTGCCCGTCATTCACTATATGCTCAGTAAGTGTTGGCCAGGCAGTCAAGCCCATCAGTGCATGGGTAGGAGTGGGTAAACCCAGGATATAGGATGCCTGTCCCCACCCAAGTTCCCTTCTGACTGCATGCTGCCCACTCCCAAGGGAATCACCACCTTGTGGGTGAGAGGTTCCACTCTCCAGGGACCTCAAACAGTGAAGTCCTGAGCACAGAGCCTGGCACTCTAGGTGTCCAGCTAAGGGGAGCCACTGTTAGTGCTGCCGGGGAATACAACAGGGGGAGGAGGAGTCACTTGACTTCAGAGCCACACAGGCAGGGTTGGGACCCAGATCCAAGGGACTCGGAGCCTGGCTTTTTCCTCAACTTCAAGCCAGCACCAAAGAGAAGGTCACAACCTGACCCATCTCTGAGATTCTTATGTAAGAACAGAGGGAGATCCACACATAAATGGAAGCAGGGGAACCATGCATGGTGTCTTGTAATCAACGGTCACAACAGATGACCCATTAGAGAACTCAAGAAGATCGAGGAAGGCAAAGAGAGGGGCTGGGAGGTGGCAGACAAGAACGCCTCAGTGCACAGGCCTGGGAGTCAGGGTCCCAGATTCTGCTCCAGACTCTTCCATCTCTTCTATGGAATGAGGCCGGTCACGTTCCCCAGAGAGCGTCTTCTCATTTGGTAAATGAGAGGGCAAGAGCAGAGGATCCACAAGGTCTTTCTTTGCACACTACAGTTCTGTGCTTCCAGAGGGAGGGTAGGTGGGAGACTATAAGGAGAAGGCCAATATTTGAACTTTTCTGGCCTCTCGAACAGGATCAGCAGAGCTGGAACAGCTCTGGGTGCTGCCTGCCTTCCCAGGGGTCTAGCCAGCCTCCTCACCCTCCAGCCTGCCCTGGTGCAGCTGATCTCGGTCGTAAGCCAATGTGGCATGCAGAGAGACAGGTTGCAGAGATGGAGACAGAGGGATCTGGGCTCATTTTCTACCCACTGCTCGACGTGGGGCTTGGGGAAAGATATTTCTCCTCTGTGAGCCTCAGCTTCCTCAGGTGTAAATATGGATGAGAATAACACCTGCTGCAAAAGGTTGTCAGAGAGATTAAATGAGAGCCCAAACAAAAAACAG
The DNA here is from genome assembly GCF_000001405.40 of Homo sapiens. NCBI lineage: Eukaryota > Metazoa > Chordata > Mammalia > Primates > Hominidae > Homo > Homo sapiens. Next base: position 128,026,390 of record NC_000008.11, on the reverse strand, counting down.
AGCAGAGAAACATGAATTTCTCTCTCCCTACTCTCACTTTATTTGAGCACAAGCCCTTTGAATAAAAAAAAAAATACAAATAAAAAAATAAAAAGTCTTCTTAAATGTCCACAACTACAAAACAAGAGTGAATCAGAAAGAAGGCTGGGACTGGGTGCGGTGGCTCACGCCTGTAATCCCAGCACTTTGGGAGGCTGAGGCAGATGGATCACTTGAGGTCAGGAGTTTGAGACCAGCCTGGCCAACATGGTGAAACCTCATCTCTACTAAAATTGCAAAAATTAGCTGGGTGTGGTAGTGCACACCTGTAATCCCAGCTACTCTGGCAGGAGAATCACTTGAACCCTGGAGGCGGAGGTTGCAGTGAGCTGAGATCACAACATTGCACTCCGGCCTGGACAACAGAGCAAGAGTCTGTCTCAAAAGAAAAAAAAAAAAAGGAGGCTGGATTCTCATAAGGAAGATCTGGGCTCCAGTCTCTGCTCTGATACTTATTCTACATTAAGCCACTGGGGGAGCTACTCAAGCTCTCTTGGCCTCAGTTGCCTCACCTGTAAAATGGGGCTAAAAAGAATGCTCCATTCACAGGGTTTGGGAGACCTTAAGTGAGCTAATGTATGTGAAAATGCTTTGGAAATCAGGGAGCTTTCAAAACGTTAATTATTGCAATGCTCTGACTTAGTAAGGCAGATCCTCTTGTAAGAAACAGCCTTGGAAATAGTCTGTCACATGGTTCCAACAGGAAGGGAGCTGTATTGAGATTCTGCACGAATTTAAATCTTCCCTAACATCTAATCAAAGGCAGGCAGTATGGCAAATTCTTTCAGATGTGGCCCAAATGGTCTGGGAATGGTGCAAGACTGGGCATTTGGAGAAGGGTGCCTGGGGTGAGCTGGACAGGAGACTCTCTCCCCTGAGGGCTGAAGGTGCCTGGTGCAGGGCTCTCAGGCACCTTGCCAGTGTTTGTTCTGTGCACATTGCGCAGGCCTCCTGCCTTCTCCTCTGGGTACATCAGGTGATGGTGGGATTATTACCTGCCTGACAGGTAGTTGAGAGACAGGGGTACAAAGAGGGCAAGAAACAGCTCCTCAGAGAAGCTGCCAGCCCAGCAGCTGGCCCCCGAGGCCCCGAACACCCAGGGTGCAATGACGGAAGGCATCCTGCTTCCGTACCCCGAACCGCTGAGCAAATACACAAGTGTGGCAGGTGCCTGGGGCTGCTAGCCAAGTAGGGCTCCTGCCTGGCCTGCGCCAGCCCAAACAGCTCCCTGGCACCGCTCCCACCCTCTGAGCTGGCAGGCAGAACGAAGGATAGGTAGATGCCGGGGCAGCCAGCATGAGGGGCTTCTCTCCTCAGATCCTTGGAGGTGTTGTCTAGAAATGGCATGTCTGGGGCTGGGCACAGTGGCTCACGCCTGTAATCCCAACACTTTGAGAGGCCAAGATGGGATCACTTGAGGCCAGGAGTTTAAGATCAGCCTGGTCAACATAGCGAGACCCCACCTCTATAAAAATAAATGAATGAATGAATGAATTGATTAGAGATGGCACACCTGCAGCTAGCCAGCCCTCAGGCCTCTTCCCAAAAGGCATCCTCCTCATGATGCTGACTTGCTTCCCTGAAGACAGCACAGGCGCATAGGAGCAGCTCAGGTGTTCCCTGGTGTGTCTTTTGTTGTTGTTGTTAAACCATAGTGCTTCTTTTAAGGTGCTCACGTGGAGGCCTAGAAACTGATAATGTCTCCATGGGAAACTTTTTTTTTTTGAGACAGGGTCTTACTCTGTCACCCAGGCTGGAGTGCAGTGACACAATCATGGCTTGCTGCAGCCTGGACCTTCCTGGGCTCAGGTGATCCTCCCACCTTAGCCTCCTGAGCAGCTGGGACTACAGGCATGCACCACCAAACTAGGCTAATTTCCGTTATTTTTTTTGTAGAAACAGGGTCTCACCATGTTGCCCAGGCTGATCTGGAATTCCTGGGCTCAAACCATCCACCTGCCTTGGCCTCCCAAATTGCTCCCCGAAATGCTGGGATTACAGGCATGAGCCACTATGACAGCCCTCCACAAGCAACTTTTATCCAGGAATTTCAGTGACACCCACTGGCCCATGAGATCTCAATAAGTCACACCAAGGGCCCTGGAAGGGGTATCAGGTAATCTGGTTACACTCACTGCCGTGTAGCCTTCGGCAGGCCACTTCCATTCACAGGTGCAATTCCTTCATTGATAAACTGAGGAGCTTCACCTGGATGCCTGCTGTGGGCTCTGCAGACGGTGGTGGGGTGTAAGAGGCTGTCCTTTGCTGTGAGGTAGCTCTGGATCTAGAAGTTTGAGCTGTTACCTCCTTAGCTGTGTGCTCTCTGATCATCTATTTGATGTCTCTGAGCTGTTTTGTCCCCTTTAAAAATCAGGAGAGCAATTCCTCCACGCAGAATAGATAAGAAGTGCCTGGCGTAGAGCAAATGCCCAAAATATGGGGACCGCTGTTTTTTTTGTTCACTCATGCTGTGTTCTCAAACTGATACTGATGTCAAGCTGTTTTCTCCTTGAAGAATGTAACAGGCTTGCCTTGGAGCCAGGGACCCAAATTACTCCGTAGATCAATCGACATCTCACGTAAAACTAGGAACCTAGCTACTTCACGTCTCTCTCTCTGAATGTCCAGCAAATGGCATTTCCACTCTTAAAGAATTTCAAGTGAGTGGCAGTGATTGCAGCCTACTAGAGATGTTCTGAATAGAGAAATCAGGTGCAAAAGAGTTACATAATTTATCCTTATAAGACCATTCAGTCATTCCAAAAGTAGTTGATGTATCAGGCAATGCATGTAGCACTAACCAACCCATGCCCTGGCAGGATTTGAATCCAATAGTTATTACTATTGTAATAGTAATAGTTATTACTGAGTTTCCCACTGTACCTATTACCAAAACAATGGTGCACAACGAGCTCAGTGGCATAAGCACTAAGTGTCCATATATCTGCGTGGTCAAGTAGGTAGCTTTGGTGATCTTGGCTGGGCTCACATGGAGGTCTAGGAGTTGGCTGGCTGTCAACTGATCTAGGTTGGTGTCAACTGGGACCATTAGAGCACCTGAGTTATGTTCTATGTGTCATTCTTTCTTCTCCCGGAACCAGTGACTAGCCCTGAAATCTCTTTTCATGGTGATAAAAGAGATTCAACAGTGGAAATGGAAACAGTATTTCAAAGCTCAGCTTGCAGCCGGATACAGTGGCTCATGCCTATAATTCCAGCACTTTGGGAGGCCAAGGCAGGCAGATCACCTGAGGTCAGGAGTTTGAGATCAGCCTAGCCAACATGGTGAAACTCTGTCTCTACTAAAAATAACAAAAATTAGCCAGGTGTGGTGGTGCACTCCTGTAATCCCAGATACATGGGAGGCTGAGGCAAGAGAATTGCTTGAACCCAGGAGGTGGAGTTTGCAGTGAGCCAAGATCAGGCCACTGCACTCCAGCCTGGGCCACAGAGCGGGACTCTGTCTTAAAAAAAAAAAAAAAAAAAAAATCTCAGCTTGCGTCATGTTTACTAACAGCTTATGAGACACAGTCAGTCCAGAATGAGATACAGGGAATGAGTGAAGAATTAGGGCCATTCCTGTAATCAGTTCACCACATCATTTTATAGATGAAGAAGGGAGGATCCATATAATTATGCTACTTACGTAAAGTTACTGAGCTTAGTATCTGAGTCAGGATTTGAACTTGGGCTATTTCAACTGTACCAAGTTCCATGCTGCTGCCATCAGATATCATGGGTACAAAGGAGAGGCAGCAAGAACTTGGAAGGCCAAGAGTGAACCGGACACCAGATTTGGCCCTGCCAGGAATTCTTCAGTGCATCTTATGTGTGCAAGGCCTTTGTGAGCGCAGGGAAATGCCTTCCTGACCCAGGTGGAGATCTAGCACAAGCTCTGGCCAACAGAAGCTATCCTCACCCTATACAGAATGAAAGCAAATAGCACTGAATTAAATAGCTGCAGTCAACCAGCAGCTTTATTTGGGAGAGTGGATATGAATTAAGCAGTTCCTCAGAGAAGAATGCAACTTTCCCTTTATTTCTAAGCCCCATAAATCCAGGGTAAAGGTCAAGCCAAGACTCCAAGTTAATTGATCCACTCCCACCCCGTCCCCACCTTAAAATGTCCTGGTTTTACTGGGGATAAGGAGAGCACATTGTAACCCACCTCCACACAAGGCCTGCAGCTCTGCTGGGTTGACATAGGAAAGAAAAGGCCAAACAGGGTCCAGAGCTGACACCCAGCATCTGATTCAGTGGTTCTGGGCAGGAGCACAGAAGCTGACTTTTCTTTATTTTTGGGACAGAGTCTCGCTCTGTGGCCCAGGCTGGGGTGCAGTGGCATGATCTTGGCTCACTGCAACCTCTCCCTCTTGAGTTCAAGCGATTCTCATGCCTCAGCATCCCAAATAGCTGGGATTACAGGCATGTAATGCTTCCCTACCCCTGCACTCTCCCTCACTCCCAGCACCTCTGTAATGCCACAAACATACTGATGCATGCCATCTGAGCTCAGACGCTAATCAAGAATGAAGGAGAAAGGACACTGAAGACCTCCCTGCCATATTAGGCATATTGCCTGCAGTTGTTCATTAAAATAGCACATAAATGAGTATTTATTCGGTTCTTTTTGCACTATTTTAAGATGGATGTCTCCAAGGACTTGAAAAATCCCAGGAGTATTTTTAGCACACTCACCCTGCAACAGCATTTCTGTTTGTGGGGACTGATTATACTGAGTATAAAGATGGCCCAGACAGGCCGGGCGCGGTTGCTCACGCCTGTAATCCCAGCACTTTGGGAGGCCGAGGAGGGCGGATCACGAAGTCAGGAGATCAAGACCATCCTGGCTAACATGGTGAAACCCTGTCTCTACTAAAAATACAAAAAATTAACCGGGCATGGTGGCGGGCGCCTGTGGTCCCAGCTACTCGGGAGGCTGAGGCAGGAGAATGGCGTGAACCCAGGAGGCGGAGCTTGCAGTGAGCCAAGATTGCGCCACCGTGCTCCAGCCTGAGCAACAGAGCTAGACTCCGTCTCAAAAAAAAAAAAAAAAAAAAAGCACAAGTCCTGGGGAATCGGACTGGAGAGGCAATGCCCCTGTCCCCAGTAGAGATTGTGAATCCTAGGCTGGGGGATGTGCCCTGGATTCAGTAGAAACAGGAAGCCCACAGGATGTCTGTAGCTAGGGAGCGATGGAAGCAAAGCCGCACTCCAGGAAGTTGCATCTGGAGGCAGTTTGAAGGATGGTTGGGCAGAGGGAGGGCCTGGAGTTGAAAAGACCCCTAAGGAAGCTACCAAAACATCCCAGGGGGTCTGAAATAGGAAGCCAAGGCCCACATTGCAGTGGTAAAAATCCACCAAGCGGTGACTATAGGCAGGTGGGGGAGATGAAGTGTTTGGAAGATGTTAGAACCTGCTCATTCAGGAGCAGCAGGGCAAGCTGAGCTGAGACACCTGAAAGTGAGCTACTACTGGGACTTGAAGGTCCCCTGCGAAAGTGCAAACACGCTCTGGAAAAAGCGGGGCCTGGGGCCTGCATTCCCAAACACTAGGATCCTGTATTAATTTTCTACAGCCACTATAACAAATTACTACAAACTTAGTGGCTTAAAACAACACATATAATTACCTCAGTGCTCCTTAGGTCAGAATGTGGGTTGGCTCAGCTGGTTTCCCTGCTCCTGGTTCATGAAGCTGAATTCAAGGTGACAGCGGACTGGGCTCCTATCAGGAGGTTCTGGAAGGATCCTCTTCCAAACTTATTCATGTTGCTGAATTCAGTTCCCTGCAGCTGTAGGCCGGCGGTCCCCATTTCTCTGTTGGCTGTTAGCTAGGGGCCACCGTTAGCAACCAGTCTCTCCCTCCAGTTCCTACAAGTGGGCCCCACATTTCAGAGCCAGCAGTGGCACATCAACTCCTTCTCACACTTACAATCTTTCATGGCATTTTCTTGATCACAGTCGGAGAAAACCTCTGCCTTTAAGGGCCCGTGTGATTGGATTGGATCCACCTGGATAACCAAGGATACTCTCCCTATTAGAAGTCAATTGATTAGTAACCTTAATTACATCTGCAAAGTCCCCTTTGCCATATAAAGTAACATATTCATTCATAGGCATAACATCAGAGATTAGGGCATGGGCATCTTTAGAGGGCCATTCTGTTTACCAGAGCTTCTCTGCTTCTCCACAGGAAACAGGTTGAGACATCACACAATAAATCATAAGGGGTAGAGAGCCCTGCCACAGAAGGAGGCCTGGGTTCTAAACATCATGGAGAAGGACTTTACCCAGCCTCAGTGAGGGGTGGTGGAAAAGACGAAAATCAGGAAACATTTCCCAAAAGAAAAATGAGATTCTCTGATGGAAACTGGAATTGAGCAGAGCAAAGGGATGTGTTGCCAGCAGAGTTGATTAGGCTACAGGTCATTGGAAGAACATATTTAGAAGAAACCAAAGCTAGAGTGAACTCCAAGTAAACACCAAAGTTTACTTTTTTGTCCACTGCAAGTGCACAGCATTGCAGGAGCTAGCCTCCGAGTGCCAAGCTGCTGCCATTCCTGTCTCCTGGGGGGCCGATTCTGCCTTTCCAGAAGCAACACAGTGAGCCTTCATGGAAACCCCATCCCACAAGTGAGAGAAGCTAAGTGAATCTGCACATGCTGGTCTAGGAAGACATCCGTGATACCGTAAATAAAAATGGCACACTTATCAATACCATTGCAAGTTTCCATTTCCTGCCTCCCTCAAAACAAAGTACAAAAAAGCAAACGTTGTGAGCATGTATGCACTTGCAAAAGCTGATTGTTAAATATTCAAGAAATTTGCGAACTCGTTTTTAAAGCTTTGGTTGCCTGAAATCGGCTGCGGTGGGATTTCACCATTGAAATTGACAAACCTACAATTCAGGGTTTTTGTTTCTCCTCTTGAGAAGTTTAACAGTGCACCACTACATTTGCATAAATTACCAAACTGACAACAGGGATTATCTCAAGAAGGGGCGGGATGGGTTTCAAGCTTGTGTTGGTTACTTTCCCGTCTTTATATTATTAATTTTTAAGATTGGTGCAATTATAGCAATTTTTAATTTTTTCCATTATCTCCCAGATGTAAAAAATTAACATAAAACAAAACCACCAGGCTGTAATTCCTCATTTTCAGAGTTCTTTTCCTTGGAGGCAGCAGCAGCATCCTGGGCACCGTGGCTGCCTTCAGCTGGTCCAGACGCAGTGGCTCTGACGTTCTCTGGCAGGTGGGAAACGCTGCCTGATGGTCAGCGGCTGCTCATTGCTGATGCACTGCTAAGAACTGGGCAGCCCAGACCAGCTAGACAGCTGAGGTCTTTCCGGGAAGCTGGACACACCTCCCCAGGGAAGAGCCTTCCTTAGCTGCAGACTGAGCCACAAACCTCGCGGCTCATCTGCTGCAACCATTATGAATCATACTAGGATTATCAAGGAACAATCTTCTCCAGGATCAGCCCTTTCCCTACCACTGTCGGATTCAGGGAATTTTAAGTGGTGGGGGGAGGAGGGAGGTAGCCAGTGTATTCCAGACAGCAACACTAACTGCCTGTCCTGAGGACGCAAGATTTTCTCATTTGTAAGGCTCTGCGTAACACACTCATCCTAGCACACAGGGCTTCAATGTCAGGATGCAGCCTCCTTCCCAGGAAGCTGGCTGGACACTAGGTCACAGACGAGCTGAAGCTCTCCCAAGAATACACCCCCTGTTTGACCCTGACATTTACTGCTACGGCCACCTGAAGACGAGACTTTCCATCTGGAACGTTTCGGTACCTATCTCCCTGGCATTTCTCCAGCACTCTTTTCCTCTGTGATTGTTTAGCCCAATAAGCACACAGAATGGCATTACACATAGTGGTAAAGAAGCTGTTACATGTGGTGACGAAGATGTCATTACATGCAGCAATGAAGGGGGCTTCCAGGAGCCTAACAGAGGTGACAGAGGCACAAAGGGGCTGCTGCCCACTTCCTGGGGAGAGCATCTACCAATTTCCAGCCTGTGTCTGGCACAGAGCAGCTAATCATGACATGACTGCTGACCTGTGGGTGACTTTATGTGACCTTTTATAACATCTTTTTCTTTCCTTATAATATCATCATGCCATTTGAACAATTTGCATCCTGTCCCTTTTCCCCATAATGAAGTCATTTTTAACCCTTATTTTCATGTTTACATGGCTGAAGAAAGAATTCTGTGCACGTGCTGGAGGGCCTTCCACCACTCCCCTCTCACAGGAGATTGAAGCTATTTTGGAATTTTCATGGTTATAAACACACTGCAGCCAATATTTTTGTGCGTATGCGCAACAGGATTCGGAAAATGTTCTCTGAAATAAATCTACGTATTCGTAGATTATTACAAACTCCCAGGGCGCAGGAGGGTAAGATGTGCTGGCATTCCATCTGATCCTGGTGAACACAGGAGCTGAATGTGACCTACAGCTGGGCCACATGTGGCATCACCCCCGACACAAGGAGTGAGAGCCCCAGAGACCTCATCTGACATGTGGCAGGCTGTGATGGCTGCCGATATAAATGAGGCTGTGTGTGTCCAGGTCCTATTAATTCATGTTAAAAAATTAAGGAGGGCTGGGCATGATGGCTCACGCCTATAATTCCAGCACTTTGGGAGGCCGAGGCAGGAGGATAACTTGAGCCCAGGAGTTTGAGACCAGCCCTGGCAACATAGCAAGATCCCTGCCTCTAAAAAAATTAAAAAAAAAAAAAAATAGCGCTTGGTGGCATGCACTTATAGTCCCAGCTGCTTGGGAGGCTGAGGTGGGAGGATCACTTGAACCTAGGAGGTTGAGGCTGCAGTGAGCTCACTGCACTCCAGCCTGGGCTACAGAGCAAGACTCTGTCTCAGAAACAAAACAAAATGAAAAAATTAAGGAGGCAGCTGGCCATGTAGTTGTGTAGACAACACATTCTTCATGTCTCAGGAACCGGGCAGCAGAATTTTTGCTGTTGCAGGAATCTTCCCACCTGTTCTTCTGTGGTCATTTCTGCTCCATTCTCCATTGCCCTCTGGCACACTGAGAAACCCTTTGACATGGAGACATTCAGAGGCAAAGTTTGGAAAATAGGACTCTAGGACCTCCATACAAGGGTGAGAGAATTTAATTCAGGTTAGAAATGTCGGGATTTGAGGTCCACTGGATTTCTATAGCTGCCCATATGTCCCCCAACCTCTCTGAGTCTATGCATTTCCATCTATAAGCAGGTGGGGTGACGATGGCCAGATAATCTCCAAGAGCCCCTCTCTGATGTTCTACACCATCTTGGAAACTTTTCTTTTTCTTTTGAGACAGGGTCTTGCTGTGTTTCCCAGTTTTGCCTTGAACTCCTGGGCTCAAGCCATACTCTTACCTTGGCCTCCCGAAGTGCTGGGATTACAGGCATGAGCCACCATCTTGGAATCTAAGAGGATGGGAGCTGCTAACCCAGGAATGGCAGGGAACTCATCCTCATCCAGACTGAGACATCAGACCCTCCAAACTTCAAGTTTCCACAGCACTGAAGCTCTGATTAGGAAAAGCCATGGCTTTCTGGCCAGGATAACCATGTCGTGTCACCTGGGTAGCTTATTCAATTGTGAGTGTTTAAAGAGCAGTACAGGCATGACTCATCTTCGTCTCCCTCACAGCACCAGTTGTGTGGTGAGCCTGTAGGAGAATTCGTGCTGTCTCCTTTGTAGTGAAAACAAAACCAAAGACAATCTATAAGATACCAGCAAGGGAGGAGTTAATGTAAATCATGATCCAGCTGTAAGCATTAGCCATTCCATTCATGGTGGAGATCTATCCTTAATAACACAGAGAGATGTCTACCACATATTTCCAAAGGGATACATTAATTTCAGGACCACACGAATGGTCCTGTGAGGCCATGTGTACCTACAAACAATCCACAAATAAGTAAGGCCATAGTTGGTGACACATGTTATGCAAGGGTAGGTTCACAAACCCAACCTCACTTATTCTTGAGCAACACTAAGGTATTTATGGCAGAGAATGGTTACCATCCTCGCCCCCTTTTTTTTTTTTTGAGACAGGGTCTTGGTCTGTTGCCCAGGCTGGAGTGCAATGGTGTGATCTTGGTTCACCGCAATCTCCACCTCCCAGATTCTGGTGATCCTCCTATTCAGTCTCTTAAGTAGCTGAGACCACAGGCATGTGCCACCACACGTGGCTAATTTTTGTATTTTTTATAGAGACAGGGTTTCGCTATGTTGCCCAGGCTGATCTCCAACTCCTGAGATGAAGCAATCCTCCCACCTTGGCTTCCCAAAGACCATCCCCCTTCTAAAGCTCGTCTAGAACTTATCCCTGGCAAGTGAAATGATTGTAGCCTACTTCCAGAAGACGTGTTTAAGAAGTGGTGTGCCTTCTCTCCTGTCCTTCATCTCCGCTGCCAGTTGGAGTAACTTCAAGGTCCCAGGGATGGCAGAACAACAACATGGAAGAGACCTGGGTCTCTAGATCACAGAATGAAGAAAAGCCACCTAATGACCAGGAAAACCCTTCTCAAACCTTTTTTTTTTTTTTTTTTTGAGACAAAGTCTTGCTCAGTCACCAGGCTGGAGTGCAGTGGCGTGATCTTGGCTCACTGCAACCTCCGCCTCCCAGGTTCAAGCGATTCTCCTGCCTCAGCCTCCCGAATAGCTGAATCTACAGGCGCATGCCACCACAGCCAGTTAATTTTGGTGTTTTTAGTAGAGACAGGGTTTCACCATGTTGGCCAGGATGGTCTCGATTTCTTGACCTCGTGATCTACCACCTTGGCCTCCCAAAGTGCTGGGGTTACAGACGTGAGCCACTGCGCCCAGCTTCAAACTATTATCTGACTTAGAAAGAGGTGTCTTTGAGCTACTAGAATACTGAGGTTTATTTGTTATGTCATCTAGAGTTACTCTAACTAAACAATCACTTCTCAGACAGGCACAGTGGCTCATACTTGTAATCCCAGCATTTTGGGAGGCCGAGATGGGCAGATCACATGAGGCCAGGAGTTTAAGACCAGCCTGGTCAACATAGTGAAAACCAGTCTCTACTAAAAATACAAAAAGTAGCCTGATGTGTTGGTGCACGCCTGCAATCCCAGTTACTCAGGAGGCTGAGGCACGAGAATCGCTTGAACCCAGATACCAGAGGTTGCAGTTAGCTGAGATCGCACCACTGTACTCCAGCCTGGGCAACAGAGTGAAACCCTGTCTCAAAAATAAATAAATAATAAATAAATAAATAAATAAATAAATAAATAAATAAATCTATTTCTCTTTTCTTTCTCTTAGGTGAGGAAACTGAGGCTCAACATGGTAAATTAAACTTGACAAGGATACACAACTCACAAGGTGTGGAGTCCCACTAGTTTCTTGGACAGTTTCTAAAGTCTATGATCTTTCCACAGCACCCAGCTTGTGGCATGCTAATTGCTTAAGTGCCCCTAGAGTCCAGATGAAGAAAGTTCAGGGCACAAGACTCTGAGAGTACAAAGCACTCCAGAAATAAGCCAGTTGCATTTGTCATTAGCTTTCCTGTCCACATTCCCTTTTCTTAGTCAGGTTCAGTCCATCTAGAACTTCAATTTCAATGGAAACAGAGGAAATGAATGTGGTAGCAGACATCACTAAGCACTCTCAAAGCTTTCTTGTTACTTTGAAATGGTCTAAAAAGCCCATTCTTTCTACCCACTGGGTCCCCACCTTCCCCGCCAAGTCTGTGTTCTCTGTTCGGTTCATTATCAGCACCGCCCACGGCCAGACACGGCCAGGCGGCTTCACAGAAGCCAAAGAGCTTATCAGAAATAAGTACTTTATTTGACAGTGAGGCCAGATGTGCAGAGAGAGGCATTTCAAGGCCTTCACTTCTCTTCTCATAATTAGTCAGCTTCTAGCAATGATGAGAGTCTGAAGATATCGCAAAATAATGAATGACCTTCTCAAGCAGCTCCAATGAGGGAGCGTTGTTTCAGCACCCATCACAGGATTCTAGAATGTGAGCATTGAGGGAGACCCTCAAAATACTGGCTAACCCCCCTTGTAGAGATGAGGATAAATCCACAGAGAAAAGCTATGTCGTCTGTCTGGCCACTCTCTGTGTATCCACTGTGCACCTGCCATGTGTCAGGCAGTGACCTAAACCCTGGGAGGGAATAAATGCAAAAAAGACACATTCCCTCACCTTGACGAAACAGAGCTTCGTGAGAGACACTGACCCATTTATCTCAGGCCCATACATGTTTATTGCAGGGCCTACTAACACTTGGGTCCCCACTGCTCACCAGAACAACAGCTATTACAGCAGCTACAATGGTCCAAACCTATCCTCATATACGTGTCTATAGTTCCCAGAAATCTGTAAAGATTTCTGTAAAGGTCTTTTGTGACTCCAGGATTTAACACAGCATCTCAGGATGTGATGTTTAAGCTAAATTGAGTCAAAAAAATAACTTTTTGTTCATTTTGGTCCAGCGTGATTCATTCATTAATTCATTTGACAAGGCACATTTCCTAGCCCCAATGATTAGGACTTACTGTTGAGGGATAGAGAGATAAGTAATCACAGTAAGTCCCAGGACACTATATGTGGAAGGGAAAGAAAGAATGCAGGTGACACAACTAACTCTGTCAGGAGAGTCTCCCCCACAGCAAGGTACGAATAAGGACCATTTGTTCTAGTCTCCGTAGCATCCTAGCCTATTTCCACTTCCTCTTGTCATCATCTGTCCTCTTCAAAGTTCAAATGGCTCAAGAGGCAGAGATTGTGTCTCTCTTGTCCATTCCTCAGCATTCAGCAAGTGTTCAATAAACATTTGTGGAATGAATATATCAGGTTAGGGACACAAAAACACATTACAATTCCATAATAGAAATAGAAAGTGATGATATGCTTACACATAGGAAGAAGTGGCTAACTCTGCCAGGGGGAAAAAAAAACAGGAAAAATATCTTACATACATTTATACACTCACACACATGCAGCTATTACAATGATAACAACACCATTAAGCAAGACTTATTTGTGGAACCCTAACTATTCAACAGGCATAATCCCAAGAGTTAATGCTCACAACAGACTTATAAGGAAACTAGTATTATTATCCCCATGTTACAGAGGAGATGGAAACAGAGGCACAGGGAAGGGGGGGTGGCCTTTCTGAGGTCACAGAGCTAGTAAAAACAAGAGTTGCAGTATAAATCCACATGGCACCCCCATAGACTATGACCTCAAATCAGGATGGCTTCAGGGAAGAAGGAATGAAATCATTTCTACAAAACCAAAAGCAATCGGCACAGAGCTAGCAGGCCCTGGGAACATAGCAGGCCCCTTCATGCCTCATTCCAATAACCCATGAACCTGAATGTGCAAACCTGCCCCACACCAACAAAAATTTGGTGATTCTCAACCATCTAAAGAGATTTTTTAAAACACCAAAGCCCAGATCCCTCTCTAGATCAATTAAATCTTAATCTCTGGAGTACGGTGGGAGTGGGGTGGATATTAGTAGATTTTGCAAGCCCCTAGGTGACTATGGTATACAGCCAGGACTAGGAACTCCTAGAGTGACTTGTTTACAAGGTACAAAACAGGACTCTGGCAGGAGGAGCAGCCGAGAAATTGCTGAGGATCAGCAAGAGTGCAAGAAAGAATGAGTTGACTGTTTGACTACTGTTTCCCTAGATTAATTATTCATGTGACTCGAAACAGGGTCTCCATCAACTCTGCAAGAACTCCTTGCACACCCAACAGGGCCAACGTTGGCTCACATTCATTTGAAGAGGGTGCCCAACTGTCTGCAACCCTAATGCTCTGCCCAAGAAGAGTTGAAAACCTTGCTAAACTCACTCAACTCTTGAAGCCTCCATTTTCTCATTTGCAAAATGAGAACAATAAAAGCTGGTTCTAAGGGCATTTGTGAGCATTAAAGGGGATATTGATGTTGATGAATTTACCAAAATGCAAAACAAACAGAAAAACATCAGCCTCAGAGAAAATATTATTTCCACCTTGGAAAAGACTGAGTAGAGTAAAGAGTACAGTAGAGACCCAGGTCCAAGCCTGGCTTGGCCTTTCCTAGCAAGTCTAGAAATGACTCTGCCCATGTATTCCTCTTCTGCCAACCAAGGTACCACAATAGCTCCTTCATGCATCCCCCTCATTCAGCAAATGTGTATTGAATGTCAACTCTAATGTTTTGATATAAATCATGGGAGCTAATGTACTCACAAAAATGCTTTGGAAATTTTAATGTGCTCCACAAATAAGAGGGAATCGTTTCTGTTTGTAATGATTCACTGTGAGCTCACAAGTCCCAAAGACTAAGTGACCTTATGGGGTCGCATCACAGTGCAATGCTTGGATCCTTTCAGCCCCACCCCCTCTCAGTAGTAATACAGTCCCTGTGTGGATATCTCCAGTGATGAGATCCCAACCACTGTCAGAGACAGAGCATTCTCTCAGGTTCCTTTTCCTTTTATTAAGTTGCTTTCTGTTTGCCTACTGTTTCTACCTTTCCATTTTGGTTCTGATCTTTGGGGCCACAAGAAGTATATTTGACCTCTTCTCAGCCTTTCACTAATTGAATATCACCACCATCAAGGTCCAGTCTCTACCTCCTAACTCCTCTCCACATCTTCTCTCTGTGAAGCTAAGACGGCCCTAGTTTCCTTGTATTTCTCCATTTGGAAGGCAATAATAGACTGCACCAGACTGGGTGGCTTAAATAATAGAAAATTCATTTTCTTACAGTTCTGAAGACTACAAGTGCAAGATCAAGGTGCTAGTATGGTCTGTTCTGATGAGGGCCCTCTCCTTGCATTGTGGATGGCTCCCTTCTCATTGTGTCCTCACGTAGCAGAGAGAGAAGAGAGACAGTAAGCTCTCTGAGGTCTCTTATTTTGAGGGCACTAATTTCATCACGAGAGCCCCACCCTCATAATCTCATTTAACCTGAATTATCTCCCAAAGGTCCACTTCTTAATACTGAGTACATGGGGGTAGGTTTCATCATATACGTTTGGAAGAAGGAAAACAGTTCAGTCCATAACACTCCCCCACAAAAGATTATCTTGCTAAACAGAAGCAAATCTGATTGAGACATTGACTAAGTACCCACCATGCTTACAAAACATGACTCGTATATGCTGAGGAAATCAATTTGATTGCCCTACCATCAAGACACATATAGTCTAAAGATTGTTGCCATCTACATTTTAGAGGTCCCCGCACCTTAAGACAGAATGAGCCAGAGGCCTGGGTAAATTTGGAATTTACAAATAGAGTCAAAGAAGTCAAGGCAAGAGAAAAACATAGCCCCACCCTTTCATTAGATTTTATTCTAGAGATTAAGACTCCTAAACCAAAATCACAAAATCTCAACCCATTCACTGTTGACTGATTGCCTTCTTTGGACCATGCTGCAGAAATCACAGCAGCAATAAACACGGCAGGCAAATGTGTCAACCCCTGGGGAACTTTAACTTGTTTTCTGCTGTTGTAGTGAGATCAAGTGTGTGTGATTCAACAAGACGGGACATGTGAAACTTCCCTGTACCCCTCAAGCCCAGCACAGAGCCTCATCCAGAGTAGATGCTCAATGATGACACCTTATAAAACAACAAATAATAGCCAAGACCTCTCCTAAGTCTGCTGAGGGGTAGCCACATGGCTTCTTAAAAGTCAGAGGCCATTTGCTATTAAAGAAAGCCATGAGCTTTGCGCAGTGGCAGTATCGTAGCCAATGAGGTTTCACCGAGGTGCGATTATTGCTAATAGAAAGCCACAGATGGTCCTGGAGACCAGAGCCATCAAAACCCTTGTTCTTGTGCGGAAAAGAAGGCAAACCAGGGACCGAACTTGGCTTTTGAAGATGACTCACCACCAAAATCCCAGGTCTTGATGACAGGTTAAATCTTGTAAAACTTTAATTTGGCGAAGAAGTTGGCTGCTGTATTACTCTGTCACATGTCTTGGGAGAGGTCCAGTTTCTGTCACCCTAGCATTAACTGAAAAGCGGGATGAAATATGAAGACATTTTGCAGTTTATAAGAGAAAAGCACCAGGGAGTTTTAACAATTTGGAGAAGTATCATCCTAAAATTGGACTCTAATGGTCACTGAAACCATTGCTGCATTCAGTAAAACTGGGTTGCCTAAAGCTACTGCCATGGAGAATCTAAAACAAGACATAAAGAGGCAGGAATCAGTCACATAGAGGCTTGATGTACAATATGTCCAATGAAGCTTCCACCGGAGAACTGAAAAGCAGTATCTCAGCAGAATTGCAACTTCTGATTTTAGGTTCTTGTCAATCTATTCTAACTCTTAGCAAAAGATTCTTGCTGTTCAGCCTCAGAAACACTTTTATCTTAGTCGACTTTCCTGAAATCATGCTGTATTGAGCTATGATTCTTACTCAAATGTAGTTCCTATGTCAGAATCTCATCAATGAGAAATTTCGCAAGATTGCGTGCCAAAATATCCAGTACCACACTTGCATATTTTTACTTCAAACAGAATTAACACTGCATCTTAGACACAGCGTGGTTTACCCTGCTAGTCATCTCAAACACTGAAGACGGTGACTGTACTACATGATTATTTACCTGCTCAGCTCAGGTTCCCATTGTTCACATTCACATCAAGACAGATCAGCACTGGCACAACCACTGCTTTTATTGGGTATATCAAGTGTTAACAGATCCTTCAATGTGTTTCTCAAAATCTCTGTTGGCCTATGGTAAAGAAAAATAAAATCTATTTTGAAAACTCACAGAGCTCTAGTTAAAGGTTCATTTAATACCACCTATATGTCTTTAATGTCTTTAGACAGAAAAAAAAAAAGCTTTACAGTTCAATTAATGTTTCCCCTTTGGGTGCAATTTAACAGGGAGGGCTTCAGAAAAAGAATGAAAGAGGGCTATTAAACACATTTCTTATATAAAGATACTTGTTCTTATGCAGGACATATAGAATAGGACTTTTTTGTAGCAAATATTTTAAACAAGAGATATTTTGTTATGTGATGCTTTTTTAGCTGCAGCTAAAACAATTTTTAGTCGTGGAAATTCTGAAAAGCTTGTCATTTCTTTTATTATACTTACTAGAATATGATTACTTTTGTTGAAGGACAATATTTTCCCCTCTTTTCCTTACCCTGTGGCCCCCAAAAATGTTTCTGCTAATGATATAAGCAGATTTCTAATACTTTATCTGCTTTTAATCTATGAAAATTAATATTTGGATACTTCATAATTATCTTGATTATGTCACTTGATAAAACAGTGATAGGTATTAATGTTAGTTCAGCCATATATTTATACTGCCTGGGAATAGGTGGCTGCAATTGTGTGGCGAGCATAATTTGGCAGCGTTCACTAGCTTGCAAAAACCTACTGCAAGAGCTTAAACATCTACATGAACACTGATATGAAAAAAGCATGTAAGCCTGACCATAGCTTCTAGTTCCTAGATGGACCTGGCTGTGTTTTTCAGGCCCCAACCTGCAGGGAGCCCCTTCAATCTCATCAGCTGAGTGGGCAGAATAAAGACATCATGCCTGCACATGCTTAGCATTGTGCCCAGCATGGTCAGGGATTGATAAAAACACTTGTGTATTCTCTTTTTATTATCATCACCACCATTATAATCATTACTGAGAGATGCATCCGTAGAGACATCATGTCAGAGAGAAGCAGAGGAACCCAGAAGGCAGCAATGAAACTAACATTTAGAAGCAACACAGGTGATGGGGCAGCCCAGAAAGCTGAAGACAGAAACCATTTCGGAGAATTAGCTGCAAAAGAAGTAGGGAACAGGCATGAGAAGGGGACAGTTCTTTCTGGAGCTAACTCAGTGAACACACCAGAGCCTGTGGGAACATACATTTTTGCATCAGTTTCCTCATTGATAAATTGGAAGAAAGGTACATGGTAGAGAAGGTTACATTAGTCGATATTTGTAACAAGTCAGGGCACATAACAGGCCCTCACTCAAGAGAAGACACTTTTGTTCTCACATCTCCCTTCTTAAATTAAGGAGCATCTGCCCTGTATACAATCCTGCACAAAAATAAATCCACGTAAACAAAATTTCACAGTAACTACAAAAGCCTAATGATCATTAAAAATTCCTGGGAGAAACAGATGACCGTTCACTAATTAATCGGGTTTAGATAAATCAAGCACCACTTAAAGAATCACTGCTCCTTAAAGAGGTAAATGCAACGATTGTCACATGGCCAATTTCTAATTTTTCATTTCTCTGGGGAGACCAAAATGATACAATCTTAGTAATAAATTTCTCCCTAAAGTTTCTGAGGACAAACAATTTCCAGCCTCCTCAGACAAAGGTAAGA
Source organism: Homo sapiens (assembly GCF_000001405.40). Taxonomy (NCBI): domain Eukaryota; kingdom Metazoa; phylum Chordata; class Mammalia; order Primates; family Hominidae; genus Homo; species Homo sapiens. The sequence goes on along the minus strand of NC_000008.11, from coordinate 128,007,967 downwards.
TGAGTCAACTAGCATTACTGTCAACAAGTATGAAATGTAGGCCACCTTTGTGTCTACAACTAACATACTTTGTTAAGGATCAGATGTAGGACAGTGGTTTGTGGAGTGAAAATTAGGTGGGTGTCCACTGGGCAAGACATTGCACAGCACTGCCTGTGCTGGAAAATGCAAAAGAGAATAAGCTGGATGGGAGTACATCAAACCTAAACCTACACGTGTAGAATCACACTCATGCATACAACCCACATTCTTACTGTTTTCCCATTATCAGGAGACATCAAAAAGTAAAAGGTGTCTCATACCTTCCAAACACATTTCCCAGAAATGTCTGTTAACAGGAAGTACATACCCTTCACAGAATTTCTCCCATGTGTAGATAAATATGTATGTGCACTATATTGTTCTGTCTTGCTCCTACAAAAATGGGCCAATTCTATACAAATGGTACTACAACTTATCTTTTCCAATTGATTGTGGACACCATCCCATATTAGTACATATAAATCTATCTCATGGTTTGTATTTAGGTTTTTTTTTTTTAGTTTTTATTTTAAAATAATTTCAGATGTACAAAGTAAGAGTTTAAAAAACTGAGAAATTCCATTTAGCCTTGCAACTTCTCAATTTTGACATCTTATATACACAGTACAATTATTTAACTGTGTCAGGAAATTAACTTTAGTACAATACTATTGCCCAATCTAGCAATTTAATACAATATTATTGCTTAGTTGCTCAATCTAGAGACGATATTCAAATTTCATCAGTAACACTTTTTTCCAATGCAGAACGCAGCCCGCAGTCATGCGTTGCAGTTACAGTTGGAGCGTGTCCCTTCGTCTCTTTTAATCTGAACTCATTCCTCAGTCATTCTTTGTCTTTCATTTTTAAAGAGTGCTGATCAGTTGTTAACTAGAATGTCACTCCATTTGTGTTTGCCTGATATTTCCTCCTTGTTAAATTCAGGTTATAGTTCTGTCAAGGATAGCACAGCAGCAATGGCTGATTCCAGGGCTGGACCAGGCAAAGTGTACACTGAGCCTAGAATATCTTGTGGGGTCAAAAGGTAAGGCAGTGCTCAAAAAACAACAGTAAAATGGCAAAAATACATAGAACCCAACTTGAAGGGCATCCCAATGTAAAATCTAGAAAAATCTGAGCACAAAATGTATTATAGTCATGGGTTATAACCAATATAATGAGAATCCAAGAGTCCAGACTGATTTTTAAAAAATTGCATTTTTTCAATATAAAAGAAAATATCTTCCTTATAGTAACATTTTAATTGACAAATGTAGGAGTAATGATGGAAGTAGAAAATCACTGTTTGGCACACACTGTAGTAATAACTGTTTCAGACAAGAATTATCCACGAATGCTAAAATTAGTTTGGTGAAAGTGTGATGAGAAACAAGATACTTACATAGGTCCAAAGCATCTCCTGACAAGATACTTATTCATTACACAGAAAAAAAAATAGAAACTTTACAGTAGAGAAATCTGGCAGACATCACCTTAATCAAGTGATGGAAGTAAACATCATTAGTAATGTGACAAGCCAACACCAGGTGCCTCCTGATCTGAGGCACTGAGAAGGACACAGCATCTCATTCTTTATAGTGGCAACTGAGCATTGTACTGTTGACCAGCTAGGCTGTCTTCAAGGTTCTGATACATTACTAATGCTGTTGAATAAATATCTTTTGAAACTTCCCTCACTATTTCTAGGGTACAGACTCCGAGAAGTGGGATTGCTGGGCCAAAGGGTGCATATACTCTAAACTTGGAGAAGTCCTGCCCAAATTTCCCTTATCTTTTTATTATTATTATTATTATTATTATTATTATTATTATTATTATTATTTGAGACAAGGTCTCACTCTGTCACTGAGGCTGGAGTGCAGTGGCGCAATCTCAGCTCACTGCAACCTCTGCCTCCCAGGTTCAAGTGATTCTCCTTATTCAGCCCCCTGAGTAGCTGGGACTACAGGCGCGCACTACCACATCTGGCTAATTTTTGTATTTTTGGTAGAGATGGGGTTTCACCTTGTTGGCTGCTTGGCCTCGAACTCCTGACCTCAAGTAATCTGCCTGCCTTGGCCTCCCAAAGTGCTGGCATTGCGGGTGTGAGCCACCACACCTGGCCTTGAAACGTCTTTTAGAGCTGTTGGTCCTGTTCATCACCCTCCACCTTTCAGCAGCAGTGTGTGAGAGTACCCACTTTCTTTGCTAGCACTCAGCACTACAAGCCACCAGAATGCTGAAAGCTGGGGCAAAGGAAGCCATATGTGGCTGTGTCAGCAGCTGGGCAGATGCAGGGAGTACAGCAGGAGCCAGACAAACCGAGAGTACTGGATGCATCCGGATGCAGAGGGATGTTCTGAGGTTTAACTAAGTCAGGGCTCCAGGACACACTGCAGTCAGCAGAAGGTACATGTACAAAAGATAGCAGGGGAAAGACGACAAGACTAGGGCATATCTGTTGGATGCTATTTGAGAGGTTTGCTATTTAGAAATGACCTAAGAGCTTAAACTTGCACCAAGCCCCACCTGGCCCAGTCTCCATCCTTCAGTCACAGCTCCTTAAAAGTCTAAGACAGGGGTGTCCAATCTTTTGGCTTCCCTGGGCCACATTGGAAGAAGAAGAATTGTCTTGGGCCACACATAAAATACACTAACACTAACGATAGCTGATGAGCTTCAAAAACAAATAACAAAAAAATCTCACAAGCTTGGTCTAAGACAATACAAATGTAGTAGTGAGGTTTCCCAGTCAAACTTATTAGTGATAGTTGCCAACCTTTGTGTTGTAACTTTTTTTTTTTTTGAGATGGAGTTTTGTTCTTGTTGCCCAGGCTGGAGTGCAATGGTGTGATCTCCGCTCACTGCAACCTCCACCTCCCAGGTTCAAGCGATTCTCCTGCCTCAGCCTCCCGAGTAGCTGGGATTACAGTCATGTGCCACCATGCCTGGCTAATTTTGTATTTTTAGTAGAGACGGGGTTTCTCCATGTTAGTCAGGTTGGTCTTGAACTCCCAACCTCAAGTGATCTGCCCTCCTCCACCTCCCAAAGTGCTGGGATTACAGGCGTGAGCCACTGTGCCCAGCCTGTGTTGTATTTTATAATCAATTTCATGTCACTTTATGTGGACTTCGCAACAACATAGAGAAAGGCATTGTTACATTTACAGGTAACAAAGACTGGAAAATCAGAGAGGGAAAGTAACTTGTTCAGGGCTGCACAGCTGCAAAGTGAGGCAGGTAATTGGTATTCGAAAGGCTACTTCAGTGGTATCTGGAGACTAGTCTATCTCCTGGCCCAGGCTTCTCCCTGTAGCAGGACCACTGTTGTCCTAACGCCACAAATACATTATCTCATTTCATCTCTACAGCCATCTGATGAGATGGGTACTACTGTTAGCTCCATTTTACAAATAGGAAAACGGAGATTGTGCCCCGGGCTTTGCTACCAGTAATGGGTGGGCTCAGGACTCTCTCGGCAGAGAGGGAAGTGAGGGGACAAGGCAGACCCAGCTCAACCCCACCTCCAGGATGAGCAAATGTAGAGAAAGGTGAAGAAGTGCTGGCACCTGAATAAAGCCCTCCCTTCTCCCCCACCCAATAAACCCAGTAAATCCATAGTTCTTGATTACCTACTGTATACAAACTGGCTGGATTACAAGGACCTGCTTTACAGACTAATGTTCATTATAATTCACAAGAGTCAAGGGGATCTTATTGTACAATGAAATACAGTAGTTGCGGCCTGCTGTGGACTGAAAGGTGCCAGCATCCATTCTGCATTCATATGTTGAAGTCCCAACCCCTAAGGTGACTTTATTGGAGATAGAAACCTTATGGAGGTTGGTAAGGTTAAACGAGGTCCTAAGGGTGAAGTCCTAATCTGAAAGGATATGTGTCCTTATAAGAAGAAACACCAGAGAACCCTCTCTGCTCCTACAACCATGTAAGGACACAGAAGAAGGCAACCATCTGCAAGCCAAGAGGAGAGCCCCCACCAGAAACTGAATCAGTTCACACCTTGACCTTGGACTTCCCAGCCTCTAGCACAGTAAGAAAATAAACTAAGCCCTTTATTCTATGATATTTTGTTATAGCAGCCCAAATAGACAAAGACAGAGACGCTTCATAAATCAGACTGGTGGCCTGATTAATTTGTCTTTTGACTATGCCCTCATCAGTCATGTTGGAGAATAGTCCCCCAAATCTATATAAGAACTCACTTATAATTTACACATATGCATATGAATGCCTATATTATTATTATAATAACAGGGATGAAAACAAAGACATTTTATAAAAAAGAAATCAACAGGCCAGGCGCAATGGCGCACACCCGTAATCCCAGTACTTTGGGAGGCAGAGGCAAGCAGATATCTTCAAGACCAGCCTGGGCAACATGATGAAATCCTGTCTCTACAAAAAATACAAAAACTAGTCAGGCATGGGAACACATACCTGTAGTCCCAGGTACTTGGGAGGCTGAGGAGAGAGGATCATTTCAGCCTGGGATGTCTAGGCTACAGTGGGCCATGATCCTTCCACTGTACTCCAGCCTGGACAACAAAGAGAAGAAGAAAAAGGAGAAGGAGAAGGAGGAGAAGGGAGGGCAGGGGAGCAGAGGAGACAGAAGGGGAGGGGAGGGTAAGAGAGGAGAGGAGAAGAGAGGAAGGAAGGAGGGAAAGAAGGAAGGAAGGAAAGAAGGAAGGAAGGAAGAAAGGGAGGGAGGGAGGGAGGCAGGATTGTCTAACACAGTGAAATCCTGTCTCTACTAAAAAAAAAAAAGGTGTGGTGGTAGGTGCCTGTAGTCCCAGCTACTCGGGAGGCTTAGGCAGGAGAATTACTTGAACCTGCCTGGGAGATGGAGGTTGCAGCAAGCCGAGATTGCACCACTGCACTCCAGCCTGGGCAAAGAGCAGGACTCCGTCAAAAAAAGAAAGAAAAAAGAAGGGAGGAAGGAAGGAAGGAAGGAAGGAAGAGGGAGGGAGGGAGGGAGGCAGAGAGGGAGGGAGACAGGGAGGGAGGAAGGAAAAAGAAAGAAGAGAAAAAAAGAAAAGAAAAGGAAAAAAAAGAAGAGAAAGGAAGTTGTAACATTTTCTCCTTATACTCTGTTGTGGGTTTAACTGTGTCCCCAGAAGTGTTATGTTGAAGTCCTAACTCCCAGAACCTGTGAATGTGCCTTATTTGGAAATTGGGTCTTTGCAGATGTAATCAAGTTATGATGAGGTCATGCTGGTTTAGAGAAGATGCAATTCTAAGAAAAGGGAAATTTGGACACAAACACACAGGAGAGGACACAGGAGGATGGAGGCAGAGACTTGGATGATGCAATGACAAGCCAAAGAGCGCCAAGGATGGCCAGCCTCCAGCAGAGGCCGGGAGAGAGAAAGGGAGGATTTTTCTGGGCATCTGCAGGGAGAACACAGCCCTCACAACTCTTTGATTTCAGACTTCTGGCTTCCACAACTATGAGAGAATACATTTCTGTTGTTTTGGGCAACCTAGTTTGTGGTACTTTGTTATAGCAGCTCTAGGAAACTAATACACACCCTGACCAATCTGCACATCCTACTGAATAAGAAAGAGTAACATGTAAAGCAATGGGAGGAAAATGTCACACAGGTGCAGAGGCCAGATTGGAGAGTAGTGGCTCATCACAATGATCATGCCCATGGATCCCTGGGAACCGAGGTGGGCCCCTGGCCATGGGGAATCACCCAGGGCGGATGTGAGACTCAGGCGCCTGTTGGGGATTATCCAGGTCTTTCACTCATTTATGCATTCAGCAATCAGCAAGGATTCCTGAGGAATACTGTCAATTAATCACTCAAGTTTCACCCTCAGAAACATAACGTTCTGGCATCAGAGGGACAGAAAGATTGTTGACGTGCCTGGTCAGGAAGGTGAATTCGGTCGAGCAGGATTGTGCTGGGGAGCTGCTACAGTCTGAATGTCGGTGTCTCCCCAAAGTTCATAGTTGAAATCCTAACCCTCAAGGTGATGGGATTTGGAGGTAGGGGCTTTGGGAGGCGATCCAGTCACGAGTGTTGAGTCCTCATGAATGGGATTAGTGCCTTGACAAAAGAGGCTCCAGAAAGCTTTCTCGCCCCTTCCTCCATGTGAGGACGCGGTAAGAAGACACTGAACCAAGAAGCAGGTTCTCACCAGACACCAAATCTCCCAGCGCATTGATCTTGGACTTTTAGCTTTGAGAACTATGAGAAATAAATTTTTGTTGTTTGTAAACCACCCAGTTTATGGGATTTTGTTACAGCAGCCCACATGGATGAACATGGGAGCAAAGGGGAAATCATGGAAGGAGGACTGTTTTCGTTCCATAGGCAAACCTTTCCCACTCTGTGAGTGGCTCAAGGTCAACAAGGGAAAACAGATTCCTGATCTGGTGGGGGCCAATGGCGAGTCTGAAAGGGTCACAGGAAGTGTGTCAGCCTCTGCCTTCTGGGACCCTTGGGCAGCTGGGCACCGGTACAGAGGAAACCCCCCAAGAAGCACTCAGCCCACATTTCCCCCCAGCTAGCCTCACTTCCCCCCTCAGCACTGCCCTGGTTTATTTTGACAAGGTTGTTTCCACCCTGCATGGTCACACACCCTTGCAGACACTAGGGAGTCCTGCCCACTCTGGGAACCATTGTTCACTGTGGAAAACCCGAAGCGTCACCTTTATGCACAGCAGGCTGGGAAACAGTGCTGCTGGCGAGCCCCTCAGGAGCAGTCATGGTTGTGGGCAAGCAGCCAAACGGGGTGCAGACAGCACGCAGGGCTTCCTGGCACAGACCTGCAGGTGGGCGGTAGGCGGTGGGGTGGGGGGCAGTGGCAATGCCCTGGGCCTCCAAGTGATGAGCTTGGAAACCTGCTTCAAGTTGAACTGAGCAAAGGATGCAAAGGTAGGAAATACAGAAATACACCTCACAAGAGAAGAGGAAACATACCAAATGTTTTAACGGGTAGAATTTCAGATAAAAAACAAATCCTGTATTGAACATGGAAAAGGCACAAGGGGGACAATGAGGTCTGGGAGAAGCAGCAGCTGCATGAAGCAAGTACACCCCTTTGGTGATGGGATCTGCTGGTGGAATGATCAGAACTGAGAAGCCTGGAGGACCTTGCAGAGCTCCAGGCTGGGCTGTCATCTCTGATAGTAGCACAACGCAGCTGGTTCCAAGTATGGAATAAACAACAACAACAAAAGCCCTACACACTAAAATCAACTATTGTTATGGGACAAAGTCCTGCTGCCAGGAAAGTATTGCTACGGTGACACTGTCAGGCACAGGAGGCAAATGGGAAGGGGCAAGGCCCTCCGCCCTTCCCACCTGCCAGTTTTCCTTTGAACAACCAGGTCTGGCCATTCTGGGCCTGCAGACTTTCAGGGCCATAATCAGCAGCCACAGACTGGCCATTTCCCCCTTTATACTGGGCCTACACAAGGACCATAGTCAAAACATTTCTCAACAACTGATTTGCTATGCAACCATGGAGGTGCCTGACCATTCAGAGCAGGTGCTGGCCTGATCTCCTGGTTCCTTGCTACCTCTGGTGCTTCCAGTTCTGCACCAAGCCCTCCTGACTGCCCAGGAGGCCCACATCACTTATTTTTGTTGCCTGCCTGGCCTCTGCAGACAATTGAGTTTGGGACGCCTGGCTGAGAAGGAAGCCAGGTGGGGGATACTACATGATACGTCAACTGTTTCATCCTCATTCTGTGTGCCTCGGGTCCCAGGAAAGCAGGGACATCCCTGATGGGGCTAACCAAGGGGTTCTAGGAGCAGTGTGCAGGGGAAGAGGTTGTATGGAGTGGGAGTGGCATGGGAGGGAAAGGAAAGCAGGAAAGGCTGTCAGTAGGAGGACAGGAGCAGAACAGGACAGTCCAGAAACCAGCAAGGGCACATGAAGCCCAGGGAGAGACACATTCAAAGGCCTGTGAGCATAACACAGAGTCCCGGTTTGCAAACATCTAGGCAGGACACATTTCGGAGTCTCTTTCTACATGCATCTGACTCATCTTGATTTTTGTTGAATGAGGCCACATTGACCATAGGGAAAAGTCCAATGTTCTCAGCCCACTCCTCTTGCCCCACGTGAACTTTCCAACATCTCTGTTCATTACCTTCTTTTGTCAGTCAATGTGGGCAAAAAGAAAACAAGTTTGTTAAAAGTGGATGGGGGCCGGGCGTGGTGACTCACGCCTGTAACCCCAGCACTTCGGGAGGCTGAAGTGGGTGGATCACCTGAGGTCAGGAGGTCGAGACCAGCCTGGCCAACATGGTGAAACCCCGTTTCTACTAAAAATACAAAAATTAGCCAGGTGTGGTGGTGTGCACCTGTAATCCCAGCTACTCGGGAGGCTGACGCAGGAGGATCGCTTGAACCTGGGAGAGCGAGGTTGCAGTGAGACGAGATCACACCACTGCACTCCAGCTTGGGCGAAAGTGTGAGAATCCATTTCAAAAAAAAAAAAAATGGGTGAAATGTGGTAATGAATTAGAGTTGGAGACAGCAGTATAAACTCATAGTTAGCTTAACATAGATAAGATGGATACCTGGAGAAATATTTACACATACGTGCATGCACATGGATTCATATACACACATTTATTTATTTATGTATTTATTTATTTTTAAAAATTTTTACAGGGAAAAGTGTAAATGCAGTCCCCCATTACCACAAATTATGCAGTCAAGTCTCCCACATTTGGGGGAATCACAGGGGTCAGCACATCGGGAGTGCAATGGATAAGCCTCACCCTGGGGAAACCACCTTTGTGATCATGGTATCTCCCCTGCCAGGTAAGTATTCATATGTGTTAAAAAAATTGTTCTCCCCATCCTCCCTACACACATATATTTCACTGCTCTGTCAGTTGAGAAGATCTGGAGGAAACAACACCTCAAGCACATCTAGCACCCAGATCTTGGATTCTAAGTCCTTTCTCCAGTAAAATGACAGGGGATCCTTGAAGAAATGGCTGATTCTATAACTGGGGCTGGAAATATACAAGATAAGCCCTAAGCATCTTATAGTGCCAGAAAGTATGGATGCACCAAAAAAAGAGAGAGAGAGAGAGAGAGGGAGGGAGGGAAGGAAGGAAGGAAGGAAGGAAGGAAGGGGAGGAGGAGAAGAGGAAGGAGGAAAGGAAGGAAGAAAGGAAGGAAGGAAAAGGAAGGTAGGAAAAGAAAGGAAGAAAAGGAAGGAAGGAAGGAGAAAGGAAGGAAAGAAAGAAAGAAAGAAGAAAGAAAAGAGGAAGGGAGGGAAGGAAGGAAGGAAAAAAGGAAGAAAAAGGAAGGAAGGAGGGAGTGAGGGAGGGAGGAAGGAAGGAAAGAAAAGAAAAAAGAAAAGAAAAGAGGGAGGGAGGAAGGGAAGGAAGGAAGAGAGAGAGAGAGAGAGAGAGAAAGAAAGAAGGAAAGAAAAGGAAGAAAGAAAGACCCATAATAAGAAAGTATGTCAAATGGGCACAGGAAGTAACTGAAGAGTTCCCAATAGCCAAGGAAGAAAAACCATGAGCAACAAAATAAAACCATATTATTGGATTATAACTCAAATAAATTAAAAATTATCAAATAAATACCTGCAAGTCCATGCTGATATATAAATAAATAAATAGGAGAGAGGAGTTAAATCTCCCAGGTAGAAAAAATCTAAATAGTTCATGTAGATCCTCTAGCCATGGAGAAGGAAGAGCAGGAATGCCCTCTTCTTAGGGGATGGCTATGCACAGTGACTTCCTTCTGAAGAGTTTAATATAAAAAGGGAGTTAAGAAAGAACAAAAACACAAAAGTATCTTTAAAGTGGACAAACCTGACAACCACTACAGCAGCCAGGTAATCAAAGTCAACATCAGTGATAGGTCATGCTGATGGTGCCTACCCTTGATTTCATAAAAGCGGAACTTTACCTCTGTGGCCTTCCTCCATAATCCCAATCTAATAAGAAGAAGAATCAGACAACCCTCACAGAGGTACGTTCTATGAAATACCTGACCAGTCAAAACTGGTCATCAAAACTCAAGACTGTCAATGTCATCACAAACCAGGAGAGTCTGAGAAAGCGGCACAGCCCAGGGCAATCTAAGAAGACATGATCACTAAATGTGATGTGGGATCCCAGATGGGATCCTGGACCAGGTAAAAACTAAAGTAATGTTTCAACTTCAGTAAATAATAATGTATCAATATTGGTCCATTAATTGTGGCAAATGTGCCACACTAATGCAAAGCGTTAGTAACAGGGAAAACTGGGAGCAGGGTATATGAGAACTTTTTGAACTGTTTTCACAATTCTCCTGTAAATCTAAAACTCTTCTGAAAATAGAGTTTATTCTTTAAAAGTGTCTGGAGGATGTGCACAAGGGTGTGGCAGCAGAGGGGCTACAGGTAAAAAATCATGACATCTGGAATATTTCCTTCAATTTTTGCTCCACACGGTGACTATCTTACCCTGCTCCCATTAAACTCTGAACAATGTTATCAGCCTGAAAAATGGATTGGCAGGAATGTGTAATGTCGAAGCTGGGAGGGACTATGGCGGCCATCCAGGCCCCTGCTTTCAATTACACTTGAGGAAAATCAAATCCAAAGACCGGAAGCGGCCAGGCTCGGTGGCTCACTCCTGTAATCCCAGCACTTTGGGAGGCTGAGGCAGACGGATCACCTGAGGTCAGGAGTTCGAGACCAGCCTGACCAACACGGAGAAACCCCATCACTACTAAAAATACAAAATTAGCCGGACGTGGTGGCGCATGCCTGTAATCTCAGCTACTGGGGAGAATCGCTTGACCCCGGGAGGCAGAGCTTGTGGTGAGCTGAGATCACGCCATTGTACTCCACCCTAGGCAACAAGAGTGAAACTCTGTATCAAAAAACAAACAAACAAAAAAAAAAAACGAAAGCAAATGACCAGTGAATGTTCCAGTTCAGTGCCCATGGGTAGAGCTGAAATCCTCAGGGTCCTGGAAGACTGATGGACAGCAATGTCAGCCTGTCCTCAGAACAGGCCACTCTGCAGAGGAAACCGAGGCTCACAAGAGCCAAGAGCCTTCTTCCCAGCCAGAGGGCTGGCAAGCAGCAAAGCAGAGAGCCAGGTTCAGGTCTCCTTTCCGGCTTCACAGAAGTGCTACCTCCCTGCTACCACTAACCCTCACACCCCCGACCCCTGTCCCCATGGCCAGTCACTTTCCCGTTTCCTCCCACAGCAGCAGGGGGCGGCGGCTGAAGACTCAGGTAAGATGCAACTCAGGGAGGATGGCACTTAGATTGGTTTCTCTTTCTTTTTTTCTTGATTCTGTCTTTATGAAACTTTGCTTTAACCCAACATTGTTTAAATCCCGACCTGGTTTCTCGTGAGCTTGAAGCCAGGGTGCCCACACTCTGCAAAAGAAGAAAAATGCCAGTATGAGTCCTTGAGGCTCAGTGTTGTTGTGCAGTCCGTGGACAGGACAATGTCCTCATTTCAAGGTTTCATTTTTGGAGGAAAAAAAATTCCTCAGGATGCAGGATGCCCTGCATCCCATAATGGGTATGCCCCCATTGAAACCAGCTCTGGGAGGGTGACCAAACTAAAAAGGAAACAGTTCCAAGCAGAAGGACACAAATTACCAGCAGAGTCATTATTACTCACAGCAATTCAGGCCCAGGGTCTATGTGGTGCAGGGTTTCTGAAAGCCGGCCTATACCTGGGAAGGAGGGAGAGAACCAGAGGCCTGGATGCTGGGTGGAGGTTCTGTGATTTACTTTGTTACAAATTTAAGAATAAAACCTGCTGGATCAGGAGCTTTTCCTATCTCCTCAAATAAACCTGGATCCCAAGAGGAACAGAAAGGAGAAAGGTGAGTGTGGGAGAGGAATTGGAGTGCAAGCTCAGAGGTCCTTGAGGGAGGGAGGAGAAGGTGTCTGCTTTGGGGAATGGCAATAAGAGGTATGTTGGGATGGAGATACCCAAATGTGTAGCACTTATACCGATTTAGCAAATGGTCCTCTCATTAGCAAAAGCTTCTAAACATTAGCCTTAAGTTTAAAAAAAAAAAGGACATTTGAAATTATGCAAAAGCCCAGAGCACCAATATGCGCTTCACATACGTTCCGCAGGAAGATTCCTTCATTTGCAAACTGGAGTATATTACGTAATCATTTCCATTTCCTGGCAGGTTGTGAAGAGTAAATGACATCATATAATGTAAAGTGCTTGAAACACCATGAATAATACATTTGAGCTATTACTATTTTTACCATGATTACTGGTAGATTAAAAGCAGTCTCTTCATGGCCATCTTGATTACTACTAGTACTAACACGACCATCACCGCAAACACTACTACTACTATAAGGATAGTACTTTATTAGCGGTGCTTAATAGAATCTATTATAATTCTCAATACTTAGCATATTTCAGGAGGAAAACTGACTGACGGACTGATATAATGCACAATTAAAGAAATGAACAAAGAAATGGATAGATTCCTATAATGTGGGGGGTGTATCTTAAAAGAAAAGCAGTCCAATAGGTTTCAAAGAGCAAAACCAGGAGTCAAGAGCTGTCTCTAATCCCAGGAGCCGGATGCTGTGAACACAGGAGTGTTCAATAAATACCTAACTGATGTCTGAGCAAGGAAGAGACAAAGAATGACAACAGTCAATTGGGCTTAGCTTAGATAAACACTCAAAGCCAGGATACAGACAGAACAGGACAAGAGTGGCTCTTACAGTCACTTGATTCAGGGTCCTTGTTTTAATGATGGGGCTGTGAAGGATCAAAGGGGTCAGCTGGGGCTCAACACTCAAAGGGCAGCTTTGGGCCAAGTCAATCAAACCAGCCTGGTGAGCTGAGATGCACGTTACCCAGTAAATACAGGTATTGGGATAGACTGTGTCTCTGCAGTGTGATGGTTAATTTTGTGTGTCAACTTGACTGGGCCACAGGATTTCCAGAGAGCTGGTTAAACAGCATTTCTGAGTATGTCCAGATGAGATTATCACTTCAACCAGGAGACTGAGTAAAGCAGATGGTCCTCTTCAATGTGGGTTGGGCCTCATTCAACCCACTGAAGGCCTGAATAGAACAGAAAGGCACAGGAAGGTTGAATTTCATCTCTGCCTGATTGCTTGTTCTGGGACATCGATCTTCTCCTGCCCTTGGCATTCCTGGTCCTCAGGCCTTCGAATCTGGACTGGAATCTACACTACAGGTTCTCCAGCCCTCTGCCCTTTGTGACACGACAGCTGTTTCCTAGGTCTCCAGCCTGCAGGTGGCAAATCACAGGACCCCTCTGGGTCCATAATTGCATGAGCCAATACCTTATAATAAATAAATCTCCTAGATATAGATATAAATATCAAGGTAGATATTGATATAGACATGGATACGCATCTATCTTCATGTTCTATTGGTCCTGTTTCTCTGGAAAGCCCTGACTAATACATCTGTATATTTTGAAGGCTTTAAAGAAGGACAAAGCTCTTTTTTATCCACTCTGTTAACTCCTCATAGCCTATCTCAGCAACTGACTCATAACAGGAAAGTGGACAAGGGCAGAGAGGACAGGAGGGAATGGCTACCTCCTGCCAGTCACCACACAAGGTGCTGGGGAGGTGGGTTCAGTGAGACCCAAGGCTCTGCTCCCAGGGAAAGTTGGAGAGATCGTGTTTCCAGGCGAGATCCCAAACACAGCCCCCATCAGCAGAACCCGTCCCACAAGAGGCACTGTAGAGAGAAAGATCCTCATTTTCAGAAGAAACAGAGCTGAAAGAAGGGACTAGGAGTGGGCAGAGGACAATGGTGGAGAAGGAGAGACAGTTGGAGAGGGGGTGAGGAGCAGCACAAGAGAGTACAGAGAATGTGCTGGGAGAACAGGCAGGCACAGGGCAGGTTTAAGGGATTCAGAAGACTCATGTCCTGATTTGGGAGCCACCATCCATGAGCAGGGGGGATCTCAAGCAATGCAATTGCTCCAAGCCTCCAGTCCCTTCATCTGTGAAATTCTGGCATCCATGAAGCTAGCTTCACTCCCTGTGATTCCTTCAGAGAAAGCACAGTGGCTTTTCTCCTTTATTCTAGGCACCCTGCACAGTGGCACACTGCAGGTTCTCGTTCGATATTTGTGCAATACAAGAAAGGAGAAAGGATGAGAAATCACTTTATAAACTGTAAAGTCCTGGGCAGATGACAGGGCTGCCTTTGTTTCTTAAGGCAGACTGGGGAGCTTCTGAAAGGGGAATACTTTCTTCCTCACTTTGCCTTTCCAGCCCCAAGTCAGTGTCCTGAATTCAGTTAACTCAAGAAAACGTTCTCCAAGCATGTCCTATGTGCTGTCAAAATGCCAAAAGCTGGAAGCAGACAGAGAACAAGACCTAGACCCTGCAATCCAGGGGAGAAGAGCTGATGTTCAGGAAAGTGAAATGCTGCTTCTGGAGACAGAATAAATCCCCCCGGAGAGAGGATAAGAATTGACTATTCTAAAGCCCAGCCTTTCCTCAAAACCATAATGATAATCATCACCCATAGTGACAGCTACGGTGGGTGGTCACCTGTGTGGCTGGCTGCTAGATGAGCTGGACTGAAAGAGACTCAGAAATGCTTTCGTTTTCAGGTGGTGGCGCAGCCACTGCTCCCCGACTGGGCCTAGTGCATTGCAGACATCACGGAGGAAGCTCCGTGTCTGTGGGTGTGACGGTGTATGATCAGTGAAAGATGTTATCAGAAGAAAAAAAGTTGGGCACATTTTCCCCTAGACTTACTAATCCTTCCTCTGCAATTACCCTCATGTTTTGACATTAATTGAACTCTGTCTTTATTACTAAAAATAAACTCCAGGGCAATTGCAATGCACCAAAAACCTCAGTATGAAACCACAAGAAACAGTAATAGAGAAATGGGCCAATACCAGAGGTGTTTTGAGAAGATGTTTCTGTTTCAAGCGTAGAGTTCCGAGTGGGCCAGGAGTTCTTTAAAATCCTGTGGACACCAAGTACAGGAAGCAATCTTTACACACATACCTTGTGGCGAAAGACCGGTGCTGGCTTGTATCCCTTGACAGGGAAGCAGGAGCCTGCTGATGCGGTGTCACCAAAGGCCAGGAGGCCAGCATGACCAGTGTGGCAGTATCAGGCAGGGAGCCAGCAGATGACACCAGGGGAAGGCAAGGCCAGAAGAGGAGTCCAAAAGAGCAAAGTGAAGGTCTAAAGGGAAGAAGCCCATCCTGTCTGCATATCCAGGGAGCAGGGCCAGGGGTGAGCAAGAATGACACTGAGAGGGTCAGGAGCTAGACAGGTCAGGAGCTGGAAGGAGAAACAAACAGGCTCCTGTTCATTGCCCATTTCCTCGGGCAAGGTTCCGTCATCCTCACAACCAGACCAAGTGGCTTCTGGTCCATGATGTGGCTGGGAAAATTGAAGTCTGGCTGGGTGTGTGGTGTGTGCCTATAGTACTAGCTACTCAGGAGACTGAGGTGGGAGGATTGCTTAAGCCCAGGGATTGGAGGCCAGCCTGGGCCACATAGCTAAGACCCTGTCTTTAAAAAAATAAAAGAAAAAAATTTGTACGTGTGTTTTGAGACAGAGTCTTGCTCTGTTGCCCAGGCTGGAGTGCAGTGGCACAATCTTGGCTAACTACAACTCTGCCTCCCAGTTTCAAGTGACTCTTGTGCCTAAGCCTCCCAAGTAGCTAGGATTACAGGCGTGTGCCACCATGCCTGGCTAATCTTTGTATTTTTAATAGAGACAGGGTTTCACCATGTTGGCCAGGCTGGTCTCGAACTCCTGGCCTCAAGTGATTAGCCCACCTCAGCCTCCCAAAATGCTGGAATTACAGGCGTGAGCCACTGTGCCTGGCAAGAAATTTTTTTCCTTTTTTTTTTTTTTTGTTTTAAGAAAGAGAGAAGTTTGAAAAGCTGTAAAAGACTTGCCCAGAGTCAAATAGGCAGTGGGAAGTGGAGCCTGGGGTAGACCCTAAGTGTCTGACTCCGTGTTCCTGGTGCCTTTGCTGCACAGCAGGCAACAGTCCCGACTCATGGGTGGGAAAGGTGAGGATGCCCTCCTATTGGTGTGCGTCCCAGCCAGGCTGATTTCTAGACAGGTACAGACAGGCAGGCTCCCAGTGTGAGAAGTGCCTTTAGGACAAGTAGAACTGCACACATAGATGCAAATGCCTGGGCCTTTCTTCAGGTTCTGTCATAGAACAGACTGCCTGAGGCCATGCTCAGGACTGCGGGCCTCAGAAACCCAGCACTTGCCCCTGCTCTGTCTTTCTGCTCCCAGCAGCTGAATTCTAGGGAAATGTCTCTCCGTCACCCCACCCCGAGACAGACCTGCCAAGCTTCTGGCTTTCAGATTCTCTGCCACATGACTGAGGTCCCATCAGCCCTTTTCCCCAATATGAGAATAGCTTGTTCCAGCCCTCCAGGTGCAGCAGGGCATGGGGATCAGCTGGAAAGGCTGCTACACCTGTATGCTCTCCTGCTCCCTAAGCCTGCCTCAGAAGCATGGGCTCCCAAGACATAATTCAGTGACTGTCCCTGAGGGTCAAAAAGAGCTACGAGGCCAAGGCGGGCAGATCACAAGGTCAGGAGATCAAGACTATCCTGGCTAACACAGTGAAACCCCGTCTCTAATAAAAATACAAAAAAAAGTAGCCAGGCGTGGTGGTGGGCACCTGTAGTCCCAGCTACTCAAGAGGCTGAGGCAGGAGAATGGCGTGAACCCGGGAGGTGGAGCTTACAGTGAGCCGAGATTGCGCCACTGCACTCCAGCCTGGGTGACAGAGCAAGATTCCGTCTCAAAAAAAAAAAAAAAAAAAAGAAAGAAAAGAAAAAAAAGAGCTACGTAGGGCTCCCAAGGAAGACTTGTCAGCTGTAGACATACATTGCAGTAGCAGAAGTGAGAAATTCAACAATGATACGAAAATGAATGCGTAATATGAATGCACAAAGGTGCTGAGCTCTAAACAATGGAAAGGATTTTTAATTACTAAACAGCAGCTCAGCTCCCAGTATGCTTTATTCACAAGCATCTTTCAAGAGTCACGAGAGGCAGCACCTGCTCCAGGAAGCCTCCCGGCATGGAGAAAATCCCCTCCACCATCCTCACAGACACCTAGGGAGTATGTAGTATCCTATGTGTGCCAGTATCCCCACCTTGACTGAAGGGCAAGGCCTCATGCTCTTCACCTCTGCATGCCACAGGAATGCTGACTATCACAGCAGATTTGAAACGCAAATGCGCTTTTGAAAATTTAAGGCACAATACAAAAGATGAAGATGACATATGTAGCACAACAGAAGTACAGTTCTCTGCTATGCTCTCAGTTCTGACTTCTCTGTCTTCTCACCAGTCCACAGCTTCTCACCCACCTTTCCACCCTTGCATAGCTTTCAAATTCATGATAGGAATCATGTCAGTTTCCTTTTCATCATGTCATTTATTCTTTCCAACATCTTACTTAAAAAAAATTGCAACTGACCTCATTCTTTCCTCTGAACCTTTAAAAACTTTCTTCTTTTGGTTACTTCTCTATCTCTTTTTCTCTCTCCTTTCAATTACTCATTCATTTGTTGTTTCACCCTCGGTCAGGCACTATGCCAGATCCTGTGATGTGTAAGACAGTCCTTGCTCTAAGCAATTTCACCAGCAATAGGGGGAATGGGCAGGGGAAGGGGCAAGGGACATTTCAACCCAGTGCAGTAGCCATGGTATAGTGGAGACATGCCTTCACTAGCCCGCTGCCGTCCAGGGGAGGGGGGAATCAACTCTGCTTTGGGTAAGGGGCTGGGCACAACTGGGAAGGTGATTCTCAGCTGTTTCCCAGGCTGACTTGGTGATAGGTGAAAGGCTGGGGGGACAGCAAATGAAAGACTTCAAAATAGCCTGATACATGGAAGGAATTCTAAATGGCATAATTGAGGAATAATTTGCAAAAACTCTCTTCCCTTTTGGAGCATTTCTTCCTCAGTGCAAGGCAGCCTGCTAAGCTGTTTTGCTCCAATATCTCACTCAACACAAACAACATCTTCATGAGGCAGGCACTAATACCATCCCTATTTTACTAATGAGGAGACCAAGGCTTTGAGAGGCTGAGTGACTTGTCCAAAATGAGGCAAGTAGCAAAACCAAGAAAACCCAAGTCTACCTGAAGCACTCAGTCTTAACCTCTAACCCTTTACCTCCTGCACCCTCAGCCTTAGTGTGGAAGGAGCATAGAATTCAAGGAGGTGAAAGGAGGAAGCACGGATTGGCTGGGAAAGGAGGAAGAGCTCATGTTCTGGATGTCCCAAAGGTGTTTCAATCTGATTATATAACCCTCACCTCACCTTTTCCTCTTTTCCCCAAGGCTGTCTCCACATGTTTTCACAAGACAGCTGGAGCATCCTGCACCTTCTGCTACAAGTGGCGCATTCACTAGGAGATGGTGGGCTCCTCCCTCCACTAGGGACAGAGGGAGAGCTTCCTAGGCACAATGAATAAGTGGACTAGACTCTGAGAACCAGGTCGGGGAGAGGTTATGGGGAGCCAGCTTCCCGAACACATTGGAGCGGCACAGGAAGACACACCGAGAGGTCAAGAACCACAACCCAAGCTGTGCTGCAGGAGGTCGTCAACTCCAAAAGCTATTTTTGGTTTCACAAGGATCAGGAAGATAAAGTCGCTTACCTTAATTCTCCAATCTCAAAATACTCCAGCTTTAGGTCACGTAAGGACAGTTCTCAAGTCCGTCCAGAGTGCTGAAAGGATATGTATTTTTTCAGATTGAAAGTGCCTAAATCCCAGGTGTAACAGGATTCTAGAAACACACAAAAAGGATACATATTAATATCAATGTTTACCTTGAATAGATTTGGTAATGAGATGTTTCATTCATTTAAAAGATAAGGACTGCACATTTACTATACACTGAATGAGGAGCACAAGAAGAGAAGACATTTAATGAGCAATGCTTATGTGGCAAGCACTGTGTTAGGCATTTTATACACATTAAACTGTTTAATCCTATGAGATAGGCTTTGATATCCCCCATTTCTGAAGTCACACAGGCAGTCAGGGCAGAAGTGATGGTTGGGTCTTTCTGACTCATAAGCCCCCACCCATTAATCATGTTTCCCTCCCCTACTAGAGCATTTTCATTCACCTTCTTCCAAGAATACTAGGTAGAGAGGAATAAGAAACACACCCAATAACCCCATTCTGAGAATAGCCTGTCCCTGGGTGCCCAGCCCATTTCATACATGGTGGGGATCATGTGAGCCATGGAGGCTGCATCAGATTAATTTTGTTGTAAGTTTTATCTGAGCCCAACACTGTCATCTAGTAACATGTGTTCAGTGGACATCATGCATTATTCAGGAAACAAAAAAATGTAGCCTCACTAGAGATTCTTATCTTAACTGATCATCAAGATGGCTAGATGAGGTGGTCAAAAGGGGTGGGACAGTGTGGAGAATGAGGCCCAGGGGCCACCCTTCTAGGCTATCCTAAAGCAGCGCCTGGTACTTAGCCTGGGGATCCAGGCACTGACCTTCTCTCCTGTCCTTCAAAGAACTGTGATGCTCCGGTGTGGCCCCCACAGAAAACCCCATTCATACATTTACAGTACGGTGCCCTTTTCCCTTTTCAGGCCCCCCCACCATCCTCACTGGCAGCCAAATCATGAATGACATGAAGCTTAGTCAGCACAAACTCAGAATAAAGAACGCTGAAAAGTTCTGAAGGGGAATTTGCTCTCAACTCTGGAATAGCTGGTGAAACATCCTTGCCCCACAGGCAAGAACGGCGGGCAGGTGGCTTGTATTCCCCACTTTGATTTCCTCATCTCTCCCCAAGGAACAACTTGGCCATAATTGTCTTCTCTGAGGCACTCTGGTTGTCATATTCCTTCCTTAGATGTGTTGGTATCACGGACAGATCTGCAGTGGTTCTGCAAGCCTCAGAGTCCTCGCCTCCTCCCATTCAGTGCAGGCTTAACGCATCCTGCACTCAGAGTCCAGTTCCCAGCAGCACAGAGTGAATTCCCCCTTACTCTGAAAAGTCCCCTTGACTAGCTAGGCACGCAGAAAGATGCTGTCCTCAGCGCCTCTGGGCTCCCCAGTGAGCAGCCTCCCACACGCCTCAGGCATTGTGACCAGGAAAGCACTTTTAGCCTTATTGTCAAAATGAATTTGCTTCGTTACCCAAAAAGGGCAGAGGCACAGCCTCTTGGTTGACGGTGGGCTCTTCTCAGGCTTCCTGGGTTGGTGTCCCAGTTCTACTACTTAAAGAGGCTTTTTAGGACCCTGAACAAGTACTCAAACTTGAGCTCTCTGAGCCTCAGTTTCTCATCTTAGAGGCTTGTTCCTGGTGTTAAGTGAGAATCTTTGCAGAGTTTAGCACTTGTCTCTGGATATTATAAGCCCATAGAAATGTCAGCTTTTATTAGCACTACTTAGGCAAATGCTAGAGACTTAACTTCTTCCTCTCCTCCCAGGAGGAAATGAAAAGGCCTCCCCTCTTTCTATCTCACCACTGTAACTTAGTGTAGGGACTCAGCACATGGGGCCAAGGGAGCAAATGAAGGCAATGAGATTGGGCCAAAGCCTGGGGCTTCCATCAAAGGTTCTCAGCTCCAGGCCTGGCTGTAACCCTCCCTTTCCAGTGTACTCATCTGTGAAAAAGAGTGGATTCAAACACTACCCGTCTGCCAGGTGCGCTGACAGGATTAAATGAGACAGTGCGCAGAAGAGGCAGTCTGTAAACTACCAGGGAAATCCAGCTAATTATAACAACAGCGCCTTTACTAGCAAATTCTGTAGAGGACATTTCACTAAGGACTGTCCTCCTGGCACCTCACTGAACACACACAGAGTCCCCAAGAAATCAGGAGACACATAACCTTTCTTCCCATTTTACAGATGTGGAAACTAAAGTTCAGAGGAGCTAAGGAGTCTGCCTGACACCAAGAGACAAATCCACAAATACAGGGCTGAAGTGTTGGTTTGCAAGCTGATGTCCTGTCCCCTCCTCCTTGTAAGGGGCTGGGGAGATGGGGTTGCAATAACCCAGCACGTTGGCTCCTGCAGAAAAAAGAACCTCTTTCCAAGGCAGCCAAACTGATTAATGTTTTTAATTAATGTTTTTAGCCACACACACAAAGCAATGTTCCATGGAAATTAAGGAAATTAAAATTTCTAAGCTTCTCCCAGGAGCTGCAAAGAATCCTGGGCAGGCCAGGGTGTTTAGAGCCCGGTGCAAAGCAGAAGGTCATAGCCCCACCTCAAAACACTGAACCTGCTCAGCAGGGGGTCACTTCCCACCCACAGAGTGACAGGCCACAAGGAGAGAACTTGCTCAGAAATATGCCAATGCCAATAATTGGTGGGAGAAACAGGGAGTGAAGAGGAAGGTCTGATGGGAGGTGCTAGATCCTGGGACTGAAGGGTCAGGTGGCTGCCCCCAGACCCTCTGGCTATCCTCCCACCTGACACAGTTCTCAAGGATATCTACCTGCTGTGTGGTTGACTGAGGTCCCTGCACCTGATGTGGCCGAGCAAGCCATGGGCTTTCTAAGGACACTGACAACACTTCCCTGATGTCTCCTGGGACCGCAGAAGGTCATGCTGGGCCCAACGCTGTGCTTTGACGTCTGAAGAGCCTGAGTGCCAAGGACAGGCTGACTCAGGACCTCCAAGGCTCCCAGGAGGTTCGGGGCAGAGGTGTGCTCTGTGTTAACATCTGTTCTCCTCTCTGCCAGCAGAATATCAAGCATGCCACAGTTTCACATCATCCATTCCTCTCTACAGGCCGAGAGGCAGGGCCGTATTGTCTTCCTTCTCCAATCAGAAGGTGAATTGCACAAGGGCTAGGTAACCTGAACAAGGGGAGGCAGTCCTACATGTAAGGCAGGTCTCTGTTGGAAAGATGGAGAGACCCAGGGTATAACACACATTGACTAATCACCATCTCTGCTACCAGTTCTTGGATGCCACCAGAACGTGGCCCAGGCAGTGGGGCCAACTGGGTGGGCAGATGGCAGCCAGGAGCAGCCACCAAGGGCTAGGGTAGGAGCCCTTGGCCACTTGGCAGGAGACAGTGAACAAGCTTCGAAATCAGCAACAGCACTTGGGTTCATGATGTGGAAATCATCAAAACACCATCGCCCACTGCAAATAGATCATGGAGGTAGACTATGGTACCTGCAAGAGCTGTAGATGGCAGAGAGTGGAGCAGTTTCCCCTGGGAAGCTCCTGAGTGCAAGCTCCAGCTTTGGGATATGTTCCTTCCCTCTGGAGAAGGCCCCAGAAAAGGACACAGAAACAGACACTGCTTCTCACAGGGAGTCAGCAGAGCCTGGCCCCCACGCTTGCTAGATTCTATCAAATCCAGCAAGCCGAGCATGGGGTGCAGGGCAGGGTGGGAAGTGCATAGTCTGCCCAGCTCTGAGCTGATCCCCACCAGTTAGTTGCTGTGTCAACATGGGAAGTCAGCCTAGCTTCTCTGGTCTTCATCTGTAAATCGAGGATTAAAAAAAAAAAAAAAGCAGCTACTCAGCCGGGCACAGTGGCTCACACCTGTAATCCCAGCTCTTTGGGAGGCTTAGGCAGGAAGATCGTTTGAGGCCAGAAGATTGAAACCAGCCTGGAAGGCTGGGCGCGGTGGCTCACGCCTGTAATCCCAACACTTTGGGAGGCCGAGAGGGGAGGATCATGAGGTCAGGAGTTCAAAACCAGCCTGGCCAAGATGGTGAAACCCTGTCTCTGCTAAAACTACAAAAATTAGCCAGGGGCAGTGGCAGGCACCTGTAATCCCAGCTACTCGGGGAGTTGAGGCAGGAGAATCACTTGAAGCTAGGCAGCAGAGGTTACAGTGAGCCGAGATCACGCCACTACACTCCAGCCTCGGCGACAGAGTGAGAATCTGTCAAAAAAAAAAAGAAGGAAAGGAAGGAAGGAAGGAAGGAAGGAAGGAAGGAAGGAAGGAAAGAGAAAGAAAGAAAGGAAGGAAGGAGGGAGGAAGGAAGGAAGGAAGGGGAAAGAAAGAAAGAAAGAGAAAGAGAAAGAAAGAAAGAAAGAAAGAAAGAAAGAAAGAAAGAAAGAAAGAAAGAAAGAAAGAAAGAAAGAAAGAAAGAAAGAAAGAAAAGAAAAGAAAGAAACCAGCCTGGCCAACATGGCGAGACCCCTGTCTCCACTAAAAATACAAAAATTAGCTGGGCATGGTGGCGTATGCCTGTAATCCCAACTGCTTGGGTGGCTGAGGCAGGAGAATTGTTTGAACCTGGGAGGCAGAGGTTGCAGTGAGCTGAGATTGTACCACAGCACTCCAGCCTGGGCGACAGAGCAAAACTCTGTCTCAAAACAACAACAACATAAAACAGCTGCTCCTGGACTGGGGTGGGATGGATGGGAGTATTGTACTGCAGTGTCTGCAGAGTGCTCAACACAACCTCTGGCTCAGAGTGGGTGCTTGATAAACACTTTGTTATTCTCAGGGTCTAATTGTTGTCCTTATTCCTGTTGCCTGGTAGGCAAATTAGGTTTCAGGACAGATAGTCTGGATTTGAATCCTAGCTCTGCCACTTGCTGGGAATGTGACTATTGACAAACCACTCTACTTCCCGATGGCTCCGTTTTCTTATCTACAGAGACGCGGACGTGATCAGCAGCCATAGGGGACCATTGAGGATTACAGAATTAAAGCAAGTGGTGCAGTATGAGCTTTCAAAAATAACAGTCTCAACCCAAACTGAGGAGTGTTTCTATAAAACAACTTACCTGGACTCTTCAAAAATGTCAGAGTCGTCCGGGTGCGGTGACTCTCGCCTGTAATCCCAGCACGTTGAAAGGCCAAAGTGAGTGGATCACTTGAGGTCAGGAGTTCGAGACCAACCTGGCCAACATGGTGAAACCCCGTCTCTACTAAAAATACAAAACTTAGCCAGGCTTTGTGGCACACGCCTGTAATACCAGCTACTCGGGAGGCTGAGGCAGGAGGATCACTTGAACCCGGGAGGTGGGGGTTGCAGTGACCTGGGATCATGCCACTGTACTTCAGCCTGGACCACAGAGTGAGACTCTATATCAAAAAAAAAAAAAAAAAAAATCAAAGTCAAGTATGACTGGGGAACATGAGACACAGCCACTAAATGCAATAATGATCCATAATTGGGAAAAAATAGTCAAAAGGGACATTATTGGGACTACTGATCAAATTGTGTGTGGCCTGAGGATTGGATAATACAATTGCAGCAATGCTAAATTTCCTGAGTTTGATAATTATACAGTCGTTATGTAAAAGAATGTCGTTATCCTTGGGGAGCACACACTGAATATTTAGGGATGAAAGGGCATGTCTACAACTTACTCAAATGGATCAGGAAAAAATAGCGTATTTGGTGGTGGGGTGGAGTGTGAGTTAACAACTGATGATCTGGGTGTGCAGTAGTTCTTCATATGTTCATAATTTTTTTCTGCAAGTTTTAAATTATATTAAAATAAATAAGGACCACAAGCTACAGAACAAGAGGGCGAGAATCACCCTGAAGAGCCTGGAGTATTAACCATCCATGCAAGCAAGAAATCAAAGCCTTTCTCAAAAAAACCTATGTCACCTTAATCACAGATGTTAGGATTTATTACGTAGAAAACTACAAAGGGTAAGGCTGAAATTTCATTTGAACCACCACCTCCGTCCAAGAAGAAGAAAGAAAAATGGATGGCTACTACTGTTCCTACAGCCCATGGCCAGGCTGGCAGGGCCATCAGGAAATAATTAGGCCACATCCGAGCCATCCAGCAGCCTGGCACATAGGTGAGCTGGGATTTGACCCCAGGCTGCCTCAACAGGAGGCCAGAGGGAGGCAGGTACTCCAAGTCAAGCAGCAGCCAGCCCCAAGATCAGCCCTTCCTCTGAAGCCGAGGCCCCACGCACTGTAAGGCCGAGCCCTTAATACGGCTGCAAACTTCAGGGGAGCCCAGACCCGTGTCTCCCTGCCCTGTGTACTCCCATCACACTGCCCCCACCACTGTGCACAACAGGTGCTCAACACTCGTCTGTAGATGTACTCATGGACACACATCTTCTTTTCAATAATGCACAGACTCTTTCAGGAAGAAGGAGCAAGAAACCTGCAACAACTGTGTCCCAGGGAGGAGAAACAGGGGTCTGGGGACATGAGGGTTGGCAGTCTTCATTGGAAAACTTTGTATACCTTTTGGATTTTGTGTCTTGTAAATGCTTTACTGATTCAAAAAGTTTTGTTTTGTTTTTCTTAATTCTTTTAATTGATTCATTTATTTTATTAATTAATTAATTAATTAATTAATTATTTTTGTAGAGGCAGAGTCTCACTGTGTTGCCCAGGCTGGTCTGGAACTCTTGAGCTCAAGCCATCCTCCCTCCCCTGCCTCCCAAAGTGCTGAGATCACAGGCATGAGCCACTGAACCCAGCCATTTTGTTTTTTTAATATAAAAGGAAAAAAAGAAATTGACAAAGTTACCTGTGAGGCTGCCATGAGTGCGAAGTCATGAGTAATCCCATGCTACTTAATGCTGAGTCCCCGGCACACAGCTGTTGCTCACTATGCTACACATCCTCTTGTTTTCAGAGGGTGAAGAGACTAGAATGATTAAAGACTCAGAGTCAGCAGCATCACTGATTTTACTGGAGAGTGTTTAGATTTGATCACCAAAAGTCCAGTCCTTATGTTTCTGAAACTCTAGAGCTGCTGTTAAAACAAGGTAGGAAAGCCAGCCTCAAGTAATCCTAACATCGTTATCCAACTCCAATAGGTGCCAGGAACTGTGAAGATGTTTTCATCCCTACAACAACCCAAGAAGGTGGGTAGGTGCTCACATTATCCCCATCTTACATTTCAAGAAACCACGTCACAGAATGGTCACAAAAGGCGCCCAAGACCTCTGCAGAGGGAGAAGCCTGGTAGGTGAAGGAAGGAAGTCTAGCGCCAGAGACTGGGCTTCTAAAGTCTATAGTCTTGAAGGGAATGTGAGGACCACCACTGTCCCAGGAAAAAAGGATTTTGACTCAGAGAACCCTGGGTTCCAAGCCAAGCTCCCTCCAAAAGCCGCAGGTGTGGTCAGACAGCCTTTGGTGGCACCACCTCCTGGGAGGACTGAAGAAGATAATATGTGAGGAAATGCTTTGGAAACTGTAAAGTGCCATGCAAATCTCACCGTAGAAACAGAGGATGCAGTGGGGGTGTGGGAAGAAAGGAGGCATCTGGAAGTTCAACCTTACCAGGACGTTTTCCCTGAGCCATTAGAAGTATTTCCACTCCTAGTCTTCTACCTCAAACTTTCCTTTTTGTACTACACTTACATTCAACTTTCCCTCAAAAACATCCTCCCACTTCAGAGGTGTTAAGTTATTAAGTCAGCCCTAAATGTAAATAGTTTTCATTTCTCTAACCCCAAAAACCTCCCTTCCCGCCAGCATGCTTTGGTCTTGTCACCCAGAACATCAAAGCCATTGTTTTCCGTAAAAGCGTTCTGATCACTTGGGTGACTTGTGCAGATAAACACCACCCACCACATGCCAGGCTGTGCAGCACCTTCCTGGTGCCCTGTCAGGAGGTGAACGCGCCAGGAAAAAATGCCGAACTCTACTGGCAAATGCTTTGCACATGGTCACATGCCCTGCACCTCTCTCCAAGCTCTTTGGGTAGCCTTGGCCAGTCCCTTCCCCACAAGGGCCCTCTTGCAGAGGAAAGAGGTTGGACCAAGCAATCTCTAGTTCTCCTTGAGATCTAAAATTCACTGATTCCATCTCATCCTCCCTGCTAGGAACTTCCTGAAATATAATAGTTCATTTACAAACACACACACACACAGAAGCTAAGTAACTGGGTATAAGCTGGGCTCTAAGCCTGGGCGCGGTAGCTCACGTCTATAATCCCAGCACTTTGAGAGGACAAGGCAGTGGATCTCTTGAGGTCTGAAGTTCAAGACCAGCCTGGCCAACATGGTGAAACCCCATCTCTACTAAAAATACAAAAATTAGCTGGGTGTTGTGGTGGATGCCCGTAATCCCACCTACTCAAGAGGCTGAGGCAAGGAATCACTTGAACCCAGGGGGTGAAAATTGCAGTGAACCAAGATTGCACCACTGCACTATATCCTGGGCAACAGAGCGAGACTCTGTCTCAAACAAAAAAAAAAAAAAAAAAAAGAAGCTGTAGTTTTTGGTGACTCACAGAGGAGAAAATATATTTTTCCACTTAGCTCAAAAGAATGGTTCCTCCATTCTTCAATTACTCAACTGATGTAATGATGTAAAGTCACCAAGCCAATGGGGCACCTGGGGAAGTTCCAGGCTCCTGGGAGTTCAAACGTCAATGAAGGTAAGTGAAGCAGGGAATTTCCTATGGTGGACAGGTGCGCCCAGAGGTGGGCTGCAACAGAGAGCCCCCTCCCTGAGAAAACATCCCATATCCATTCAAGTCTCCAGCTCAATAAGCCACCTTCTAGGGAACCCAGGAAACACTGAGCCCAACGCTGGCCCAGAGCCCATCGTCCAGGAAGTCACGCCCCCAGTATGCAGGTTGCCTCTTCCAGGAAGTCAGTGTTGAGCCACCGCTCAGCCCAAACCCCCTAGACTATAACCTCCGTAAGGGTAGTAATCGTGACTGACATGTCATAGGAACATAATAGATATACATATTTGCTAAATGAATTACTCACAGTGCTTCCGTAAAGCTTAGGTAATTCCATTCCCCCCAATACTGTGTGCTTTTATGTACTAGATACTGGGGATAAAATGGTAAGCAAAGCAGATATTTGGCCAGGCACAGTGGTTCACACCTATAATCCCAGCGCTTCAGGAGGTCGAGGCAGGAAGATCGCTTAATGCCAGGAGCTCAAGACCAGCCTGGGGAGCACAGTGAGACCCCATCTCTACAAAAATATTTTAAAAATTAGCCGGATGCTGTGGTATGGACCTGTAGGTCTAACTACTTGGGAGGCTGAGGTGGAAGGATCGCCTGAGCCCAGGAGATCAAGGCTGTAGTGGGCTATGATCATGCCAATACACTCCAACCTGGGTGACAGAGCAAGACCCTTTCACTGAAAACAAACCACCACCACAACAAAAAAACAAAGCAGATGTTTCTCCATCCAGGCTTCTTCTAAAGCAGTTACTAAAGTGCTGGCAGATGACCATCAGCTATCAGCCCTCTCTGGGAACTGCCTTGGCCGAATACAATCACCTTGTTCAAGATTAGGCATCCTTTGGGTGGTGGGGTCGGGGGCACATGAAATGACTGATCAACCCTCACCTCAATTCAGGACAATTCTGAAGGATCAGTCTAGCTCCCAGGCTCCTCTGGCATTGGCCTTTGTTGGGACATTGTTACAGCTCCACTTCTCCCTCTGCCCAACTATGGTTTCTTCTCCTTCAGTTTCACAGCTGTTGATCCCAAAGGAATCCCATAATAAACATCCTACTTGCTAATCTACATCTTAGCGTCTGTTTCCTAGAGAACACAGCCTGCATCGCAAAGGTTTATATGACAGATGCTCAGGCCTTGTGTCACCAAGATGAAGGTTCCAGGACCAGAAGGGCAAACATATCATAGCAAATGGGAGCTACTTTGTGGGAACACCTTGCTGACAAGGATGGAAAGCCTGGACTCAAGGCTGGCATCAACAAGCAAGGGTAGTGAGCAGTGTGCAAACACTTGTGATCGTTTGAATGCGTGGATGAATCCCAGCTCATTGAGTTAGAGACCCATTTTCTTCAACTTTGTTCACCTAGCACCTAATATAAAAAAGGAGTTTGGTAAAACTTCTGTTGGGTGATTAGATGATGACCAGATGGACAAATAGATAGATGAACTTACACATTTGGTTGAGTTTATTGTTAGACAATAAATGAAAGATGATTATTTGGTACAGGTTAAATTGTGTCATTTGTGTAAAGTATTAATCACAATGTCCAAATAACAATAATGCTAAAAATGGCAACCGCCAAGGCGGAAGGGTCACTTGAGGCCAGGAGTTTGAGATCAGCCTGGGCAACATAGTGAGACCTACAAACACAGACACACACGTAAATACATTAGCAAGGCAGCTTAAGTCTAGGAGTTCAAGAATACACTGAGTTATGTTTCTGCCACTGCATTCCAGCCTAGGCAACAAAGCAAAACCTTGTCTCCAAAAAAAATTATAATAATAATGGTCCGGGTGCGGTGATTCACACCTGTAATCCCAGCACTTTGGGAGGCTAAGGAGGGCAAATCACCTGTTTTCACGAGTTCTAGACCAGCCTGGACAATATGGTGAAACCTCATCTCTACTAAAACCACAAAAAAATTAGCCAGGTGTGGTGGCACGTGCCTGTAATCCCAGCTACTCAAGAGGCTGAGGCAGGAGAATCACTGGAACCCAGGAGGCAGAAGTTGTAGTGAGCCGAAATTGTGCCGCCTCTGCACTCCAGCCTGGGCAACAGAGCGAGACTCCGTTTAATAATAATAATAATAAATAATAATAATAAACAAAAACATGACAACTAAGGCTGGATGTGGTGGCTCAGGAATGTGCATTGGGAGGCCAAAGCAGGAGGACCACTTGAAGCCAGGAATTTGAGATCAGCCTGGGCAACATAGTGAGATACTGTCTCTACAAAAAAAAATTTTTTTTTAAATTAGCCAGGTATGGTGGTACACACCTATAATCCCAGCTACTCAGGGAGGCTGAGGCAGAAGGATTGCTTGAGCCCAGGAATTTGAGGCTGCAGTAAACTATGATTGCACCACTGCACTCCAGCCTGGGTGACAGAGCAAGACCCTATCTCTTAAAAAAAAAGAGAAAGAGAAGTAAGCTACTCATGGAGAACTTCCTGTAAGACGTAACTTGTGATCAGCAGCTTGAAAGAAGTGACAGTGTGGAAGTAAGCATGCAAGAGAAGAGAAGAGCAACAAGACATTAGCACATAAGCCCTGACTCTGCTCTGCTCATCAGATGCTGGGGTAAATATAACACTGTCACTAGGATAGCCCAGCAATGCATGGGGAAGCATGCTGTCACCTAACACCCATCACCACGGACGTGGGTGAGAACATGCCTGCAACCAGGGGAGATGAACAGTTGACAGAAGGCACCGAACTTACAACTGCGGTTTACAGACTTAATCCTATAGTGATAAGAAGCCTTCAAGCTTATGGAACTAAGGTGTTGGGTGACAGCTAGTAATGCAAGTGTCAGAACTGATACAAGGTATCTTTTTTTTGACACAGAGTCTGGCTTCGTTGCCGAGGCTGGAGTGTGGAGGCATGATCTCGGCTCACTGAAACCTCCACCTCCTGGGTCCAAGAAATTCTCCAGCCTCAGCCTCCCGAGTAGCTGGGGTTACAGGCATGTGCCACCATGCCAGGCTAACTTTTTTGTATTTTTAGTAGAGATGGGGTTTCACCATGTTGGCCAGGCTGGTCTCGAACTCCTGATCTCAAGTGATCCGCCCACCTCAGCCTCCCAAAAGTGCTGGGATTACAGGTGTGAACCACCATGCCCAGCCAAGATTTCTTAAATAATCCAACCTTTGAACTGTCCACAGTTTCTTCAGGTATCTCCTGCAGCAGATGGGGGCTTAGGAAGTACCTGGAGCCTCCATTGTGAGAAAACAGCTTCAGGGGCAGAACCCACACTTGAGAAGCCCAGACTCCAGCTTCAGTTTCCCCCCAGGAAATGTACACACCCTGGGGGCCATCCTCATTCAGATGCCCACCAGACCTACTGCACATCCTTATTTCTGAGGGTGATACCTGGAGAAAGAGATGAGAGGATTAAGGACAAGGGGAATAAATTAGAGCCTGGGCTTTGTGCAAACAAGAGTAAGTGATGAGGACAATAAGAAAGGGATAGTAAAGTTTGCTTGGGAAAATCACAAAACCAGTGGCGTCACAGAGGCTATTTGCTAAGTGGTACGAAGTATTCTAGAGAACACTGATGCCTTTAGCCTATTACTACACATCGTGGATCTGGGAGCACCTAAAACACTAAATACTGGGGCTGTCAGAGATGGCAGGTGGGATGACAACTCAAAAAACCAAACTCCAGGGAAGGCTGGGATGCTGTGTGTCAGGTTGAAGGTCACAAGTCACAAAGAGGCAGTAAAGCTCAGAGCTGAAGCAGACAGGCCTTGCTGCTGAGCTACCTGGGCTGGAACTGAGTCTCCACCACTTCCTTCCTGTGTGACCTCTGTGTGGCAGAGCAACGAGCACCTCCCTGAGGCTCAGACCTGATATATGATATGGGGATAAGGATACAGAGCCCCCAAAGTGTCTGTCAGAACTGAACATGACCTGTGCCAAGCCCCTGATGCCTGGTTAATGTTCAATAAGTAGGTGCCGGTGTTATTATAACCATAGGTCACAGTGCCACCCTTTCCAACTGTACTCCACAAATCCCTAGGGGGTCAAGAGAGCCTCCTGAGTGACTTCTGGGGGCCAGGTGGAGATGGGAGGTTCAGCAGGAGGACTATAACCCTATTTTTATCAAAGCAGCTCTCCTTTAACAAGTTACAGGTATAAAGCTTGCATATAAGATTTCAGTAGCCAGTGGAGTTTGAGGGCTTTAAGACAGCAGAAGAACTTCAAATATTCATCCTCTTGTTTATTAGTAATAATAATAAACACTCAAGAAAGCAAGGAACTCATCTAAACTCACCTGGCAAGTCAGAGGCAGGGAAAGGGAAGCTGCAGCTGCTGGCCCTGAATCTCCCACACAGGCAATTAAAGCTGCTCTGGAGAAGGGTTGGAAGAGATGACCTCTGAGGTTTCTTTTAACTCTGAGATTCTGCAACTGCAAGTTGAAATTCTAACTCCCATCCTTTTATTCCCCCTGAGTTGAATGTGGGCATTTCTGCAAACCCAAAGATGTAAGCTCCACTCTTCCTTAGAGACAACAAGGCTCTTTAAAATCCATCCTGGCTTCTCCCTGCTAGCCTCAGCCTTCCTACAGAGGAAGGTTCCAGCTGGAGAGCTAGGGAGGGCTCCAGGCACTCAATGTCAGACAGGCAGAGACAAACAGGGCTAGAGAAGCCTCCAGCTCCACAGGATGTGGTGAGTGAAGCAGCAAGAGAAAACCAGAAAAAACCATCTAGAAACACAACAGCCCCACAAATAAAGAGACAACATGAACACACAGGGACTTTTCTTCTCTTCGTTTTTCAAGCTAGGAAACCGAAAAATAGTTGAAGGAGCTGTATCTCAAAGCTTTCTGAAGAAAAACCCTGCCTAGCTCATAAGACAAATCTAGGGGGACAACTGTTAAGTTTGAAGTCATAAAGACCATAAGGCCAGTTCAGTGATTTCATGCAGAACCCCACGACGTGAAGAGCAGGGTGTTGCAATCTCAGCCTTCAAACTCAGGGGCCAGTGTGCTAAGCTGAATTTCATACAAAGGCTCAATGTTGAAGCTCGCTCATTTTAAGTCAAGGCTGCGTTGCAACTGGCTCAACTTGAAGGCATCCACATGGAAAGTAACGAACTTGGCTGGAGGAGCAGCCAATGTCAGCATTCCCAAAGAGAGTTGGTAAACACACAGAGGCAAAAAAGAAAATTGGCCTCACTAAGGATAAAAAAATATATAAATCTAACAAGAGATCATTCTGCATCCATTGAATGATAATTTTTTTAAGCTAATAATACCCAGTGTTGATGAGGTTGTGGTGAAACTGGCATGTCCACATGTTGATGGAAGCAGCATAAACAACCTTATTTGAAAGTAATTTGGCAATGTGGGACAAGAGTCATAAAACTGTGCCCTTTGACTCAATAATCCTGCTGAGAATCTGTCCAAAAGATTTTCCAAGAAGAAAAAGGTTATATGCACGAAGATGCTCATGGCACCCTTAGAAGTGTAACGGCAAACTACTAGGCACTTTAATTTTTAACAACAGAGAACTGATTTAGAATATGACTTGTCCACTTGATGAAGCATTATATACTCTCTAAAAATGATCATTTGTAAGCTGCTTTAATAAAATGAAAAAATATTTAGGGTACATCAAATGTTTAGGATATATTATAATAAAAATGTTTCCGCTTTAGGATTAAAAAAAAGTGACTACAAACTATTCCCTACACCTATGACTATATAAAATCATTAATTAATGTAAAGACAAAACATATCAGATATCTGAAAACAATCTGATTAGTCAAGGAAGAGTTACTGATTTTGTTTTCTCACCCGTATCTATTCTTTGGAAATACAATGCTGTGTAATAAATGACATCAATAATGATGATGGGCTGGGTGCAGTGGCTCGCACCTGTAATCCCAGCACTTTGGGAGGCCGAGGCAGGTGGATCATTTGAGGTCATGAATTTGAGACTAGCCTGGCCAACACGGTAAAACCCCATCTCTACTAAAAAATACAAAAGTTAGAGCCGTGTAGCAGTGCGCACCTGTAGTCCCAGCTACTCAGGTGGCTGAAGCAGGTGAATTGCTTGAACCCGAGAGAAAGAGGTTGCAGTGAATCAAGATTGTGCCACTGCCCTCCAGCCTGGGTGAGAGTGAGACTCCATCTCAAAAGAAAAATTAATAATAATGATGATGATGATGATGATGATGCTGACTTTTTTTGGGAAAACTTCAATAATGGATAAAATTAGGATAAAACTCTGGGGAACTGGAAATAGAATTCAGGATATGAGAAAGGATCAAACTCAGAGGCATTTGAGCATCAAGTCAAAGAAATATGATCTCTAATCAGAGAATGGAAACTGTAGGCACCAATGGGGTGA
Source organism: Homo sapiens (assembly GCF_000001405.40). Taxonomy (NCBI): domain Eukaryota; kingdom Metazoa; phylum Chordata; class Mammalia; order Primates; family Hominidae; genus Homo; species Homo sapiens. Next base: position 127,974,218 of record NC_000008.11, on the reverse strand, counting down.
TATATTAGCAACGTCAGCTCTCCAGGCCCCATGGCACATCCGGCAGTATCTGATCATCTCAGCTCTGTAAGATTCAGTCTTCTTCCTCCTCCTCCTCACACAGCCCAGTGTTCAAAGAGGAACAGAAAAACCCAATCTGTGTAATTTAAGTGCCCACCCTTCGAAAATATAAAGCCCTGCTGAGAGGCCAAGAAATAAATACTGAATTTCCTAAACTATGTCTTCTTTTTTTTTTTTTCTGAGACGGAGTCTCGCTCTGTCCCCAGGCTGGAGTGCAGTGGTGCGATCTCGGCTCACTGCAAGCTCCTCCTCCCGGGTTCACGCCATTCTCCTGCCTCAGCCTCCCGAGTAGCTGGGACTACAGGCATCCACCACCACGCCCGGCTAATTTTTTTGTATTTTTAGTAGAGATGGGGTTTCACCATGTTAGCCAGGATGGTCTCGATCTCCTGACCTCGTTGATCCACCCACCTCAGACTCCCAAAGTGCTGGGATTACAGGTGTGAGCCACCGTGTTTGGCCTTCTTTTTTTTTTTTTCAAAAAGGCAACTTGGGTCAGCTTCTACACTGGCACTAGAAGTAATGAGGAACTTTAGTTTTCCATCAGGTGGGACCTAGTTGGGATTTCCAGTGTGGACCACAATCCCAACACACAGTTGTCCTCACTGAAAGTCCAAGCAGGGGTGGCCAAGGCAAAGGTAGCACTTTGGAATCACAGGGGACCTAAGTCTAGTTCTGACTCCAACAGTACCAGCTCTGTGCCTTTGGGCATGTTATTTTACCCCCATGACCTCAGTATTCACATCCATAAAATGGGGACATTTCAGAACTTTCCTCCTAGCAGCATGGTGAGTACTTAGTGTAGCTCCTGGCAGTAGTCGCGGCTCACTAACTGGTGGCTCTCTCCATTATTCTTATTTCCTATGTACCCCTGTCATTGATTCGTCTCCCAGGTCTTCAGGTACCAGGTGTGCACACATGGCAAGGGAGGGCACACAGGTAAATGACTAAATGCAGCTGAACAGCCAGGCATGGTGGCCCACACCTGTAATCCTGGCACTTTGGGAGGTCAAGGCAGGAGGATTGCTTGGAGTTCAAGACCAGCCTGGGCAACATAGCAAAACTCCATCTCTACAAAAAATATATACATATATAAAAACTTAACTGGACATTGTGGCATGAACCTGTAGTCCTAGCTACTCGGGAGGATTGCTTGAAGCCAGTAGTTCGAGGTTATAGTGAGCTATGATTACATCACTGCACTCCAACCTGTGTGACAGAATGAGACTCTCTCTCTAAAAATTTGTTTTAATCAAAAATTTTTTTTAATATACAGCTCAAACTTGGCTGACATTAGGATCACCTGGGAGCTTCAAGAAGCACAGATGCCCCAGTCCTTCCCAGAGCAATTATGTCATCAGCTTCTCTGGGAGCGGAACCCTGGCAAAGCTATTTCTATTTATTTATTATTATTTTTTTTGAGACAGAGTCTTGCACTGTTGCCCAGGGTAGAGTGCAATAGCGGGATCTCGGCTTACTGCAACCTCTGCCTCCTGGGTTCAAGTGATCCTCCTGCCTTAGCCTCTTGAGTAGCTGGGATTACAGGTGCCTGCCACCACACCCAGCTAATATTTTGTATTTTTAGTAGAGACAGGGTTGCACCATGTTGGTCAGGCTGGTCTTGAACTCCTGACCTTGTGATCCGACCACCTCGGTCTCCCAACGCACAGCTATTTTTAAAGCTGATTCCACTGTGCCACTGGGTTGGGGCACATCTAACTCAAGCAGGAGCAACCCAGTGATAATTGACTTAGGCCACAGTTCAACAGCTCCAATTGAAACCATCGAACACCCTGTGAGTGACCAGCAAATAAATGGCAAGGGGCTCCCCAACTCCCTGCCTGCTGCTCAGCCCAGTGACTTTCTGCAAAGCAAGAAAGCTGGCCGGCTGGAGTGGCCTGCCCCACGGAGGCCACTGGGAAGCACCTGACCAATATGGGTGGCGCACTGACAGTCTTGGGGTGAACACAAGCCCCTGGGGCAGAACTTCGCCCCAGCATGCAGCTTGAAGGTCTTGCTGCTGCCATCCCAACACTGGAGTGCAGCAGTAGTTCCTGAGGAATCTGCAGGCTCCTCAGGAGCAGGTGTCCAGGGAGGCTGAGGCCAGATGCCTTGCCTTTCCCAGCCCCAGTGAAGAGACCAGGACAGCAATTCTCAGACTGGCTTTTCCAAGGGCGATCTGAGTAGAGGAGGGGCTTGCTGGGCCATCTTCACCACAGTCATCTGCCTGACAGTCTCACTTGGCCGGACTGTCCGAAGACCAGCATTCTACTCTTCCTTTCTCCATTTCTAAAGAATCCTCAGTAAACAGCCTGAAGCCTCGATAATAACAGCCCGTTTCTGTCCCGGTGGTGACAGATATGCTAAGAATGTTCCATGCACACAACCTGCAGTAGCTCCTGTAACCTCACAGTGGGCATTTGGGGTTGATGCTGTCCTTATCCCCATTTTACGGATGAGAAAAGCGAGGCCCAGAGAGGTAGTCTACCTTGTCCAAGGTCATAGCAGACTGGAACTCGTGGCCTGGCATGGGTTCCAGAGGCTGGGCTGCTCTATGCTACACTGCAGTGCCCTGGCTTGAGGGCTGCCCTCTTCATTGATTCCTTCCTTTAATCAAAAAATATTATTGGGCCCCTGCTCTATGCCAGTGCAGGGCAGGGGGCTGGAGCTATTGCATGGGAAGAGATATAGGCGGTCTTCTCAAGAGCTCTCACCTGAAAGCTAACTGTCACAAACAATCCCTAACAGATCATGTACTCTTGGAAACCTCTCTAAGCAGTGTGGGCCTGGACCGTCTCCTGCAGAGGCCCAGCAGGGGATGGAGGCAGAGGAGCAGGGGATCAGGGTGCAGGCTTCAGGGTCAGGCAGACCTGGAGGTGAATGCCAGCTGTGTAGGGACTGGCTGCATGATCTGGGCAAGCTCCTCCCTGGCCCTCGGCTGCCAAGGCCTGCTATGCAGAGCAAATGAGAAACTGTCTGCCCTCCATAAAAAAATAGCTCCGACTAGTTAGAAATCAGAAGTGCAGTTTAGAACCGGGGCTGGCAATCTTTTTCTTTAAGGGTTAGACAGAAACTATTTTAGGCTTTTTGCAGGCCACAGGGTCTCTGTCAGGACCAGACTCTGCTGTTATAATGGTACCTAAGCAGCACTGATAGCACATAGAAGAATTGACATGGCTATGTGCCAATACAATTTTATTTACAAAAACTGATAGCCTGTCAGTTTGCTGGCCCCTGATTTAGATGACATGAGATGGGACATGTAACAGCCATGACATCAGTTAGCTGAGTCATAACCTGCTCTGTTTTCATTTTCTTTTGCCTCCTCCTAGAGCACTTGGGCTTTAAGGTAATAGTGATTCTCAGTTTTTTGAGGTTTCCTACTTTCTTTGGTGGTCTTTAGTTTTTGTTTTTATTTTTTGGGGAGGTGTCTTACATAGCTTTATTTAACCCTAAAGTGCCCATAACCAACGATGAGACCCCAGTCCTAAGTCTTCCCCCTGGCACCTGTTAGGCTGTGACAGAGGGTTGGAGATTGACGGCTAGTAAAAAAACAAGTCGGCTGGGCGTGGTTGCTCATGCCTGTAATCCCAGCATTTTGGGAGGCCGAGGCGGGCGGATCACGAGGCCAGAAGATCAAGACCATCCTGGCTAACACGGTGAAACCCTATCTCTATTAAAAATACAAAAAAAATTAGCCAGGCATGGTGGCGGGCGCCTGTAGTCCCAGCTACTCGGGAGGCTGAGGCAGGTGAATGGCGTGAGCCTGGGAGGCAGAGCTTGCAGTGAGCTGAGATTGCGCCACTGCACTCCAGCCTGGGTGACAGAGTAAGACTCTATCTCAAAAAAAAAAAAAAAAAAAAAAAAAACAAATCATGGCAGATGGAGAGGAATGTGAATGCGGACAAAACTCTGTAGCTTATGCTGAAATGTGTGCCCCCTGAGGGTCTGAGGAGACAGAGAAAGGAGAAGAGAAGGTTAGGCATAGCAGGAAAGGTGAGTAAGCCACATGCCTGGATGCACAATTCCTGCTCATATGGTAAGGCCTTTCCTTCTTATTCAAGAGCCAAAGGGGGGTTGGGCATACTTGCTCCAGGCAAAAAGGGCTGCTGGAGACCATGGGTGTCAGAGCCCTGTCTTCTTGTCTTCTTTTCTGGGAAGAAAAGTTCCACTTCATCCATGCAACAAGTTCCTATCACCCCTGGGCCCACTGCAAAGAATATCGCCCAGACTGGATGGACAGCGCTGCTCCTGCTCTGTCCTCTGCAGACAAGCTTTTGTCCTGGGCCAATAGTGGCCTCTATGTCAGACAGGCCAGGGTTCAATCCCAGCACTTGCACTGGTAAACTGTGTAGACCTTAGGCAAGTTTCTTATTTCTGAGTCTCACTTTCCCATCTTTATCTTGGTGGTGAAAATAGCTATATTCATCCACTCAGCAATCATTTACTGGAGTGGATATGACTCTTTACTTCCTAGCACTGTACCCAGGAAGGGCTGAGAGAAGCCTGGAACACAGTGAGTACTCAGGAAGAGGCAGTGAAGAGGACTGCAGATTCCTTGGAAGCCCAGCACAATGCTGACTCACAGGAAACAAACAGGAATGTTTGAATGGCTGCATACCAATCTGAGGATGACTCGAGCCCCCAGATGGTCAGTGTCCAACTCAGAGGGCTGTAGAACTTCAGAACATGATATGTGGTGGCCAGCAGGGGCTCCAAAAGGCATCCTGGAAAGGCCGGGGTCTGAAATGAACAGATTTTAGGTGGGTCAGAAAAGCTCTCGGCCAGGGAGAATCAAGATAAAGGAATGGAATCAAGATAAAGGAATGGAAACCAGCAGAGCCTGGGGGTCGCCACCTGGTTGATGCAAACTATGGGTTGGAGGCTTGGATTACCAGATTTCAGCAGATTTAATGACAAGTCCTATGACATAATAAATACCCATTAATAATGAAGAATGAAAGAGAGGATTCCCAGCCATATCAGCAGAGGCAAGTGTCAAAGTTCGCTTATAAACATGCAATTCCTTGCTCTAAATGGAGTCTAGGAAAGCCATCACCTCAAGATAGGATGAGATTCCCTTCTGTATTAGATTCTCAGGGTACAAATGGTCGCAAAATAGGTGGCTTGAAACAACAGAAATGTTTTCTCTCACTGTTCTGGAGGCTGCAAGTCCAAAATCAAGGGGACAGCAGGGCCGTGCTGTCTGTGAAGCCTCTGAGGGGAAACCCTTCCTTGCCTCTCCTGGCTTCTGGTGGCTGCCAGGAATCCATGGCCTCCCTTGACTTGGTGCTGTATCCCTCTAATCTCCACCTCCATCATCACATGGCCTTCCTCCCAGAGTGTGTCTGTATCCACGTGTCCTTTCTCTTAGAAAAACATCCTTCATTGGATTAAGAGCTCACCATACCCCAAGATGACCTCACCATAACTTTATTACGCCCTCAAAGATCCTTCCAACTAAGGTCACGTTCAAGGGCACAGGGGTTAGGACCTGAACATATCTATTTAGGGGATACAATTCACCCACTGTACTAACCCTTTTAGGGCCTCCCTGATACACCCTACTGGCCAGCTTTTGCCTAAGCCAGGCCTCTCATTGTGTCTTCAGTTAACAGGAACATAATCCTGCGTCCCTGGTGGCAACTGTAAAATCAGAGAAGCTTCATGTGCTGACCTCATCTCCAAGAGCACTTACGTTCTGCATCCACGTCAGTGCTGTCTTGGTGTCTCCCTAATGGTATTTTTGAAAGAGGTTTCAAACCACCCCCCATCCCACCCCACCCTACAGCTGAGCCAGCACTCTACACTCAACAGGCATCCAGATGCATGGTGTCTTAACAACAGACATCCCCAGACCTGCAACAGTTAGGAAGCCAGGCAGTTAGTGAGGGACCATCGAGGACAGATCCTGTTCCCAAAAGCCAGGCAGGAGGGTCACTTTGGAAAAGGGACGTATACACCCCTGCCTGTTTTGCAGGTTCTCCCAATCAGTTCTGACAGATCCAGAACTTCTCCCCAGCTGCCATTTGGAAAACCCTATGCAATCTGTGTATGGAGTCAGCCAGGCAGACCTTCCATAAACATTTGTCAGGCTCCACTCTCCTACACAGGATTGTTGGCTGAGCACAAATGTGAACAAAGGTCAGCACCGAATAGGAATGAGTGCTCCAAAGTCATACGTTTCCGGAGCCTTCAAACCCAAAGCGCCCTCTCAAGGCAGCATCCAAGCACATACTACAGGCGCTCAATAAATGTCAGTGGAGGCAAACTGACCAGAAAGACTTTTCCAGTCTGTAAAGGGAGCCTGTGTGTGCTCAGAGACTCAGCAATGAATCTCCTGTGAGATGTCTGGCAAGTTACAGGACCATCGTGAGCTCTTCTCCTTATCTGGATGTAGAAAGCTGACATTAAAAGGAGTCTTAAAGCACTTGCCATACTTTTCCTTTCCGTCTTTGTGGCAGGAGCGGTACTGCCCAGGCAAGCTGTCCTTTATTCAGGAGATGGCTCAAAGTAGGCTGGGAAAATACAGGGTGAGCCTTTCCTGACGAGGCCTTATTCTTGGCAGGGCCACAGAGCACCCTCTGGAATGAGCTTTGTGGTAGATGCCAGGCAGAAGCATTTACTGACCTCGTGGTACTGTCCAGAACATGCACAGATGAACACACCACTTGCTCAGGGTGGCCCCAGTGCTAGCCTCTGCCGTTTTTCTTCCTTTGAGCCAGTATTGTATTACAAGCCCACTTTGTGTCCCACACAGGAGGAGACTTGGGCAAACAAGAGCGCAGCCTTCGTGGGACTAATCCCAGGCTCCTCTCCTCCTTCCCCCCTCTTCTCTAAGCCCCCCAGAAGTTAACCTCTCCTTCTCCCCACTTCACTGCCCAGTTCATTCTTCATCTTCCAGGAGAGATCCCGGGTCAGGTTTTCCATTCAAAGAAAGGCCCTGTCCTTCTGACCTGTCCCTTTGTCATCAGCGGGTGGGTATGCATCCATTCTCACCAAACAGCATCCAACCTGCAATCAGCCCTGGGGTGGGTGTCCCATGAGCCTCCAGAAACAAACACTCATTACCCAAGGCGTTGTCAGGTGTGCCACCCTCGAATTAAAGTCTTCCAGGGCTAGCATCAGCTGCCTCCTCGGGATTTTCCTTTCTGGGGCAAAGGGGCCTAGGGCTCAGGACCCATCTCAGCCAGCAAACCCACTAGCCATAGCTCTGGGATACCCGTGACAGGGGGCATGGAGTCTCGGCACATCAAGGGAAGAAAAAAAGAAAGGCATTCTAATATCCCCGTCAGCAGGTACTCCCCACCATACCCCTAAAAGATGAAAGGAGAATCCCAACAGTCAAATGGTTTCCTGAAAAGTCCTTCCTATGTCCCATTGTGGCTCACACTTGACTTTTACAGCGCTGACATATGCTGTCCAATGGGGTGGCCACTGGCTACATAGGGAGGGCTATTTAAATTTAAGTCTGTTGAAATTAATTCACACAAAAATTGCAGTCCCTCAGCTGCTACAGCCCCAGGTCAAGTGTTCAACAGCCCCACGTGGCTAAGGGCAAGGATGTCAGGCAGTTCAGGTTACAGAAAGCTCTTCACTGCTCCCAAGGCCTTATCTGGCTGCTGAGAAGAGGGGCAAGCTCCATCCCCCATCTTGTGCCCCAGTTATGTCCCAGTTTAGCTTCCTAGAGGTATAGTGGAAAACAATTCCATAGTGAGAGAAATGGGCATAGCTCAGAAATCAGCAAAAGAACTAGTGTGGGGTTTTTTCTAAGACTCAGGGTCCAAGTGCAGCTCTGTTACTTACTAGGTGCATGAACCTCAGCAATTCAGGTCACCTCTAGCTTCCTCATCCCCACAATGGGGGCAAAAATACTCTCCCTGACTCTTTCCACAGCTTTTGGTACAATTATGAGACTCCATAACCCAGGTAAATTCAATACCATACAGTGGCAGGATCAAAAACAACACTGTACTATTAACGTTTGCATTCTCTTAGACGCTGTTATTATCATTCTTGTTTTGTTATGAAACCATCAGCTACATTGATCCACCAGCATTTATAGGGACTCTAAGTAATGCAATTTAATTTAATGCAAACCAAGCAAGCTACCCCCTCCATGTGCCTCTGGCAAAACCTCTAAAACTGGACTTTCAATTATACTATTTATTGTGACATTCTCTTTCACTGGTTTTCCATCCCTGATTCTGCATTCATATCAAAGTAGTCTTTCCAAAAGGTAAATCCTGTAACCTCCTTGCCTCTCCCCCTCACCTAAAGTCTGCATCATCAGGAAGGTAGGATGGAAGCTCTTCAGAGCTTCAAGCACAGAGCTCCTGGCGGACTCTGAACAGCCTGCTCATCTCCTGCCAATCTCTGTTCTGCACCCAACACCTGACTCTGTTAGTTCCTAGATGTAGGGCAGAGGCTCGGACACCCAGCTCAAAATGGACCAAAAGGCAGCAGGCGGTGCAGGGAGCCGCCTTCTCTAAATAACTCTACTGCATCTGAAGTGCCTGCAACTGACACATCCAAGGGCAGAGTGGAGAGAACAAGGAAGGGTCCCCCAGGACCCAGGATGGCCATTTGGCTTTAAATGGGGGGTGAACAGAGCTGTGTCTTTGGCCTCTCTGTGACTGTGCCAGGACGATGCCACATTCCCAGTGACAGATGTAACGCCAGAGCCTACAGCAAGCCTTAGAGTGAGCAGCTGCCTGAGAAACCAATCATAACTGTCCAGCCCCATGGTAAACTCTCTGTCTGACGCTGTGAGGGGTAGGGGGAGCCTGAGGCTCTGATGAATCTGCCAACTGGCTGTGAGAAAATGTGTACATTATACCCACTTAGGGGGCAACATTTTTTCATTGGTGAACTTGGGTAAAGTATATGAGGGAGTTCTTTGTACTCTTCTTGCAGCTTTTACTCAATGTGAAAGTGAAATTATATCAACAAAATTTTAATTACCTTTTTAAAATATGTATATATTTCTCATATAAGATAAGAAAAAGTGACAAAACCACAGAAAAGAGCATCTGGATATGAGGTCTAAACCTTGGCTTTCCCCAGAAGTGCTGGGGCCTACTAGTGTGGGTTGAATGCTGTCTTCACCCACCGAAAAAAGATATTGCCCTTAGAATCTGGTGCCTATGACCTTATTTGGGAAAAGGGCTTTTGCTGATGTAATGAAGTTAAGAATCTTGGATAGGAGTGGGGGCTCACGCCTGTAATCCCATGCTGTGGGAGGCTGAGGCAGTACAATGGCTTGAGCTCAAGAGTAGGAGAGCTGCAAGGGGAACATGGTAAAACCCCATTCTTAAAATAAATCAATAAAATAATAATAAAATTAAATAAAGTTGTTTAAAAATAATAATCTTGAGATGAGATCATTGGAGGCCCTAAAACATGAGGAGAGACGGACATAGAGAAGGTACGTGGAGACAAGAGCAGAGATTGGAATGATTCTGCCACAAGCCGAGCAACATCCAGTGCCACAAGCAGCTGGAAGAGGCAAGGAAAGGGTGTCCCTTAGCACCTCAGAGGGTGTCAACCTCGCTGACACCTTGATTTCAGACTTCTGGCCTCCAGAACTGTAAGACAATAAATTTCTGTTGTTTTAAGCTACCAAATCTGTCGAAATTTGTTACTGCAGCCACAAAAAAACAATAAGGGCCTTTGCCTCCAGCAGGAGAAGGAAGCCAGGCTTTGACTCTGGAGGGTCTGAAGCCCAGTGTGGCTAGAACCCTTCCGAGGACCTCCATCCTCCAGTTCTGCTCCCACTGGTGGCTTCGGTTGGTCGCTGCTGTATCCGCCAAGCTGAGAATGGGCCACCACAAGACAGGCATAACCAGGAACTATTTCTGAACCAGTGAGCTAATGGCCTCCCACTCTGACATCCAGGTGCATGCAGGCCTGCTGCAGGGAACACACCACCGAACATCTGGGAATGACAACTGTCAAAACAGGACTCCCAGCAGATGCTGCTCCTCTCCAGGCATGGCTGACTTGCCCCTCTTTGCCCAGCCTTCCCTGAACCCATCTGCTTGTCCTGGAAGGACGCTCCTGGGGGTCATCGTCGTCATGGCACTCCTTCATCTGCAATAAGCCTTCGCAGTCCCTGTGGGGATCTCCCTCCAGCTGTGAGTTCCCTCACAGTGCAAATTCAGCCATTCTCCACTCGACATTCAACCCCTGACAAACGTTACTGGACGAATAAACGATCCTAGAACTGAAAACAGAATACGAAGATATTTCTATTCCAACTCTTCAGTCAATATATATTCAAACCAAGAATCAGAGAAGTGGAGGGAACCACCAGGACCAGGTCCCAAGGCACGCAGGACAAAGGCCATGCTGGATTTAGGGCAGGACTCCATTCCTCCATTCCAACCCCACCTGGGCCCCAGCTAGATCAGCTTCCTCCCCAAACATCATTCCCTGATGTTTCCCAAGTGCCAAAAATCATGCCTGACACATAGTACATGTTTGAGTGAATATTTATTAAATAGGCCCAGAAGTCAGAGTGGAGATGTACAAAGTTGGTTTCAATATTTGTAAATGCTGCTGCTTCAAAAAAAGGGTGGAGGGGGGTGGGGGGTGCTGCCTTTCTATGGAAAAGTTAAAAATATCTAAGAGTGCTAAATCCCCCTGTGTTAGTAGTTCAGGGAACTTTTCTGCCACACTTTTTCTCAGAGGAGGCAGGAGTGGGTGAGAACAAGAATTGAGTGATTTCCAATAACAACGCTAGTGTAAACAACCACACTCACCCATGCACCAAACAGGTGGCAAATCTCACCAGGTGTCAGACACTGAGAGAAGCACCAGGGACACACAAATGGCAAACCCCAGTCCTGCCCCGTGGACCGCACCATCCAAGGTAGAGGGCAGGCAGTCACCAACATGGTGGCAAGTGGCCGATGCGAGCCTAGGACCTGGGATAACAGAGCATGGTGTGAAGTCAGCCTGGGCAGGGGCAGGAAGGCTGCCGTGCGAGGGGTGGAAGATCTCAGAACTGAAAAGATCCTGTCTTGGGCACTTCTAGGAAGAAGAGAAAGCTGCTGGGCAGGGTGAGACCCAGACTCTGTTGAGGAAAGAGAGGAGAGCTGGCCAGCCCGATCTCAATCCCGCAGGCCAGAGGTCCATTGGGGCCCTCTTCCAAACACCTCCTCTTCCCTGACCACCCCAGTGAGGATCTGACACTACTGCCCATCTGCAAGTAAAATAGGGACTGCTCCTTTGTAAAACAGGGACCCTAAAATGCAGATGAGGCCAGGCATGGAGGCTCATGCCTGTAATCCCAGCACTTTGGGAGGCCGAGGTGGGCGATCACCTGAGGTCAGGTGTTTGAGACCAGCCTGGCCAACACGGTGAAACCCCGTCTCTACTAAAAATACAAAAATTAGCCAGGTGCAGTGGTGTGCCCCTGTAATCCCAGCTACTCGGGAGGCTGAGACAGCAGAATCACTTGAACCCAGGAGGCAGAGGCTGCAGTGAGCCGAGATAGCACCCCCGCACTCCAGCCTCGTCAACAAATCGTCAACAAAAAAAAATAAAATGCAGACGAACCTCCAGAAGACAAGGACAAAAACCGCAACCTGGGTGTGAGAACACCCAGGCCCTAGGCCTTAAGAGGGATGGTAACCCCTAGCCCTGTCATCTACAAAATAAGGTCACAGCAGAGCTAGATGATCTATAATGTCACAGCTGAAGTTAAAAAATTCAATGAGTTGATCACACCCAACTCAAGGTGCTGGCTTAAGGATTAAGAAGGAACACATGTGTCAAAAACCATTAGGCTGCAAAGCAGTGCCACCGATGATCATGTGTACAACAACAACCCCCTAAATGTGTGGCCCACTCCCAGTGAGCCAGCCCTGGGCTCAGAATTCTACATTCATGGCCGGGAGCGGTGGCTCACGCCTGTAATCCCAGCACTTTGGGAGGCCAAGGCAGGTGGATCACGAGATCAAGAGATTGAGACCATCCTGGCCAACATGGTGAAACCCCGTCTGTACTGAAAATATAAAAATTAGCTGGGAGTGCCCCTGCAGGCCCAGCTACTTGGGAGGCTGAGGCAGGAGAATCGCTTGAACCCCAGAGGCGGAGGTTGCAGTGAGGCGAGATCGCGCCACTGCACTCCAGCCTAGGCGACAGAGCGAGACTCCGTCTCAAAAAAAAAAATTCTACATTCATTATCTCCTTCGTCCTCACAACAAACCTGGAGAATGCAGAGGTGCTACATTTCTACCCACTTTATAGACCAAAATGTGAAGTTACAGGTTAGTCATTGTTGAAGCCAGAAACCAGGAGTCAGACTCGGGCAGGGGGGGCCTCTGGAGCTCCTGAAGGCCATCCCCACTCCCTAAACAAGGTTGAGAAGGTGTGGTTTAAAGAGGAACACCATGGAAGGAAACCAGTGCTTTCTTCACTTTTTAGTCTGGCAAAACAATCCTTCAAGTTGTTCCGTGGTTTGGAGAACAGTAATGTGTATGGGTAACAGGTGCTCAGTGGTACGGACAAGGTTATACATTTCCAGCCTCAGAGTCTTCAAGGCAGCTTGCTGGTAGGAGAACCTGGATTTGCTCATGCAGTCTTGGGCACAGCCCTCACTTACCTTAGATGCTCACCCAGCTTGGGGTGGGGCACAGCCCCTCCAGACTCCAGCCCAAACAATCCCCATCACCTCCGCATTTCCTAGTACAACACACAGCACCGAATCTATTCAGTGGCCTAAGCTGGACACAGAAAAGAACATTTTACCCCTTCCTTCCTGTAACCCCAGAGGCTCTTCGTGCACCGCGTTCAGGGACTTCTCTCTTGGGTCTCCAGTGCATCCCTGTCTCCTCCAGCTCAGGCCCCGTCACCACTGGCCACCAGCTTGGACCTCCCTCTGATCTTGTCTTCCTATGGCAGAGGCCATGCTTTCTGAAATGCTAATCTCTCCCTCTCTCACCTCTGCTTAAAATCTGCATCATGAGACCATCGCCCTCAGCACAAAGTCAAAATGGTCTTTCTAGGATCTGGCCTCTGCTTACCTTTCCTGTCTCCCTCCTGCCTCTTCTCTGGGCAAACTCCTTCCTTCCCCTGACCACCCTAAGTCCACACCCTGGGCCCTTCTGTGTGCCTATGGCACCCTGTGTCCCCAGGCAGGCACCTTGGCTGTGATTATCTGATTTCTCATCTAAATTCCTCCCCTATTCGTGCCCGCCCGCCCCCCCCACCCCCAAACACACACACAAGAGAACAAAAAATCTCTAAGGAAAAAGAGCACTTCCAACTCATTCCTGTACTTCCAGAATGCATGCAGCACCATGCCTGGCCTGCAGTATGTGCTCAATTAAACTATTGCATAATGAGAAATACCCTATGTTTTGAAGTGTCCAGGAAATTGAAACAATAATACTCTCTCCCCACAAAAAACAGAAAACAGTTATCTATGCCTCAGTTTTTGTGTCTGAAAAATGGAGACAGACTCCAGAACAGGGTTGACAGGAAGGAAGTACCTCAAAGCAAACCCTGCAGAGGCCTTCAGTGATAAGTGTTCACTTTCCCTATCTTCAGCTTGCTGATTTCCCTATCGTGGTGCATCCATCCAGAAGGCCACAAAGATCCTATCTCCCACCAACTGAACTTCAAAAGCATCTTTATCTGCAGAACCCACCTCAAGGAAGGTCGATTCCTAACTTCTCTCGGTGATCCTTTTATTCTGGGCTAGCTAGGCACACCCGCCCAGCCTTATCTGTAATGTCCCCAAGCTGTTGTCTTTCCAGGAAGGGTGTCTCCTATCTACAGGCCTCCAGGAGGCAAGACCAGGGAGGCAAATGGAGGAGAGCCACTCTGTGACCTGAGATCTGGCTTCTGCCACCCTCAAGCTGTGTGACCTGGGACAAATCAACCCATTCATCAGAGGCTCAGCTTCCCCATGTACCCCTCTGTTCAAAAAAGGGAGTAGACTCACGGACCCTCCAACTTGGAAACTGCAGTAACAGGCTGTACTGGACATGTTGAATGAACACCACAATGGCTGCCTAAGCCGATCCCTTCTAGCAAAAGAGGGAGAGTGAAGCAGAAAGAAATCAGGGAAATTTCCAGAAATCATGTCATCCTGGGTTGCCTGAAGATGACAAAACTACGACGTACAGGAGACCCCTTCCAGGAATCACATACTGCATCCGGGGAAGGCCAGAAGTAAGTGCAGACATACATGAAAAGGCAGGCATTAGGGATGGTTAAGTGGATGCCAATTCCCTGCTTCCAGAAATGAACTCAGCCTAATGAAAATTCTGCAGGCGCCTCACCTGTATATTGCACTTGGGGCTAGGAGTGCAAGCCACCCAGGGGCTCCTGACGGGCTGCTCACCTAGGTCCCAACCCCCTTCTGCCATTTCCTAACCGGTTTGTTCTCAGCCTCTTTGAACTTCAGATGCTGAGCAGCTTAACAATGTCTGAACAGCCTAAATCAGCCTCTGGCCCATTAAAGATGTCTGTTTCCTGCCTCCTTTCCTTAAAGAGTTTCAATAAGAAGAGCTCCTTTAAGGGTAGGCACTGGGTCTTTTTTTTTTTTTTTTTTTTTTTTCCTGAGACAGAGTCTCGCGCTGTTGCCAGGCTGGAGTAGAGTGGCGCCATCTCGGCTAACTGCAACCTCTGCCTCCCGGGTTCAAGCGATTCTCTTGCCTTAGCCTACCGAGTAGCTGGGACTATAGGCACGTGCCACCACGTGCAGCTAATTTTTGTATTTTTAGTAGAGATGGGTTTTCACCATGTTGGCCAGGCTGATCTCGATCTCTTGACCTCGTAATCCGCCCGCCTTGGCCTCCCAAAGTGTTGGGATTACAGGCGTGAGCCACCGCGCCCAGCCTGGGTCTTTTAACTTTTATATCCCCAGAGTGTAGAATATTTAGAATACCAGAATTCCTTTATAAATGCCCACTAAATGCGTGGATAAGATAAAAACATAAGACAGGAAGCAATCAGGGGACTGATAGTCATCAGTTCGCTTGGTAAAATGCACTCACGTGGCTAGCACTCAGAAGACATCCCAAATCTCCCTTCTGCTCTTTCTCCCTTAGAGCCACACAGAAGCTCTGCAGGCCTGAGCCCACCTACCCCACCCCACCCCACCCCGCTAAGGGGCAGCACAGAACAGCAGCAAACCATGAGGACCCAGGCCACCTGCTGGGTTCCCATCTTGGTGCTGTGACCGTGACAACTGACTGAAACCCTTAAGACTCCCCTTCGATAGTATCCACTTCACAGTGAGCTAGGAGGACTCTGTGAGTTCAAATATGACATGTGCTTAGAACCAGGCCTGGCACATGGCTCCCGTGGCTGTCAGCTATGGGATCATTCGTGCTACTATTGTTATTCCGTACAACCAGATGTTGGAAAAATTCTGGAGTCACCGAGCCACAGAAGGCACACATCCAGATCCCAGATTGCAGCTGTCAAGTCACACTTTGAGCCTTGGACTTGGAATCCTAAATCACTGGGTCAAATCCTGGCTCTCATCTACCTCTGGCGCCTGACTTTCTCCTCTCTGAGCCTCAGTTTCCTCCCCTGGAAAGCAGACCTTTCAACCTGCCCTGTCTTCCCCAAAAAGGGGATCAAATAAAACAGAAAGCATGGGCCGGGCATGGTGGCTCATGCCTGTAATCCCAGCACTTTGGGAGGCCAAAGCAGGCGGATGCCTGAGCTCAGGAGTTCGAGACCAGCCTGGGCAACACGGTGAAACCCCAGCTCCAATAAAATACAAAAAATTAACTGGGCATGGCGGTGTGCACCTGTAGTCTCACCTACTCGGGGGGCTGAGGCAGGACAATCACTTGAACCCAGGAGGCGGAGGTTGCAGTGAGTGGATATCGCGCCACTGCACTCCTGCCTGGGCGACACAGCCAGACTCTGTCTCAAAAAAAAAGAAAGAAAAGAAAAGAAAAACAAAAAAAGAAGAGAAAAAAACAGAAAGTATGAAGTTTTCTAAGGTTGGTATAGTAGGTGCTGAATAAATATATTCATTTAAATGAATAGTTTACAACCTCCTCCACACTTAGATCAGCCAACCAACCACTCTGTCCATCCTGTTTGATGCCACGCCCGTGTTCCCTTCACCTCACCACCTGTCATTCCCATGTGCCTCTCTGCTTTCTGTTAGGGGCACTCAGCTTTGATCACCCAGCAGGGCTTCTGGTGCCAGGGAATTAGAAACCATGGCCAAGATCTGAGAACATGTCTGTCCCCATATCACACAGGCTGCCCGCTGTTTCTCGGCCTTGCCCTGCAGAACGAGGCACGGCAGGGAAGCTGGAAAGTGCACCCACACCTCCCCGCCATGCGCATGCCTGTGTGCACCTTGTGTGTGTGTGCATGTTCAGGGGTTGCAGTGCTATCAGCTGCGCAGCACAAGCTGCAAAGCCTCCCAAGGCAAAGAGAAACACTCGCTCCCAGGACCGGGAAGGCCTGAAGAGGAACGAGCTGTTTGGCCCTAGGCAAGTGACTCCTCCTGTATCTCAGTCTGTTCACCTATAAAATGAAGACCATGTCCCCCATGGCCTGCAGAAGACTTTTTTTTCTTTTCTTTTCTTTTTTTTTTTTTTTTTTTTGAGACGGAGTCTCGCTCTGTCACCAGGCTGGAGTGCAGTGGCGCAATCTCGGCTCACTGCAACCTCCACCTCCTGGGTTCAAGTGATTCTCCTGCCTCAGCCTCCTGAGTAGCTGCACGGTACAGGCTTGCACCACCACACTCAGCTAATTTTTGTGTTTTTAATAGAGATGGGGTTTCACCATGTTGGCCAGGATGGTCTTGATCTCTTGACCTCGTGATCTGCCCACCTCGGTCTCGCATAGTGCTGGAATTACAGGCATGAGCCACCGTGTCCAGCCAGAAGACATGTTTAAAACCACCCCTGAAACTTGAGTCTGTAGAGGGCTTCATGTCACAGGCTATCATGGTGCTTTTCCTAGTGCTCGGGAGCAGAGTGTGGATCCTGCCATCCCCAAGCTGTGCAACCTGGGGCAAGTGACTTGGCATCTCTGAACCTACACTTCCACATGTGCAAAATAGGGATGGTACTAGTAGCTAAAGTAGAGGTAAATGGTGGTTGAAAAGTTGTTTGAAAAGCATTAAACCACCATGCAAGCTAGGCCAGTGATGACTGGTTAATCACTAGAGAGAATAAAAAGTGATAATGATAGTGATGATGATAATAATAGTAATAATAGTGCCTACCATAATAATGAGGCCTATGACAGGCCATTCTTAAGATAAAATAAAAATGAAAAAATAAGAACAAGCTTCTGCTAAAAGGAGGGCTCTAGCTCAAGTGTGAAGCAGACCCTGTTTTCAAGTTTTGCAGAGAAACATGAGACTTACAAAAAAATTAAACTGGCAGGGCGCAGTGGCTCACGCCTGTAATCCCAACACTTTGGGAGGCCAAGGTAGGCGGATCACGAGGTCAAGAGATCCAGACCATCCTGCCCAACATGGTGAAATTCCATCTCTACTAAAAATACAAAAGTTAGCTGGGCGTGGTGGCGCGTGCCTGTAGTTTCAGCTACTCGGGAGGCTGAGGCAGGAGAATCGCTTGAACTCAGGAGGCAGAGGTTACAGTGAGCCGAGATCACGCCACTGCACTCCAGCCTGGCAACAGAGCGAGACTTCGTCTCAAAAAACAAAAACAGAAAAAACACAACAACAACAAAAAATTAAACTGCAGAGCTGTGTCTTCCCTTCACCACGGAACCTGGAAAAGAGGTGGCAGTTCTTTCTCCTGCAACAGCTCCCTATCTGTCCCTACACAGTATGGAAAGACAGAGCAGACTGTTCAGAGCTCCCTTCTTGCCAGCCAAGGAAAGGCCTTTGATGGTGCTGGATGGATGAGGGGCAGGCCCCTCTCAGCCTCAGCTCCAGCCCCAGCCCTGCCAGCCTGGCTCTGCACCATCCTTCCTGTGGAACAAGCACTAAGGCTCAACCTGGAACAGCTGAGTGCTGGGGCCAAAGCCAAGGCTCTTCCCCTTGAGCTTGGGTCCCAGATGCCCTTCTCACACTCCATTGTGACATACTATAGTTGTAGATGTACCTGTCTACCTCCCCAAGCTCTGAGAGGGCACTAACCCAGGCTATCTCTGTCAAAGAGGTGGTACAGTATGACAGGCAAATTCAAAGGCCTAGAGGCCAACTACCCAGCTACAAATTTAGCCCTTGCAGAAACTAATTGGGCATCTTGGGCAAATTACTAAGCCTCTTGGAGCTTGGCTTTTTATTTGCAGAATAGAAATGATATTACAGCCGGGTGTGGTGGTTCACGCCTGTAACCCAGCACTTTGGGAGGCCGAGGCGGGCAGATCACTTGAGGCTAGGAGTTTGAGACCAGCCTGGGCAACATGAAAAAATCCCATTCCTACTGAAAATAAAAAAAAATTAGCAGGGTATGGTGGAACGTGCCTGTAATCCCAGCTACTCGGGAGGCTGAGACATGAGAATCACTCGAACTTGGGAGGTGGCGGTTGTAGTGGGCCGAGATTGCACCACTGCACTCCAGCCTGGGCGACAGAGACTGTCTCGGGAAGGGGAGGGGAGGGCAGGGGAGGGGAGGGGATTACAGACTCTTGGGCATAACTCTTATACTGTGTGTTGGAAACTTAGTATCTTGACCTGAACTACCATGAAGCTATTTATGGATTTTATTTATCCCACTTACTATGAAAATTAATATATTTCCCTGTAGAAATTTTGGGCTTGGTTAGAGGCACTGCCCCAGACACACGGTATATTGGTCTGCTAGGGCTGCCATAAAAAAGGAGTATAGACTGGGTGGCTTTAACAACAGAAATTTATTTTCTCATAATTCTGGAGGCCAGAAGATCAAGTTGAAGGTGTTGGCAGTTGGGTGTCTCCTGAGGCCTCTCTTTGGCTTGCAGATGGCTGTCTTTTCACTGTGTCCACACATGGCCTTCCCTCTGTGTGTGCGCATCCTGGTGTCTCTGTCCAAATTTCCTCTTCTTACAGGGACTCTAGCCCAGTTGGCTTAGGGCCCACCCTAATAGCCTAATTCTAACTTAATTACCTCTTTAAAGGCCCTACCTTCAAATCCAGTCATATTCTGAGGTCCTTGGCACTAGGACTTCAACATGTGAATTTGCAGAGACACAATTCAGCCCATAACACATAGTATGATATGCGTACTGTATTGCGTTTCTAAAATCTCAAAACAGGATAAACTCCCAAACATAATTCATCCTAAATGTTTTGAATAAAGGATGGAGGACCTGGAGGACAGGCTTGTAGGGTGGTGCAAAGGATAAATGTGGCAGCACACAGAAAGCGCTGGCCCATGGTACAGAGCTCACAGACCCCCAGGACCAAGCCGAGCACCAGTTGCAGAGCAGCAGCTCAGTCATTGCTTCATGGAGGAATCCACGAACTCAGAGGCCCGAATCCTTCTTCTACACTGTATGACTTTGGGGAAGCCACTCCCTGGGCCTCAGTTTGTTCACCTGCTCAAGGCAGGCAACTCCCACCTGGGAGAGGCACTGGGGGCGCTGAACCACACCCACAGGTAGAAGTGAGTACTTGTTGGCCTGGCGCAGTGGCTCATGCCTGTAATCCCAGCACGTTGGGAGGCCGAGGCGGGTGGATCACAAGGTCAAGAGATCGAGACCATCCTGGCCAACATAGTGAAACCCCATCTCTACTAAAAATACAAAAATTAGCTGGGGGTGGTGGTGCGTGCCTGTAGTCCCAGCTACTGGGGAGGCTGAGGCCGGAAAATCGCTTGAACCTGGGAAGCAGAGGTTGCAGTGAACCGAGATGGCGCCACTGCACTCTAGCCTGGTGACAGAGTGAGACTGTCTCAAAAAAAAAAAAAAAAAAAAGTGGGTACTTGTTGAGTCTCAGTCACAGCAGTCACACAACCACAACAAGACAATTTCATCACAAAGCATCTGTTCTAGTTAAGACATAGGTATTGCAGGCCTCTGTCATCCCTCAGAATGATTCTCAAATAACATTCTGAGGCACATAAGGAAACTTAAGAGTAACGGAGGTCAACTTCACCCTCAAAGGCAAGTTTTTTCTTGGAGCAATGTCAAGCAGTGGCAAAAGTCCATGGTTTTGGTTTCTTTTTGCATATGGTTGTGCCTTACTGCTAGTAATTAAGAGATATTCAAGATGATCAGTATTTCAAGTTTTGTGCACGTTTTCTCCAAAGTCCTGGAGCCAACCTGCCTAGACCATGCTTTGCATTTATGTATGTATCTTCTGTAGTTGGGATTCTACTGGGAAGGAGAAATTATGAACGAGGCACCTACGTGAGCTGTAGCAAAAGAAAAGAAAAGGAAACAAAAGAAAAGAAGAGGAAAGGAAAGAAAAGAAGAAAAAAAATGTTCCAGTCATCTAGGAAGTCCACATAGAAATGAGCTCACAACAGATTTCTTGGAGTAGGGAGAAGGGAATGTCTTCCCTAATCTCAGGAGATCTGGGTTTCAGCCCAATTCTGCAAGTTAGAGTTTCAGTCTCAGCTTTTTTATCTGTAAAATGGAAGCAAATTACCCGTTCAATTTATCTCATGGTTAATTTGGGAGGGGTGTGGATAGTGCTGTTGCTACCAGAGCAAACTTTAGAATGGTTTCTGATACTAAATACTAAATAAACGTTACTATAATACTAAATACTAAATAAATGTTAGCTATTATAATTTATTTTTCTAACAATCTTTATGGCCATCCCCTGATAAAGGTATTCCAAAGAGCCTGATTTTTGCAGATGGAGACAAGAGTGGGGTTTGAGTCAGGTTCTCAGGCAATCTACAGGCTGATATCTCCAACATCAAGATCTATCTGTTCATTCATTTTATGCAGAGTCCAGTAAAAGCATTCCTGCACAGGGAGGTTGCAGTAGGGTGATCTCCCAGCAGATCGGGGCCAAGATACTCCAGGACAATTCAAAAGGACAGAGATTGCCCAGCCTGACCTTCAAAGCAAGAATAAGTAATGTGCCATAACCATCAGTTCAGAGCCAAATTCCAGACAGGTCCTTGTTCTCCCATTGAGGAAGGACAGAGAAGCTTCTGCCTACTGGAGAGAATGACCTGAAAAATGCAGGCACGGGCCGGACGCGGTGGCTCACGCCTGTAATCCCAGCACTTTCGGAGGCCAAGGCGGGCGGATCACGAGGGCAGGAGATCGAGACCATCCTGGCCAACATGGTGAAACCCCGTCTCTACTAAAAACATAAAAAATTAGCCAGGCGTGGTGGCGGGCGCCTGTAGTCCCAGCTACTTGGGAGGCTGAGGCAGGAGAATGGCGTGAACCTGGGAGGTGGAGGTTGCAGTGAGCTGAGATCGCGCCTTTGCACTCCAGCCTGGGCCACAGAGCGAGACTCCGTCTCAAAAAAAAAAAATGCAGGCACAACCTAGGTGCAGACACAGCTTGTGATTCTAAAACATGAGACCTTGCTGAGCTCCCCAGACTGTGCCTCTGTTGCCTCATCGGAAAATGAGGGCACATATTACATTTTGTTTCAAAGTATGACTATAAAGCCAATGGAGAAAAAAGACTTAGCACAAAATAGGTACCCAAAACATGCCAGTTCTTTCTAGAATAGGGTGTTTAAAGAAAAAAATGGCAGATCTTCAAGATGTAAAGGAAGCATCAAATGAAATGAGTGAGGAAACCAGGGGTCTGGAAACAGGGAAGGGGCTTTGCAGCCCTGGGGAAATTTGTGCTGAGTAAGCAATGAGACAGTGAGTGTTAAGACAGCCTCAGAGCTCAGGGAGCTCAAAGGGCTTTAACAGACATGATCTCACTGGGATTTTTTTATTAGCTTCTTAGACAGTTTAACAGGTTCCTCCAGCTCTGCTGAGACAGTGAAACTGTGGGCTCCTCTGGCCTCCCTGGGCACATGGAGGCCAGGGCAGTCTTTCTGAACCTGCTTGGGTGGCAAAGGCCCAAGATCTGTTTCTTGATCTACAATCGGTCGTGAGCCAGGCATTGCAGAAGGAAATTCATTTTTTAAAAATAAATTTCCTAGAGCAACATTGAAAGAATTCTGTTTTTTGGCCAGGCGCGGTGGCTCACGTCTGTAATCTCAGCACTTTGGGAGGCCAAGGCAGGCAGATCACGAGGTCAGGAGTTCGAGAGCAGCCTGGCCAATGTGGTAAAACCTCGTCTCTACTAAAAACACAAACATTAGTCGAGCGTGGTGGCATATACCTGTAATCCCAGCTACTCGGGAGGCTGAGGCAGGAGAATCGCTTGAACCCAGGAGTTGGAGGTTGCAGTAAGCCGAGATCATGCCACTGCACTCCAGCCTGGGCAACAGAGTGAGACTCCATCTTAAAAAAAAAAAAAAAGGAATTCTGTTTTTGTTTTTGTAAGGAGCAGAGCAGCATGGAAAGAAGGGAGGCTTTGGGATCAACCCTGGGCTTAATTCCCAGCTCAGCTGCTTCCTGGATGTGTTTCTTAGTCTGCAAAATAGGGCAAACAGTTCTTCCCTTGAAGGACAGTGCCAAGGACCAGTGCAATGACAAATGTGAGGTTCAGGCACAGTCTAGGCATGTAATGACCGGGGGAGGCTTGCTGTTGATATTGTACTCCTTTGTTACACGCCTTTTAGTTTCTCCTAGGGGTATTCATTCAGCTCTAATCTCAAGACCTTTCTGTGATCTGACGTCCCTCAGATGTCAGATCCATGCTGTGACGCTGTCTTCCTTTTGATCAGCCTGAGGCCTGCATCAACTCTACCCACTGGCCTTGCCCTGGGTTTCCTACCCAGGGCCCTACCCCTGAGCTCTCTGCTAGTGCACGGGTATGACAACAACACGGCTGTGGACACTGCTGTGCAGGGAGCTTTGCCTCAGGAATATTGAGCTCCAGCAGTGCACTGGGGTAGAAGGAGCAGGTGGGATGAAAGTTTCCCAGGAGGGTCCTCTCCCTCTCTAAGGAAGCCTCGGTTCCCTCTTCAGTAAGACAGGGGCACAGGGTATGGTGGCTCACGCCTGTAATCCCAGCACTTTGGGAGGCTGAGGCAGGTGGATCATGAGGTCAAGAGTTCGAGACCAGTCTGGCCAACATGGTGAAACCCCATCTCTACTAAGAATACAAAAATTACCCAGGCATGGTGGCACATGCCTGTAATCTCAGCTACTTGGGAGGCTGAGGCAGGATAATTGCTTGAATCCGGGAGGCGGAGGTTGCAGTGAGCCAAGATCATACCACTGCACTCCAGCCTGGGCCACACAGCAGGACTCCATTTGGAAAAAAGAAAAGAAAAGACAGTGGCTTGCATTCCCATATGATTGCCCAATGGAGTGAGATAATGTCTGTGAAATGGCTTATAAACTGTAAAAGTGCTGAGCAGACTGAGCTGTTAGCCATCCTCCCTCCTACACCTCCTCACTCGAAGGTGCTCCTTGTGAGCACCTGAATCTTGAGTGTGAGGGAAGGAGACATAAAGGAGAATTCCCAGCCCAGGCCCTTTTGGGTGAAAGTCAGTCCTCCCAGGTCAGTCTTTAGTTCTGGTGACACATCTGTCTCCTAAGTGACTGCCAGCTGTCTCTTCCCATCCCCCAATCAGCTTTTCTCCCAAGAGTCCTTTAAGCAAATTCCATCTGAGCCTGGTGACCCCTGGGCCCCGGTGCTTATTTGAGACAGTGGGAAACTCCTCCACCTTCAGGTTCAGGAGTGGAGGCAGCGTGGAGCAGTGGTTGGAGCTCCCACGCTTGAAGCAGGACCAGCCTCACCTGGGAAACTGGCCGCATCTCCCCACATGGCACAACAGCTTTGTGGCTAAGGGCTGGACAGGCAGATGGCATACAGGAGCTGGGACACCCAGAAACACCCAGGTCTCAGCCTCCCACTCCTATGCAGGGAGAGTAATAACAGCATGCCGCCACGGGGCTATTGGGTGCTAACCCCAGGACTTGGCACACAGTAGCACCCAAGTGAGGTGAGCTGCTTTCTGCGGTTAGCATTCCCACTGTCAAGCCTGCATCATCAGTAAAAGGGAGATTAGAAGAGCATGTGCCCCGGAAGTTTATTAAAAGGATTAAATGAGAAGATTCATGTAAAGTGCCTAGCACAGTCTCTGACACTTAGTAAGTGCTCAATAAATGAGCTTTCTAATGGCTTAAGTTGGAGGGAAACTCCCGTCCTCTGGCACACAGCTTTTCCAGGAACCCGGGCCGCCAGGGAAGGCAGGGGACAGCCTCAGCTGGAAGCAGAAGAGTCTCTGGCCTGTGACTAAGGCACAGCGAGTCAGAATCCAGCCGCTGGGCAGGGCCGGCTTGGGCCGATGCCTGGCCTGGCCCCCATTCAGGGTGATGCGTTTTTACCGTAAGGTCTGGGTAACTCCACAGCCGGCACTGGGCCTCCCTGTCCCTGGGTGGGGCCTGACACTCACCCATCAACCATGACAGCCGCTTCGTAAAAGAGGCGGGGACTCTAGAGCAGTGAGGGCCCAGTGAGAAAGGGCAGATTCACGGGTTTCAGCGTCATCTGCTAAATGCCACCCCCATTGGTTTAACCATGTGAGAGGTGTTAGTATAGCACGGCAGGTCTGGGTGCCAGGCTGAGCTCCAGGACAGGAGCCAAAGTCAATTAATACCAGGGATGGGGGGTGGGGGTGGCTGAATAGGGAGAGGATGCTGATGGGCAGTGGCAGTGAAGGGAGGCTGAGCTCCCTCCCAAAAACAGGAGGGAAGAAAAGGAAGGTAGGGGAGAGAGGAGAGAGAGGGAGACAGACAGATACACACACACACACACACACACACACACACACACACACACACACAGCTCCTGGAGTTCAAACATTCCAAACTCAATGCAGCAAATGGGAGGTTCTGGTCACAGGGGGCTGGTCTTCAATGTGTCCCATAGGCCAGGCACTACTGGGTGGGCCCTTCACCTACATAGTCTTATTGTAACAACAGCTGGGACGGCATAGTGATCTGGTGTGTGGGCACCAGAGTACAACTACGAAGTTCCACATATGGACCAGCCCCTTCCTTGCTGACTAACATGGGACAGGTTAATTAACAGCTCTGTGCTCCACTCTCCTCACCTGTAAAATGGGAACAATAGTATCTCCCCTCCCCAGCCAAAGGCTACACATGAAGATGAAGTGTGTTCAGACATGGAAAAGGCTTAAACAGGCCCTGGCTCGCAGTGAGCCTCCGATGAAAGTCGGCTATTTCTGATGCCTCTTACCACAGCCTGTGAGGCAGAAATTCTCAGGCTTCTTTTTAGAGCTGAGACCAAGGGGGTTCAGAGAGGGTGAGTGACTTGCTCATGGTCACTGTATTGATCCGCCAGGGCTGCTACAACAAATTTTCACAGGCTGGGTTGCTCAGACAACAGAGGTTTATTTCCTCACAATTCTGAAAGCCAGAAGTCCAGGATCAAGGTGTGGTCAGAGTTGTTTCTTCTGAGGCCTCTCTCCTGGGCTTGTAGATGGCCACCTCCTCCCTGTGTCTACACGTGGTCTTCACTCCTCCTTTGTCATCTTAATCTCTTCTTCTGATAAGGACACCCACCAGTCTGACCATATTGGAGCCCCGCCACGTGAGCTCAGTTAACTGTACCTCTCTAGAGACCCTATTTCCGAACACAGTCACGTTCTGAGGTATGGGTGAGTAGGACTTCAACCTATGGTTTTAAGGGGGACAGAATTCATCCAGTCATAGTCACC
Source organism: Homo sapiens (assembly GCF_000001405.40). Lineage (NCBI taxonomy): Eukaryota > Metazoa > Chordata > Mammalia > Primates > Hominidae > Homo > Homo sapiens. The sequence goes on along the minus strand of NC_000008.11, from coordinate 127,948,483 downwards.
AAGCTTCCCTGAAGCTCTACTAGTCTGGCATAGAGAAATCAGAGTGAACCAAGATCAAAATCTGAGGGCAACCTTGGCTTTCCCCTTCTACACAGAATTGGATGACAGCTAGGAGATGGATCTATGAATTTTCTCCCCTGAGAAACCAGACGGGACCACCTAGAGTCGGTCTCCTTCCCCCAAACGCCCTGGACCTACCATGGGCACAAGCTGGGGCTCAGGGAATACCTCTGTGCTCCACCACTCAGCAGCTGCTTTTCAAGAGAAGGAAAACACTACTACACGCCATCCACAGCCACCGCACAATACTGTATCCCTTTGTCAGGGATAATAAAACAGACGGGAAGTCACTCTGGAACTTACTATGGCCTTGGGTCAAAGGCAGGCTGACCGGGGCTGGCAGAAGAAAGCTAAAACTTACTTCTCTGGGATTCTAGGAATTTCAACAAATGAGACCAACAGCAGATAGTTTCAGATTAAAGAAAGGCAATGTGTTCCCAAACTTTGACCCCTGTGCACAGGCTCTGCAGAAAAGCTGTCACTTTGCACTCAGTTTCCTTATAGGTAAAATGGGGATAATAATATTGTCTGTCTGCCTAATTTGTACAAGGCTCTTACAAGAGGGTATAGCACAAAGTAAGTGCTTAATAAATGTGAGCTTTTCTTTGTATTCCTGTTTCATAGTATTTGTAACTATTTCACAAGATTCAGAAACCTTGTCCCTGGACTGTGATCATCGCCTTTTCTTCAGTCTTCCATTCACAGACCCAGCCTCTGGTGGGCAGTCACAACACAGCTGGCCATGTCCAGAGAGGTCCAAAAACCTGCCCCAGGTGTCAAAGCAGCTAAGAAACAGGGCCGGGTGAGACTCTGCCTGACTCTTTCATTCTGCCAAATCTAAGCTAAGCAGTGATTCCTATGCCCACCTGGGAGGGGAGAAACCTGAGGCCCACCTTGTAAATCCCTACAGGCTCAGTGTGCCTGGCATTGGGATGGGCAGAGGAGACAGAGGGAATGCCAAAAAAAGAGCAGTTACAAAGGACAGACCACAGGTCCAGGATGAGGGGACTTTCAACGGCTTGTTCGTGGTTCCGTTTTTGCCCAAACTCTCTCGATCCACCTTTGAGCAACAGTAATTATCTCTTTGCCTCCATCAACTCCATTTACCATCCCTGTCCAATTCTTTCCCAATAAGCCAGAGAATAAGAGTGCAGACATTAAAGGTCAGATTTTCATGGTGCTGAACCCATTTAACCCAGCTGTGTGGCTTTGAGTAAGCTACCTAAGCTCTCTGAGCCTCCATTTCCTCGTGTGCAAACCAAGGAAAATACTCACCTACTTATTAGAAGGAAAGAAAAGACTGAGTACCTGCCATGTGACAGGCTTTCAACAAGGGACCACCTCTTGTCATAAACAAGAGGCACATGAACAAGTGACCACGGGTTTAACTTGTACACAGGTATTATGAAAACAACAAGTCTGCATTTCAATAAATATTTGTTATATAAATGAACGGGACTGTTCCCAGAGCCTGCTGCTTGGAGGAAGCTAGGGAATAAGGAACTCAAAAACAAGGTAAGAATGTCAGAGCAGGGAAGGGAAGGGAGGAGGGAGGGAGTCGTGACCTTGGGTCAAAGGTAGGCTGACCGATGCTGGCAGAAGAAAACTTAAACTTACTTTTCTGGGATTCTAGGAATTCCAACAAGTGACACCAACAACAGATACTTTCAAATTAAAGAAAGGCATTGTTCCCAAACTTTGGCCCCTGTGCACAAGCTCTGCAGAAAAGCTATCACTTTGTACTCAGTTTCCTTGTAGATCAAATGGGGATAATAATATTGCCTGTCTGCCTAATTTGTATGAAGCTCTTACAAGAGGGTCCAGCACATATAGTAGGTGCTCAATAAATGTGAGCTCTTCTTTGTATTCCTGTTTAATAGTCTTGCTATCATTCATCCGTGGTCTCTTTCCTTTTCTTGGAAATCAGCACTTTCTCAGACACAAACTAGTTACCAGAGCAATGGAGATGACCACCATTTCCTCGCTATCATGAATAACCAGCTACTTGGAAACATTTGAAAGATGGAAGATGCTTTCTTAACATGGGGTTCACCTTCCTACAAATACTTAACCTCTTCCCCCTTCCTCCACTAGACTATACAGCCCACAAGGGCAGAACCATGTCTGTTTTGCTTGCTCTTACATCCCTAGCACCTAAGAGTGTCTGATATATTAGGCACCCAATACAATCGATTGAATGGCTTGTGCATGATAATAACCCAACAAGCTTGGGAGAGTAAGCATGAGCAGAAAGGCCAATCGCCCTAAGTTCCCTGCCTTGGATGTGTGGCTGGTACCCTGACAGACCAGAAGCAATTTGGCCTGCAGTGTTTTTCCTGGGTCTGCACTCCAGCGAGCCCTGCCTTGGTGCAATGTTTTGTCTGTCTCTAAACCCCTTCGTACACATTCACATGTGTTACACTAACTCTTTCTTTTTTCCAACCCGCAGCGAGGCTGGTAGCTTTAGTCCTTTATTACAGAGAAACAAAAGGAGGCCCAGAGAGCTCATGGGTCTCTCCCTAGGACACAGAGCTGACTGGGGACGGTGAGTGTCCCAAAAGCCAGGCCTTCGGTTCCACATCCTGTGCTGAGTAAAGTGCTGAATAATGTTGGTTAGTTGAAGGAAAAAATGAACGAATGGGAACAACAGTGGGATGTGATTATTTTCCAAAGAACTCAGTCCTGTCTATGGCTACGTGACAGAAAAAACTGCTCAGTGGGAGGTCCAAAACTGACACTCAAGGCAACAAAAGGAACAGGGAAAGGGAATCGTTTCAGATAAGCAATGGACCAGACCAGCGTGTCCTCCTAGGTTGTCAGGGCACAGGCTGGGAACTGTGAGGATTCATGCTGCCTTTGGAGGGCCTTCAGCATGGGGCAGTTGAGGGCAGGCTGCTCATCCCCCTGGCAATCAGGGGAACTACCAGAAATGGCATCACCCCCATGAGACTGGCAAAAAGCAAAATTCTGACCTATCAAATGTGGGTGACCAGATGGGGGAAAACAGGGCTCTTGTGTACAGTCAGTGGGAGTGTAAACTGGCATGATTGTTCTGGAGGGCAATGTGATCGCGTCTTATGAAACAGAAAATGTTCCTTAGCCTCCACGGCAGTGAAGTCGCCTCAGGGTATAAATCCTGGATGAGCTCTCACATAAGTGACCAAGAAAGCATGTGCGGATGTTCCTCCCAGCAGTGTTTGTAATATGGGAGAATAAAAAAGAAAGAAAGAAAAGAAAAAAAATGCATCAAGCACAGTGTCTCAACAGGGGAATGGTTAACTGGCCCTTGAAAAACACTCGGCCACTGTTCATTGTTCATTCTCCTCTGATCCAACTTCCCACACACACACTCACCCCACCCACTTCAGGTTCATTTTTATGTTTTATCAGCCTATTGCCTTGACCCCCAGGGGAAAGTAGAATTCACATATGAAAAAAGAGGGTCAGACTCCCCGGAAAGCTTTTCTATGTCCTTTGCCCAGGAGAGGTTCCCATTACAATCGGGCCTGGACCTCAGCCATGAGCACGGGGAGGGAAGGAACCAATTTCATTCCACTTAAACCAATTTGCCGGGCCCAGACAGCAGCTAATGAGCAGCCTGCGCCCTCGGAGTCATCGATACCACTTTCCAAATCAAGTTACCAAATTGGTCTTAAAACCACTTCAAAGGGGCCGGGCTGACTGTTACCAGTGAGGCATCCTGCCAGCCATATGGCCACGCTTCTTCCCACTGGCATCCTCCTCCTCGGTATCAGCTGCAGAGGGGATGAGCTGGCTGGCTGCTTTTGTCTCTGCTTTGGATCCCTCCTTCCCCTGAATGCCTGATCGTCCATAATGGAACTTGGGTCACCATTTAAAAAAAAAAAAAATGGGACAACTGTGGCAGAGGGATTCAAATAAAGGAGGGCCCATTCAGGCAGCACAGCCAGTAGCACAACAGCCCGGTGAGGTCAGTACTCTTATTGTTCCCATTTTACAGACAAAGAACCTGAAAGTATGAAAGCTGGGCAAGGTCTCACCATGGCTAGCAAGTGGCAGAACCAGAAATTGAACCTGGGGCTTCCTTAAATCACAATCCATGCTCAGCCTCTAAGCCACGCAGGTTTTATAGTTTAGATCTTCATGACTTACATTCCCTTCTCTACAATCAAGCAGAAAAAATAGTCAAATGGGCCAGGTGTAATGGCTCATGCCTATAATACTAGCACTTTGGGATGTTGAAGCAGGAGGATCGATTGAGCCCAGGAGTTTGAGGATGCAGTGAACTAGGATGGCACCACTCTACTCCAGCCTGGGCCACCCCCATCTCTTTAAAAATAAATGGTCAACTGAACCTTGAACAAGGGCCCAAAATAATTTTCCTTAAGAGGCTTTTTGTTACTATTCATAAATATAACCCCTATTTTTTATTGAGTGCGCATGGAATGAAAAGCACTAGACTATCTTGCCTCTTTAATCACACAAAAGTCCTGAAGTAGATGGGATGATTTTTTTCTCCCACATGTGGAGTAACATGCTCCACATCCTACAGCCAGGAACGGAACGCTCATCTTCCACATTGGGGATGAAATTCACTTTAAACCCTCAACTCAGTTTTCTTTTCCCTAAATCCAACTGTCCATCAACCTATCTGTCTTTAAGGAGAAGGCTCTGTGGAAGAGCCCACGTCAGCCCTAATTAGGTGGTCTCTAGATTAGTGGTTCTCAACAAAGGGAGATTTTTACACACACATATGTACGCACCACCACCAACACCACCACAAAAGAACATGTGGCAATGTCTGGAAACACTTTAGGTTGTCCCAACTGGAAGCTGGGGTTGCGACTGACAGAGCTACTGGCATCCAGTGGGTAGAGGCCAGAGATGCCGAGCAACATCCTACAATACATAGGACAGCCCCCACAACAAATCATCTGACCCAAAATATGAACAGCGCCAAGGCTGAGAAACTCTGCTGTAGACCCTACCTATGTCTTTGCAATTTCTTCATGGTCTTGATATCATACAAAGAGAGCTTCTTTATTAATCAATTCAATAAAGTAATACTTAGTCATTTGCATTAAAACTGAGCACGACTAATTTTTGCAGCTAATGGACCCACCAGGGCTGGCCAGAATAAAGGGCTGGGCTGGAATTGATTGCATGAAATGGTGCTAAGATCACTTGAGAAATGTGTCCTTTTGCTTATTAAGATTACCGGGAGGCTACTATGTGTCAGACTTCGCGTTAGGATCTGGGGAGGGCATCAACGGGCAGGAACACTCTGTGCAGGACCTCCTTCTGTCCCCAGAGGACACACATCATCTTACTGAGTCACGAGATGGTCCATGGGACATTTCCAGGCCCCCTACAACAGCACATTCTCTTCTTTCAGGACCTCAGGAGAGAGGCTCAAGACAGAACAAAAGGAGACCTGGGAAGATGGGTCACTCAACTTGGAGAGGAGGCCCTGAGGCAGGTCCTGCTCCCTCCTCAGATTTTATTTCTCAAATCCTAAGGAATAATAATCACAGTTAAAATGACAGTTTATACAAATCTCAGCATTGGACATGACAGTTTCATTCCAGGGTTTCCAAAGCCACTTCAGAACAGCCACTACCTAAAGAGTACCCAGGACAGGAGAGTCGATGCGCAGCTTCAAGGAGGGACTGAATCTCACAGTCTTTCCCACTGAAAGAAAATAAAGCTGGAGGCTCCAATACTTAGAGCAAAATGAGGCACCAGCTGGTCAGGCAAGTCAGAATTGAACCCAGCTCTACTGAATGAGAACCTTCAACATTGTCACCAGGTGGCTATCACTCATCCTGGTCAACAGTACATGGTGGACCTCAGAAAGCTCTGGACACTCCCTGGGCCTCAGTTTCAGCAGCTGTAGAATGGGTTATCATTTCCCCTATGGCAGCCTTCAGGGGCTCTTCCAGGTCAAGGGGGAGAGGTGAGTGACATCAGTTTCAATGCATGAAGATGTAAATTAGGTGCTTTCCCACCACTGGCTGTGTAGTTGCCTGCAGGAGAAGCCTTAATGAGAGAGGTGGCTATGGGTCAACAAGAACAGAATCACACCTGATTTCTTTCCTGTCATCACAGGCAGATGAACCTGGGTTGAGATGCCAGCTTGATGACCTTAGGCAAGCCATGGAAATTCTCCATGATCCCTTCCACATTGCTCAACGACCCTAGGCAAGCCGTGGAAATTCTTCATTATCCCTTCCACATTCACACAGTGGGGATGACACTTCCCAACTGGCAGAACTGACAGGCGAAAGTGTCTGGCCAAGGCAAACATGGGCTTGTGAGTCTTAAGAGCCACATGCAGGGAGTTACAGAGCTGGGGACATGGGATCACACTCTGAGGGCCCAACATCTGTGGGCCTGGGGACCTGGGACTCAGGGTGCCCTTGGGAAGGGAGTCGTTTCCTGACAAAAATGGGCCCACAGGTGTGGTGCCCTGCAGGCTGGTTCAAAGAGCCAAGGGCCCCGAGGAAGCCAAAGGGGATGGTCTCAGGAAGGAGAGGCATGGCCCACTTCCCAAAAGAGAAAAGTCCCACCCCACACACATGGCCCAGAGCTGAGCTGGTGCTGGATGAGGGGCTCTGCAAGAAAGAGGGGCCCCTCAGGCCACAGAGACACTGGCACCAGAGCAGGAGACTGAGTGTGGCCTGGAAAGACATGCATTGCCCTAAATCAGAATAAAATTTGCAAAGGCATGATGATCACGGTGTTCACATATATACTATAATAACAAAATAATAACTCTTTAAAAAGTAATGCCCAACAATAGCAAACTGGCTAAATAAAGCATGACATTTCTACCACTAGAGTAATGACAGCAAACATTTACTGAAGATTTACTATAGACCAGATACTATTAAGTTGACCTTTTATAGGTCAACAATTCAATGCTGCCAAATTCACATGGCTCTACATAATATTTTAAGCGCTTTACGTGTCTCCATTCACTTCATCATCACAGCAACCCTTCTGAGGTACTGTGTCAGAATACCTGCCACCCCTCATTCCAATCAAAGAGATGCCCATGTCGGAATTTCCTGGAACCTGTGAATATGTTGCCTCCCATGGCAATAGAACTTCCTAGATGTGATTAAACCTAAGGACCTTGAAGTAGGGATTATTCTGGATTATCAGGGTGGCCCCAGTCCAATCACATGAATCCTTAAAATTAGATAATCTTTTCTAGCTGAGATCACAGAGGTGAAAAGAAAGAGGGAGAAAAGATTTAAATCCTAAAAGGAACTGGACCCACCATTGCTGGACTTGAAAATGGAGAGAGGAGGCCACAAGCCTAGCGAGGAGGCTTCCAGAAGCTCAATGCATCTGGACAGCCAGCAAGAAAACGGGATCTCAGCCCTACAACCTCAAGGAAACAAATTCTGCCAACATCCAGAATGAGCAAGGAACAGACTCTCCCCTGCAGTCTCCAGAATGGAAGGCAGCCTACAGGTTCCTTGATGTTAGCCTGGAGAGATCCATGTCTGACCTCTGCCCTAGATAACTGGACGTGAGCCGGACATAGTGGCTCACACCTGTAATCACAGCACTTTAGAAGGCCGAGGTGGGAGGATCGCTTGAGTCCAGGAGTTCCAGGCCTGCCTGGGCAAGATAGTGAGACCTCGTCTCTACAAAAAATACAAAAAATTAGCCAGGTGTGGTAGCTCATGCCTGAAGTCCCAGCTACTCTGGAGGCTGAGGTGGGAGGACCCCTTGAGCCCTGGAGGTCAAGGTTCAGTGGGCCAGGATCACACCATGCACTCCAGCCTGGGTGACAGAGCAAGACTCTGTCTCAACACTGCCCCTCCACCGCCCCCCCCCACAAAAAAACTATGCATTAATATATTATGTTATATAAATGCTAAATTTGTGTTAATATTTTATGGCAATCATAGAAATTGATAAGCAGGATAAAAAGCATTCGTAACCACACTTGAAGGCAGATGAGAATATGAATCACAATGCCCAAGGTCACTCAGCCAGCAAGGAGCAGAACCGGGTCTGACCAGCTCGTGGGACCTCTGGCCCTGCCGTTCTGCTCTGCAGTCTCATGGAAGAACAATTCCAAATCCAGTTCCCAGATGGCAACACAAAGACTGTATTTTGGGCTGACTCTACCAAAAGTTGGGCTTTAAAAAAAATGCAGTTATTATTTTCAGTAATTAAAATTGTTAAAAGATCTTGGCCTGTCCAGGCCTGGATTATGGCAATAAAAATGTGGCTCGAGATGAACTAACATAGGGGTTGGGTGGGGGAAATAATGAGTCTAGAGACACCAGGCCTGATATTCAGCAGGAACTCACTCACCTGCAGTGGTTTTGTGAAAGCGGTCCCATAACAGCGAGTAAACAGGTACCTCCCCATGAGGGCAACTGTTGTCCCCCGTGTCTAGGCATGTTCCCCAGGGGAACATTCTCCCACCCACCTCCACAAAATGCAGGGTTCAGGCCTGACGCAGAGTCTCAGAACCTAGCACCATGTATCCCAATGCCTCAGACTAGAATATTTGATTATCACCTCCAAGGGATCAGAAAGTTAGGAAAGTTAGAAAACAGTGGGCCCAGCAGGCAGGTGCCTTTGGACTTACCTAGAAGAAAGGAAAAGATCTGCTTTGGTCAGGCCTCTAAAGATATGGAAAGTATGTGGAAAATGTACAGACCCTTAGGTCTGGTCTTAGGCCTGTTTCAATCATCTCTTCATCTTCTCTGTTAGCACATGGCCTCAGGTAAGCCACTTACCTCTCCAAATCTCAGTGTCCTGGCAGTAAAAGGGGAACACCAAGGGAGCCACGTGCCAAGCAGCTCAAAGGGGAGATGATTCAGCCTCCACTTAAAGTACCATCATGATGGCTGTATGTGCCAAGGTCACCCGCGCACCTCGGGAGAAGGCTCCAGGGAGTATGGTCAGCTGCAGAAGCAAAAGGTATGAGTGTCAGTGCCCTGCAGTCAAAAGCAGTCCTCACAGAGCACAGCACTGCCAGGGACTCGAGGCTTTGAGAGACCCCGCACCTGGCTCCCGTGCTGCCTAACGCGGCTTTTCTCCAGCACCTCCACCTGCCGGACCATACCCTGTCCACCTCTGCTCCATCTGCGGTCGTAGGCCCCCATCCATGAAGCCTGTGTGCCTTAACCATCCCATATCAGGGTACAGGGCCAAGGTGCTGGTTGGGAAAGGGCCACAGCCCCACCTTTGTACATGGAGCCCTTAAAATATGTTGGTCAAGTGAGAAGGCAGGTGAGGATAGGGGAGAAGAGTCACAGGGTTGCCAAGACAGACCCCAGCTCTTTCTTCCTCCATAACTGCAAAGCCTTGGCCTAGAGAAAGCGGAAGCAAGAAGACCCCTTGGTCCAATCCCCATAGTCCAATTTAACTTCCCAAATAGAGAAGGTACATGCCACAAAAGAGAATGAGGCTTCTGTGATATCACCCAGAAGTCCTAAATTGCAGCATCCCTCTCAGCCTCAGTTTCCTCATCTATGAAATGGGCATGATGCCCGCCTGTGCACCTCACCAGAGGAAGGACTGCTCAAAGGAGACGCTCAACCAACTTCCCTGTGTGAGCATGCATTCCGCCACACGATGACTGCACCATCGAACGAGACCCACTCGCCTGCCACACAGAGACCCTGGGGCAGAGGAACGCAAAGGCAATAAACCTAAGATTTTGGACATTAGTAAAAACAGACTGGAATCTTCACTCATTTTCAGGGACACTTCAGCCTTTCTCTTCCATGTCCTCTGGTGCTGCAGCTTTGAAAACAAATGGCATTTCTTTTTAAGGGTGTCATTTTTCTTTAAACACCTTAAGAAAAAAAGTTAGAATCCCAAAGGGATCTTACATTTGCGTTCTTGTGTAATCTGTTTTGCTAGAAGCTTTCAAATACATATATTTTTGAAGCCACAGGATACAGCCCCAGGGTGAGGCCTTGGGTTCCTATCAGCAGCCCCTCAAGGCTCTGGGAGCATCTCTTCTTTTCATCTGGAGCAGCTGTCCTTGAGGAACATGCCGTGGACACAGCTGTCTGAGATGAGTAAGCCTCATCTCTGGCCAAAAGGAAACACACTGTGATTTGGGGTCTCTCTGTCTCAGGATGGGGCTTCCTCGGAGGCCTGAAGCCATGTGGGACGGCATCCTTTCCCTGGAAAGTGCTGAGATTGTCAATCTCGCTCACATTTGATCAGGGCTTGTCGCCTCTTTGTGGCCCCCGCTGATAAAAGCAGGGCTGGCGCTGTTTCTGGAATGATGTGAGGGATACCACCCCCATCCCAGCCCTAGGAAAAAACAGTATCATTCTCCAGATGGCTATGCTCCTTGTGAACATCCCAAGGAGGTCGCCTGAAGAGGTTACAAGGCCAGTGATTCCCAGCTGGCTTCCGCTGAGGGAAAGAGACTGATCTTGGAAGAATCAGACCAGGAGCCTGATGAGGAAAACTGAGGGACTCCAGTGTCGACCTCCACACAGGCTCTGAACTAGACGGAGCATGTAGCACGATTTAGCGTGACAGAGACTAAATTCTAGCTCTGTTACTTTCGCAGTGAGACTAAAAAATGTCTTCCCTCTCTGAGACTTGGGTTTGACTTCTGTAAACCATGGGTAATAAATAATGCCCTTGTTCGATGCCCATAAAGATTGAATTGAATTGGGGCCAGGCTCACTCCTGTAATCCTAGAGTCTTCCTTCAGAAGGAAGAAAGCATAATCTATATGCTGGCTGGCTCTACGCAGCAGCAGGTATCACAAGTGGTTTTTGTCTGCCTTTGCTTCTGAAGGTTAACCCACTACCTATTTAGAGAGGCCACGTTGGTCTCTCTCTCTCTCTCTCTCTCTCTCTCTGTGTGTGTGTGTGTGTGTGTGTGTGTGTGTGTCTTTTTCCCTAGGGTGGGCATTTTCTTTCAGGCAGGTGGCACCCTGCCCAAGGAGGGTGGATCACTTAAGGCCAGACTTCTAGACTAGCCTGACCTACATGGCAAAACCCTGTCTCTACTAAAAATACAAAAATTAGCTGGGCGTGATGGCACACACCTGGAATCCCAGCTACTCAGGAGGCTAGAGGCACAAAAATCACTTGAACCCAGGAGGCAGAGGTTGCAGTGAGCCAAGATCGTGCCACTGCACTCCAGCCTGTCTAAAAAAAAAAGAAAAGAAAAGAAAAAAGAAAAGAAAAACAATGAATTAGATAATGTGCCAAAGCATCTCAAGATTTGCACCCAAGACTCGTCAGTTCCCTTGCCCCTGCTGTCAGATTAATTGCAGTTTACTTGTAGAGGTAAAGAGGGTGCCCACAGCAAAGGGACTGAACCAGATAACTCAAGGTAATCACCCAGTGGATGATGCGGGCTGCAAGCCCGAGGGGTTAGGTGACTTGGTCTGGACTTAAAACGGGGACAGGAAATTAGATACCAGCATTCATTTTTCTGATTTACAAATCCTTTCCTGTATAAAACTCTTCCAAGGCACATATGTGAACATACACAGTTATGCTTCAGCCGGTCCCTCCCATCTAGAGAATCCAACCAAGGACACACAGTGTGTCTAGGGAGAAGAGGTTATTCTGTGGCACAGGTGGCTCTGCAGAGGTGGGTGCCATGCCAAGTCCCACGGGAGGGTATGTTCCCAGCGAAGAGTTTAGAGCAAAGACCTGCTCAAGTTACATTAGGGGTGAGGTTCCTTCCTAAAGGCACCCTCAAGCAACCCCTCACTGGAAGCAGGAGAGGAAGCAGCTCAGCCCTGAAGGCTGCAAGAGCTCAGCAGTGCCTACTGCCTTTGTTGACCTTTGAAGGTGAACAATCACGGCGGGAGGGAAATGATTTCTCCAAGGCCAGGACATGGAGTGGAGCGGTAGGATGCACAGATCCAACCACAAACCAGATTCAGAAAGTGTCAGACCAGCATTGGGGCGGCCATAGGAAGCCAAAGCCACACCCAGCACCACCTTTCTCCTTTCTGAGAAAGGCCATCAAAGCAATATGAGAGCAGCTGGCACAATGGAGTGATCCTCATTCAATAGAGAGTTCTAGCCTGGGCGCTTCAGGGCTACAGTTCTGCTTAGAGAAGACACTGTCGACCAGGTGGGGTGGCTCACGCCTATAATCCCAGCACTTTGGGAGGCCAAGGCAGGCAGAACACCTGAGGTCGGGAGTTGGAGACCAGCCCGACCAACATGGAGAAACCCCATCTCTCCTAAAAATACAAAATTAGCCGGGCGTGGGTGGTGCATGTCTGTAATCCCAGCTACTCGGGAGGCTGAGGCAAGAGAATCACTTGAACCTGGGACGCGGAGGTTGTGGTGAGCCAAGATCGCGCCATTGCACTCTGGCCTGGGCAAAAAGAGCAAAACTCCATCTCAAAAAAAAGTAAAAAAAAAAAAAAAAAAAAAAAAGAGAGAGAGAGAGAAGACACTGTTTGTCCAACTCTTACCTCAAGACCATTCCTCATTCAAACCACTTCCACCCTCACGTGGCCACCCCTGACAAGATTCTCAATCTTTGGGCCACACCACCCACTGACACCTCTCAGATCAGGAAGCTACCAGTTACTCCAGCTTTTGGCCAAATCCACCCTAACCAGGATGGTCATTACAGCCAAGATCATCAGAGCACGTACTGCATGCTGGACACTGTTCTCCGCTCCATACGGAGGAGAAACTGACTTTGATAAATGGTCAAAATGGCCCTTTGGGATACATACTGTCCCATTTTACAGATAAGAAAACTGAGGTTTCTCAAGATTAAGTAACCTCCCACGATTGTGCAACCAGAGCTCATGCTCTGTGCCATCGGGCCACGCATGGCTCACCTTCTTCTAGGCTTTGGACCAGACCCCTGAATACATATGTGATTCTGTCATCTATCAGTTGTGTGACATCAGACAAAGCACTTCATCTCCCTAAAACTTCACTGCTTCTTCTACAACAGGGGATCATAACAACACCTTCCTGAATGAAAATACCCACCCTAGGGAAAAAGACACACACACACACACACACCCTGACCTGGCCTCTCTAAATAGATAGTGGGTTCACCTTCAGAAGCAAAAGCAGACAAAAACCCCTTGTGATGCCTGCTGCTGTGTAGAGCCAGCCAGCATATAGATTATGTTTTCTTCCTTCTAAAGGAAGAGGCTTAAAAAAAGAAGAGAACTGGCTGGGCACCGGGATTACAGGGCTCACGCCTGTAATCCCAGCACTTTGGGAGGCCGAGGCGGGCAGATCACCTGAGGTCCGGAGCTCGAGACCAGCCTGACCAACATGGAGAAACCCCGTCTCTACTAAAAATACAAAATTAGCTGGGTGTGGTGGTGCATGCCTGTAATCCCAGCTACTACGGCGGCTGAGGCAGGAGAATGGCTTGAACCTGGGAGGCAGAGGTTGCTGTGAGATAGCGCCATTACACTCCAGCCTGGGCAACAAGAGTGAAACTCTGTCTCAAAAAAAAAGAAGAGAACTTAGGAGAGGGCCTGGTTGGATAACAGAGCACCCAGGTACAGCAGTTAAAACCAAACAGAACTCCCCGATATTGTTTCTAGCCCAACGCCATCTGGCCCCAGGAGCAACAAAAGTGGAGGCTGCCTAAGCAATTACCAAATTTGATCAGTCCCAGCCCAGCTCCAGGCCCTCCGAAAAACCATTGATAAGTCAAAGCCAAGAATTTAGCAGCTTCTCAACTTTTCCCCACACACCTGGAGGTAGACCCTTACCCCAAGGAACAAAGTCTTCATCCTGTTAGAAATCTATGAAGGGAACATGTAAACAAATGTTGCAGAGATAAGGAAGCCTGCCATGAAGGAGTCAGTTTGGAATCTCCAGCCCAGAAATTGGGAGAAATGTACCCATTCACTCTTTCCTGACCTAAGACCATTCTGGGAGTCCCTAAACAAAGGCTGGCCAACTCTTTCCCCTCTATCTTTGGCAAACCTATTTCAGCGATCACTGAGGCACTTTCAGACCAACTTCCTCCCATCCCGAGAGAGCCCAGACCATCCTGGGGAGGAAGACACCCAGAGGGAAGGCTTCAAGGGGCCCAATGCCTCAGCAGTCCCCACCCCAGTCACCACCACCAGACTGGTGGCTTGATGAAGATGAGGATGAGGCTGTCTTATTTATCACCTTTACCAAGACAGGTACCTGGGGCAAAGTAAGCATTCAATAAATTTTTGTTAAACCCTGGAATGTGCAGCATCCTTCCCCCAAAAAGAACTGCATGGAGTCACCTCTACTCAATAAAATGCCCAACCAACTACTGAAGTTTCTTTGCCCCTTTGAAAACATGAAAGGCCCTTTTTCAATCACCTTAGCCGATGGCCCATACTAGGGAAAAGGAGACCCATCAAAGGATAGTGAAAAGGGCTCAGTGTTGTATCCTATAGCTGAGTTGATGGCTCCAGCAACTACAATGTTGACTTATGAGCAACCTACAGCTCTGTAACCATCACAGCTAGTTGAGAGTTAGCTGTGAGGCTGGAACCCTGCTGAAGGCTTCAAATGCCCATCTCATTTGACTGTCTCACTTTAGAGGCTCAAACAATAATTCCCATTTCATGGATGAAGAACCCAGGATGTAGAGAAACTGTTCAAACTTTCCTAAGGTTGCTCATCTAGAAAGCTATGGAGGCAACATCCCCACACAGTTCTGCCTGGCTCCTATGCCCAGGCTCTTACACTGCCTTGGAAGAAATGGCCACTCCCAGAGAAAGCAGCAAGCAAGTAGAAACAGCACATCCTTGGCCTCTGGGTGACCACACACTAGGCAGATGTCTCCAAGGTCCCACCAAACCCAGAGAGGCTTCATCTTGCCCCTTCCAGCATAAGGGCATCATCCCCTCACCAGTCTCTCTCCTGCCCACCCTGTACACAGCACACATCTCACGCACAGGGTCTCCACTTTACGATGGTGTGCACATTAAGAAACTATACCCACCTATACCCGCAGGTTTGTGCCTCTCTCCATGGGAAAGCAGAGAATAGGAATGAGTTCTATTTCTAAATGCAGGACATAGTAGTGCCCAACACACAACAAGCACTTTAAAAATATCCATGATACTGGCCAGGCACAATGGCTCGCGCCTGTAACCCCAGCACTTTGGGAGGCCAAGGCAGGTGGATCACCTGAGGTTGGGAGTTCGAGACCAGCCTGACCAACATGGAGAAACCCCATCTCTACTAAACATATAAAATTAGCCAGATATGGTGGCGCATGCCTGTAATCCCAGCTACTCCAGTGGCTGAGGCAGGAGAATCGCTTGAACCCGGGAGGCAGAGGTTGCAGTGAGCCGAGATCGTGCCATTGCACTCCAGCTTGGGCAACAAGAGCGAAACTCCATCTCAAAAGAAAAAAAAAATCATGAAACTGAGTTTGCTAATAAATTAATTCCCATCTATAAAAGGGCAATAATATGCCCTTTTATAGCCTCCAAGGTTGTTGGAAGGAAAAAATAAGATAACCCATGAAAAGAACTGCTAAGATCCAAATTGCTATAGATAAATCCCTAATGCCTGACAATCCTTAAGAATGATAAATAGAACAGAAAAATTAAATGTGAGGATGACCTGGCACAACACTCCACATGCATTGGAGATAGATACGCATATACATGCATGTACGTGTGTGTGTGTTTGTGTATGTATGTACAGTCAGAGATGTGTATATCTACTATATATCAGCTTATTGAGATAAAAATAAGAAATGTGTATTATAAGATAGAAATATAACGTGTATTATGTTTTTATTTTTTATTTTTTATTAGCAAAGAAAGAAGGGGCCTTGAAGCTGTACGTAGCTTGGTGTCCATCAGGTACCATGTCTACGAACAGCGAATCTGCACAGAGTTCAATGGGAGTCCAGTGATGCTTCCATAGCAGGCTGGGACTCAGCCACAGCGTGGGGAGTTGGATAAGGCAGGTGCTGGGAGGAATAAACGGGGCTGATTTCCGTTACTGCTCACCTGCGAAGTCCTGCAGACAGGATAGAAAGAAAACTCATGTGACAATAGTTCTCGCATGTCCTCCCATGTTCGAGCCTCCTTGGGGTAATCCATCTCAGACTTCCCAAGGAAGGCCTTCATTATTCATCCCTTTACCAGGAGAGGGGCAGAAGGGAGGGAGATCAAACCTAAAGCAGACACCCGTTAGTAATGGGAGAGGAGCAGAAACATGGACCCCCTGCCTCCTTGAGGCTAATCCCGCCCTGGGAGCACCTTATACCCATGGCTGGGCCTCACCTGCCTCGAGTGCTGGCATGGGGCAAGTGGGCTGGGAGTGCACGGCATTCCCAGCAAAGAGGCAGGCCCCACTCCTGACGTTCCCACCCAGCCACAGACTGTCCACCGCCAAAGGCCAGGCCCTCCATGGTGGTGTTCCCAGGAATCTGGAGAAAATTCAACAGAGGAAGCCTGAGGATGGGGTGGGAGGAGGAAATGGGGCAAAGAGGCCCTGTGAAGTTTTCCAGAGGAAATGAGTAACCCGTTGTTATGCAGTCACACAGCGCCAAGCGAGGAAGTGGCATTGTCTGGGGACCAGCCGCAGGGCCTTACATAATAGGCACCCCTCTCACTTTCTGGCCCTGGCCGTATTTGGGGATTGGCAAAAACATCTGATGAGCACCTCCAGCCTGTGTAAACACTGGCTTTATTAGGGTGGTGGACAGAGGTCTGGACGGGAGTTCTGCTTGGCTCGCGCTGAGTGAAATCAATTCCCATGGCCTCATCCTGCAGGCTCCCATCCGTTGGGTGGCAGTGCCGCTCAGTGGTTAGCACCGACTCTGAGGCCAGGCTGCCAGCACCCATCCAGATTCCAGCTCTACCACTTTCCAGCTGTGTGATCTGGGCAAGCTGCTGAGCTGCTCTGTGCCTCAGTTGCCTTGTCTATAAAATGATACTATTTGACCGGACTGCTAGGGTTACAGAGGATGAAGTAGAATCATACACACACAGTGCTCAGAACAATGCTTTGCACAAAATAAGCTTTCAATGATGAGCCAGTCAGGGTCCTAGAGATAAACATAGTGCCCCCACCTTCAAGACAGGAAATGGAATAAGTAAAATACAGAGATGGGGCCTGCATTCAGCAGAGTCTGCACTGGGTTTGGTGGCTGGGCAAAAGAGATGAGGGCAATCACTTCCCCCCAGCACCCTGGAAACATAAATGGAAAAGGGGTCTCCCTGGGAGCAAATAACAGAGGAGATAAGCTTGGAAATAAGAAACACCAAGTTCTTGGCCAGGTGCAGTGGCTCACACCTGCAATTCCAGCACTTTATGAGGCTAAGGTAGGCAGATGGCTTGAGCCCAGGAGTTTGAGACCAGCGTGGGCAACATAGTGAAACCCCATCACTACAAAAAAATTCAAAAACTAGCTGGGTGTGGTGGAGCGCACCTGTAGTCCCAGCTACTAGGGACGCTGAAGGGGAGGATCCCTTGAGCCTGGGAGGTTGAGGCTGCAGTGACGGCACCACTGAACTCCAGCCTGGGTGACAGAGCAAGACCCTGTCTCAAAAACAACAGCAACAACAAAAACCCCATCAATATCTTGCTGGAGATATAGGAAGATTCTAGCCAAGTTTAACAAAACCTTGAAATTCATTCCAATTAAACTCCCAGGGTCACAGCCCATGATATCATCACGAACCTGAAAATATGCTATAAGGGGGTTCTCAGCGGAGTCTGTAAATCCACCCACTGCTCTACACAGACAGACCTGGGCATGTCAGTGAGGGGGTACGAAGGGAAAGAAAAACCTTTGACGCCCCAGGAACTGGTACCTTTACACACCCTGCTGGGGCCCCTACATTCCTATTCACAACAACTCATAGATGGAGATGCACACACACACCATCTTTGTTTTGAAAAATGAGGAAACTGAGGCACAGAAAGGTTATGTTCCCTGGCTGAAGTCAAACCCTGAGTAAATTTAAAGGGTCAGAATTCAAACCCGGGTTTATTTTATTCTCCACTGAAAAGATTACTGCCAGGCATGATGACTCACGCCTCTAATCTCAGCACTTTGGGAGGCCGAGGTGGTTGGATCACCTGAGGTCAGGAGTTTGAGACCAGCCTGGCCAACATGGCAAAACTTCGTCTCTACTAAAAATGCAAAAAAATTAGCCAGACCTGGTGGCGCATGCCTGTAATCCCAGCTAATTGGGAGGCTGAGGCACAAGAATCGCTTGAACTCAGGAGTTGAGGGTTGTAGTGAGCTAAGATCATGCCACTGCCCTCCAACCTGAGCAACAGAGTGAGACTCTGTCCCAAAAAAAAATAATAATAATTCCGCACCGCCCCACCAGAGGTTGGTTTTTTTTAATTATTGTTATTTGTGAAATAATCACAAACGTGCTGGGAACACACAGCAAATCCTTTTCCCCTACAGCATGTGAGAGGGAGTAGTGGACCTGAAGCCCTATCACTACAGAGTACTTCCATGTGTATTTTTCTAAAGCAAAGACATTCTCCCTTAGGACCATGTTCTATAGGAAGATCAGGAAGCTGACACAGATACGTAACTAACATCTAACGCTCCCAGCCATCCAAGGTTTGACAATTGTCCAGAATCAAGCTTTGCATTTAATTCTCACATCTCTTTAGTCTCTTTCAGTCTGGAACCATTTCTCAGTCTTTCCCTGACACTCATGACCTTGACACTTCTTTTTTTTTTTTGAGACGGAGTCTCGCTCTGTCACCCAGGCTGGAGTCCAGTGGTGCGATCTCGGCTCACTGCAAGCTCCGCCTCCCGGGTTCACGCCATTCTCCTGCCTCAGCCTCCCGAGTAGCTGGGACTACAGGCGCCCGCCACCATGCCCGGCTAATTTTTTTTGTATTTTTAGTAGAGACGGGGTTTCACCGTGTTAGCCAGGATGGTCTCGATCTCCTGACCTCGTGATCCGCCTGCCTCGGCCTCCCAAAGTGTTTTATTTTCTTTTTAAAAAAATTTTCCCTGGGAGCACAGAACATATTAACATTTATTTTTCTTTTGCCTAATTGCAAAGCAAGAGTTGGGAGGAAGATTTCCTGGAAGAAAGTAAATCATCTAAGTCAACTGTGATGACAACCCACACCCAATCATTTTTAATTGGGCGAGGCAAAACGGTGTACTAGTTTATGGCTTAGGGAGGGTTCTAGCAGTCTGCCTGTCTGAGGAGGGACTACAGCTTTTACACAGCCAAGTAGATCCTGGCATCATTTGCTCATGCCAGCTTTGCTTACAAATAAAAAAAAAAAAAAAAAACAGAAAAATGAAAAACTGAAAACCCTCAGAGTTCAGCTTAAAAAGACCTTTCATGCAATGCCAGGACTCTCCCTTTCCCACCCGCTAAACCCCCCTTGCTTCTGTCCCAAAGTACAATACATATGTTTATCTTGCTTCTAAGTAGGGGTATATTAAAATACTTGAGGATTTTCCCCTCCTAATTCTGGCATGCTGGCTCCCACTGGCTGTGCAGCCGCATATCATGAAGTGCAAAAGCAACAGTAAATTATACCCTTTACAAACACAGCGATCTTTCCTGAGGTTGGAAGTCGCATCACTTGAAAGGCTGACTTTCTTCAAACTTCCAGGAACTGAGTGGCCCAGAGCCCATCTATTTAAAGGTCAACCCAGCCCTGCTGTATTTGGAGGGCTGCCTCGGACACAGGCTTATTCTCAGCCCCTCTCTGCAGCCACCGCAGCAGGACAGGCTGTGAGCAGCACTGTGTCCCTTTCAAAGGGAGAAGGGAGGCCAGAGACAGAGGAGGGCCAGAGAGAGATGGGAGATTGGAAACAACCAGTTGCCACCCCCTTACTCACCGCACCCCTCTGGGGGATAGGGTGGGGTGATGGTGGTTAGCAGAGTAAACTCCTCTGCCATGATTAAATCTCGGAATCGAGCTTAGGTCCCAATTTTCAGGGACAAGATGGTCCATTTGGTCACACTTTTAACTCAGCTGCCTGGGCTTAAGCTCTGGCAGAGCAGAGCAGATGATAAAGAAGACAATTCAGGACCATCCTGATAGGTATAGGGACCACGGCAATGGGAATTTGCAGTGTAGGAGAAAGATAGGGCTCAACTCAATACAGCCTGAGCAAGTGGAAATTCACAGCCAAGAAGCAGGGTGGGGGTCAGAGGATAGAAAATTACTAACAGGCAACATCAGGAGTAAGGGGGATTCTGGTTAAATCAACCTATCAAGATTCTTGCTAAAGGCAGGCCAGGGTGACCAGACATCATCTGGAGGGTGGTAGAAGATGAGGAACCCTATCTATCAGATATGGAAGATATTGACGGCCGGTGGTCCTTACCAAACTGACTCAGCAGAGTTTTTTGCTAAAACTAGATTTTACAGGAAGTACACAGATGGGCCTAGGAAAAGACTTAAGTGTCTGATTAAATTGGGTAATTGGGTCAAGCAAAGAATCTTTGTCAGTAGGTAGTGGGAGATGGCCCCTCTACCAGCTTGGCAAGGCAGCCAGAGGGGACGACAGCCCTTCTCACCCACCAACCGCACTGAGAATTTTTGTAAAGTATTTAACCCTTAGCTTGGTGTTAACTTACACAGGTCTGTGTGTATTTAATCCTATGAGCTTTGCTCAGTATTTGCTCATTCTTCAAACTGCTCGTGAATTCAGAGGATGCCAGGTAGTGAGAAGTCACTGCTGACAGAGCACCTGCAGCGGGCACAAGTGTCCTGTGGTTGGGGGGTCAGCACGGCTTACAGATGACTTTCAGGATGGTACAGTCAGTTGCCTAAAGTCACCCAGCTAAGGAGGGGGTATGGCCAGAATCCCAGTACTGATCAGTCTGACTCCAGAACATAGCCTCTAATTTCATCATACTCTTCATACACCCCCACATTCATGAAGTGAGCAAAGTGGTAAAGAAGACAGGCCCCACAGATCCTGGACCATGCAGCAAGCAGTGCTAGGATGGAAAGAACTCATCCCCCTAAGAGGCATCCAAAAGGGCTTCATGGAAGAGGTAGCATTTAAATGTTGCTTACAATGGGGCTTTTTGACAGGTCAGAGAGAAAAGGAAGAGCAACCCAGGAGGAAAGTACATGAACAAAAGCAATGAGACCAGAAACGGGCCTGGATGGGTGATGACAACTATCTGGCGAGGCTGAGCCCCTGCGTGGTGAGGGAGCCCAGGACTCCTTCTGGATGTCTTTCCAGCCTGTGTGGAGAGGGTGTCCCCTCGATGCTAGTCACTGCACCACATCATTGACCCAGATTATTTCCGATCCCCACAATAATGCAAGGAGTAGAGACGAATAGTCCCATTTTCATAGAAGAAGTTCCCGGTTAGAGAAGCCACCACAACTGAGTGCCTGGCTCCTGAGCAACAGGGCCCGGACTTGAACCCAGAGCTGTTTGCTACCAAGTTCCATGAGTTTCCCATGCAGCCTTCCCACGTCCTTTTCCCCTTTCTGCTGAGGTCATTGTCGGCACAGAAAAGGATGTTCGGGGGAATGAACGGAGGAGGGAAGGAAGGGGGGAACAGTGCCAAGGCTGTGATTCAATGCAGACCTTTCCTCGTGTCCGATTAGCCTGAAAAGACTTGGAAATCAAAACCAACCAAACAAAACACTCAACAGGCCAGCCCAGGAAGCTTCTATTCTCCAGAACAGAACTGAAAAGAGAGCCAGCAGGCCAAGGATCTCCAAGTCAGATACATCATCAGAGGGGACTCAGGAAAGGGAACGTGTTGCCGGATAGTGTCTGAGGGTGGGCACCCGGGGACAGATCCTGAGGAGGGAATGTCTGTCTGTGTGATTTAACAGGGAGCAACCTCAGGAGAAAGGAAGGGAAGGTGGCAGAGCCAGGCAAGGGAAGGAGGTGGTCTCGGCTGGGGACCAACTCAGGCCATCCACAGGATGCCCTGGAACATGAACCGCACCATGGAGTTTACCCCACATGGAAACAAGGAGGAGCAGCCCTTTGCACCCCTGAGTCAGCCAGGGCTGGTGCAGGGTGAGCAACTTCCCGGATGAAGCAGCTCCAGTTGGAGGAAGGCTAATCTCCAGAGAAGTGGTGCTGTGGACATTAGCAGCAGTGGACATTAGCAGCCGCCGTCTCGGCAGCTGGGGTGAGTGTACCGGTCCAGGGAGGGGGACCTGGGGCAGCCCTTCAACAACAACCACTACAATTAGTCACAACGGAGGGACTGTGCGATGCTCAGGCATGATAACAGCCCCCATTTTTTAACATTTCCTGCAGTCACCTTCCCTAGGCCAGACACTGCCTGGGCTGAATCAGCCTCTCAAATGGGTGCTGGAAACATCTGGGTCTTAGAGGGACACCAGGGGCAGGAAAAGAACCACTCTGGGGAGAAGAGAGCCGGCCAGAGACCATGACTGGAGGGAAGTGGGCAGAACAAGAACAGGACTGCAGAGAGTCCCACCTTTTCTCCACGCCTCTCTCCTAAAGAGAGCTGACATCTGAAATCAAATGAAACGAGCTGAGAACACAAACTCATGCTCCCATTCTTACACCCCAAAAAAGTCTAAAACTCACCTGGGCACGGTGGCTCATGCCTGTAATCCCAGCACTTTGGGAGCCCGAGGTGGGTGGCTCACCTGAGGTCAGGAGTTCGAGAGCAGCCCGGCCAACATGGTGAAACCCCATCTCTACTAAAAATACAAAATTAGCCAGGCATGGTGGTGTATGCCTATAGTCCCAGCTACTTGGGAGGCTGAGGCAGGAGAATCGCTTGAACCCAGGAGGCAGAGGTTGCGGTGAGCCGAGATGGCACCACTGCACTCCAGCCTGGGCAACAAAAGTAAAACTCCATTTCAAAAAAAAAACAAAAACAAAAAACCTCTAAAATTCACAGAACAGCCTCTGATAAATCTTTTCACAAGACTATATAATCTCAATAATTATTTTCAATAAATTAATTAATGAATCCTACCATAGTGCCCACCATATGGTAAGTGCTGAATAAAAGCTGAATGGCGTGTCCACTGAACACATTGTAACATCCACCATATGCTTACAGATAACCTTCTAGATCTTTCCCAAAATAGTAGAGGCTCTCTTTTGTGAAGTTGAGTTTGGCCTTAATCACATGATGCTGGATTTTTCAACTAGATTTTTTTGATTTTTTCAACTATATTTTTTTGATTTTTCATCTTGATTTTTCAACTAGAGCTTTGCTGTCCCCAAATGTTCATCAACAGATGAGTAGATTTTTAAAAATGCAATATACTTGTGCTAGGGAACAGTATTCAGCCCTAAGGAGAAATGACATGCTGATCTATGCTACAACACAGATAAACCTTGAAAACATTACACCAAGTGAAAGAAGCCAGGCACAAAAGACCATTCCAGGATAGGTATATTTGTAGTACAAGTAGCTCAACAATTTCTTAGCACGCAGAGAATTGTGGGAATAAAGAGGTGACTGCTAATAAAAACGATTTCTTTTTGGGGTGATCAAAATGCTCTCAAATTGATTGTGGTGATGGTTGCACAACTCCATGAATATATTAAGAACAATTGTGTTGGCCGAGCACCGTGGCTCCTGCCTATAATCCCAGCACTAAGGGAGGCCGAGGTGGGTGGATCGCTTAAGGCCAGGAGTTCAAGACCAGTCTGGGCAACGTGGCAAAACCCCATCTCTACTAAAAATACAAAAGTTGGGGTCTGGTGCGGTGGTTCACACCTGTAATCCCAGCACTTTGGGAGGCCGAGGTGGGCGGATCACGAGGTCAGGAGATCAAGACCATCCTGGCTAACACGGCGAAACCCCATCTCCACTAAAAATACAAAAAATTAGTCGGGCGTGGTGGTGGGCGCCTGTAGTCCCAGCTACTCAGGAGGCTGAGGCAGGAGAATGGCATGAACACGGGAGGCGGAGCTTACAGTGAGCCGACATCGAGCCACTGCACTCCAGCCTGGGCAACAGAGTGAGACTCTGTCTCAAAAAAAAAAAAAAAAAAAAATACAAAAGTTAGCCAGACATGGTGGTGTGTGCCTGTAGTCTCAGCTACTCGGGAGGCTGAAGCAGAATAGCCTGAACCCGGGAGGCGGAGGTTGCAGTGAGCCAAGATGGCACCACTGCACTCCAGCCTGGGTCACAGAGCAAGACTCTGTCTCAAAGAAACAAACAAACAAAAAAAATTGTGTTGTATACCTTAAATGGGTGAGTTTCAGGTGAATTATATGTGAATTATATCTCAATAAAGCTGCTATATATAAAAAAGAAAGGAAGAAGTTTGCTCTGATGTGAAGGAATAACACCAGCAATGATGGATCCCAGCCACTGTATGAAAACGCAAACTGGTGGCTTCTAGAAGAGGCCCTAACAGCTCCATGAACACACAGACATGTGTCCCCAAACACATCCCCCTGGAAAGGAAGAAGAGAATAGCTGCTGCCCACCACTCCCCAAATCTCTGACCCCCGGCCTCCAACACCATGCCAGAGGGGGCATGGAGCAGACAGCCAGGAACTCTTATTTTGTCTCCTGCCCCGAGCAATTCCTAAACAGTGGGAGTTAAATATTTATAAAGCCGTCACTGTTTGTTTAATGTTCAATCTGTACTTGGGAAGGCTGATGCAGGGAAATGCTGAAGTGACAGCTGATTATACAACCTGGGAGAAGCGCGGCACACCAGGATCTGACACTTCCCAGGGCTCTGGCCCTCGCCTTCTCTCCCTTTTGCTCCCCAGCATGGGCTGCCTTCCTCCTTCTCCATGTGCCCCTGGGTTAGGGGGAGGCTCCTGTGTTTAGTCTCCTCTTCCCAGCTCCCGTGGAACAAGACAAAATAGCCGTTTTCACCAAAAGCCAGAGTCTCAGCGCTTTTAATGTGATGTGAACAGTCCCTGAGACTGTGATGCTGTTGGGGAGACATCTTCCTTCATGGCACCCACTGCATTGAACCCTCTGCCAATAGAAGATCCTGCTCAGAAGCGGGGACCCAAACCAAGGCAGTGACAGCAGCACACTCAGACCAGGAACGCCTTCTGAGGCCTCCCCCAAATCATCCTCCTCGTCCTCCTCTGAGCATGTCCCACACCAGGCCCCAACCTGAACGCTTCATCAAAGATGAATGTTGGAATCCAACTCACAGGCTTCACATCTGGCTTTGTCATTTATCAGCTGTGTGACATGAACCTGCTCTGACTCAGTTTCCCACACTGTGAAGCACAAATGAATGGCCCGTCTGCTTCGCAGAGTTGCTTGTGAGCATTAACTAAAACAGTACTTTGAGGCAGCCAGCATCGCTATGATGAACTCAACGGTGACTCCGCCACCTGCTTCGGAGTCCTAACTCTAAACCTCACTTGTCTGTGACCTTGGGCAATTCCAGTCACTTGTCCCAGCCCTCCTCACTGGTCTACCCAGCAAATGAGATTACCATATAATGAGATAAAATAAGATACCTAATAAAATGATACAAACGAGATATACAGTAAGATAAAATGAGATAGGGTGAGCACTGCCCAAAATATGGGTCAGGGCTTAGCAGTTTTGCTGATACAGCAAGGTGGGGAGATGGCCACTAATGCTCCTTCATGTCTGGGACTCCCGTGACTCTTTTGGGGGCCCAGATACCTCTGAAAGTGGCTAATGCACAGGGATTATCCTGCCAGCTGCATCCGGTAAGAGGTTGCCAGAATCTTCAAATTGCCAGAAGGCATTATGGTGACACCAGTTGGTCTGGAAGTAAAGAGATGGGCCTGGGCTAAGTAATGGTGACAGATCCTGTCCAGCCTGCAGGACCTCGCCTAAGCCTGCCGCCTTCCCTTCCTACCACTGTGTTGGCAGTAGAGTGGGGGACACAGATGGATGAGCAAGATCTCCCTCTTCAAGGAGTCCTGGGTCCCACAGTGAGCTGGACACATAAAGAAACCCCTAATGAATGCAAGGATGGAGGTAGGAAGGTAGCTCAGAGAGGTGCAGTCAAGGCAAAGAAGAGTGAACTAGGCAGAAGGAACAGCAGGAGCTCTGCAGCCATGGAAAACTGAGGCAGAAGAGAACCTCATTACCCCAGAAAAGAACCCACTTAAAATAGGTCCAGATATTTAATGTAGCATATGGGGGAGAGGGGTTGCAGCATCTTGAAAAATCAAGCTTCATCACCTACTTCGGATTCCTAGCTCTACCCATTTGGCTGTGATCTGGGGTGACTTTTGTCACTTGTCCTAGCCCTCCTTGGTGGGGGGGGGGGTGGGTATCTTGGAAAAAGAAATAAAGAATTATAAAAATGACTTTATTAGTATACAATTTATAATTACACATAAACTATACATAAAATAAGATTGATCTTATACTTTGAAACCTGAACTGGCCAGGTGCAGTGGCTCACACCTGTAATCCCTGCATTTTGGGAGGCCAAGGCGGGCAGATCACGAGGTCAAGAGTTCAAGACCAGTCTGACCAATATGGTGAAACACCGTCTCTACTAAAAATACAAAAATTAACCGGGCGTGGTGGCACATGCTTGTAGTCCTAGCTACTCGGGAGGCAGAGGCAGGTAAATTGCTTGAACCCAGGAGGCAGAGGTTGCAGTGAGCTAAGATCACGCCACTGCACTCCAGCCTAGATGATAGAGCAAGACTCTGCCTCAAAAAAAAAAAAAAAAAAAAAAAACATGAACCAAAAATTATAATTTTTTTAAATTTATTTATTTTCCAGACAGAGTCTCGCAGTCTCACCCAGGCTGGAGTGCAGTGACGTGATGTTGGCTCACTGCAACCTCTGCCTCCTGAGTTCAAGTGATTCTCATGCACAGCCTCCCAAGTAGACAGGAAGATAGGCATGCACCACAAAGCCCAGCTAATTTTCTGTATTTTTTAATAGAGATGGGGTTTCGATATGTTGGCCAGACTGGTCTCAAACTCCTGGCCTCAAATGATCCTCCCTCCTCGGCCTCCCAAAGTGTTGGGATTACAGGCAGGAGCCACTGTGCCCGGCCCCTGAAATTATCATTTTAAACTATGATCTAATTTGCTGAGTTGTGTACAGAATGAATCTAATGTCGAGGCCTTCCTTAGCACACGTTTTCTCACAAAATATAAACTTCCTTCACTCCACTCCTTCATCATTAATCCAAGGAATCATTTTGCAAAACACCTTTCGAAGACCTCTCTTAACTTTTTTTTTTTAACATTTTTAAATCACTTTCCCTTGATTTGCATAGAGAGACATCATCTTTCCTTTCTCTTCTCCACGGTTAACAACCCTGATTCTGCTAGTGCTCCCCAATTGCTATATCCTCAGCACTACTCAGCGCTCGGCACACAGGAGGTGTCAGTAAGCGTGTGTGGTTCATGCAGCCTCTCACAGGCCTTTGCTGATTCCAGGAAACCCTGCAGCTGGTACAAAACGTGCAATTTCTGGCAGCTGATCTGCCTTGGAGAGAAAAACCCCTGTTCCTCAGTTCTGCCACTGTCATTTCATTGAAAATGTAGGCAATCATTAAGGACCAACACTTAAATATTTTATTATAGTTGCATATTTATTAACCAATCAAAGGGTAGGATCTTTTTTTGGCACGCTGACTAGAGATGCAAATCATCTTCCATGCAAAATACACACTCACAAGTCAACATCTACAATTCCTGGTTTCAGTTTCTTTAAAGCAGTGCCAAAGTTAATCACCTGTAAAGCATATGGAATACAAACTATGGTTTTACAATTTTTTACAGCTGTTTTGCCTTTAAGTTATTTGGTGACAATTTTTTTTTAGCAAATCAATATTATCCATTCTATCCAAAGTACTAAACTTTTCATAAAACAACTCTTTATAAACTCAATTTTCATTAGTTTATGTCGTACTTAATTACCAACACAACAACTTTTGGCAAGCACATAAATCAACTAGTAGTAACAAGCCTTCTGGGCACACCAATATCAATAGCTAACATTTATTGAGTGTTTATCGTATCATAAAACACTGTTCTAAGCCTTTAAACGTACTAATTCATTTAATGCTCATAATCACTTTAGAAGGTGGGTACTAGTATTAGTCTCATTTACAGATGCAACATGCAGGCACAGAGAGGTTAATTAACTTGCCCAAGGTAACACAGCTAAGAAATAGAAAAAATATTGAATCTGGAAAGTTGGGCTTCTGGGTAACCCACAGAGTCTTCAATGAGCCTGGGGCCTCACTCAGTTTGCTTTTACAAAGCGAATGAGTAACATCACTTAATTCAGTGAGTAGGCCAAATGGAGGTCAGCTACGAGTTTCTGCTGTTCTTGCAGTGGACTGACAGATGTTTACAACGTCTGGCCATCAGTAAATGACTGATTATCATTGGATGTGGGTGGGCTGAATGTTGGCAGTGAGTTTATTCATGCATATTTTTATGTTAGGATGACTTTTGCTGTCCTAGGCAAGCTCTGTCTGCAGGAACACAGATAACACAGGACCCCCTCAATTTCTGTGTGGCTAGAACATGAACCACTGTTGGGGACAAGAGGAGAGGCTGGGGGAGACTTCAAGGCCAGGTGTGTCAGGCCAAGTGTTTTGGATTTAACTCCGCCTATAGATGCTTCTTCATGTTCAGTGACTGGCCAGAAATTGCACCTGCCTACCGCTGCGAAGGGATAAGATTCAGGAGACCCCCAAACTGCTGGCACAAAATGTAGAGCAGAAGGAAAGGGAAGAAAACCTGACAGTGGAATGGTGGGCCTGCATGCGAGGGCTTGGAGGCTTTCCTTCCACTTCTGACCTTCCCCGAGTCCCCAGGACACCTGCACTGCTGGATGGTGGGCCACAGTGAGTGAGGCCAGAAAACGAAGGTAGGGACCCTGATCAGAGGCCAGGCAGCTCTTCCAGGCAGAGGGAAGGTCAGACATCTGATCTCTGGGCTCTCAGTCCAGCGTCCTTTCCACCACCCTATGCCACAGTCGCCAATAGAGCCGGAGTGGGTAGCAGGATGGTGACTGCTCAGGGGAGGGGGCAGACCCCACTCAGACTGGATGAAGAGTGAGAAAAAATATATAACATTGCACAAAAGTGGGGAGAAGCCTTCAGTCTCCAAAGCCCTGCTCCTGAAGCCCAGATAAACAGACTGTGTCGCTAAGTCAATAACTTTCCACAGTAGAGGGTTAAGAAGAGGAAATGGCTTTGTTACCTGAATCCTTTCCACTTGTTAAAAGAAGTCACCTTCCTGCTCCTTGAAGTAATTGACATCAAGGAGGAATGCCGAGAATTTTCAGCTTCTCAGCCAGCTGACAAGGTGCTGTGTTAGAATGTGCACACTCCATAACAGCCCAAATACTACTTAAAGTGCAGAGGCAGGTGACATTAGAAAATAAACAAGCCAACAAAAGTAAACCGGGCTTCACTGCTCCCTGGTTAGCAGAAGCTGAGGGCTGGCCAGGCTCCTGGTACCCGACGTGCAATCACATCTCTAGGGAGGGAAGGCCCAACGCGCACTGCCTTCACCAACCTGACAGCGGTCATCTGAAGAAGGGTGTCAGGACAGCCCCAACGATCAGAACCCAGAGAACTGGAAGAAAGCCCCCACGACCCCGCGAGAGGAAGAACATTAGAATTCTGCACACCATCTTTCAGTGGTAGTGAGTGCCCCGTCAGTGGAGGTATTCCAGGGCTGACTAAACAGACAAGTGGCCAGGTTGCTACGAGTGGGGGTTCAACTTATCTCTTGGGTGGTTAGAAAAGAATGCAGCGACTCAAGGCTTGTGCATTTGCTCACTGCATTACAAATGCATATCAGAAAGGTTGCACAACCTAACCTGACCCTTTGTTCCTTCACATTCTTTCTCTCTAGGGCTTTCTCTGCAAAGCTAGAGGAGCTGTATGGATGTCAGGAGCAAAGTGTCCCTTCTTACTTTATGGAGGGCCTACTATGTGCCAGCATTGTCTGGGGAACTCAGATGAATCATGCAAGCCCCTAGTGCCAGTTCTCTAGAGCTATGGCACAATGGCTTCAGTTTATCAATGAGACTAGAAGCCAGTAAACATTCCTGAGGGCCTAGTGGTTCCAGTTGTGAAAGCCATCGTCGTTGGTAGTAATGTTATTCTATTATTCCCACTGACAAATGAGGACACAGATCAGGGAAGAGAAAGGATGCCCTCCATTCACCGAGCAAGTCCGTGGAGGAGCTGCCTTTCCAATCTAGCCAGCCATACCAAGCTCCAAGATCCACACTCTTTCCCTGGCTGTGCTGCATGGGCCGATACACAGTTCCACACCCCCAGGAACATCCCCTCCACCAGGAAAGTCAGGACTTGTCTCCACTCCCCCATCCACTGCCTTCAGGGGTCATTCCACCATTTCCTCTATATTTCACCACTGGCCCAACTGAATTCCGGTGGCGCAGGCCGCCCCCGAGTCATGGCAGAGATGAGCAGGGCTTTGAGAGCAGAGATGAAAGGCAGCGCTGCAGAGCGCATGAGGTCTCAGCACAAATGTCAACTACTTTCATCAGGAAAACCCAAAATTACCCACTCTTACACGCAGTCTTTCATCTGCTACGGGGCAAGCAGAGGCTGCTTATTAGAAATGCTGCCTTGTCCGTAATCTCCTTGTGGGGGACAGGGTTGAGGGGCGAACGCCAGCATCACCCTCAGAATCACGGCGCTGCCTCACTCTGAGGGGCAGCTGGCCTGTCGGAAACACAGGCTCCACTCTGCCCTTGGCCACCAGACGCTGACTAACCGGACAGAGAGGAGGTCTGCCTGGGCCAGCTGCCACCACTGCAGAGGCAGACTCTGCCAAAAGACGGCTGTCCCCAGAGCGGGCTGTAGGCGCGTTGGGGCGGCCAAGCCACTGCTGTGCACCTCCCACACATACAGCCTGCAGCTCCAGGAAACAGAGGTTTGAGACCGCAAACTAAATGTACAGGAGGGCTGACCGGCCCCTCTATTTCTTCCTTCTCTCTTTCTCCAGCAAAGCCAGCAATTGAGAACTCCACATCATAGATTACTGTGGCTAAAAGGGGCCTCTTGAGGTCACTGATATGGTTCCCCTGGATCAAGACCAGTCTGTCCTGGGTCATCACAGGATCCAGGCTATAACCCTCATGAAAGGGATCTCAAGGGAGAGCTGGTTTCCTTTATTGCTACCAGAGCAGCCTGCACCTTTCTGAATCCCAGCACTCATGACATTTGACTTTTGCCTTCTATTCCAGTATCTATCGCCTCCTCATGATCTGTGAGTCCTTAAGACCAGGGGCTGTTTTAGCCTTTTCTGTGTCTTCAGGACTTAACACAAGGCCTGGTCCAGAGAGCTGGCTAGGAAATGTGGGTGGGTGGATGGGTGGTTGCGTGGATGGATTAGATGGTAGCGCAGGCAGAAAGGGGAAGAGACAGAAGAGAGTTGTAACTAGGGGCTATCAAACACATTTACTCTAGACTGCCACAGTCATGGAACTTTTGGGCCAAAGTGGGCTTGAGAGATGCTCTAAGTCTCACTGCCACTCCTTATTTTGCAGAGGAGAAAACTTAAACTCTAGCACTCACTGTCTTGTGCAAGGTGAGATAATCCATCCTAACATCTAAAGCTTTTGGTAGCCTCCATCAGAAAGGATACATAACAATCCATCCTGCTATCAGAACCGAAACGATACTCACGCTCCCCTAGCTTGTGCAAGAAGTGCTGCCTCTAACATGCAACCCAGAAAGCTTCAGCTCAGTGCTGCTAAAAATACAATAAAATCAAGAGGAAGTGGGGCTCAGGAAGGAAGGAACACAGGTCTCCCACCACTACAAGCCAAGCTTAAGGTGATGGCCCACAACTTCCCACCAGGAAGGCCAGTTCTCCCTGCTTCTCACCTGGATCACACGCCTCACCAGGATGAGAGGAGGACAAAGCTGAGCATTTGGATCTTCCGGGAATAATTCCTACTATGAGAGAAAATGCAGCCAAAATCCAGAGACCAGAACGAAATCATCTATCTCCTGCTTGGTTATGGCGAATACGGACACATCAATCCATGACTACTTCCTGACAGCCTGCTGTGCATTCAGTCCTGGGCTGAGCACACACAAAGACAAGAAATCTAAATCCTGACCAGGCCCACATTGAGGTCATTGACCTACTACTCATTCATGCACTTGTTCACACAACAAATCATTATTGAGCACCAACCACATGCCACAGCACTAGATTCGGGAGTTTGGGTCTGTTCTCTGCTGAGTATGCAAGAAGCTTGAACTTGATTCCAGGAGAGAACATCTAACAATAACCATCATGCACATCACTCATGTCTGCACAGTGCTTTTCCATTCTCAAAGCACTTGCCCCTACATGGTGTGTTTAATCCTCACAAAACCCCAGGGAAGACATCAGATAAGTGTTCTCATGCTCTCCCACTGCACATTTAGGGAAACTGAGGTACTGAGGGTTGAAGGCACTCATCCATGACCACATAGTGGAACTGTGACTCAAACCCACATCTTCTGTTTTCTTTTGGCTATAAATATTTGCCCCCCTGTAAGTGGGATGTGGGGAGTCCCTATTGGCCTAGTGGCCAGGGTGGGATTGACTGTGAAGGATGTGAATATGTGGAAAGCACAGGGCAAGGTTGCATGAAAAGACATAGATCTGGGCTCTTCAGGGTCAGGTGATGTACCCATGGCACACAGCACTTGGCATGAGCCAAGAATCTGAAGCAAAGCGAAACAAAACAAAACCTGTCCACTGTAGAGGAAGAGGAACATAGAAAAGTGATCAAAAGCAGCATTCTAGAGTCAGACCAATCCTGGTTCCACTTCTACACTGTGTGCTCTAATGGAGCCTCTACTTTCTCATCTGTAGAATGGGGCTAATGAACCCATCCCATCTCTATAGAATCCACCAGTTTAAGTGCCAGACATAGTGTCCACATATCCTCTTTTTTTTTTTTTTTTTTTTTTTGAGATGGAGTTTCGCTCTTGTTGCCCAGGCTGAAATGCAATGATGCAATCTCGGCTCACCACAACCTCTGCCTCCCAGATTCAAGCAATTCTCCTGCCTCAGCCTCCCAAGTAGCTGGGATTACAGGCACGTGCCACCACGCCTGGCTAATTTCGTATTTTTAGTAGGGAAAGGATTTCTCCATGTTGGTCAGGCTGGTCTCAAACTCCCGACTTCAGGTGATCTGCCGCCCGCCTCGGCCTCCCAAAGTGCTGGGATTACAGGTGTGAGCCACTGAGCCTGGCCCACATGTCCTCTTTTAACCTGATGGGATCTGTGATGTCATAACTGTTTTAATGGAGGTAAAATCTGCATAAAGTAATATTAACCATTTTAAAGTGTACAAAATCAGTGACGTTTGTCTAGTACATTCACAATGTGGTATAATCACCATGTCTATCTGGTTCCAAAACATTTTCATCACCCTCAAATAAAACTTTGTACTCATTGGCCAGGTGTGGTGGCTCACACCTGTAATCCCAACACTTTGGGAGGCCGAGGTGGGTGGATCACCTGAAGTCAGGAGTTTGAGACCAGCCTGGCCAACATGGTGAAACCCCATCTCTACCAAAAATACAAAATTAGCCGGGTGTGATGGCACATGACTGTAACCCTAACCGCTCAGGAGGCTGAGGCAGGAGAATCACTTGAACACAGGAGGTGGAGGTTGCAGTGAGCTGAGATTGCACCACTGCACTCCAGCACTCCAGCCTGGGAAACAAGAGGGAAACTCGGTCTCAAAAAAAAAAAAAAAAAAACCAACAACAACTTTGTACCCATTAAGCAGCTACTCCCCATGGCCCCCAGCAACCATTAATCTGCTTTCTGTCTATATAATTTTGCTTATTCTTGAAAATTCATAAAAATGGAATCAGACAATATGTGACTTTTTGTGCCTAGCTTCTGTCACCTAGAACAGCATTTTTGAGGTTCATCCATGTTGTAACATGTATCAATGTCTCATTCCATTTTACAGTTGAATACTGTTTGCTATTCTTCCGCGGACAGACATTGGACATCTGGGTTGTTCCCACCTTCTGGCTGTTGTGAGTAGTGCACATGCCTGTAAAAGCTTTTTGTGGACATACGCCTTCAACTCTCTTGGATATACACCTAGGAGTGGAATTGCTGGGTCATATGTAATTCTATACTTGACTTTTTGAGGAACCACCAAACTGTCTTCCACAGAGACTGTATCATCTTACATTCCTACCAGCAATGTACAAGGGTTCCAATTTCTCTACATCCTCACCAACACTTGCTATTTTCTGCCTTTTTTTTTTTTTTTTTTTTTTTTTTTTTTTTTTTTTTTTGCTGTTGGTGGTGGTGGTGTTTAATTACAGCCATCCTAGTAGGTATGAAGGGGTATCTCATGGTTTTAATTTGCATCTCCCTAACAACCATGGCTACTGAGCATCTTTTCATGTGTTTATTGGCCATTTATATAACTTCTCTGGAGAAATGTGTGTTCAAGTCTTCTGCCCATTCTGAAACTGGGTTGTCTTTTTGGTTTTGAGTCCACTAATGTTTTGAGCAAGTGTATAGCAAACTCGTATGCTGCCTCAAGCCTATTCATCTGGCAGTCCCAGCCACTACTGAAAAGCAGGTGTGAGGCCAGGGGGCTGCTGGATTCTGCATGTGGGCCTGGAGAGAACAGACAGCCATGTGTGTGGCCCCAAACCCTTCACTTAGAGAGGCACTGGAGCCCCTGGAGATGTCCAGGCGAGAGCAAAGGGCATGATTAAAATGGGGTGGGAAACGGCACTTTCGAGGAAGGTTAGAAGAGATTAAGGGAGGGAAAGACTGCGGACGACTTAATCCCACACAGACCCTGGAGTGTCTGAGTAGGTGATTTCAAGGAATCAGTGGTCAGCTGTTTTCCATTTCCCCAGCAGAAGAGAAGGAAATGTGCACAGTCGGGGAGAGGCTGAGCACAGGGAAGTGCTTCCATACTGAAGAGCTCTACCTGGCAGAACCTGCCAACACTTGGCATAGAATGCAGACCCCACATGGGGCAGACTGGACCCACCCAAGCAGCAGCGCCCAACAGAACCCAGGCTTAACTGCCCCTGTCCCCCATGGAAACACGTTCTTCAGCAGAGAGAAAGGGACTCATCACAGTCATGTGTGGCCCAGCATTAACCTTAACACCCCATGGCCTCCCAACATGGGAGGGCCTATACTGGGCCCAGGTCAATGGATCAGGCTAGGTGCAGTGAATTCCTGGTTTGAAGGCCAAGTGCCAGGGAGCAGATATGAAGAGCATGTTGCGCCTGACCCTGAGGAATGCATGGCTGATGGGAGGATGCTGTGGAAACCGCTCACTCCAAACCAGCAGAAGGCACAGGCACCATGAAAACACCTGGACAGAAAGGCTCTTGGACAAGGAGCTGAGCTTCAAAGTTAGCAAGAAGGGAGGGAAGAGGCCAAGCGTGGTGGCTCACACCAGTAATCCCAGCACTTTGGGAGGCCGAGGCAAGCGGATCACTTGAGATCAGGAGTTCAAGACCAGCCTGGCCAACACGGTAAAACCCCATCTCTACTAAAAAGAAAAAAACAAGGTGGGGTGTGAAGGGGGTGGGTGGGCGTGGCTCACGCCTGTAATCCCAACACTTTGGGAGGTGAAGGCAGGTGGATTACCTGAGGTCAGGAGTTCAAGACCAGCCTGGCCAACATGGTGAAACCCCATTTCTACTAAAAATCCAAAAAATTCGTCTGGCCTGGTGGCAGGTGTCTGTAATCCCAGCTACTTGGAAGGCTGAGGCAGAAGAATTGCTTGAACCCGGGAGGTGGAGGTTGCAGTGAGCCAAGATCGTGCCATGGCACTCCAGCCTGGGTGACAGAGTGAGACTAGTCTAAAAAAAAAAAAAAGAAGGGAGGGAAAGATATAAAATGACCCAGTATTTGGGGTCAGTGGACATGTGTTCAATGCGAATGTCACCATTTATAATTTCTGGCAAATTCCTTCACCTTTCTTCCTCTATCACAATAGGGATAATCCAACTTCTCCACTGGGATGGTGTGGAATAACTCAAGTGAGTCAGCTCACAGGAGGCTGCTGCCCTTCCATCGTGGAGGGCTGTACCTTGGCAGAATCTCCTCCTAGGATTATGCTCTCTCCCTGGGTTCCAATCCCCCCTTAGCCACTTACTTGCCAAGGGATCTTTGGCAGATTACTTAATTCCTCTGAGCCTCAGTTTCCTCATCTGTAGAGTGGGTGTGTAAACATAGTACTTATTATAGGGTGGTTGCCTGTGTTACATGAGTCAACACGTAGAAATCACTTGGAAGATGAATGGCAAGTGCTCCAAAATTTAAGTAGCTATTATTCTATAACATTCAACACAATAAACAATCCCTCTTCCTAAACTGTCTACATGTTTAGTATAGATTTCTGCACAGTGGGCTGAGCTGAATGCCAGGATGTTCAAACTGCAGGATCACAGAACTTTATCACATGTGGGATCTGGAGAAACTAATGTTCTGCTCCAAGAAGTGAAGAAACAGGTACAAAGGCTCACCTAACTCAGGGCACTCAAATCCAGGTCTCCACTAAAAGCTGGTTACTCTGCTGCCCTCTCCCCATCCACCAACTTCCCCACACTGAGCCACACCCATTCTTTATCCATTATGAAACGAGCACCACCCGTAAACCTGTGGTGAGGTTCAGTTAAAACAGTTTACTGAATGTAAAGCTGTTCTTTTGGCCATCGCCTAAGATAAGGGCCTGAGGCCAAAGGGAGCAGGGAGGTCACCCATAGTGCGGACCCCTAGTCACAACAAAAGAACCATCAATTTCTCTAAACAGCACTCCAAGAAGCAAATAAAAGCACAGCAGAGGGGGCACGCATGCTATTAGACACAGCTGGTGTAAGCCCTAGTTCTATGACTGTGCCTTTGGACAAGTTCCCGACCTTCCCTGGGCCACGGTTTCCTCAACTGTAAAACAGGGACTACGCAGGGGTGGTAGCGAGGATGAGAAACAGAGGCTTATACAGTTTCTGCGGTTTGGCAGCCTGTTTTTATTAGAGCTGCCATCTCCTCCGGAGACCTCCAGTCCCGTACTTCACAGTGGCCACGGGGATCAGTTTCAGTGATTCACCGGCTGGGGCCTGGCCCTGAAGAGCCTTTGCAAGGCCGGCCAGGTAAACAGCTGGCAGCCGGGGACCGGCGGCCACTCCGACCTGCTGTGCAGGTCAGAGCAACTGCACACAGGAGCACTCCCCTTGCGGTATCTTCAGGGCTTTGAGTCTCAACCCAGCTGCATCTGGACGCACTCAACTGACACAGGCCCAGGAAAACTATGGCCAGAACAAAGGAACACTACAGCATAAGCAAGGGGGTGGCTCTATAAGAGGAGCCCGACATAGGCTGCAAGTGGCAGAGGAGGTCACTATTCTGGGAGTCCCACCTGTCTGACCTCCTCTGAGTCCCTGGACGGTTCAGGGCAGGAGGAAGAGGAGGTGGAAGTCTATAGGTCCAGCCTGCCTCAGGTTCTGGGAGTGACAGATTGTCAGAACTGAGTTAAAGCCCATAGCCCCATCCTTCTCACAGCTTCTATAAGTAAGCCTGACCCACCAAGACTGTAGCACAGGAATGCCTTATAATGATTTCTATTGCTCTTCACCGTACAATGCACAATCTCTCTCTCTCTCTCTCTCACACACACACACACACACAAACACACACACACACAGCAGACTGATATAATGGTTAATAGCACAAACTCTGGAGCCAGACTGTTGGGGCTGGAACACCAGCAAGCCACTTTCAGCAGTGTGACATTAGACATTATACTTAGCCTCTCTGATCCTCCAGTTTTCTTGTTTGTAAAATGGGGCTAATTATAGCACCATCCTCCTAGGATTATTACAGGAATTAAATTATTTAACAGATGAGACCAAATTCGCACTGCCCAGAAGTTAATAAGCACTAGATAAATGTCAGCTATGATTATTAGTTACTAATCTAATTATTATCATTAGGAAGTCATTTAATTTAACTGATTTGACTGGTAGGTTCTTCATGAGTTATCAATCACACAGAGATTTACCAAGGAAAGGCCATAAAGAAAAGAAGGAAGAAAATTAGCATTCTTTGTCAGCTTCCTACACATGTGATCATTTCAGGTCAGGATTTCACATTCCCTGCAAAACTGAGATTGTGATCCCCAGTTTGCAGATGAGGACACCAAAGTTTGGAGAAGCCAAGGCAATAGAGTCAGATTCCAAAGCTAATAAATTTATTATGGAACAAAAACCACCTTCTAAAATGTCACTTTCTTGTGCATGTTTCCACGACCCTGTACCTTTCGCACACAACTGCCCCCGCTTCCATCTCCCCAATCTTCCCACCAGTCCCATCTTCCCCTTGCGTGGCCAGCAGAGACCCACGTCCATGATGGACACTGCTTAGGCACCCCGCTAATTGCTCTTCCAGCACATGTACAGAGCTGACCTCATAGCAGGATGAGGACGGACGTGGTGTGCAGAGGCCCTTCCCTGCACCCCACTCCCAGCACCTTGCAACCAATCCCCACACACCCAGCCTCTGCCCCATGTTGGAAAAATTGCCTCCCACTCTGGTGCTACAGGTATGAATCTCAGCCACAGTGATGACTGTGGCAGCTACAGGCCTGATGAACACCCCACCAAGAAAAGGAGCATCATGTGCCTGCTTCTCTCTGGTTCCTAAATCCTTTGGCCAAACATTTTCCCCACAACCCTCCACTCCAGTTGGCTGGTCACTGCCTCTCAGAAAGAAGTCCCAGGTCCCTGTCAGCCCCAGAGCGCCTGCATGGACTCTGCCCACTGTCCCTTTCCAACACGGAGGCCCCCAATTCTGGGGACCCCTACACCCTACCCTGTACCACCACATCCCCATGCCTGCTCCAGACAGCACTAACCTCCCATGACAGTGGGACCAAAGCAGTTCTTAAAGGTCCAATCCACTCAGTTCTTAAATGAAAAACAGTTGCCCATGAGTCACCCCCAAAGAGCTCCGCACATATGCCAAACATTCGGTGTGCACTATTTCAACTGATCCTTGAAACAATCCCCTGAAGCAAGCGCTATTATCACACTCATTTTGCAGCTGGGAAAAACAAGGCTCAGAAGGTAAAGTGACTAGAATCACAGGCTGGTAAGGCACAAAGCCATGATTCAGACCCAGGCCCTCTCTCTCTCGAGATGCATCACTTTGAAGACTCTTGCCTACTGTTTTCCTGTAGTTTCACCTGATTTGGGGAGAGAGAGCTCTGTTTTCCCAGTAACCACACTGCGAACACAGCAGACAGTCACTTACATTCACAGATGATCTGAATAGCAAAAGTAGCCAATAGGCAAGGACAAAAACGCGGCCTGCGTGACCCATTTCCCTTTAATTTTTAAAAGTCTCTTTCAACCAGATCTCCTCAGAGTTCTTCATCCATCAGTAAATACGAACTAACGCCATATTGAGGGCCTTCAAATATACAGTGGGCCAAACCTTGTCCTTCCACTGGAAATACACACAGGATCACGAGAGACATGGACCTAAATGGCAGGGGCCACGTGGGGAAAAAACGGGCAGCGTCTATAAGCTAAGAGGACAGAGCAACCAACTCTGCTGGGTAAGTCAGAACAGGCTTTGAAGACCCGGCAGCTGGGTTCAAAGCTGAAATTGGATGGGGACTGGAGAGGGAGACAGAGGCGGAGGGTGACCGTACCTCTTAGGACTGGTGATGATGGCTGCCTCACCTCCCTGTGGCAGGGACCCTACTGCTACGATAGTTCAGACACCTTCCGCAGCCCTTCCTCCCGCACTCCAAGGAGTTCCTCCATCCGACTCAAAGTCCACCATGAAACCAGCAGTGCTACTGCATCTAATCTCAAGGTCCCAGACAATGGGGGTGTTTAGCCGGGAGTCCCATCAAGGGTTAAGAAACTGAACAGGAGGCTGGATGTGGTGGCTCACGCCTGTAATCCCAACACTTTGGGAGGCTGAGGTGGGCGGATCACAAGGTCAGGAGTTTGAGACCAGCCTGGTCAATATGGTGAAACCCCGTCTTTACTAAAAATACAAAAATTAGCCGGGCGTGGTGGCACAACCCTGTAATCCCAGCTACTCAGGAGGCTGAGGCAGGAGAATCGCTTGAACCCAGGAGGCGGAGGTTGCAGCGAGTCAATATCACGCCACTGTACTCCAGCCTGGGTGACAGAGCAAGATTCCATCTCAAAAAAAAAAAGAAAGAAAGAAAAAAGAAAAAAAAAGAAAAGAAACTGAAGAGGAAGGGATGAAGGGATGCACATGCATGCACAGATAATGAAGATCCACCCTCCTCACGGCCGACCAACGTGAAAATACAAAGCCTGGGATGCCCAGAAAGGACTGTGTACGGAATACTAAAATGTGGTTGTATTTTGTGGAGCTGTGCCATATGTCTCCTTGACTTATCACCCAACACACAAAAAGAAGGCGAATTCCAAAAAGATGAGGCAGCCATAAAATTAAGATAGAGAATGCCATGGGTGATGCGCGGCCACAGATTAACTGAAATGGAATTTCCTCCTTAGTCACTGGAAGGCATAGGAACCCAACTCCAGGCAGGGAGGCCACTGAGCCACTTGAATCAGCCTCTTGTTCGCTGCTTGGAGGGAAACACAATCAGGAAGAAGCTGGGTGTGGAATGTGCTCCTTTCTGCAGCACTTTCTTATTTCTTCAGCTACCCCCCTCCCATCCCAATCCCCAACCCAACCATCCCCTCCTTACAACCACTATAAAACGTGCCTTGGAAATCCAAAATCCACAATTATTAGGGTGATAGCTTAGAAAACAGGGTCTGAAACGGTGAGGATTTCGTGGAAAAATATAAAGATTTAACACAATCTTTCTGCCATCTGGGCTTCCTGACCCAAATCTGATCATTGGCAGCACTGCATACTAATCCAGGAATTCACTGACAATACGGTCTGAACTATTTCAGTGGTGTTTTCCTCCCTACCAGCCCTGTCCGCCCGCTCCCTGTCCAGCATGCACCCCAGCCAGCCCACAGAGCTGCAGCAGAATTTCCTGTCATCCTCCGGAGTGCTGGCCAGCACGGCTGATGACTTCCGGAGACCCTGCAGGAGAACAGGCACTGTAAACATAGCAGGCCCGTGTCAGTTCCATCAGGCATAAAGATCCAGACTCCTGAAGGCCAGAGTGTCTTCAAAGGGCCCGGGCTGTCCATCTGGGACCAGAGCCCTGTCATTTACAGCACCGCATTTTGACATGTCTGGGGTAGGAAGCAGGCGGTCTGGAAACATGCTCAAGAGTGCCAGGGAAGGCCGGGCATGGTGGCTCACACCTGTAATCCCAGCACTTTGGGAGGCCGAGGCTGGCAGATTACCTGAGGTCAGGAGTTCAAGACTAGCCTGGCCAACATGGTGAAACCCCGTCTCTACCAAAAAAAATTAAAAATAAAAATTAGCCGGGTGCGGTGGCACATGCCTGCAAATCCAGCTACTCGGGAGGCTGAGACAGGAGAATTGCTTGAGCCCGGGAGAGGGAGGTTGAAGTGAGCTGATATTGTGCCACTGCACTCCAGCCTGGCTGACAGAGCAAGACTCTGTCTCAAAACAGAAAAAAAAAAAAAAAAAAGAGAGAGTGCCAGGGAAGGCTGGGAATCCCAGCTGAGTCCTTAATGGCTGGGTGTCTCAGCCTCTCCGAGCCTGTTTTCACATCTGTAAAATGAAGGTGATATGACATTTACATCTTTGGGTTGCTGAGAGAAATATTTAAATCCTGGCACATAGTAGGCACTCAATAAAGGGTAACAATTACATAAGAATGGTGACATTAACGCCTGCACATTGACACCTCAACCATTATGCACAAGACCTTAACATCTGACAGAACGCATGGAAACAAGACTCAAGCATGAGACCCCAGAAGCATCGGGAAGGCAATGGATTCTCCGGATGGCAAAACAGAGTCCACCCCCCATCCCCCTCTCAACCCCTAGGAGCAGGGGACATCAGATGTGTCCTTTAAGCAACTTCTCACCCATTCGTCACACCAAAGAGTTACAATCTGCTCAGCCACAGCCTGAACTACCCCCAGTTTCTCCTTTTACCATTATCTTCGGTGCTATCTAAACATTTATCATCCTCAGGAAGATGTAAAATGCTGGTGCTGTCAGAATTCAAAATGCAATGTCAACTGGAAGGCTCAAAGCCATTTGGAGGATTTATTTTGGTGCTAACTAGAGAGCAAATGAAACCCCAGGAATGGTTTAATTAACCCCGCAAGCAGCAGCCAGGCATTTTCTTCCTGTCTCGTTCTGGCTCTCAAGGTTCCCTTAGGTTATCAGCAAGGACAAAGGAATTGACAGGGACAAAAACATAACCCAGGTGGTCATTAGGGTCTGTCCATGAAAGCAGAGTGGGGAAAGGAGCTCTCATTAGGAAGACCAGTCCAGCTCTGCCCAAGATCTGCCATACACCGATTATGTGACCATCTGCAAGTTCCTAACCCTCTCCAAACCGCTCTGAGGTTATAAGGATAACCAGGCTTCATGGATACTTGGTGTGTGTGGGGTTTGTGCAAAATGTATCTTACTGAAACCTCAGACCCTTCCTACACAGAGCAACTAGTATAGCCCCATTTTACAGATGGGGAAACCGAGGTCAAGAGAAGTTAAATAACTTGCCTCAGACCACAGCTGCAAATGGCAAAGCCAG
Organism: Homo sapiens; assembly: GCF_000001405.40. NCBI lineage: Eukaryota > Metazoa > Chordata > Mammalia > Primates > Hominidae > Homo > Homo sapiens. The sequence goes on along the minus strand of NC_000008.11, from coordinate 127,905,871 downwards.
GATTCAATCCAGGCCAGCCAGCTCAGGCCCCGAAAGCCAGTGCACTCTTGCACATGCCACAAAAGACTCAGACTGTGATGTCAGGTAAATCCAAGATGGGAGATTGACTCAACCTCTATTTCCTCGCCTGAGAAATGGGGGTGACAGCAACAACCTCACAGTGTTGCTACAGCAATGAAATGAGGTGAAAGTCATGTAAAATGACAGAAGAACACAATTATATATACTCAAAAAAAAACCCACAGGTCCTCAATTTTTTACTACACTGCCCTGCACATAGTAGGTGCTCAACAAACATTCATACAAACACATTCACCTGAGTTGAGGTGCTCAACTCAGAAATGACCAATGGATGTGAAAACCTTACAAAGTTGTTGTAAGGATTAAATGATGCCAAAAATAAGAATTGCCAGCATGCTAAGACCACAAGAAATACACATCCCAAAGGAAATTCTCTTCTTCATGTGAGGCTCCCCGTGGACATAACCCCCAGGGCACCACACAGGTGGTCTATATCCCTGTAACCAATCTGTGCCCAGAAGAGATAGTGAAGCTCAGCACAAAAGAGCAGGTGAGAGCTCCCAGCCCATGGCATTTGCCCATGTTCCTGAGTGGGAGAGAGAAGGCATGCTAAAGCATCACCCCCAATGTTGCATCCCCCAAAATCACATTAAGTCATCAAGTCACAGACAGAAGCTGGTCCAGTTGGATTCTTAAGTATTCATCTGAGCATTTGTGTATTTTGAGGCTGGGGAAGGGCAGGGGAGAGAGAAACTTTTCTCCAAGGAAGCCAGGTACCTTTGAGCACCACAGGGACTTATCAGCAGATAGACCAGAGCTCTGCAGACACACAAAACACAGCCTGGACCCAGGATGCTTGGTCATGGAAGTCAATACGAAGCCTGAACCTTAGTCCTGCCCTAGGACCAGCTCCTTGGACATACAGCCTGTGCAGGCACACAGGGCTCCTGGCTCAGAGGGGCCCGAGCTTGGTTTAAAGCTCTGCTGTCAGCATCTAGAAATTCTTCCTAATTTTTACACAAGAGAGCCCATATTTCATTTTGCACTGAGCCCCACATATTATGTAGCCAGCCTGGCCTACCACAGACAAGCCAACAGGCCCAGGTGCTCCCCATCACCGGCCTCAGTCTGTCAGTGGTAAAATGGAAGCATAATGCCTGCCTCACAGTTGCCAAAGCTGGCCAGGGACCCATACACTCAACACTTCATGAGTGTGAGATGCCATCCCCCTAACGGAGGGCCACGGTTTGCTGCCTGGCAAGTGGGATTATTTTCCCAGGTATTGGCTACCACATGAATGTTCTGCAGGTATAACGAGGCCAGAGATAGACACACACCTCAGAATGATGGATGTTGACATCATCATCATCATCATCAACATCATCTTCATCACTGTAAAACACTGAGCTGGCCCCAGAATGGGTCACATCATTTAGGGGTCTGAAAGTGCTGCACAGCAGGGCCAGGGGCAGTCAAATTCAGCATTGGTACCAACCTGCAAAACTGGATAACCCACCAGAACAAAAATATCCTTAAATCCTTAGTACCCAATAATAAAAGAGGGTATTGCCCAGGCTACAGTAAGACCCCCACTCTCACAAGTGAAATGCCCCTACTGCATACCAAAGACAAGTTGTAAGCTCCTTAAGGATAGAAAACAGGGCTTCATACACACATAAATAAAATATCTAGTAATACTTTCTAACCAAGGAGGTGAAAGATCTCTACAAGGACTACAAAACATTGTTGAAAGAAATCAGACATGACACAAATAAATGGAAAAACATTTCATGCTCATTGATTGGAAGAATCAAAATCATTAAAATGGCCATACTGTCCAAAGCAATTTATAGATTCAATGTTATTTCTTTCAAACTATCAACATCATTTTTCACAGAAGTAGAAAAAACTATTCTAAAATTCACATGGAACCAAAAAAGAGCCTGAATGACCAAAGCAATTCTAAGAAATAAGAACAAAGCTAGAGACCTCACATTACCTGACTTCAAATTATACTACAAGGCTACAGTAACCCAAACAGCATGGTACTGGTGCAAAAACAAATACACAGACCAACGGAACAGAATAGAGAATCCAGAAATAAAGCCACTTATCTACAACCATCTGATCTTCAACAAACTTGACAAAAAGAGGCAATGGGGAAAAGACTTCCTATTCAATAAATGGTGCTGGGATAAATGGCTATCCATATGCAGAAGAAAATGAAACAGAATCCCTATTTATCACCACACAAAAAATAACTCAACATGGATTAAAGACTTAAGACTTCAAACTATAAAAATCCTAGAAGAAAACCGAGGAAATACCCCTCTCAATATAGGCCTTGACAGGAATTTATGGCTAAGTCCTCAAAAACAACTGCAACAAAAACAAAAATTGACAATTGGGGCCTAATTAAACTAAAGAGTTTCTGCAGAGCAAAAGAAACTATCAAGGGAGTACACAGACAAGCTACAGAATGGGAGAAAATATTCACAAAGTATGCATTTGACAAAGTTCCAATATCCAGAATCGATAAGGAACTTAAATCAAAAAGCAAAGAAGCAAATAATCCCATTAAAAAGTGGGCAAAGCACAAGGACGGACACTGCTCAAAAGAAGACATTCATGCAGCCACCAAACATGAAAAAATGCACAACATCACTAGTCATTGGAAAAATTCAAATCAAAACCACAATGAGATACATTTCATGCCAATCAGAATGGTTTTCATTAAAAAGTCAAAAAATAACAGATGTTGGTGGGCCTGTGTAGAAAAGGAGACACTGACACACTGTTGGTGGGAATGTAAATTAGTCCAGCCACTGTGAGGAGCAGTTTAGAGATTTCTCAGAAAACTCCAAGTTGAACTACCATTTAACCCACCAATCTCATACCTGGGTGTATACTCAAAGGAAAATAAATTGTTCTACCAAAAGTACACACGCACCCATGTGTTCATGGCAGCACTATTCACAATAGCAAAGACATGGAATCAACATAAATGCCCGTCAGTGGTGGACTGGATAAAGAAAATGTGGCACATATACACCAAGAAATACTATGCAACCATATAAAAGAATGGAATCACGCTCTCTGCAGCAACATGGATGCAGCTGGAGGCCATTATCATAAGCAAACTAATGCTGAAACAGAAAACAAAATACCGCATGTTCTCACTTATAAGTGGGAACTAAACATTGGGTACACATGGGCATAAAGATGGGAACAATAGATGCTGAGGGCTACTAGAAAGGGGAGGAAAAGAGGGGGACAAGGATTGAAAAACTACTGGATACTATGCTCAGTACCTGCGTGATGAGTTCAATCATACTCCAAACTTCAACCGCATCCCATATACCTCTGTAACAAACCTGCATATGCATCTCTTGATTCTAAAATAAAAAGTGAAAAAAAAAAAAAAAGAAAATAGAACTTCAGCTCTGGAGCTCTGGTGTAGCTCCAGAACATGCAGCCTCGCACAATGCCTTGCACACAGCCGGAACCAAGTATACACAATGACAGCACTAGAAATGACTTGTGAACTGTCAAAGTGCTTGATGCTCAGTGGTATCATTCAATTCACAGGTAGGGTGAACGACCATCCCAGTTTGCACAGGACTGAGGAGGTTCCCAGAGTGTTGGACTTTCCGTGCCAAAACCAGGAAAGTCTCTGGCAAACCAGGACAAGTTGGCCATTCTGTTCACAGGTATTATTTCTAAGGTCAAACAGAGGTTACTCCTCAGTGGAGGGTTATGGGGCTCTCTTTCAACCACCAACACATTTCTACGCATTCTAAGTTTTCACCAAAGATCTTGTATTAGTGTTATTATCATGGGAAGTGTTGAAGAAGTAAAAAGGTTATTTCATAGTATGCACTATCCATTACCAAATCCAAATTTTCTATTTCTAACGATATTTTTCTTAAAAAAAAAAAAAAGTACCCTTGGCCAGGTGCAGTGGCTCAAGCCTGTAATCCCAGCACTTTGGGAGAACAAGGCAGGAGGATCGCTTGAGCTCAGGACTTTAAGACTAGCCTGAGCAACATAGTGAGACTCCATCTCTATTAAATATAAAATTAGAAATTTAAAAAAAAAAAAACTCTTCTCAAACTGTCTATGTTTAATCTTCCCTTGTGGCTGTACAATGGTGGTTCATGCCTATAATTCCAGCACTTTGGGAGGCCAAGGTGGGAGGATCACTCAAGTTCAAAAGTTTGAGACCAGCCTAGGCAACATATCAAGACTGTCTCTCTAAAAAGAAAAATAAAAAAAAGAAAAGAAAAAAATCATTCCTTGTTCATTTATGTCAGCTTTTTCCCACAACATTCAACTTCCTTCCAGAAGTTTCCCCCTCCTGACCTTTACAGCCCTGCTGCCCTGAAGTGTCCTTCTGGGCCACCGAGGGCATCTCAATCTTGCCTTTCCTAAAATGTGCCTGTGCTGTGGGCTTTGCTAGAAGCCCCAGATCCTGGCTGAGACAGACTCATAAAGTGGTTACAGTAACTCTGGGTCCCCCACCCCTCTTCCTGCAATGGGTCACTTGGATAACCCTCAGTGAGTGAGGGCCAGAGCCAGACTCCAGCCAGCCCCTCCAGCAGCCCTCTGCAGCAAGCCCAACTTCCTCCTCAGCTCTCCACTGTGCATCCAACTCCCCAAAAGCCCACAGCAATGGTGCCTGGGACCTCCATGTCCAGCCTCATGATATCCAGCCAGGCCCAGACAACGCTGTTGGCTTCTTCACAAGTATCTTCTCAACAGCAATGTCTTCATTCACACCCCCACTCCAGGCCCCTATTTCTTTGTTCTTTCTGCTGCTTCTGCAAGGGGCCCCCATTATGTTGCTCCTTCCACACCCAGACTCTGGACCTGCCCTGGCACTTGCCTTGTCCCCTTCCAGAATTCACCCCATTCAGGCGTGTCATGAGCTGGTACATGGTGTGGGGCATGCTGACTGGCAGAGGTATATAGTGGTGAACACCACCCACTCCTGCCTTCCAGAAGTTCCCAGGCTCTCAGGGAAGGAACCTAGGAAATAGTGCCAACTGGAGAGTGATGTGGCAACCTCCAGTCAGGCTGCAAATGTGCATGCTCTGTGCCCTGTACTCCTGGGACACACCCAGACATGCACCTGCAGCCCTGTGCTAGGATGCTCATGACAGCATTGTTTACAAAAGCAAAATTCTGGAAACAACCCAAGACTCTGTGGCCCAGGGAATGAATGAACAAGCATAGTAGCATCATCTGCCCAGCATAGCGCCGGGAGAAAAGAGGAAAGTGCAGACATCTTATACGTTATGTCACCTACCTAAGAATTTAAAAACACACAAAATGGTGCTACCAGTGATCTTCAAATAGATTTGTAATGAAATTGTAAGAGCATGACCTGTTATACCCCAAGTTCAGGAGAGGTACTTGTATGAAGAGAAGGATGGGGAATGGGAGACAAGGCTCATAGACTTCCCATTTATCTATTTTTTTTTTTAAATTTCTTTAAAGACAATGATCCAGGCTGGGTGTGGTGGCTCATGCCTGTAATCCCAGCACTTTGGGAGGCCGAGGTGGGGGGATCATGAGGTCAGAAGATCAAGACCATCCTGGCTAACACAGTGAAACCCCATCTCTACTAAATATATAAAAAATTAGCCAGGTGTGGTGGTACGCGCCTGCAGTCCCAGCTACTCAGGAGGCTGAGGCAGGAGAATCGCTTGAACCTGGGAGGCAGAGGCTGCAGTGAGCTGAGATTGCACCACTGCATTCCAGCCTGGGCAACAGAGCGAGACTGCATCTCAAAAAATAAATAATAAATAAATAAATAAACAAAATAAAATAAAATAAAGACAATGATCCAAAGCAAAGCATGCCACCTCATGAGCATGTGCTAATCCTTGGGTGGGAATACGGCTTTTGTTACGTTGCCCTTTGTAGCTTTCTCTTTTGTGTTTCAGAGCTAGATATTCACACTATACAGAGATCCCCCTGAAACTCCATAGCAGATTCTAGAATACATGGAGGCTTTGGGAAAGACAGTGGAAAGCCAAGGAAGCCAGAGAGCTCCAGGCACACACAGCACAAGAGGGAGGCGGACCACCAGATCATGAGGTCTCCACCGGTGCCTCAGCAGCCAAGCACTGCCTGGCCTGAAAGGAATGTGCTCTATGCCCTCACTTCCACCAGCTCCAGGCTCCCTCCCCAAATAATCAAAAGTCAGGCTCTGCTCTGCCTCCTTTTCCAGATGTCTCTGTGGATGAAATGCAATCCCACAGAGTGGTGTCATCCAGCTCTCAGGCAGTTTCCCAGAGGTGACTCATCTGTCATCTCAACAAGCGCGTGAGGGGCACAAGACGAGGACTGTCACCCCATTGAGAGACGGGGAGCCAGAGACTCACAGAAGTCCCAAGAACTGCCTGAGCTGACTCAACAGCCGGAAACTAGGACAGTCACAAAGTCAGTCTGACTTCCAAATTTAAATGAGATTCAGGGCTTACTATGCATCATGTTCAGAGAGGGGAGATGGACAACTGGCCAGTTTTACCTCCCAGATCATCTCACTTTCACAATAACAGGCTTCCCAAAGGAGCAAGCGAAAGCCCAGAGAGGCCAAGTGTCCTCCCTTAGCTCACAGAGCCAGAAAGCCTCAGGGATTTTCTAACATGCCTCAACAACCTCCCCAGAGCATTTCTCCATCAGGAAAACTATTTTCATTATGGGTATCCTTATTTTCCCTGCAGACGCAACAGGAAGCTTCTGGGGCCCCCCAGTGAGCAGAAAGCTGAGAGCTGGGGGCCAGCCAGTGTTTATTTGTTTATGCCATCATCTCCCACTGAACCCAGTCCCAAGCTACTGAGTGACTCAGAGACCTGACCACCAACAGCTGTTCTTCGGTTGGAGCCAGATAAGTCAACGGGGGGTGGGGGTGTCCATTGCACTTCCCAGTAATCAGGTGGGACACACTCTTTCTGTCCAGTACCCCCACCCCTTGTGGAGTGATAAAGGGTGACAGACAGATGAGAGGGAAAGACCCCCATCCCCAGCAACTGCACTGGAAATCCAGCTATCAGCGTGTGGCCACTATTTTAACAAGGCTACAAGACAGAGAGAGAGGGAAGAAGCCCCCACGCCACCGCCTCACCCCCACCACAGGGAAATAATCTGCCTCCTGGGAAGGTGAGAGGGAAGAGAGCCACCAGGGCCACTGGAATACAGGTTCCAGCCAAGGCCACCCTGAGGCCCAGAGTCTCAGCAATGGGCCATGGTTGGCTCCAGTCTAGTGTGGCCCATCAATTATGGTGACTTCACTGCCTCAGTCTGGTCTCCAGCATGATAAGCAAAGGCGCTTCCCTGCCTAGCTTGGTCTCCAAAGCCTTTTCCCTGAAGGTTCCCTGAGCCAGAAACAGAATGTATCTTGAGGCTTTACCGTCCTCAAAAGCCTGATCTCTGGGTTCTACTCCACTCATTTTAACTGAAAACACCACTCAGGTCCAAAGGATAGTAATGAATCTTTCTTTCCTTTCTTTTCTTTCTTTACATTATTTTCTTTCTTTACATTATTTTATTTCTTTACAGCCTTTTATTTCTTTACACTCTTTCTTTCTTCCTTCCTTCGTTTCTTTCTTTCTTTCTTTCTTTTCTTTCTTTTCTCTTCTTTCTTCACGCAGGTACAAAGGACAGAGTATATTTCTTCACTCAGGTTCAGAGGACAGAATAATGAATCTTCTTTCTTTCCTTCTTTCTTCCTTCCTTCCTTCTTTCCTTCCTTCCTTCCCTTTTCTTTCTTTTCTTTTCTTTCTTCACGCAGGTACAAAGGACAGAGTATATTTCTTCACTCAGGTTCAGAGGACAGAATAATGAATCTTCTTTCTTTCCTTCTTTCTTCCTTCCTTCCTTCTTTCCTTCCTTCCTTCCCTTTTCTTTCTTTCTTTCCTTTCTTCCTTCCTGTCTGTCTTTTTTTCTTTCTTTCTTTCTTTCTTTCTTTCTTTCCTTTCTTCCTTCCTGTCTTTCTTTTCTTTCTTTCTTTCTTTCTTTTCTTTTCTTTTCTTTTCTCTCTTCACGCAGGTACAAAGGACAGGGTATTTTTCTTCACTCAGGTTCAGAGGACAGAATAATGAATCTTTCTTTCCTTCTTTCTTCCTTCTTCCCCTCCTTCCTTCTTTCCTTCCTTCCTTTTTCTTTCTTTCTTTCCTTTCTTCCTTCCTTCCTGTCTTTCTTTCTTTGTCTGTCTTTCTTTCTTTCTTTCCTTTCTTCCTTCCTTCCTCTCCCTCTCTTCTTTCTTTCTTTCCTTCCTTCTTTCTTTCCTTCTTTCTTTCCTCTTTCTTTCTTTCCTCTTTCTTTCCTTCCTTCCTTCCTTCCTTCCTTTCTTTCTCTCTTTCTCTCTTTCTTTCTTACTTTCTTTCTTCATTTTTGGAACTGGGCCATCTTCCAAACTTCTCACATAGCCCCTTACTCTGCTCTTCCTATGGACAGCTGAGAATCATTTTCTAACTTTATCAAATATGCTCCCTCCTCTTAAGATAGCCTGCCCTGGCTGCTTCCTATGTCTCTTGCAGTCTGACCAGGCGCTGTAGGGAAGAGGCCCAAATGCACCCACCTGGCCCAGATATCCAGAGGCCAAGGCCACGGTCCTGCACCACAGCGTGAGAGTTCTTCTTTGCAGTGCCTACAAACCTATGCTTGCCCCCAAACTCGCTCAGGGGTAACGGGGTTGGGGAAAGAGTGGAAGGTCAAACAGAGACCCTCTTGGAATCTGTTCCCTTCATTAACTTTGGAATTCCACAGGCCAGTGTTTTCTCAAGGCTTGTTACACTGAATACTCCCCCAGGAGGAGGGGGCTGCAATCTTCATACCCACAGGCTCTAGCTGGGAAAGCCAGGAGACAGCTTCATGGGGTGAGGTCAGCCACCGCCCGCCCAGCCCCCAGGTGGAGGAACTAACATTTAGAGAGCAAACACTAGATAGCTAGCATTAGAGTAACAAATAGATTCAGAGGTGTTATGGTTTGCAGATGAAGAAAGTGAGGCTCAGAGAGATTAAAACACTTGAGCACATTGGGGCCTGTGGGTCGGGGGCGGGGGGGGGGAGGAAAGGCATCAGGAAAAATAGCTAATGCATGCTGGGCTTAATATCTAGGTGATGGGGTGATAGATGCAGCAAATCACATGGCACACGTCTACCATGTAACAAACCTGCACATCCTGCACATGTACCCCAGAACTTAAAATAAAATAAATACATACATAATAAAAATAAAATAAAATCCCTTATACAGAAAAAAATAAAAATAAAAACTTGAGCAAGATCACACAGCAGGTATAAAACAGCAGAGCTTCAAAACAGATTTAGTTTTGTTCTAAAAACCACACTCTTCAAATAATTGTAGCTATCAGTCAAAGAGGGCCAAGATTTCATGACACAACCACTCTTGAGGCAGGACGCTGAGTGACTGCCCCTGGAGCCCAGGCCTGCTGGACCAAAAGCCCACTCAAGTTAGCATTGAGGCCTGTGTGTAATTCAGGGATGGAACAGTGTGTCCAATACTGTTCTAAACTGACTTCCCAAAACTGTCACCGAGACCACTCCTTGTCAATGCAGCACCCCCTGCCAAAATGCACATGCCTTTACGTTTTACCATGTATGGATATCAGAGCCTAGGACATAGTAAGCCCTCAGTAAATGTCTGCTGAATGAACAGTAAGGAAACTAGCCATGTGAAGGCCATCTTCTAAGTTTTCTGTAAAATCCTAATGAAAGCACTGCGCATATACTGCTTAACAAGTCTCACAGAAATATTGCATCTTGTAACAATTTTTTTTTCAATGTTTATGATCCAGGAGGAGTTTCTGCCTTTGAAAGACAAACATGTTTCCTTTATTTAGGCCAAGGACAAACTACAGCCTAAAGGCCTATTGCCAGTTCTTGTAAATAAAGTTTTATTGGCACACAGCCACACCCACTCATTTACATATTATCTATGGCTACTTTCCAGATACAAAGGCAGAACTGACAAGCAGTACAGAGCTGTGTGGCCTGCAAAGCTGAAAACATTTGTCACCTAACCCTTGATATAAAAAGTTTGCCAATCTTTACTTTAGATACAAATATAACCTACTTAGCATGTTGTGCTAATTAGGAAGCTCAGAGCTAAACGTAATGTTAAATTTTAGTAACTCACTCATCTTCAATATTTTTTATACCTTTATGCCTATATGCTTTGACCTTCTAATCCCATTTTAAAATTTTATTTAAAAAAAACTAGTATTCCCTGAGTACATATTATATGCCTGGCACTGAATGAAACCTTTTAATATGTTCTCTTATTTAATTCTCATAATAAACTCATGGGGTAGGTAATATTATCTTTTATTTATTTATTTATTTATTTGGGAGATGGAGTCTCAGTTTGTCACGCAGGCTGGAGTGCAGTGGTGCAATCTCGGCTCACTGCAACCTCCGCCTCCCAGATTCAAATGATTCTCCTGCCTCAGCCTCCTGAGTAGCTGGGATTACAGGCGCATGCCACCACACCCAGCTAATTTTTCTATTTTTAGTAGTGATGGGGTTTCGCTATGTTGGTTAGGCTGGTCTTGAACTCCTGACCTCAGGTGATCTGCCCACCTCGGCCTCCCAAAGTGCTGGGATTACATGTGTGAGCCACTGTGCTCAGCCCTTATCTTCAATTTATTGAGACTAAATGAATGAAATGAATACATGAATAAGTCACCAATTGATTGCATAGTGGAAATATTTACTATTTCATAATTCAATCCCAGAGAATAATTAACTCAGGAATTGACTGAAAAACTTTGGGTGCTCAATGAACATAACAGGCAGGGCTGAGATAGTAACTGCAGGCAATTTGAGCCAAATTATAGGATTGTAAAGTGCTATCGTTCTGGGATCCTTATTGTTTTCAATCTAGCTTCAGACCAAGCCGGCCAGTCACTTCATCATGAATCTTCAGGATTTGGGGAGAATCAGCAGACATGACACAGAGCTACTACTCAAGTCACAGGCTCAGACACTGCCTCCAGTGGCGTGGCCAGAGCCACACAGCCAGAGTACCGCAAATAGAAACAATTACCGGTGCCCCAATGTAGTCCTCTTCAGGAGGACTAGGTCCACATGTCACTAATAGTATTTTTGAAAAGTTGACCTTTTCTTAAGTACCAACATCCTAAGCAGTATCATCTGCAAAACCACAGGTCGCACATACCAATTGTTGCCTTTTTCTAATTTGAGTTAAACACAAAACAATTTTTTTATTCTTATCTATAACATGAAATCATCTTGCATTGCTCATCAGCACGCTTTGGAAAACACTGGCTGGACAGGAGTAGGGGTGTCAAGGCTGACAGATGGGACTGCAAACACCAGCTTCTCTGCTCTCTCCATCAGTAACCGTGGCAGCTTTCTGGATCTCACTGAACCTCAGTTTGTTCATATGCATAAGGAGGAGACACATTCTCCTTGCCAGATTAGAAGGTGAACTGGCACATTCCAGGTATTCATACACACCAGCTGTTAAGCAACCTTGGGCTGTTCACCGAAGAACCCCTGGAGATGATCAAGTCACAGCCTTTCCCTCATTGCCACCCTGGGTAGACCATCAGAGGCTCCAGGCACCCCGTGGGGAACAGGTCCAAGATGCCAGGCCATCTCCAGGAACCTGGCCAGGATGTCAGTGTAGGTGGCAGGGCAGCCCGTACGACTAGAGAGTGTGCTGTCAATAATTCCAGGAGCCCATCAAGTGAAAACAACACAGGTTGGGACTGCTGTAGCGGCAGTCAGGGATAACAGGGCTCTTCTAAGTGGCTGAAAGCAGGCTTGTGACATGAAATCAGAACAGCAAGCTCCTGCACCACGAGTAGAAATGCAAACTGTTCAGGCAAAAGTCCAGGGAAAACTGGGAGAGCCAGCCTTGTATGCATGATGCACCAGCAGCACCAGCACCCACCATCTAACTGATGAGTGTGCGAGCCACTAGGCCTGGCTTGCCCAGCTACATCCTCGTATACACCTGTCATCCCAGAGTAAGTGATACAGTGCCCCTTTCACTCTCAAGTCTCCAGGCTGAGAAGAGAAATTAGCCAGCTTCTCTATGAATGAATGTACTAAGGCCCAAAAAGCAGAGGTAGTTTGCCCAAGGTCACAGTCACCAGTGGCCAAGAAGGGAGAATGTGCATCTCTCAGCTCCAGGCAATGTTGTGCAGTGGCTTTGGAGTCAGACAGGGCTGTCCAAATGCTGCTTGTATTCTCTAGGGACACTTGATTTCCCTCTGGGTGCTCCAGTTACTTCAACAGTAAAACAGACCGGGCAAGGTGGGTCACGCTTGTAATCGCAGCTCTTTAGGAGGCCGAGGCAGGCAGATCACTTGAAGTCAGGAGTTCAAGACCAGCCTGGCCAACAAAAATTAGCCAGGCATGGTGGCGCACGCCTGTAGTCCCAGCTACTTGGGAGGCTGACGCACAAGAATCACTTGAACCAAGGAGGTGGAGGTTGCAGTGAGCCGAGATTGCGCCACTGCACTCCAGCCTGGATGATAGAGTAAGACTCAGTCTCAAAAAAAACAACAAAAACAAAACAAAACAAAAAACAGTAAAACAGATAATCATCATAATGGTGCGCATCTCATAGCTCTGTTTTGAGGTTTGAATGGAAAAACATGTGCTATGTGCCCTGTAGACAGCATGGCTTAATAAATGGAGATTATTACTACATCAGCATCCTTGCTGACACAGAGAAGGAATCTTATTCATTGCCATAACCATTCTGTGTCCTTTGGTGTCTGAGCCCACTCTGGCCCTACTGTGAAGAGTGGGAGATAACCCAGACCACCACAATTGGGTTGTTCTAGGCAGTAACTGATAAAAGGGGAAAAAACAGAGCTATGGACCATGTGATAAGTGAGGCACAGCTGCCACCACGATAGGGTGTGGGGAGAGGGCAGGAAGGGGTGAGAGAGGACTGGGAAGGCACAAAGGAGTGGGGAGTATCTGCCTCTGTCTTTCCCAACTGATCCCCTCCCATCCCAGAACCTCTTTGCTCACCACTGTGAGCCTCTCTCCAGACCCTCAGCAGCCCCCCGAAATGGCTCCTCTGCCTGCCCCTACGTGACCACAGTCAAGCACAGCCCAGCACCTGCTGCAGCTCACCGTCACACACACCCTTCCCAAGACCGCAAGGAAAAGTCTTCAGCTGAAGGGGCCTTGTTTGGTATAAAACACGAGGCAGTTCTCAGCTTCTGGCTCTGTCTTCTCCTGGATAAATAACCTTGGGGAAGGTACATGGCCCCTCAGAGCCTCCAGGCGCTCAACTGTATAATGGATAAACCATTGCTCTCCTAGTGGGATTGCTGGGCTAAGTCATATATATACTCAAGAAAAGAGTGTTTCCCTTCTGTCTGACCTTTTCAAAGAAACCAAGAGAAAACCACGGAGAGTCACCATATTTGATCAAGGCAACTGTGATGCAACAAATAAAATGCCTACTATGTATGTGTCTAGCCTGTGTGCAAGGCAAATGCATTTCCTCAACTCAGAAAGATTACTTTCTAGTGTGAGAGAAAGACAGGAAACCCAGTAAATTGCACATATGAATATACAATTAGAACACATCTAAGAGCTATGGGTGAGAACAGCATGTAACACCCAGAGGGACATTATTTACCTTAGGAGGTCAGGGAAGCCTGTCTGAGAAAGTGCTGTCAGGCATGAGCCGAACTAGGAATCCAATCAAAATCAGACTCAAGGCCCCGCCCCAACTGTGGTCTTGGCCGCCACATGCCAGGTGGCCTCAAGTGGTCTGAGAGCTGGACCACTTGCTGTTTGAGCTGCAACTCTCCTTCAGGCACCTTGGCACCACTCATCGCTCAGAGCTAGCAGCCTCCCAGGCCACCAGGCCTGGACCTGAGAGGCCAGTCCTTCCACTTGTCAGCTGCAGAACTGCAACAGGCCTTTGTGGCCAACCCAGCTGCTCCCTCCCTCCAGCTGGCATGAGACTCCATTTCCTCATCTGCCACTGACTTGTCACTCTGCCTTCCCATGGGCTGCAGGGAAACTGTGACCTTTAATCAACTGTCCACGCCAACCAGCTGTGCCCAGGTCAGAGTCCAGCACTGCCTCCCTGGCTCTGCTCAGAAAGATCAGGGCCAAGAAATGTCCACCATCCCCAAAAGCTACCCCCAGCCAACATCACCCACCACATGCTGAGTGTCTGTCATGTGGTCAGCATTTCAATGTCTACTTGGCGATCTTCAATTCCAGTCCTGTGACGTGTGATAATACTTAACCCTTCACTGCAGGGAAAGGAATCCATCAGTCTGCCTGGAGGCATGCAGTGTGTATGTGTTAAAGAGTCATACCCAGGCCTGTCTGCCTCCACATGCATCTGCCCACATACAACCCTCACAGCACCAGCCATATGGCCTTATGTTGTTCCTAGCTCTGAGCACAGAGCCAAGAAATTATCCCCCCATGCATATCTTTCCATTGAATCTCCCATGTCTTCATTCATTAACAATCCTGTCTTAATTTACCCTTTCTGCAGCATGAGAGACTGTGCCAAATGCCACACAATGTCTTAAGGACACAGAACCAACAGCAGAGGCACTTTATAGGGAGGTAGATGGTGACAGATACGTAAACTGGGAACATCAGAAAATGGTGACAGGTACAATAACACACGTCAGGGCAGGGAACAGTAACGGCTTCCAGGAAGGACCTCTTTAGTTCCATCTGTCTCCCCCAGGCACCCAGCATCACGCCAACCACACAGAGGGTGCTCATTAAATGCCACCTCGTTGAGAACACCAGCCACATCCCAGTGAACCCTCCGTGACCAGCCAGGACAGCCTCACCTCAAGCCCAGCTGAGCGCCGGATGGAACGTGCATCAGATGCTTCACCAGGAAGAGTCGGGGTCTTACATTCCATAGGGAGACCCAAAGGAAGTTGGCAGAGATCTAAGTAAACAGAGATCTCAACCCTCTCAGCCAGCTGCAGTCCTTCGTCCCCCATGGACATCCAAGCTGTAAGAATCCATGAGGCATTCAGCCACAGCCTCCCTTAAAACCACTTTTAGTATCCTGAAATGTGCCGGGCGTGTGTCATTCCAGTGCATGGTTCCACCAGCGTTATTCCCCAGACCACTGAAGATCACTGTAAATCCATCAGGCTCAGAAAATACTTGAACGAAGCTCCATGCAGCTGACAGGCACAGCCATCTTGAGGGGCATCTTTTTAATCTCCTTCTGGCCAAAAGATCAGGCCTGCAACAGGGAAGAAGAAAAAAACAGTCTTGTCACAGTCACTGACTCAGAGCAGTATTCAGTCACTCTTTCCTCCTTGTGTTTGGCCCTAACAGAGTGTAACTCACTAAAAATAATTCTCCATAACTGGTAACACACAAAGTTGAGACCGGTGTCCAGGGAGGCCTTCAGGTGAGAGCTGCCTCTCCTGCGGTACGAAGGACCTCTCAGACAGGGAACTGCCAGCTGCTCATAGCCTCAGGAGCACCCTGAGAGGGGAGAGGAGGCTGGGGGGCATCCATTATAAAGTTGAGAGGAGAATGTTTGTGACTGGCTTAGAAAGCTGACAGCAAGGCCAGGCCTGGCACATAGCCTGGGCTCCCCTGCAGGGCTGAGAGGTCCCTGCAGGGAGCTGAGGGGTTTAGGGTCAGCTGGTAGGAAGTAGTTCTTTGTTTTGTTTCTTTTTAAAGACAACCACAAAACCCTGGCCTGACTCCAGGCCTTGTCCTGCACTGTGAGCCTCTTCAGGGCAGGGCCTAGGACCTGTTCTGTTCTTACTCATTCATTCACTAACTACTGAGCACCTGCTAGGTACCCAGCACTCTCCCATCAGGAGGGTGATAGCTTTGTCTTCCCAATCCAGTGTATTTAAATTATTCCAAAGATAACTGAAGAACAAATTGATCCACAATGCCTAGGGCTGGAGGCTCAATATTCCCCATCCACCCAATGATAACAATAACTGTCCTTTGGGGAATGTCTATGATGTATCGGCTAAAAACTCTGGCCTCTCCATCTGATATGATCTCTCAAACACCCTGGGATGCCTGCCCCTGTTTTCCAGATGAAGCAGTGGAGGAACAAACAACCATTCTACTTCAGACTAGTAAGAAGCCTAAATCTGAAGCTAGACAGTCTGTCTCCCAAGTCTGTGCCCTGATCCGCCGCTCTAAGTTACCTAGTGAGGGATTCCTGCCCAGAATGGCCACAGCTAAAACTTACTTCCAGGCTTTCTGCATGTATGAAACCCTCATTTCATCCTCACAAAAAACTATGAGTTGTAGATTATTGTTAACCGACTTTAGAGATGAGAAATTTGAGGCCCAGAGAAGTGAAGCAACTTCCACAAGGTCACACAGCTTTAAAAAAAAAAAAAAAAAATCACAGGAAAAGGGTTTGAGGCTGGGCGCGGTGGCTCACGCCTGTAATCCTAGCACTTTGTGATGCCGAGGCTGGTGGATCCCTTGAGGCCAGGAATTCAAGACCAGCCTGGCCAACATGGTGAAACCCTGTCTCTACTAAAAATACAAAAATTAGCTGGGTGTGGTGGTGCATGCCTGTAATTCCAGCTATTTGGGAGGCCGAGGAATGAGAATCGCTTAAACCAAGGAGACGGAGGTTGCAGTGAGCCAAGATCACACCACTGCATTCCAGCCTGGGCCACAGAATGAGACTCTATCTCAAAAAAAAAAAGAAGAAAGAAAGAAAGAGAGAGAGGGAAGGAAGGAGGGAAGGAAGGAAGGAAGGAAGGAAGGAAGGAAGGAAGGAAGGAAGGAAGGAAGGAAGGAAGAAAGAAAGAGAGAAAGGAAAAGGGGTTTGAAACAAGGCGGACTGGCAGACTGGCTCCAAAGCCCACGAGCTTGACCACTGCTCCAACTTCCATCAAAAGCAACGATTACTGCCAAAGAAATGTTTACAAACGTAGTGGTTTAAAACAGAAAAAGAAATAAAAAATAAAACAGCACACACTTATGATCTTACATTTCTGGAAGTCTGACATGGGTCTCACTGAGCTAAAATCAGGCTGTTGGGAGGGCTGCATTTCTTTCTGGTGGCTGAGAGGGAATGTGTTTCCTTGCTTTTCCAAGCTTCTAAAGGCTGCTTCATAGGCCTTGGCTGTGGCTTCTTCCTCCATCTTCAAATACAACACCAAGGCATCTCTGACTCTGCTTCTGTGGCCATATCTCTGTCTCTGAATAACTCTCTGCCTCCCTCTTCCACTCCTAAGGACGCATGTGATTATATTGGGCTCACCCAGATGATCCAAAATCATCCGTCCACCTCAGGGTCCTTAGCCTTACTAGCATCTGCAAAGTCCCTTTTGACATGCAACATATTCGCAGGTTCTAGGGATTCGGATGTGGACATTTAGGGGGACGTTATTCTGCCTGCCATACAAGAATAACAGAGGGCACCCATCTCCTGTTTTAAGAAGTCTTCCATGAGGAGGCACCACTCATTCCCAAAATGGAAATCAAGCTAGCTGCCTCACCCTGCCCACAATGCACAGAGCCACACACACTTGCAGCGGCTAGTGAAGAAATCACGAAGGAAACAGTAAGGTACGTTTTCTTCTTAAAAAACATATCCAGCCCAGTGCGGTGGCTCACGCCTGTAATCCCAGCACTTTGGGAGGCCGAGGCGGGTGGATCACGAGGTCAGGAGATCGAGATCATCCTGGCTAACACGGTGAAACCCCGTCTCTACTAAAATTACAAAAAATCAGCCAGGCGTGGTGGCACACACCTGTAATCACAGCTACTCAGGAGGCTAAGGCAGAAGAATGGCTTGAACCCAGGAGGCCGAGGTTGTAGTGAGCCAAGATCATGCCACTGCACTCTAGCCTAGGTGACAGAGTGAGATTCAGTCTCAAAAAAAAAAAAAAAAAAAAAAAAAAACAAGATAGAGTGAGATTCTGCATCCAAGTTGGGTTTGACTCCAAAGCTGTTTTCTTTCCATTCTGAGAGACACTCTTTCTTATTTAAATAAGACAGTGTTTCTAGGCCAAGCGTGGTGGCTCATGCCTGTAAATCCCAGCACTTTGGGAGGCTGAGATGGGTGGATCGCCTGAAGTCAGGAGTTTGAGACCAGACTGGCCAACGTGGTGAAACCCCGTCTCTACTAAAAATACAAACAATTAGCCAGGTGTGGTGGCAGGTGCCTGTAATCCCAGCTACCTGGGAGGCTGAGGAACGAGAATCACTTGAACTCGGGAGGTGGAGGTTGCAGTGAACCAAGATTACACCACTGCACCCCAGCCTGGGTGGCAGAGCACAGAGTAAGATTTTGTCTAAAAAATAAAATAAAATAAATAAGACAGTGTTTCTAGAAAGTTCAAGAAGGTTCTGGCAATGGTTGAGTAGTTCCTATTGAAGCAGTTCCCTGGTAGATAGCAACTATAAACTCTGAACAAATATTTCTAAAAATTAGAACAAAGATTTCTAAAAAATCTAGGCACCTGATGACCAAAAGTAGGACATTCTGGAGTGTGATCAAGACCTGGACATTCAGCAAGCCAGTGAGTTCCTGCTTTTGGTCAATTTTAGTCTGAGAGTAGGCCCGGTTCTGCAACATGTGAGTGGCTAACACTCAGATGGTGTTGCTGCACTGAAACATCAGGACAGAGATCAAGGCAACACAATAGGTGAAAGTGAAAGAAGAAATCCTGGTAAAAAGAGAGTTTCCAAAAAGGGGAGTTCAAATTCTGTGTACAAATGTTCCCTAAGTCACTAAGTGACTCCTGAGCCAAGTTTGTATGGAGTAGCCCAGTTAAAGCCAAAAGAACTAAACAGCAATTTATATTGCTGCCCAATACTAGGGAGTCAGAATTTGAAGTCTTAGATTACTGAATTAACTACCTACTGAAACAAAAAAGCACTACTCTTTGGAGGAACAAAACAGAATCAGTCCTTACCAAGTATCACTCACAATGTCTGTGATATAATTTATAATAGCTCAATATAACAAACAACTAAAAAGAAAACAAAAACAGGAAATGTAATCCATTCTTAAGAAAAAAGATAGTTATGGGGACCGTCCCCATGATCCTGAGATGACCCAGTTTCTGGAATTAGCAGACAAGGGTTTTTTAAGCAGCTATTATAACTATGCTCAAAGACTCAAAGGAAAATGTATTCTTAGTAAATAAAAAGATAAGAAAGCTTAGCAAAGAAAGAGCCAAATGGAAATTCTACAATTAAAAAAAAAATCTGAAACAATCAATTGGATCCATTTAACGGCAGACTGAAGAGGAACCAAGAGTCAGTACAATTTGAGGAGAGGCCAATAGAAATTATTTAATCTGAATAACAGAAAAAAATTTGAAAAATTGAAGAGAGCCTCAGAGACCTGTAGGACAATATCAAAAAGCCTAACAGACATGTAATTTTAGTCCCAAAAGGAGAGAAGAGAATGGAGCAAGATCAATATCGGGGGTGGGAAGGGATGAAAGTGTTCTAAATTCAGTGAAAGACATTAATTTATAGATATAAGAATATCAGCAAATCCCATGCAGGATATATATTTTTTTAAATCACACCTAAGTATATAATAGTTGAACTGCTGAAAACCAACATTTGAAAAAAGTCATGAAAAGAGCCAGAGAAAAACAGTGGTTCTAATTTCTTAAAATCATTGAAAAAGCAGATAATTACATCTGAACCCAATATGTGCTCTGCAGGTCACTTCCTCTTGTCCCATTTATTTATTTATTTATTTTATTTATTTTTTCCTTGAGACAGAGTCTTGCTCTGTTGCCCAGGCTGGAGTGCAATGGTGCCATCTCAGCTCACTGCAACTTCCACCTCCCAGGTTCAAGTGATTCTCCTGCCTCAGCCTCCCAAATAGCTGGGATTAGAGGTGTTAGCCACTGCATCTGGCCTTCTTGTCCCATTTAAATCTACCTGAAAGCTTTTAGACCCAAGAGGAAGATGGCTTCAAAAGGAAGCTCAAGTATCTAAACAGCCCCTAAGAGAAAAGAAGAAGGAAGTACAGTAATTAAAAATTACAGTTTGAAGTTAGACTCCCAAATTTACTACGTTTCTTACTCTGGGGAAATGTTTTTAACCCTTAATTTCCTCATCTGAAAATGGTGGTAAACAACATCTACTCATTTCATAGAACTACTGTGAGGTTGTATGATGTTTTGAATGTTTGTTACCTACACCCCCGACCCCTAAATTCATACGTTGAACTCTTAACTGCCAAGGTGATGATCTCAAAAGGGGAGGCCTTTGAAAAGTGATTCGGTCATGAGGCTGGAGGGCTTAGTGCCCTTATAAAAGAGGTATAAAATACCTTATTTGATCCTTTCACCATATAAAGACCCAACAAGAAGGCATCATTGCTAAACCAGGAAACAGGCCCTCACCAGACACCAAATATGTCTGAGCCTTAATCTTGGACTTCCCCACCTCCAGAACCATGACAAATAAAGTTCTGTTGTTTACAAGCTACCAGTCTAAGGTGGTTTGTTATACCAGCCTGAATGGACTGTGACAGGTTGCAATAAACAACATAAAGGACTTAGCATGTTGCTGGGCACATATTAAGAGCTTGACGGATCTATCATTCTCACATCAAATGGAAGAGGCTCCTGCAAGTCACCCCACAGCAGTGACTCCAGGACTGCACACACTCACTCCTCGGCTCCTACAAGTGACCACCAAGACCTGCCAGCCCTGGGAAGCAGCCCAGGAGAGGCACTGCTCCTGAATGTCAGGACTGGAGTACCGTCAGCTGAGAGGGGCCACTTACAACAGGAAGGGGAGCTGTGATTTATGGTACCAGCCTCAGCTAATGACAGGGGAGTGAACAGGGGACACAGTCTGTTGAATATTTACTGAGGCCCACAGGCAAGTCTGAAGCCAAGTTTGTTCTGTTGGGGTCGGATCCATTAAAGCTCTGTCACCTGAGGAAGAATTATGACATGGTCTGTTGGGTATTACTGCAGTCAAGTGGTGGTCCCTGACCAATGGCAAGGACTGCCCTGATGCTCACAAGAAGGTGGCTGCACCTCGCCCTCCGCCTGCAAAAGTACACAATGTGTGGCATTGTACACCGGGATTTCCCGTATCATGAAATCATAATGCTTTCTCAGGGAGCATTTTCTTTTCTCTCCTGATTACTTGCTGTTAGATTCCTTTCATTTGCTCTTTCTGTAATGGGTTGGCTAAAATTTAAAAACCACACAATGCCAATAATTGGCTTTGATGTGGAACTGGAATTCATACGTGCTGGTGAACAGACACTCTGAAAAAGGATAAACAACCACTTTGGGAAACTGTTCTGCACTATTTACTAATGCTGAATATACCCAAACCCTATGACCCTGCAGCTCCACTCCGTGGTATCAATGCACAGATATGTGTGCATATGTTCACCAGAAGACAAGTCTAAGGATATCACAGCAGCTCTATTCATAACAGCCAAACACTGGAAACTACTCAAATGCCCATCAACAGTAGAATGGATTTTTTAAAATATGCACACAATCTAGCGACCAGTGAGAATGATCTGAAAATGCACGTACCACATGAATATATCCCACAAACATAATTTTGAGTGAAAGAAGCAAGACACAGGGGAGTGTGTGATGATGTTATTTAGATTAAGTACATAAACAGGTTAAACTAATCTGTGTGGTTAGAAGTCAGGACAAAGTTCTCCTGAGTGACTGACTGGGAGGGGGCTTCCAAAATGCTGGAAATGTTCTATTGATCCAGGTGCTGGCTCCACACTCAGGTTCAGTTTGAGAACATTCGTCAAGCTATCGATACACATATGACATGTGCACTTTTCTCCATGCACATTATTTCTATAAAAAGGGAGTTTATATTTTTTGAGTTTTCCTGTGAAAATATGTTTGCTGGAATGTCAAAGACATCAGAACACCCCTTCAAGGCCTGGGAATCGGCAGCTTCCAGGTTTCCCTGTTTCATCGTATTCTCACGCCCCACTGCCTCACAGCTGACCCTTCCCCAGAGGACACTGAGGGGAAGTCTTCACAATAAGCATGCTCTGGCCCAGTGACACGGAATTGCCCCACAAGAAAACGTGGCCCCAGCCCCATTCTCTTGGCTCCATCTCTCTCCTCTCTGCCTCCCAGGCTGTCAGGACCAAATCTGTCATTTCCTTCTTTTTTTCTTTTTTTCCAAAGTTAAAATAGGAATTCTTTTTTTATTTTATTTTTTTAATTTTATTTTTTTTTATTATACTTTAAGTTTTAGGGTACATGTGCACAACGTGCAGGTTTGTTACATATGTATACATGTGCCATGCTTGTGTGCTACACCCATTAACTCGTCATTTAACATTAGGTATATCTCCTAATGCTATCCCTCCCCATTCCCCCCACTGTCATTTCCTTCTTGACCCTCCCCACCAGGTATTTCCACTAGCTGAGGCCCTGCCGAAGACATTTGGAAGAAAAACGAAAAACAGGCTGCGTCTATTCCCTACCCAACACCAACAGACCACCTCTGCGCATCCACTCCCCCTCAATATAGGACGGGCAGATGGATGCTTTGGTAACTGAAGACTTAAAGTATACAGGGTTGGCACAGGCTGGTAAATGGGGTATGAGGTACAGAACACAGAAAGTGAGGGAAGGCGTCCCTGGTCCTAAAGCTTTGAGGGGAGCACCGTTTGCAGGGGGAGCCATAATAAGTGTCTCCCAGTGTGTGTGTGGCTGTGCCTTCCTCTCTCTCTCTCTGTCTCTGAGCCTTCTGGACTCCGCATGTGTCTGTGTGTGTGTGTGTGTGTGTGTGATGTGTGTGCATGCATGTGTGCGTGCAAGTGTGTGTGTGCAGGCATGTGTGTGCGTGTATGTGCACATGTGTGTATCTCTTTCCCTCTCTTGCAGAAGGGACCAGTCATGTTGTTAATTTTAGTACCAGCAAGAGTCAGAGGATGTTAATTATAACACCTCTGAGACCCGGTCAATGGGGCAGCAGTTGTAGCAGCAGAAGTGAGAAATCAGTCTCACATGCTAAGTGTGCCTCAATTTCTCTTTCTCTCAGGATTGTGAAGTAAGATTTCTTCAAAACTGGCTGGGTGTGGTGGCTCACGCCTGTAATCCCAGCACTTTGGGAGGCCGAGGAGGTGGATCACCTGAGGTCATGAGTTCGAGACCAGACTGGCCAACATGGCGAAACCCCCTCTCTACTAAAAATACAAAAATTAGCTGGGCGTGGTGGCGGGCACCTGTAATCCCAGCTACCTGGGAGGCTGAGTCAGGAGAATCGCTTGAACCTGGGAGGCGGAGGTTGCAGTGAGCCGAGATTGTGCCATTGCACTCCAGGCTGGGCAACAGGAGCGAGACTCCATCTCAAAAAAAAAAAAAGATTTCTTCAAAACTGATGCCAAAAAGACGATGTCTCCTTTATCTTCTTCTGAGGAAGGGAGAGGTGGCAATTTCTCTGGCTGTGCTCACATTATTTCTCTGTGGTACCCCAGGAGCTGGGGCTTTCCTAACCTGGAAGATAAATCGGGGAGATCTGTTCCCAGAGAAAGCGGCAGCTGTCCCCCCGCTGACAGGCTCTATTTTTGCTTCGTTTCACTTCCTCCCTAACGTGTGCTGGGATGACATGGATCAGCTGCTTTGGAATTCCCAAGCCTTCGAGTGCCTGCTCCCGTCACACTCACCCGATTCCTCATTCAGGGGAGGGGGGATGGGAGCCACAGGAACCAAGGTGTGAATCCTCATGCTGTGGTCACAACCGTGTGGCCTTGGGCACATCCCTTAAGCTCATTGAAAGTGTTTCCTCATCTGTTCAATAAAACAAAGAATAAGCCGGGCACAGCGGCTCATGCCTGTAATCCTAGCACTTTGGAAGGTGGAGGCGGGCAGATCACTTGAACCCAGGAGTTTGAGACCAGCCTGGACAACATGGTGAAACCATATCTCTACAAAAAATACAAAAATTAGCTGGCAGTGGTGGCGCACCTGTAGTCCCAGCTACTCAGGAGGCTGAGGTAAGAGGATTCCTTGAGTCCAGGAAGTCAGTGGAGGTTGCAGTGAGCCAACAGCCTAGGTGACAAAGTAAGACCCTGTCTCAAAAAATAATAATAATAGGCCGGGTGTGGTGGCTCACACCTGTGATCCCAGCACTTTGGGAGGCCAAGGCAAGTGGATCACCTAAGGTCAGAAGTTCGAGACCGGCCTAACTAACATGTTGAAACTCCATCGCTACCAAAAATACAAAAATTAGCTGAGTGTGGTGGCGGGCACCTGTAATCTCAGCTACTCGGGAGGCTGAGGCAGGAGAATCACTTGAACCCAGAAGGCGGAGGTTGCAGTGAGCTGAGATTGTGATTGTGCCACTGCACTCCAACCTGGGCGACAAGAGTGAAACTCCATCTGAAATAATAATAATAATAATAATAATAATAATATAATAACAATAATATTAATAATAATATTATTATTATTATCTCAGAAAAACAAATGATAATAATAATAATAAGGAATAGAAACATGTGTCCACTGGAGTTCATCTGCGGACAAGACTGAATGTATAGAGAGTGCTCCGGCACACAGTGGGCTCACAACACAAGCAGATAGTCAAAGTCACCCTCAACAGCACAGCGCTGCTATTATGGTGGTTACTCCCACGAGTCAGACTCGGGAGATGCAAACCGAACCCAGTCCAGTTCCCTAATGTTATTAAGGGCTTGATTTCCTTCTGCACTTTGCCAGACACAATGTGGGTCTCCACAAGGAGGAGGCAAGCAGCCAGTATAGAACCAGCCTTCTACCAGCAGGCACCTTCATGGGCATGATGCAGCAGAGCCCTGCTTGAGCTCTGCAAGGTACATTGCTTAGAGCCATTCTTCAGGAATACTGACATTCGGGTTCTGCCAGCCTCCAGCAACCCATGCGTGTCCGGCACAGTGCTTGGGAACTCAACATCGCTTAAGAAATGACTGGAAAGCTGAGCGCAGTGGCTCACGCCTGTAATCCCAGCACGTTGGGAGGCTGAGGCGTGTGGATCACGAGGTCAGGAGTTCAAGACCAGCCTGGCCAGCATGGCAAAACCCCGTCTCTACTAAAGTACAAAAAATTAGCCAGTCATGGTGGTGCACGCCTATAGTCGCAGCTACTCGGGAGGCTAAGGCAGGATAATTGCTTGAACCCAGCAGGCGGAAGTTGCAATGAGCAGTGATCATGCCACTGCACTCCAGCCTGGGAGACAGAGTGAGACTCCATCTCGGAAAAAAAAAAAAAAAAAAAAGGGCCGGGGGCGATGGCTCATGCCTATAATCCCAGCACTTTGGGAGACCGAGACAGGCGGATCATGAGGTCAGGAGATCGAGACCATCCTGGCTAACACAGTGAAACCCCACCTCTACTAAAAATACAAAAAAAAAAAAATTAGCCGGGCGTGGTGGCGAGCGCCTGTAGTCCCAGCTACTCAGGAGGCTGAGGCAGGAGAATGGCGTGAACCCGGAAGTGGAGGTTGCAGTGAGCCAAGATCATGCCACTGCACTCCAGCCTGGGGGACAGAGCAAGACTCCGTCTCAAAGAAAAAAGGAATTGTTGACTGGAATAGTGGGTGATTAATTCCAGCTACACAGACAGTGTTCACGTGCTAGCTCCTAGCACAGTGCTAGAAGCCAGAAATCATATCAAACATGAAAGACACAATCCTGACTTCATGGAGCTTTCAGGCTGTACTAAGATTTCCAGAGAAGCAGGACATGTCCATAAGCGAGGACATTTGTTGATAACCAGGTTGCCCTGGCGGGCTGGCAGAAGCTGAGGAACAGGAGGAAAGGTTGGACCACATAGAATGTGAGAGGCCCCAGTACGTCAGCACACAAGAAACCTTGGAAATAATCTCGTTCAATGTCCTCACTGAAGAGCTGAGAAGTAAGGCCTGGAGAAGTAAAGTGACTTGCCCAAGATCACCCAGCGAAGACCTGCAGATGCAGAGTGAGAAGCAAATCTCCATGAGAAGGGTGCGCTGGGCACAATGCCTAGAGGAGGAACTGGTCCTTAAACTGGTGGGTGCTGGCGCATTGTCCGTCGAAGGTGGCATGACCAGAAGCCCAGAAGAGCATGTAATTACCACACTTCCTGAGTGCTGGTTCTGAGAGCATTGGTTGTGTTCCTGTAATCTCCAACAATGCTGTGAGATACGAACTCACTAAGAAACGAGAACACTGGTGCACAGCAAAGCCCAAGTATGCCCAAGCCATGCAGGAGTCAGCAAGAGACAGAGCTAGGATACGAGCCCAGGCACTGCCTCCGGAGACTTTGTTCTTTTTTGTTTGTTTGTTTTGTTTTGTTTTGTTTAATTGAGATAGAGTCTTGCTCTGTCACCCAGGCTGGAGTGCAGTGGCGTGATCTCAGCTCACTACAACCTCCACCTCCTGGGTTCAAGTGATTCTCCTGCCTCAGCCTCCCAAGTAGCTAGGATTACAGGCACCTGCCACCACGCCCGGCTAATTTTTGTATTTTTAGCAGAGACAGGGTTTCACCATGTTGGCAAAGCTGGCCTCCAACTCCTGACCTCAACTGATACCCCGGCCTTGGCCTCCCGAAGTGCTGGGATTACAGGCAGGAGCCACCACGCCCAGCCCTGGGTCTTTGTTCTTAACCACTAGTCTGCCTTGCCTTTGAAGAATTATGTGATGAGAAAGACTGGAGGCAGAGCCATAGGATAAGAAGCTTCTAAAAGAAAGAGATGGGAATGGCACTTTGCTGGGAAATGCAAGGAAAATAGAGATTTCCAAAGCATCAATATCATCTACTGCCAGGAGTTGACCAAAACAGCCCCAATAGGGCTCACGCCTTGCTCTTTTTCCCTCAGTAATTTCTTCACGTCATCCATGACATCCTTCTCCAGACTGGCTCCCTGTCAGAGTAGATAATGTGTCTAGTTGTGGCCTGAAGCCATAATATCATTCCCCCTAGGCTCAGGGAGTGGGGAGGCAGGCGTCCCCAGAACAGCCCACCCCTGGCCACTTCTCCCCACCCCCTTGCAGGTGAGAAGGCAAACACCCTCATCTGCAAGATGCCTGTGGGCAGCATCCAGGGAGGCTGTGGGTATTTCTCGCTGATGGGCACTGTCTTACAGATCCATTAGGACTCAGGCACCTAAAAGTTATGGGAATATGACTGTGCCAATAAGGATCCCAGGGTTACCTCACGATAGCCTTCTTTTTAATTAACTAGACCAGACCAGACCAGTAAGGAATAGCAACAGTAATTTTAAGACAGAAAGAGAGGCAGACAGGAAGACAGGCAGACAGTGGCAGGGAAGGGAAAGAGGAAGAGAGGGAAAAAAGAGGGAGGGATGCAATGTCAAGCAATAACCAACGCTTCAGAGACAAACAGGCTAGGGGGAGAATTCTAGCTCTGAGGCTTCCAAATCTGCGAAGCTTTAAGCTTCAGTTCTTTGAACCTGCATCCATATCTGTGAAATGCCTTGCAGAGTTGGGGGAAGGCTAGAGATAACCCAAGTGAGGTCCTTGCACCTAGTAGATCCTCAATATAGGAAAAGCTCCCATTTAATCAGGCTCACCTCCACTCTCCTTCATCTTTAGGCTCAAGATGATTAAGATGCTGAAATGACGAAGAAGAGTCATGAACACTGTTCTTCTCCAAGTGACAGACCTTCAAAATTTGTGGGGTTTTTTTTTTCAATTTCCTTTTGTTTGACTATGCCCACAAAATCCCTCAGGGAAAGGTCAGCAAAGGTCCAAATGTCAATCAATCATGAACAAAGGGGTAAAGTGCCAAGGACCTGAGCCGTCAAACAATGA
This sequence comes from Homo sapiens, assembly GCF_000001405.40. Taxonomy (NCBI): domain Eukaryota; kingdom Metazoa; phylum Chordata; class Mammalia; order Primates; family Hominidae; genus Homo; species Homo sapiens. Next base: position 127,878,060 of record NC_000008.11, on the reverse strand, counting down.
CTCAAGGTGACAGTTCTTTACAGAACAGCAGGACCTGCACTTGAAGATTCCAAATACAGAAGGTTCTACAGTGTGCATGTTCTCCAAGAAAGTTCAGTAAGGTTTTTTGTGGGGGAGGGGGGTTGTTGTTTTTTTGAGACAGAGTCCGGTTCTGTCACCCAGGCTGGAGTGCAGTGGCGTGATCATGGCTCACTGCAGCCTCAAACTCCCAGGCTCAAGCAATTCTCCCACCTCAGCCTCCAGAGTAGCTGGGACTACGGGTGCGAGCCACCATGCCCTGCTAATTTTTGTATTTTTTTTGTAGAGAGAGGTTTTCATCATGTTGCCCAGGCTGGAAAGAAAGTTCACTAAGTTTGACAGAGACTCAAGAGTTTATACTGGTCCCTGTCTGCAAAGAGCTTAAAATCTCATTTACAAAACAGGACTATGAGAAATAGTCCGTTTAAGGACTAAGTCAAAATGTTATCCTAAACAGTAGTAGATGTGCGGTGTGGAGTTCAGGGAAGCTCCACGAGAGATCAGAGCTGCTTTTCTGGGTTGTCTATGTGTCCCCTGAGAGGAATCTAAGTTGGGAAGAGAGAGAGAGAGACCCTCGGGGTAGAGGTTGGGGCTAATGTCAAAATAAGGAGGATGAAAGGAAATGGCATTTATCAGTCACCAGTCACAAAGAAAACCCTTTTAATTTCCCACTTAATCCCCATGTATCCTCACAACCCCACAGACAGGTCTCATATCTGAAAGTTACAGAAACAGCAGCGTGAAAAGGGCGGGCCCCTTGCCCAGTTTGTGTGGCTGAAGAGGGTGGCCTTGAACCCAGGTCCATAAGACTGCAAGTCCCCTCGGGGGCCATCATCACACCACAGCCTGCTTCACTTTAGAATCTGGGCACATTCTAGGCGCTCTGAGCTCCCGCTGTCTCAGGCGCTGGGGAGTTGTCCTCCTCGGCGAGAGGAAACTTTCCACCACGCCACTCTGCTAAACCTGTCCTCTCCCACATCCCACAGCTCCATACATCCCATAAGCACCACCTTTGTTCCAACTCCTCTTTAAAACCTGGATTAGCTGGGCTTCCGGGGAGGTCACGCTCCTGACTTTGGAATGCACTTCTGACTTTCTCAGAAGCAGGTCTCTACTCAAGTCACGCAGGCACATCTCGCTAAGTAAACTTTGGCAGCCATCTAGCTTGCCCAAGGATTCTGGGTAAGTCCAAATTGGGGGGATGGGGCAAATGAAAGCGATGACAGCACGAACAGCCCATGACCAGGAGCAGGCACATCGGCTCTGCTCTGCTGTCACCCAAGCGCCACGGAGGACAGGAGTTGTGGAAAACTGGCAGCAGGTGCTCTGGGGGCACCTAGGAGCTGACATGGTTCCCTCCTCCGCCTGCTTAGAGGACAGATCCCACTTAGTCCCCATCCCTTCAGAACTGGAGGGGCCAGGAGATGGGAAGAGTGTACGGGTAATGCTAATATCATCCAGGGAAAGGTAAAGGACGAAAGCGGGAGGAGATGAGAGGAAAGGGAGAGAAGGGGAAAGAAGGGAGCAGCTAAAATAAATACACAGGAGACATACAAATTCACTGTATTAAAAACCTGTCAGATATAATAATACTAATAAAATAAAAATAAAATAAAATAATTAAAAAAATAAAAATAAAAACCTGTCAGAATAGCACTCCAGAAAAGAACCCTGACTTGGGGAACCTGAGTCCCCAGAGCTCTGTGGGAACTGGGTGGCATTACAGCATTCATAGCAAACCAAGTGTGAAACCACACATACACACACACACACACACACACACACACACTGCTGTTTGGGGCGTGTGTGTGAATCACTGTATGTTTTCCAGGTGTCTCCATGGTGCAAGTCACAGTACTGGTCTCTTAAAAGGCTTCTCCCAGTCTTCCCCTCTAGGTCAGTGGCTCTCAAACCTGAGTGTGCCTAAGCACCACCTGTGGACTTGCTCCAATGCAGATCCGGAGGCCCAACCCCGTAACTCTGTTCAGTAAACCTGGCTGAGGGTGAGGGGGGGTGGAGGGTGCCTCTTTGCCAGGTCCCCCAGGTAAGGCAGGGGTGCCACAGAACTCCCCAGAGAAACCCTGTTTCAGAGGACTTACTGCTCAGAGAGCAATCAATCTCTTTCCAGCATGAGGCCTTGGAGATAAAAAAGAATACGAGTGATGGTTGCTGAAAGGGAGAAGAAGGAGCCCACGACCTGCCCTTACTGAGCTCCATTCTGTGCTGAGCACAGGCGGGGTCCAAACACTCAGGGTCTCCCTTCCTCCCCACCCTTCCCTTGGAAGCAGTTGCTAGAAGCTTGTGCATATGAGCAGCTAAGGCTCCCCAGGGTGCCTTGTCCAAGGTCACTGAACTAGGAAATAGCAGAACTAGGAACTTCCCTTTGTCTCAGAGAAAAGAAAATGAGGAAAGGAGTACACGCTATATCACGGAGATGTGGAGCGCCTTAGAGGAGAAGAAGGAAATGGAAAAGAAAACAAGGAAAATAAATTATTGAGCACATATGACTTTGCACACTTGGCCACATCCCTTTAAATCCTTCAGTCCTTTACTATGCTTATTTCATAGATGAGGAACGGAGGCTCGAAATATGTCTAATGATGAAGTATTCCTCTTATAATCAGAAAACAACATGTGAAAAAGGGAGAGGGAGAAAGAAGAGAGAGAGAGAGAGAGAGACAGAGACAGAGACAGACAGAGTCAGAGACAGAGACAGAGACAGAGACAGAGAGGACACACACCTCTCCCTTCTTGCTATGGCTCCAGAAATCAGGCCACCTCTGTGTACCCTCCTGGCTCTCACAAACCGTAACACCCGGAGGAAGAACAGACCCCAGCTGTGAGGAAGGGGACGATGTGCAACTTTCCACAGTCACTGGTTAAGGTGGGAAAGAGTTAAAACCAAAATCCAGCACCCCAATTTCTCCCCCAAACACCATAGAAAACTGAGTGCAACTAGCAATGACACTTCTCATCATTATAGTGGAGGACGTTCCTCCACTCTAAATACACAGGCACCCAAGGGGTCACATCCAAAGAAGCACGCATGGTGAAAGGGCAACTGCACCTGCTCCAGCAGGCACAGTGCAGCCCAGGGCCACACACCCACACACACACACACACACACACACACACACACCTGGAGGCCAACCAAGACTGCAGAGCGAGGGAAGGGCCAGGTGGCAGGCCAAAACTCAAAGATCAGTAGGCTTCCTGCAGGTGGGAAGGGTACCCACCAGGGATGTGAAGGAAGGGAAGGGTGGGCAAAAGCCTTAAGGAGGATGAAAACCTTCTTTTGGGGAAGAAGAAGATCACACAACAAATTGAACTGCTTCACTTCTGTCTCAAACCCGCTTCACAATCAGGCCAAAGGTAATACCCACTGCTAACATTCACGGTGCACATTTCAGATCAGAGACACTGCACACCAAGAATTTGAGTGTGGCTCAGACTCTCAACACCCCTCCTAGGAAGGTACCAGTCTCATACTTGTGTTACAGGTGACAAAACCATAGCACCAGCCATATGGGTGGGAATAAGATGAACTGGGATTGAAGATCCACAGTCCAAGCTCTTACACTTTTAGCTTCAGCTGCAACCATCCCTGATCTCTGGACATGGTGGATGTGTCATTCACTGATTCTCCTCTGGGCTTCTGTACCTGCTGTTCCTCTAACTGTTACCCACCCTTGGTGAACCTCTACTCATCCTACAAAGCCCTTCTCCTCCTCTGTGCAGCCTTTCCCAATCTTCTCATTAACCCCTTGCGACTCTCAGCTGAATCCACTGCTGCCCCTTCTCCAGTGCTCCCATGGCATCATGACATTATCAAATTTAAATCCTAAGCCTGTCACCTCTACTGTGTCATTCACTCTAGCACTGCACCCCAAGATGCAGAACTGCATGTACTAAAAGCATGCAGACTGTATTTTCTCCATAACCCTCGCCCCAAATTGAGCTGCCCTGAGCTTTGCATGTTCCCTTGAGTGTCTTACACAAAGCTGTGAGCAGCTTGAGGACAGTGACTACACAGCCTTAAATTCTACATCTCCCAGATATAGGGTGCTTGGCTGCTTGGCAGCTAGTGGTGCTCAATTAATGTTCACACTGGGTATTCATCCACTAGACATTTACTGCACACCTATTGTATGTTAGTCACTGTGCTTGGCCAGAATGATGGAGACCATTTTTAATGAAGAGATGGCAAAAGATTGCAAAGGAAAAATGGACAACACAGAATCATTGATTCATAGAGGCAGCAAAGTGGAGAAATGGAGCAAAGATTCTGTGGGGCAAAGGCCTCCTCTGGGAAGCCCAGGCTCTGAAATCTCCATAGCACATTTGCACCCTGCCTCCATTGCATACTGTGTACACCAAGAGGGGTATTTAACATTCCTAAGTTTCACCTTCCTTCTCAGAAATTAACAACTCCCTTTACTCCCTCCCAGCTCTTTTACCTGCTGGGAGGATAAAATGAGACAATCCATGCAAATTGCACGCCGGGTCCCTCCTACACAAAAAAACATGAAATAGATATTAGCTACTATTGATACCACCTACTAGCTCAATACGTGAAAGTGAAAGCTAGCCATGATGATTTTTCAGCAGCCAAGAATGCTCCTGAAGGATAAACACACTTTTGTGCTTCCAGAAGTTAGAAGGGGTCTCCTTCCTATTCATTTTCCAAATAAGGTTAAGAAAGTGTTACCCTTCAGTTAATTCCAGATGCCAAGTAATCCAGGGCTGTGCTTACCCAGCAAGTAAAAGAGCTGAAGGTAAATCAGGTGTGTGTCATGGGAATCTTCAGAAGGCTGCAAGGAGAAGCAGGCATTCAGTCTGAGCCTGCCCAGATTTCTCTAAAACTCGCAGGAGGACACACCCAGAGGCCAGAGGCAGGCCCTTGTCTTGGGACACCATAGGCGCTCCAGGCTGGAAGCCTTCTGCCCCATATCCTCACCTAACCCCAAGCAGAACAGCCAGAGCAGGCCAACACCAGCAAGTGAGAGGGCAGGAAAACAGGAGGAACCATGCGGGGCTCAGTAGGAGAGAGCAGCTCAGTGGTACAGTCAGCAACAGATCAGGAAATGGACAGGGCTGTCCCGTCACTTTGCTTTAATGTATCTGGATTCCTAGAAGATCTGAAGCAAGGGGCAGGCGTGGGGACAAAGAATATATCTCAAACCACAAAGGACCAGGGACCACTGTGGACATAATTTCATCAAAAGTCTGCTGTAACTCTCATGATGGCCTTTGACAGTGGCAAGACTGTCCCCCATGTGAGACCTGAAACACTGAAATAATCAAGCTCAGATTCCGAGCCAGGGTTTTCTGGATGCTTCCATTGAAATTCTCTGCCAAAGTACAGGCATGACATTCTACGGAAAGGTCACTTCTACTTTTAACATTTCTGTAGTGTTTGAAGTTATTTTTAATGAACTTTTTATTTAATTTTTAATTTTTGTGGGTACACAGGCATATATATTTATAGGGTACATGAGATATTTTGATAGAGGCACACAATGCATAATAATCCCTTCAGGGTAAATGGGGCATCCATCACCTCAAACATTTACCCTTTCTTTGTGTTACGAACAATCCAATTAAACTCTTATTTACTTATTTATTTATTTGAGACGGATACTCTCTCTGCCACCCAGGCTGGAGTGCAGTGGCGCAATCTCAGCTCACTGCAATCTCCACCTCCTGGGTTCAAGCGATTCTCCCACCTCAGCCTCCAGAGTAGCTTGGGTCACAGGCACCCACCACCAAGCCCGGCTATTTTTGTATTTTTAGTGGAGATAAGGTTTCACCATGTTACCCAGGCTGGTCTTGAACTCCTGACCTCAGTGATCTGCCTGCCTCGGCCTCTCCAAGTGCTGGGATTACAGGCATGAGCCACCACACCCGGCCTCTTTTAGTTTTTTGAGGGTTCTTTTGTTTTTGTTTTTTTGAGACGGAGTCTCACTCTTGTCCCCCAGGCTGGAGTGCAATGGCATGATCTCAGCTCACTGCAACCTCCGCCTCCCGGCTTCAAGTGATTCTCCTGCCTCAGCCTCCAGAATAGCTGGGATTACAGGTGCCCATCACCACGTCTGGCTAATTTTTTTTGTATTTTTAGTGGAGACGGGGTTTTGCCATGTTGGCCAGGTTGGTCTCCAACTCCTGACCTCAGGGGATCCGCCTGCCTTGGCCTCCCAAAATGCTGGGATTACAGGCGTGAGCCACTGCGCTCAGCCAGTTATTTTTAAATGTACAATATATTATTGTGGACTGTACTTCTAATACAATCAGAAAAAAAAGTACAGATGCTTCGCTGGGTTTTGTTTTTGAATCAACATCTGGCACCAGAACTTGCAGATATTCCTCTCTGGGTGTGGGAACAGTTCCTGGATATGGGTCAAAAAACACCACCAAAGAGCTGTATCTTGATCTCTTCTCCTCACAGTTGACGTCATGCCCTACACTAAGAGGCAGTCACATACTTTACCCGATTCTGGTGGACTCTGCCTAAGGACAGACAAGCAGAGGGCCCCTGGACACTGGGAGTCCAGCGCATCCCTTCCTCAGCAGCAAAATTTGCAAAGACCTCATCAGCTGTGCCGACATCACACAAACCTAGGATGTGAAGCATCCCTCTCCTCGCTAATGTCTATTTGATACAAAAGTTTTCATATCCATTCCCCTGCATTCCATGAGTAAAAAACACATTTATTCTGAGATTTGCCATCCCCTGAGAGGGCTCCTGGGCATCGCGTCAGCAAAAAGGCAGTTGTATGTGCTAACTCCAGGCCAAAATGTGGAGGAGTGTCACTTATACGCAGTGTCCCTGTCCCACACAGCCCCTCCTGGTGCTCCCTGGAGAGGCACACAGCAGGCAGTAACCATTCCTCTGCATTGCGTGTTTTAGATTTGCTCTCTGTCTTTATTTTTTCCTTGCAGAGGAGGTAGACAGGGCATGGTTTTCAACCCACCCACAGGGTGATCTGGAATATAGACCAGGAGGACAGGAATTAATTCAGCATTTCACCCTCTGAACTTCCTGCCCTCCCTAGTCACTGGACAGAGAGGAGGAGGAGGAGGAGGCAGAAAGGAGACGTGACTGTGGCCGTCACAGAGTTAATAGGACACACGGCATATTCAGCAACACTACTCACCACTTTGGCAAACAGTATAAATAATAAGGGCTCACATTTTCAGGCTGCATGCTGGGGCTTTACATGCATCATCGCATTTAATCATTGCCTTGACCCAGACAACTTTGCAAGTAAGGTCACTGAGGCCCAGAAATGTTAAGCCATCTGCCCAAGATCTCATAGCTAGTAAGTGGGAGAAGGAGCTTCCTCTAGCTGAAGAGGATGTTTGTCTAGACATTTCAAGAGCTCCCAGAGCTCTAAATGCAGAATGAAATGGCCAGTTCTACAGATACTTCAGCTTTCCTTCATTCAGTAAATATTTACCAAGTAGTCCTATGTAAAGGGAGGGAGTGCCGCTCATTCTCCCGCTCCACTTCCCTCAATCCCCAAAGGGTATTTGGTTCTGTGTTGGCTACTGTCTTAGTTTCTGAGGGCAGCCATAACAAATTGCTACAAACTGGGTGGCTTACATCAGCAGATGCACTCTCTCACAGTTCTGGGGACTAGATGTCCAAGATCAAGGTGTCAGCGGGACTGTGCTCCCTCTGAAGGCTCCATGAAAGATCCTTCCTTGCCTCTTTCTGGCATCTGGTGGCTTCCTGCAATCCTTGGAGCTCCTTGGCTTGTAGCTGTGTCACTCTAATCTCTGCCTCTGTGGTCACATGGCCTTCTCCCTGTATCTCTACAAATCCTTCTTTCCTATGTCCCTCTCTTCTCCTCTGAGGACATGGGTCATTGGCTTTAGCCCCCACCCTAATCCAATATGATATCATCTTAAGTAATGACATCTAAAAAGACCCAATGTCCACCAGGCACAGTGGCTCGTGCCTGTAACCCCAACACTTTGGGAAGCCGAGACAGGAGGATCACTGAAGGTCAGGAGTTCGAGACCAGCCTGGCCAACATGGTGACACCCTGTCTCTACTAAAAGTACAAAAAATAGCCAAGCCTGGTGGCGGGTGCCTGTAATCTCAGCTACTCGGACGGCTGAGGCAGGAGAATAGCTTGAACCCAGGAGGCAGAGGTTGCAGTAAGCCGAGATCACGCCACTGCACTCCTTCCTGAGTGACAGAGCGAGACTCCATCTCAAAACAAAAACAAAAACAAAAACCCTATGTCCAAATAATGCCATGTTCTGAAGTTCATACAGGCATGAATTTTGGGGGGACACTACTCAATCTGGTACAATTATTTACTATGTTCTTCTACTATAAGGTAAAATTTGTAAATGACAAACATTCTCAAGCTTGCAGGTTATGAAGTAGCAGGGAACAGTAGAAACAACCAGGCCCTTAAGGTCTCAGAAAAACAAGAGGAGGGAAAGAGCCTAATGGGAAACAGTTGGTATTGTCTACCATCTTCTTTGTCCCTTCGACTTGTGATATTAGTCCAACACTGCAAAGCTCAATACTAAGTAATAAGACTGCAATACATATTTGAAAGCATCAGCATCATTTTGTTTTTTAATAATAAAAAATAGGCCAAGCGTGGTGGCTCACACCTGTAATCCCAGCACTTTGAGAGGAGGAGGTGGGTGCATCACCTGAGGTCAGGAGTTCGAGACCAGCCTGGGCAACATGATGAAACTCCATCTCTACTAAAAATACAAAAATTAGCCGGGTGTGGTGGTGCATGCCTGTAATCCCAGCTACTCAGGAGGCTGAGGCAGGAGAATCACTGGAACCTGGGAGGTGGAGGTTGCAGTGAGCCGAACTCATGCCATTGCGCTTCAGCCTGGGCAACAGAGCGAGACTCCATCTCAAAATAAATAAATAAATAAAGAATAATAATGCCAACTTCATGATTTACTAACAACTGCTTATAAATAATTCATTGTAATTTTAACAATATAGAACTTGCAAAATTGTTGAGTCCACCCTGAACCAGACCCCTAAGCCTCCAGTCAATATTATCTCTGCCATCTACAGCTTCTTAAGCTACTTGTTATTGACTTTGGTCCAGCAGAAGCAACTCCTGAATACCAAAGTGTGCCTGAAGATCACAGCAGTGCCTGTGGGTTTGTTTTGGGAAATTTTAAGTAATTCTTAAAGTCTGAGAAACTTTTAAAAAGTAAAGAGATAATACATACATATATATATATATGTACATATATATGTATATATATATATATATATATATGTTAAAAGGAAGGAGAAATAATAGGATGCAAAATTATACACACAGGACTATTAAAAAAAACCTGTGGGCCAGGTGCAGTGACTCACACCTGTAATCCCAGCACTGTGGGAGGTGTAGGAGGGTGGATAATCTGAGGGTGGATAACCTGAGGTCAGGAGTTGGAGACCAGCCTGGCCAACATGGCGAAAACCCATCTCTACTAAAAATACAAAAAAATTAGCTGGGTGTGGTGGCATGCACCCGTAACCCCAGCTACTCTGGAAGCCGAGGCACGAAAATTGCTTGAACCCAGGAGGTCGGGGTTGTAGTGAGCCAAGTTCATACCATTGTACTCCAACCTGGGCAATAGAGTGAGACTCCATCTCAAACAAAAACAAACAAACAAAAAAAACTGTGATTCAAGTGACAGGAAATTGGTAAAATCAACCATATGCCTGGATTCTGGAAATGAACACTGTTTCATTTCTGGGTGGTGGAACTCATGTTTTAAATTCCCTTCTTTTCAGTGAGTAGGGAATGCCACAGACCCTGAGGCCTTATAGCTCAGAGAGCTAGTGCTAAGGTGGACCCTAACCTCTCTAGGTCTTCCCACCACCTCGCAGAACTGCTCTAGGATTAAATTAAATGACTTAATATTTGCAAAGGACTTAGAAGAGTTACCTAGCTTCTAGAAGGACTACAGAATTCTTTGTTAAGCAAAATAAATATCTATTTCATAATAAGAAAAAGATTATTTTAAAAGTCAAGGAAAAAAACACTGGCAGACAAGGACAGAGGGATCACAGAGGAAGGAGCCTCATGCCCCGGGGGCTGTGCTGTTGCCTCTTGTTATGTTTTCCTTTGATAATAGTTGAGATGGACGTCCTGCCCTCAGTGAAGGCATACTTCAGATTCAGCAGGAGGCAGCAACAGTGATTTTATTAGGGGGCAGAGGGTGAGTGACCTAGGGCCTCTGGGACATTTTCATCCGGAGATGCTCCATAAAGGATGACATCTCAGATCTTAGCTTCAGGTCTCAGATTTCCCAGTCCCCTTCTCCCCACCCCACCCGCCACCATGTCTCTGCATCCCCCAACATATCTGCATAAAAAATGAGACTGCACAGCCACAGGGGCTATCCTCGAAGTTCATTTTTTACCTTCAATCAAGGCCAGCCCAGAGGGCATTACCATCCCAACAGCCCGGCCTTTGTCAGACAGGAAGGCAGAGTGAGGATCGAAAAGCAGGGAGTAAGTGCTGGTTCAGCAGAGCCCTCCCCAGCGGAGCATCCTCCAGAAGCATCGCTCATTGTTATTCCAGCCAGGTGTCAGCAAGCTGGCCAAGCCCGGGATACTGCCGAGGAATGTGCACATCAAGATCAGAGATAATTCCCCTCACAAAATTCCTCACCTCCCACCCCTCTAACTGCGGAGGAGTAAATGGGGGTGTTCCAGGCAGAGGAGCTGATGGGTCTCCTTTGCACAAAAAAGGACTGCCAGGCTGTGGCGGCTTGGACCCCTCCTCCTCCACCCTCCCAGGCAAGTGTGCCCCTCCCCCTTCTTCCTTCCTGACAGCCTGACCTTGGCTGAGGCCAAACACATGCCCAGGCAGTATCCCTGGCCATTCCTAGCATTCTGGGCAAGCAAGCCCGAGGAAGGCCGCAGGCAGGTCTTGAGCAGAACTGAGAAGGGCATCTGAGGCCAGCTAAGCCAGGCCCTAGGTGGAAACCACTTGGTAGAGCTTCACCATTCAGGCGAGCAGCCCATGCACTGCCCAGCTGATGACTTGGGTTTCAAGTCATCCTCTACAGTGAATCAGTGAATGCAAGCCTTACACACAAACACACATAGCATTAGTGCAAACTCCTCACAGGCACAAGGAGCCTTCCTCTAACACGGCCCAAGGCTCCTTGATAATGTGTTTACCTGGCATAATGTGTAGCATCTGCGGAGGGTCGGCAGATGGGAGGCAAGATCTGCCTAGGTCTCGGAGCCCAAGATCTTCCCTGTGTACTAATATGAATGCACAGACAATACATAACAGTCTGGTCTCCTGCAGTGATGTCTGCCTTCACCAGTGATTAACTGAACCTCCAGCACAAACTAAGGTCTCTGCACTGCTTCTGCCACTGTCTGTCACCATCCTGGAACCCACCAGATAGCAGGTTCCTCTCTCCATCTCCTATCCCCTTCCCCCTGCGACCACCCCATGCTCACCCAGCCCACTCCTGTCTCTATTAGATAGGGGCTACTCCTCCAGGCCTCCTTCATTCCTCTGATGCTGAAGGAGAGGGAGTGGGAGGGGACACTGAAGGAAGGCAGGATGTCCCAGTGCCTATGATCCAAGAGCAGGACAAGCCACCAGCAGGTCAGCAGTGGGCCTCAGCTCAGAGAGCACCAGCATCTCTGTCATCTGGCCCCCACTCTGCCACATCCTATTCCTGTGGGTCAGGGGCAGGAAAGCAGACCCAGGGGCAGCCATGCTCCCTACACAGACAGCTCACGAGGGTCCCATCAGCAGGAGTTGGGATACGTGTTATGGAAAACCATGAGGGTGCTGGGCCCAGAGCAGGGACACAGCCAGCAGATATGATCAGCTTGAGGAGTAGGTCGTCTGGGGCCTAAGGGTACTGGTAAAGGGCTCCTGAGAACGCCAACAGACCAACAATTTAAACAGCAGGGCAGGAGAGGAAGGGGTCCCTAATGCACCAACACGCCATCCTGGCCAGGCAGCCGGAGGCAGGGCTGCGCTGTCAGAGGGAGAAGCCATGGGCATGTGAATTTATGCAAGCCCCTTTATCTCGCTGATCTGCAAACCCTGCCTACTTAAGCCATCCCTGCCAGGTCACCAGGCAGCTTCAGTGGCCCAACTCACTGATGATCACACCCAAACAAGGGTTTGCCTGCCGGTGCCACACTCAAAGGACATTTCCCTTGGACTGCCCTCAGCTCCCACTCCCCACAGGCTGGATGCCAGGCTGGCCATCAAATGCTGCGCCCATTGCATTCACTTCCTAGGGCTGCCGGAACAAACTAGTACAAACTCAGAGGCTTAAATCCACCCACATTTATTATGATACAGTTCTGAACATACAAAGTTCAAAGTGGGTCTCACTGAGTGTTAGCAGGACTGTGTTCCTTCCTGGAGGCTCTGGGGGAGTTCCTATTTCCTTGCCTTTTCCAACTTCTAGGGACGGTTATTCCTTGTCTCATGGCTCCTTCCTCCATCCTCAAAGCCAGCAATGTTACTTGTCACCTCACATGTTTCTGAACCCTTCTTCTGCCTCTCTCGCCCACTTGTAAGGACTCTGTGATGAGACTGGGCCCTCTGGATAATCTAAAAGGATCTCCCTCTTTTAAGGTCAGCTTTAATTCCACCTGTGACTTTAATTTCCCTTCTCTGTATGGCATATGACATCCCCATGTTCCAGAGATCAGGATGTGAACCTCTTTGGGGGAAGCATAATTCTGTCTGCCACACCCAGGTTTATCCCCATCCTCAGGCTGCCGTTCAATATCTGCAAAGCCCCCAGATTGGCACCTACCACCTTGTCCTTCTGAAAAAGCCAGGACCATCCTGATTCCAGTGACCCCTGGATGATTTCAACCACCTCCCCATCCTGAGAATCCTCGTCCAAATTGAGGTGCAGTAATGTGGTGCCCACTTCAGGATGAAGAAATAGTGGCAAGAGACTCGCCCAGGGCCACACAGCTCTAAGAATGAGATGTGGGATTGGAACACTGGTGTTCAAGCAGGCCTGCCGTCTACAGCCCCATATGAATCCCAAGCACTCAGACTAGTTCTGGTCTTAGATCCTCTTAGCCAGGTCCCTCTAGGACAAGATGGCCTCTGTCACCTCCATCTGGTGCTTTGGTAGGCAAGAGGACCTCTATCTCTAGTTCCCGCGGCCTCCACTGAGAATTTCTCTGTGTTAGAAATATCCTGGCTGGGCGCAGTGACTCATGCCTGGAATCCCAGCACTTTGGGAGGCTGAGGCGGGCGGATCACGAGGTCAGGAGATCGAGACCATCCTGGCTAACATGGTGAAACCCCATATGTACTAAAAATACAAAAAAAATAGCCGGGCGTGGTGGTGGGCGCCTGTAGTCCCAGCTACTCAGGGGGCTGAGGCAGGAGAATGGCGTGAACCCGGGAGGCGGAGCTGGCAGTGAGCCGAGATCGCGCCACTGCACTCCAGCCTGGGTGACAGAGCAAGACTCTGTCTCAAAAAAAAAAGAAAGAAATATCCTGCCACATTCAACACATGTCCGTGTGAAAAGCAACAGGAAAAGAATAAGAGAAGGAGCGAGGGGTGGGAGAGAAATCAACATTTATTGAATGCTTGCCAAGGGCCAGGAGCAGGCATCCAGTTACTGAATCTTGCCCACAAACCCTGACGGCAGGCCTCATTAGCTCCATTTTACAGACAGGAGGCTGAGGCTCCCAGAGATTGGAAGCATGCCCAGACTCATGCAGCGGGGGACTGGCAGGGCCCCAGTTCCAGCCGGCAGGCTCTCTCCCCTCCCCAGGTGTCCTTCATCCCTGCTCACCCAGGACCCCAGCATTCCAACCCACACTGAATTGACCTGACCCCTTCACCCCACGTAACCTTTCTTTCCTGCCCCACCCCCACTGCAAACCACACCCCACCTGCAGCTTCTCTGGCCTGGAGCTTGATTGGTTTCAAGCTTCAGCTTGTGAGGAAAGAGGCTTCTTTCCCCTTGGATGGCAGGCCCAGGAAAGCCATGCAGGGTTTAGGGCAGGGATGTGCCAATCACCTGGAAGCCGGTCCCAACCTTTCCCCTACATCTCGCTCCATCCGCGCTGAGCCAAAATAACCTGGAATCAGTGATGCCAGCGGGCATGGGGGCAAAGGCCTGGCACCTCAGCAACTCTTACCACTCTCATCCAGGCACCAAAGCAAAGCCCTGGCCACAGGTACACAGGGTCCTGAGGGATCCAGCTTGAAGGTGGGCCCAGACACCGGGTCCCAGATCTGCCAGGTCCAAGCTGAGGGGCCTCAAGCAAGTCATTCTACCCCTCTGGGCTTTGGCTTCCAAGCTAAGCACTGTGCTAAGTGCTGCAGCAACACATACCAAATGATAAAAGAGACATGATCGCTGTCCTTAGCAGAGAAGCTGATATTACAAAAATGTTCCCACAAGCACACACCTAAGTAAGAAATTGCAATTGGTGCAACAAAGGAGAAGTCCACCCCCGACGCCAACAGCTGATTTAGGGGTTTAAGGTGGGGCTCCCAGAAGAGATGACTTTTAAACTGACACCTGAAGTTAGTAGGATTTTTTGTTTATGAAGACAGAAGGGAAGAGAGAAGTTCCTTGGCAAATGCCACTCACCTGAGAACATTAAAAACTGGCAACTGGCCAGGCACGGTGGCTCATGCCTGTCATCCCAGCATTTTGGGAGGCTGAGGCAGAAAGATCATGAGATCAGGAGTTCGAGACCAGCCTGGCCAACATAGTGAAACCCCATCTCTACTAAAAATGCAAAAAATTAGCTGGCGCAGTGGCGGACACCTGTAATCCCAGCAACTCGGGAGGCTGAAGCAGGATAATTGCTTGAACCCAAGAGGCGGAGGTTGCAGTGAGCCGAGATCATGCCACTGCACTCCAGCCTGGGTGACAGAGCAAGACACGGTCTCGGAAAAATAAATAAATAAATAAATAAATAAATAAATAAATAAATAAATAAAACTAGCAACTGCCCAGATTAATGGGGTAGATCCTTGTATTCACTTGCAAAGCATGGTTTGGTATCACAATCAGATGCAGATTTGTAAAGAAATGTCCCCCATAGAAATGGAGGTGTCGAATCCAGGGACAGGATGCCTAACAAAGGGGACTTACTGTGGGGCACCCCGGTTCCACCATCTGCAAAATTCACAAGTTAATCAAGACAGATCTTACAAATCAATGAGAAAAAAATTGCTAACACCCCAAAGGAAATGACCAGTTAACAAACACAAATAAGCCATAAACATGAAAAGCTGGCCAACCACACCAGTAGTCAAAGAAAAGCAACTTTATAACAAGATAGTTCCCCTCATGTTTTAAGAGTTTGCTGCAGGCTATGGCTCAACCCATAATTCCAGCATCTGGGGAGTCCAGGATTGCCCGAGGCCAGGAGTTTGAGACCAGCCTGGTAACATAGTGAGACCTCATGTGTACAAAAAATATTTTAAAATTAGCTGGGCATAGTGGTGTGCACCTGTGGGAGGCTGAGGTGGAAGAATCTCTTGAGCTTGGGAGGTCTAAGCTATGAACTATGAACTGAGCTATGAACGTATCATTGCAATCCAGCCTGGGTGAAAAAGCGAGACCCTGTCTCTAAAAAATAAAAATTAAAAGTTAATTTTTTTTTTTTGAGATGGAGTCTCACTCTGTCTTTCAGGCTGGAGTGCAGTGGTATGATCTCAGCTTACTGCAACCTCTGCCTCCTGGGTTCAAGCAATTCTCCTGTCTCAGCCTCCTGAATAGCTGGGATTATAGGCACCTGCCACCACGCCTGGCTAATCTTTGTATATTTAATAAAGATGGGGTTTCACCATGTTGGCCAGGCTGGTCTCGAACTCCTGACCTCAAGTGATCCACCCACCTCGACCTCCCAAAGTGCTGGGATTACAGGCGTGAGCCAACGCGCCCAGCCAGAAAAGTTAAAATTTTTTTAAAAGAGTTTGCTGCAGTAATTAGAATGCTCACACTATTGGAGGCTGCCTCAGCAACCCCTAATATTGCCTGTGGAGTGGTGACTGGTTAAATACTCCTCAACAGCAAGCTGGGAATGCATCAAGACCCTATTAAATTCCTGGGGTGTGGGTGGCTCTGCCAAGAAAACAATCAGAGACACATGAAAAGGTTTATACCTTGCAACAGGTAAAAGCAGAGGAAATCTGAAAGCCCCGCAGGACTGACTTGGCTGATGATTAGCAATGACAATGACAATAATACCAGTAGCAGGCAACATGCGCCCAGTACCTGCTCTGTGCCTGGTACTAGCGAGGGGCTTTGACAACTTTCTTCACCTCATCCTCGCAACAACCCCATGTAGAAGGGGTTCTTATTTTCCCCATTTTACAGAGAAGAAAAACCTACTTATGGAGTACCTTTCCTGTACAGGTGCATAATGAAATATGGAAAAGATATTCAAAACAAGTTTTTAAAACTTTAAAAGACATAGAGGAGATGGTCATAATATAAGTTAAAAAAAAAAACATGTCAAAAACAAAACCATCTGAAAGCAAGACAACAAGATGTTAAGGGTGACTATTGCTAAGTGTCAGAATGATGGGTGATAATTACGGGTGATCTATATTTGATCAATTTTTAGTAGAGGCAGGGTTTTGCCATGTTGGCCAGGCTGGTCTCAAACTCCTGACCTCAGGTGATCCACCCGCCTTGGCCTCCCAAAGTGCTGGGATTACAGGTGTGAGCCACGGCGCCCAGCCTGCACCCATGCTTTTGTCCAAAGTCCTAGTCATCGACCTGTTTGAGAAGTGGCTCCCATCAGAAACAAGTGGCCCAACTGTGCCACTTGAAACTCTGTCTCAATAAAAAAGGATAGTTAGTTGGAAGCCTAGCTAGGTGGAAGGCTGGTTAGATGAAAGGGTGGCTGGGTGGAATAAAATACAGAAGAATGGTTGGGAGAAAAAAACATGGAAGGGTAGAAGGAAAAACAGAAGCATAGGAGAAAGGGGATATTGAGGTGAAATCACCAGGAAGAGGTGAGGTAATAGGTCCAAGGCAACACGATATCAGTACACCAATGAGGAGGGAGGCTGGGGACACGTCCACAGTGGCATCCCAAGTTCACGCCTCTACCATGGGTCATAAGCCACCATTCTGTGCATGTTTCAATGTGAAAGACACTCTTCAAGGAGCCCCTTGCCCTTGAGAAGGTCACCGAGTAGGAGGGAGAGAAATGGCCACCTGACCAAGTGCTAAACTCCACAGGAGACAGAAAGCTCACAGTTGTCGCCTTGTCTTCTCCTTTTTTTTTTTTTTTTTTTTGAGATTGGGTCTTGCTCTGTCACCCAGGCTGGAGTGCAGTGGCGTGATCTCGACTTACTACAACCTCCACCTCCTGGGTTCAAGCAATTCTTCTGCCTCAGCCTTCCGAGTAGCTGGGATTACAGGCACGTGCCACCACGCCCAGCTAATTTTTTTGTATTTTTAGTAGAGACGGGGTTTCACCATGTTGACCAGGCTAGTCTTGAACTCCTGACCTTGTGATCCGCCCACCTTGGCCTCCCGAAGTGCTGGGATTACAGGCCTGAGCCACCATGCCCAGCTGCCTTGTCTTCTCTACAGGGCTGCCTATCAGCAAAGCATCAACCTAGTGAATCTCCCCCATAGTACTCCCTGAGCTCCGAAGCTCCGAGAAAAAGTTTTCCCCCAAAGGCTCCTCTCCGGAGTGCTCAGCCCTGTGCTTGCCTTCTGAAGATGCCTTCGAGAAGACTTTGGTTCTGGCGGTTCCTGGCAGAGGAGCAGCCTGTTGCTGGTCCCACACCGCACCCCAGTGCCCAGAGCTGGAAGCCGATTCTGCCAGGAGCCGGCCTCCTGCGCCAGCACCTCCGCCACCAGGACCTGCTCCTCGTCTCCTGGAGCTCACTGGGAGCCGGTTCTCTTCACAGAGCAGCCCCATGGTTCTAGGAAGTGGCCCTGCCCAGAGGCACACACACCGTTCCTGGTAGCCCTGGAGTGTCATCAGTTCTCATCACCGCTGGCAGCCGCAGCCAGTCACGGGGTCCGTGTGAAAGGAGGTGTTCACGGGGCTTGATGTCACAGCATTATTCCTGGGGCTCACCACACCCAGGTGGAGATGACACACGAAAGGAGGGAAGAGAAAGTGATCTCCCCTCAGGATCTGTATGACTCAGCCTCTCTGCTTGTAGAGACAAAGAAACAAATGACGGCCAAGGGCCTCCGTGCATGAGAATCTCCTGCAACTACCTTCGACCTAGATGGTATCATCCCCATGGTACAGATAAGGCGATTGAGGCTAGGACAGGTTCAATAAATAGCAGGCCCGAGATTCAACCCCAGGTGACTCTAAAGCCCAAATCTGACTCCTGCACAGATTTCTCCAAGTTCAGCATGGCCCTGAGCCTGCTCCGTTTAGACAGAAGCCATGACGGGATTCCACAGGACCAGGGCAGCCAGGACTCTGGCGGGGAGTCAGACCTGTGTGAATAGTTCGCAGGCCAGCAGTGGATATTTCTGTCCTAACCTCATAGCTTCTTATGTGAGGTTACTGTCTGTGCCATGTTTGCCACTTAATTATTTAGGAGGAGCAGTCTAGGGTCGTAGGAAGGAAGCAAGCTCCAAAAACAGAGACCAGAGTTCAAGTTTGGAGTCAGCCACGGCGTAATATGAGAAAGCTGCTTCATCTACCTGCTGTTCCTCAATAGAAGGTCATGGCCGGTATGAGGTGGGCACCCAAATACATTGTTCCTAGTCTTTCTTCACCTGCCTCGCAAGATAAGAAGCCCAGACCTGGTTGTTCTGTGTGTTCTAAGAATACAACAACACAGGCAGTTGAAGAGCCAAGCCGACAATCAAAATTGTCCAAAATGAGACAGCCAACTACAGACAAGCATAAGAAGGTTGTGAGGAAGAAAATACTCAATTTATCTCACTTAAGAGTGCCATTACAAACGAGCCTTCAGGCCAGGTGTGGTGGCTTATGCTGGTAATCCCAGCACTTTGGGAAGCTAAGACGGGAGAATCACTCGAGCTCTGGAGTTGAAGACCAGCCTGGGCAACATAGCAAGACCCTGTCTCTACAAAAAGTAAACAAATTAGTCAAGCGTGGTGGCACACACCCAAAGTCCCAGCTATTCAGGAGGCTGAGGCAGGAGAATCATTTGAACCCAGAAGCTCAAGGTTACAATGAGCTATGATAGCACCACTGCTCTCCGGCCTAAGCAAGACCCTGTCTCAAAAAAAAAAAAAAAAAAAAAAAAAAAAGAATCTTCAAGTGTAGTCCACAAGAGAAAAAGAAAAAAAAAGAAACCAAGTGGTGACTGAAAGTCACAGAACTGCTTGCTGTACATTAGTAGATTTCATAGGAAACTACTATAATGGCCACCATCTATGGGCCAGTTGCAGTTCCAGAAATCCTTGTACAATAATCATTCCTTTACAGAAAACAGGCTTGAAATTTTCCATCAAAAATAGAAAGTCCACTTTGACATCTGGCCTTTTGGCCAATATTTAAGATGTCTGTTTTCAAAAAGTGCCCATGTTAAAACTTGTCTCCATATCACTCACATGCATTCTGCAGAAGGTAACCTATGCCCAAACCGAAACCTCAAGACCATCTTTTATTTATTTATTTATTTATTTATTTATTTATTTATTTATTTTGAGACAGAGTCTCACTCTGTCACCCAGGCTGGAGTGCAATGGCACAATATCCGCTCACTGCAACCTCCGCCTCCCAGGTTCAAGTGATTCTCCTGCCTCAGCCTCCCTGGTAGCTGGGATTACAGGCACCCGCCACCATGCCCGGCTAATTTTTGTATTTCCAATAGAGACACAAAATACACCATGTTGTATTTCACCATGTTGGACCGGCTGGTCTTAAACTCCTGACCTCAAATGATCCAGCCGCCTTGGCCTCCCAAAGTGCCGTGATTATAGGCATGAGCCACCACACCCAGCCTAAGACCACCTTTCTGGTGACAAGTTTGAATCTTTGGGGATTTCTCACACCAAAGATGATAACTGAATTCAGAATCATGGATCCCTGACAGCACTCCAAAGATTCTGAACATTCAACTCCATTCTCTTTATTTCCTTAACTCACATTTCCTCTCTTCTCAACCCAGAGTTTAACTTCATCACACTCCACCATACGAATCAGAGCACTTTGAAGACTCATTTGAAGACGGTTTCAACTCACAAAAGAAAACACAAATGATTTAATATCCATTCATTCATTCGACCAATATTTATGAAACTTCTCCCAAGTGCCAGGCAATGCCAGGAGAGGGGAGAACATGAGGGTAAAAAAGCAATAAACAATGTCAGAAAATGTGGATGCTCCTCCCTTTCTGTACCTAATTGTTTTTGCTTTGTTTTGTTTTGTTTTTTGAGGCAGTCTCACTCTGTGGCCTAGACTGAGTGCAGTGGTGTGATCACTGCACACTGCAGCTTCCAACTCCAGAGCTCAACCAATTCTCCCATCTCCTCCTCTTTCACCTACTGAGTAGCTGGGACTATAGGCACACACCACCATGCCCAGCTAATTTTTTATTTTTTGTAGAGATGGGACCTCACTATGCTGTCCAGGCTAGTCTCAAACTCCTGGACATACTCCATCCTCCTGCCTCAGCCTCTAAAAGTGCTGGGATTACAGGCAGGAGCCACCATGCCCCAGCCTGTCCCTAACTGTTGAGAGTCCCTGGGGGAACCGAGCTGCCTCTTCTTATAACCAAGTCATCAAGAGCCCAAAAGAGGTCTTATTCATCTCAGTATCCCAGAACAATGTAGGCACATGGTAAGCACTCTCGGATTATTATTATATTACTATTATTATTATTTTTTAGGCAGAGTCCTGCTCCGTATCCCAGGGTGGAGTACAGTGGCACAATGTTGGCTCACTGCAACTTCTTCCTCCCATGTTCAAGCAATTCTCCTGCCTCAGCATCTCGAGTAGCTGGGATTACAGGTGCCTGCCACCACGCTCAGCTAATTTTTGCATTTTTAGCAGAGACAGGGTTTCGCCATGTTGGCCAGGCTGGTCTCGAACTTCTGACCTCAAGCAATCCACCTGCCTCGGCCTCCCAAAGTGCTGGAATTACAGGCATGAGCCACCTCGCCCAGCCCTCGGATTATTTTAGCTTCAGCTTCAGTAACTAATATATCAAATGGGATGACACAAGGATGGAAGGTTTCCCTCCTCACCCCAGGCATAGCGGTTAGGAGAGCACTCTAGGCCTAAATGTTAGCCTTGCTCCTGACTGGCTGTGTAGCCAGGACCAGTTACTGTGACTCTCTAAACCTTAATTTCCTTATCTATTGAATGGGGATAATGACAATACTCCACTGTCATTTACTTATTTAGTCTTCAACAAAAACTCCATTTTAGTCCTCAACAAGAATTCCATTGAGTTAATATAGCTGGCTGGGGCTGGGCGTGGTAGCTCACGCCTGTAATCCCAGCACTTTGGAAGGCCGAGGCAGGAGGATCACCTGAGGTCGGGAGTTCGAGACCAGCCTGACCAACATGGAGAAACCCCGTCTCTATCAAAAATACAAAATTAGCTGGGCGTGGTGGCAGGTGCCTGTAATCCCAGCTACTTGGGAGGCTGAGACAGGAGAATCACTTGAACCTGGGAGGCGGAGGTTACAGTGAGCCAAGTTCATGCCATTGCACTCCAGAGCAAGACTCCGTCTCAAAAAAAAAAAAGAAAAAAAAATATATACGTATGTACAGCTGGCTGGAAGCACTTAGAGTCCTAGGCCTGCCACGCAGTGTCTATAAAAGCCTTCCCAGGACACCCAACCACCTTTCCCAGCCACCCCAGCATACCCCCTAAGCCCTACACATCACATGCCCCATCAAAGCTCTCCACACACCAAAAGGACACTCATCCTTTCGTCTACACATTGGGTAGAGGGCAGGTATGGAAATTCTTCCTTTCAGAGAAGAGGGATGCCCACTCTCATTTTTCTAGAAACAGAGTCCTCAAGTTTCTTGCTCTACTTTTGATAAAGATGTAGGCACAAGAAATATTTCTCATCTCTCTTTTCTAAAAGAATAACAACGGAATGAACTTGAATATAAATGGCAACGTCAGGTGGCCTGGTCAGGGAGGGGCGAGATTATGGAGAAGGGAGTGGGGCATGACCAGGGGACGCTGCTTGTGGGCTCTGGCCAGGGCGGCTGCACAGGTGTGGGGCCCCCACCCCTACCGGCCACACCTTTCATGCCTCCGCTCCTCAGAAGGGAAGCCAGACATTTTCATTTTCACACGAGGTCTATCCATTTTCACAGGTTAGTGATTAGTTCAAAGGATACTTGTTCCAAACACAGGCCCAAGAGAAACGCTGTCCTGAGCAACCTCGCTGGTGGGGGTTCCCGCTCAGTCTGCTGAGGCCTGACATGACGGGAGTTCACCGGGAAAGGTGCTCTCCAGTCTCTCCTGGGGAGTGTGTTATGAATGCAGATTCCAATCCCCTCACCCACTTGTCTCCCTTCCCGGGAGAGAGAAGGGGCTACACTTTAGAAACACTGCTCTAGTCCAGTGTCTGCCAGGGCCAGCAGAAATGTCCCCCCCAAAGCCACCTGACTAAAGGAGGGTGAAGCTGGAACCTGAACCCTAGAGGGTTTCTCTAAGGCCAGAAGACACTTTACAGCGTCAACAAGGGTTTCCCCTTGGGGTCAGCGAGCCATCCAATTTCCGCACACCGGGACCCATTCCCATCCCCCAAGCTCCAGACACTAACCCTTAGGGGTCCTTACAGCCAAGGCCCCCAGCTGCTTCTCCATCCACCTCAGCGATGAAATCCCTCAGGGCTTCACCGGCTCAATCCACAGTGACAGCAGGACTCCTAAGAACACTTTTGTTTCCCCTTAATAGTTGGCTTCCTGCACTGCAGACAGCTATGGTCCTTAGGGAAGATTCCAGCAGCCACGTGGGAGAAAGAGAGACAGAGAGAGAGGAGAGAAACTTAACTTGAATCGGGTAGTTTAAAATAGTAAACTGAGTCAGACAGGTCTGGGGTCAAATCCCAGACATGCTGCTTTCTAACTCTGTGCCTCTGAGTCAGTATCTTCTCCTACTACACCTTCAGTTTCTTCAACCGTGAAATGGGTATAAGGACAGCATCAGCATCTTTGGGTCAGGACAAGAATTCACAACCTCAGTGCACACTGAGCATGCTACCCTGTGCCAATGGATAAATGGTATTCCTGCTCCTGCTTCTTCATGGTATTGCGTAGATTCTCAAGGTCATTTCAAGACACTCACAAAATACGAAGACGCAGGAGATGTGTATGCTCTTCCTGTGGCCCTGCCAGGACACGCGACCCAGCCCTCTCCTCCCGAAATCTTGCCTGGTTCACTCCTGCCTGGACTTGCTGAATCATTGCCCTGGCTGCTTTCCTGTAACTCGGCTGCTGACTTGAACTGAACTCTTCGATGCTGGATCCTGTAAGGCGGACCGAGATTGAGGAATGTATCTCTGAATGCCTGGCATCCAGCCACAGTTCTGTAAAATGACCAGGGCGCGAAAGACCTAGAGTGTCTCTCTGGCATCAGAGAGGGTCACATGACAATTTGGGACCCCTTTAAATGCTCTGAGGGACAGGAAAGCCCAGGAGGGTCCCACAAGGCACTCACTGTCCAGTCCAGGGCTGCACTGTGACTCAGAGGCCTCACTGCTGAGCGATGACTCAGCGGCCCAGCGCAGAGCCAGGGCAGCCATGAGCAAGCCCCTGAGCTGCCTCCAGGAGCAGGGGGTCTTGTGCCAGGCAGGCCGGGCTCGAGTCAGCCCAGAGGAATGCCCCCTGCCCTCCGCCTGTGCCCACTGCCGGAGACTTACGCAGCTGGCATCCCAGCAGTGCTACATGATCTACCTGTCCCTGCGCCAGGGTAAACAGGCAAAACAGGAGCCCTGCTTCCCGGCTGCCGCAGGGGTGAGGCCTGCCTACGGAGGGCAAGGCCATGCTAGATCGGAGGAGGGTGGGCGGCCTTGGGGCAGGAAATGGCTGGGATACCAGCAGGCCTCCTTGCCAGGCTGAAACAAGTTGGCACGTGGGGCTGGGGGCAGAGGAGCCGGGAAGAGAAAACGCCGTACAGAAAGGGCAGGACAGAGCAAGGGCCACGGGATGGGGGCGGGGGTAAAGGAAGGGTCAGTGAAAAGCTGGGATGTAAACAATGCTATAAGATGCTCGTAGACTTAAAAAGCATCGTGCCCCGCCTTTCTTCTCTCTTTATTCACTTTTTTTTTTTGAGACAGTGTTTTTTTGTTTTGTTTTGTTTTTGTTTCTTGTTTTTTGTTTTGAGACAGGCTAGAGTAGAGCAGCACAATCTTGGCTCATTACAGTCTCTGCCTCCCAGGTTGGAGCGATTCTCCTGCCTCAGCCTCCTGAGTAGCTGGGATTACAGGCACCCACCACCACACCCAACTGATTTTTGTATTTTTAGTACAGACAGGGTTTCACCATGTTGCCCAGGTTGGTCTCGAACTCCTGACCTCAGGTGATCCCCCAGCTTTGATCTCCCAAAGTGCTGGGATTACAGGCTCGAGCCATCACGCATGGCTCCTCTCATTCACTTTTAAAGCTCAGTTACGACCACGTGCCCAACATTCAGGTCACACCACACCCCTATGGAAAGGCTCTGCTGCCTCAACTGGACTGAGCTAAAGAGGCCCCTCAAACTCACTCGTGGGGGGCCTCCACTGCTGCCAGCCCTTAGGTCAACCTGAACCTCCACCAGCAGAATCTCCCTCAGCCCATTCCATTTCTTCTCTCAAAATCCTATGCTGCTCACGTTCCACCTCTTCCAGGAAGCCTTCCTAGAGTTGCAGGAGTCACTTTCCCCGGCCTCCTGCTGGGTATGGTTCTTTCACGATTGCATTATAGGAATTCTCTGGGAGGCTATATCTTGTCTCCTCACTTGAAGCCCTGGCCTGGGAAGACTCGCTGTCCTTCTACCATGTACTTCAAGGCTCCACCCACAGCTGATCTTGTCCATGGGAGATGCTCGATAAACTTATGCCAGCTGGGACTTTCCCTGATCTGAAATCTGTATGTCGTGAGAGAGAACCTTGTCTGTTCTCTCAGCAACCACTATGCCAGCCAAAGTCACACTCAGCCACTGTTTCCTGAGTCTCTCTCCACGTCAGCTGGACCCAGTGCAAGGCGCCACAGAGGCAGTGAGGACCAAGTCCTCTGGGCCTACCTCGAGGGCCCCACTGTCTAAGCCAGATCATCAGAACATGTCATAACGTGTGTCCAGAACCTAGAGAACAGCGGGTACCAGGCTGCTGTGTGGATGGAGAGGGAGGAGGGCTGGGCAGGCTTCTTGAATAGTAATAAAGGACCAATAACATCAGCTCACATTTATTGAGCTCTTAGTGTGTGCCAAGGGCTTAACCTGCCTTAATCCTGATAGCAATCTTGCCAGGAAGCCAGGCACTGTACCATTCACTTTACATATGTTAACTCATTCAAACACCAACCCTACGAAATAGATACTGTTAAAATCTCCTATTTCACACAAGAGGATGCTGAGAGCCAGAAAGGTCAATATCATACAACATCACACAGGTGGATTCAAACCCCAGCAGGCTAGAGGCAGAGTCGACGCACTGACCACTTCACCTCACTGCCTCTCTGCCTCAAGGCATCCAAGCAGGAGAATGACTTGCCCAGAAGAGTTTGGATGACTTGCCCAAGGTCCTAAGCTTACTCATGACAAGGAGAGTCACCAGCTCGCTAAACATCCAAGTGTCTCTCCAACAGGCTCCCACAGGCTTCAGCATTAGCGCAATGCAGCTTTCTGACGCCAGGCTCTGCCTTGGAAGCTGCTGATCATGCTGTCTTCCAGCTGTAGTCACTGCTGCTACAGTTTGGAATCCCACACAAAGTAAACACAATTCATCACAGCAATTACTGCAGTGACTCAGTTCCAGGAATTCTGTAACCAGAAATCGAGGCAGCTCCCCAACTGCTGCTGAGCCTGGGTATGGGCTACCCAGAGTCACCTATGGTCAGCCAACAGGCCAGTTTGGCTCCAGATCACCCTTGTAAAGTGCTGGCTGAGCTGCAGCCCTTGGAGATCTAGAGATGAGTCCTCACTTCAGGGTCATCACTCACTTCCCACCTAGGAAGGCAAGAACAGAGACTGTGAGCATGGCGTGGCAACCGGTCTAGAGAATGTGACAGGTTTCTCCAATGAACCAGTCCGGAGCAGCAGGGGCCACAGAGCACAGAGCCCCCAGAAAGACCCCTTATCCCAACCTCACTCCTGCATGGAGAAACCATGGCTAGAGTCTCCACAGCCTGCATCATGATGAATCAGCGCCTGGCTCACGTCTCATCTCTGAGACTCTGGACCCCAGGTGCAGATTCACCCTCCTGAAAGGCTGGGATGAAATGACTCCCGCTGCTTGCCAAGGAGAGGTTACTCCTGCAGTGACTCAGTCTCTGACCTCACAGTGGAGGCAGAAGAGGCCACATCCAGAGAATGGCTGTGTCCGTGCAGCATGGATTACAGACCAATTGGTGCTAGGCTCTGGGCTGGGTGTTTTGCTACATCATCTCACTTGCTCACCAAAAGCCTGCAAAGCCCACACTATTATCCTCAGGGTACAGATGAGGGCCATGGGCGGGGGTGGCTCAAAGGAGTTAAACAACCAGGTCACACTGCTTGGAACTGAATTTGCATTAGAAACTCAAGATTCTCTAATTCCATGGCCCTTGTTCTTACCATGCACACACAGTGCACCCCAAAGAAAGGGGGAAACAAAAACCTCAGAAGAGCACCCACTCCAAACGAATACATCAATTAGGGTGACACTTATAGAGCAGGCCATGTGACAAACAAGCCAGCAAATGACTCACAACACCCGGATTCACCACCCACCTGCCAAAGTTTATATTTAAAATTGAGTTTCCTTCATCCCCAGTTTTATTGTTTCGTTTTGATTTGTTCTGAATTCCTGTTTTAATATAAAATGCTTAAAAATGCTTAGAAATCTTTTCATAACTACATTTTATCTTTTTTTATTTTTTTTTAATTTTTTTTTTTGAGACAGAGTCTCCCTCTATCACCCAAAGTGGAGTGCTATGGCACGATCTTGGCTCATTGCAATCTCCAGCTCCTGGGTTCAAGTGATTCTCCTGCCTCAGCCTCCCCAGTAGCTGGAATTACAGGCGCCCACCTACTTTTTGTATTTTTAGTAGAGGCGGGGTTTTGCCATGTTGGCCAGGCTGGTCTTGAACTCCTGACCTCAGGTGATCCACCCACTTCAGCCTCCCAAACTGCTGGGATTACAGGCGTGAGCCACCGCTCCTGATCACAACTACATGTTCTTAACTTAAAAAGGCACTGTGACATTATTTCCACAGTTACCCAATCAGTGAGTCTACATAAAAAATGAAAGAATAAAATTCACATCAATCTTACTTGTTTAATCCCATGTGCAGACACCAATTATGTCAGGCAAAGTCGCTATTCTTAACATCTGCAAAGCTGGCTGTGCATGGGTCCACACCATCACTGTGTCTTACTATACAAACCACAGTGCTCTGTGGTATGAAATCTACACCAATCATTTTCATCATTAATTATCTTCTTTAGGATACCTGAACCAGGGCCGTGGCATCATAACCAAAAGTGCAAACATGTGCCCCCAACAGATGCTGGTGGCCTGAGTTTCCAGTCAGGTTTCCAATGTGTATCAAACAAGCCACAGAGATTACAAATCTTTTCCAAAATAAAGGTTCCTTTTCCAGGCCAAAGTACTACTCCCTGATAACCTATGTTGTAAACCAGACCGACCGCTAGGTCCTCTTAAAGGGAGGCACACCTTTGCCTAACTGCCCTAGGGTGGGTGGTATAGAAAGCAGCACTCTCTCAAATGGCCTTTAAGGAAGTTTCTAGTCCCTCAGGGTCCCTCACTCCCCTCACATACCCACAGGCTCACACACATGTAGTTACAGGCTGTGTACCCATGCATATGCAAGCAGGAGCACACATACACATATGTACAGGCTGTGCACCCATGCACGTGCACACAGGAGCACAAATACACATATGTACAGGCTGTGCACCCACGCACGTGCACGCAGGAGCACACACACACATATGTACAGGCTGTGCACCCACGCACGTGCACGCAGGAGCACACACACACATATGTACAGGCTGTGCACCCACGCACGTGCACGCAGGAGCACACACACACATATGTACAGGCTGTGCACCCACGCACGTGCACGCAGGGGCACACACACACATATGTACAGGCTGTGCACCCACGCACGTGCACGCAGGGGCACACACACACATATGTACAGGCTGTGCACCCACGCACGTGCACGCAGGGGCACACACACACATATGTACAGGCTGTGCACCCATGCACGTGCACGCAGGGGCACACACACACATATGTACAGGCTGTGCACCCATGCACATGCACGCAGTCTTTCTCTTTTCTTATTTTCAAGTGTCCCTGATTCTTATTCCACCTCTTTTTACCTCGATGGCATAACTAGGAGTGTGAATGATAGCTACCACTTCATAGGAACGGCAAGGCCCTAGGAGTTTTTCATAGGATCCTACCTTTATCTGATTGAAAACCAGTCTTTCCACCTCCTGGGAACACCTTGTTTCGAAAGCTGGGCCAAGCTGCAAGTTCTGCCTAATCCTCAATAAGTGGAAGCCTATGAGGGTCCCCAGAGCTGTTTTTCACCCATGGTTTACTTCCACTTTGTCACCAAACTGCTCTGACCCTGTCTTAGAGGCACTGAAAAGGTAAAGGTCTCCCAAGGCCTAAGGAAAAGAACAGAAAACAGCCTCAGCCAGGGTCTGCCAGCCTAAAACCTCCAGGATCCCCAGGCCGGCATTATCTGCCACCTACTCTCTAACCCCCTTCCCTTGTCTTTGGCAAACTCACTAAATGAACACACACTCTTCCTACTGAGCCAGGGCACCATAAGGCTCTCAGCAGCCACCCAACCAATCAGGGTTGGCACAGAGAAAGAGACTAGCTGGCATCCCCTTCCCAGCAATTCAGCATCACACAGGAGAGCCCCTGGGATCTGACTCCCAGCTGTGTCTCCAACCCCACCTCCCTTCAGCGTGGTCCACACCATGCCCTGGGGAGGGCTTCAGTCCTCTCTAGGCCTGGACCTCCTCCCCTAAGGCCCAGCAATATCTCAGAGGGCCTTTCCACACTATGCAAGCATCATGTCCTCTGCCAGGCTGTACCAGTACCACCCTGAGCACAACTGTTCCCACAGCCCTTTATTGGAGCACTAGGGGTGGTGGTCACCAGCTTTTCCAGTTTTGAGGAGTATTGGTCAAATTTGTTGGCCTTTTTTGTTTGTTTGTTTGTTTTTTATCTGAGACGGAGTTTCGGTCTTGTTGCCCAGGCTGGAGTGCAATGGCGCGATCTCAGCTCACTGCAACCTCTGCCTCCCGGGTTCAAGCGATTCTCCTGCCTCAGCCTCCCAAGTAGCTGGGATTACAGGCATGTGCCACCACGCCCGGCTAATTTTGTATTTTTAGTAGGGATGGGGTTTCTCCATGTTGGTCAGGCTGGTCTTGAACTCCCGACCTCAGGTGATCCGCCCACCTCAGCCTCCCAAAGTGCTGGGATTACAGGCGTGAGCCACTGCGCCCAGCCAAATTTGTGGTTTTGGAGAGATGAGGTCTTGCTATGTTGCCCAGGCTGGCCTCGAATTCCTGGGCTCAAGCAACCCCCTGCCTCAGCCTCCCCAGTAGCTGAGACTACAGGCACATGCCACCACACCTGGCTTTGGTCAGGTGTATTATAGGGATATGCAACCGGGATTTATATCAGTCGCGTGAATAGAACATAACCTTGACATGTGATAAGAACTGACGTTTTACCTCTGGGGTCTCCCTCCTAAAAATGCATAACCCCAGCCTAATCATGACAAGGTTATAAACTTTTTAAATTAAATGTATGATAGATAATATACTCAATGTTTGAGCTGCTCCCGATTTCAATATATTCATGCTTCAAAATTCAAATGATACCCAAAGATACGCAATCAAGAGTCTCCTTCATAGTCTGAGGTTGCAGCAAGCTATGATCACACCACTGCACTCCAGCCTGGGCCACAGAGTGAAACCTTATCTCTGAAAAGAAAAAAAAAATCTTCTTCATGCATCTTCCTCCCTAACCCAGTCTCCCCTCCCTGCATCTCCCTCCTCCCACCACGCACAGGCCACCACTTGTGTTGGTTTCCTGTGCATCCTAACAGAGTTTGTGCAAAGACACATTTTTACATCCCCTCTACACCCATGCTTTTTTTTTACAGAAAAGATGGCATGCCATACTCCCCGCTCCACATTGTGCTTTTTGTGTCAACAATACATCCTGAGATCTCCCCGTGTTTGTGCACACAGCACTTCCTTATTCCTTTCCGCATCTTGCCTAGCACAATGTGTCATCATTTGCCAGTCTTCAACTCACAGATGTTTGAGTTACTCCCAGTCTTTTGCTTTTATAAAAATGTTCCATGAATAACCTTGGGCACTGTTCTTTTCCTACAAATATCTATAGGTTATCTCTGTAGGGGAAATATCCCAATGTCCCAACATGAGATGGCCAGGTCAAAGGGCACATGCTTTTGTAGTTTGGATAGAGAATGCCAAAAGGCCATAATTCTTCCCAAAGGGCCACATCCACTTGCATTCCGTCCAGCAACACAGCTTTTGCCAACAACAGAGCGCATCAACAACATGTGTATTATACAACGTTGGTATTTTTTATCTGTATTTCCTTTTTTAGGATTGGGTAGAGCAACTTATCAAAGTGTCATTTGGGGCCAAGAGTTCGACTATCCTGGCCAACATGGTGAAACCCTGTCTCTACTAAAAGTACAAAAATTAGCCAGGTGTGGTGGTGGGCGCCTATAATCCTAGCCACTCCAGAGGCTGAGGCAGGAGAATTGCTTGAACCTGGGAAGCGGAGGTTGCAGTGAGCTGAGATCTCACCACTGCACTCCAGCCTGGGCAACAAAGCAATACTCCATCTCAACAACAACAACAACAACAAAAAAAAAAAAAAAAAAAAAAGGCCATGTGCAATGGCTCACGCTTGTAATCCCAGCACTTTGGGAGGCCGAGGTGGGCGGATCACCTGAGGACAGGAGTTCAAGACCAGCCTGTCCCAAATGGCGAAACCCCATCTCTACCAAAAATACAAAAAAAAAAAAAATTTGCTGGGTGTGGTGGCAGGCACCTGTAATCCCAGCTACTTGGGAGGGTGAGGCAGGAGAATCGCTTGAATCCGGAAGGCAGAGGTTGCAGTGAGCCGAGATTGCGCCACTGCACTCCAGCCTGGGCAACATCTCAAAAAAAAAGAGAGTACCATTTGGGGCCCCTTTCCTGTGAGCTGTCTTTATATTGTGCAGACCCATTTCCCACACAGCTATCAGCTACACCAGCTGCCACTCGGCCATGAGCTAGTCTCCGTGGGTGGTGGGTGCAACTTGGAAACACACGGCACAGGCTCCAGTCATCAGGGAGTTGATCCAGGAGAATGCTCACATGTAAAGGAAGGCTTCAGCCTGAGGGAACATGCAGTAGGAATGCAAGGGTAAGAGCAAGGATCATTCTAGAAAGGAAAAGCTCACTTAGGAAATGTGATTAACCACGGCCTCCAAGTACTACCTGCTCCTTGGAGAGAGAGGAGACCAGGAAAGGTGCCCCACACAGGTAATCCTGTTTAGTAGGGAGATAAGGCCAAAGACACCATGGACACCCACCAGGGACTCAACAAAAGCCAAGTAACCGGGTCTTACCGTGAAAAAATGGAGAACTCTCCCACCTGTTCTTTCTTTCCATTCTACTGACATTTCCAGACTGGTTACTTTGTTCACTTTTATTACCACTTAGTTCAGTAGCTCTTAAAGCTCCAGTC
The DNA here is from genome assembly GCF_000001405.40 of Homo sapiens. Taxonomy (NCBI): domain Eukaryota; kingdom Metazoa; phylum Chordata; class Mammalia; order Primates; family Hominidae; genus Homo; species Homo sapiens. Next base: position 127,846,133 of record NC_000008.11, on the reverse strand, counting down.
ACCTGAAGAGCCCTTACAAAGCACATGTGCAGCCCTGGAGGGGTCCACGATGTGTGCTTGGGAAAGGCTCCAGGGTGAGTGATTCTCATGGGTATCTCTGATAAAGGACTACCACCCAGCTCAGGGCTGACAGGGCCAGCACAGCCTTCCTGGGACCCCGCTAAGAACAGACCTTTCAAAGTGTGGGTGGGATGTGACAGAGAAGCTAAGACAAATAGGAGTGACCTTTCCGCCGAGTTTTGTTCAAGTGAGAGAGAAAAATCGCCAGTGTCAGAGAGATGTCCACCTTGGAAATCTCTTTTGAACACAAAATCCTCGCCAGGCCTGGAGGCTGTGGATGGGAAAACAGGACACTCTGTTCTGCAATTATCTCAGGTCTACTAAGAATTCTTCCCAAGACCAGAGACACCCTGGGCAGTTCATCTGCATATCTAATGTATTATTTATGCCCCTGCCGGCTTCCAGAATGCTCTGGGTCATATCACTTGCATAATCCCATCCGGTAGGTGGAAGACAATAATGTTGAGTCTGCTATATAAGTATGTTTGGGGTCAAGGACTAGCATTCTTAAGTTCCTAGACTCACACAGTATTTTTGGCTAGCCATTCTTCTCTGTTTCAGCGTACGATGGGTCTAGGCTTTCAAATGCTTCAAATACTGTTAAACTTCCTCCTCCTCCCCACTTTCACCCTCTCCCCTCTGTCCCAGCCAGTCCACCAGAGAGCCATTCCTGTATCTTGGGCATGACTCCTTGAAAGCCATGAGGATCTCCCTCTTCTATAGGGACTTGAGAAAACACTCTTCATTTAGGCCATTCATGCAACAATAATCTAGATCCAAGCTCAGTCCCCAGCTCCTCACTCTGACCATTAGCTCCAAGGAAACAAGCCACCTCAGCCCCCACAATGAAGCCAGTGCTTTAGGCAGGCCCCCAGTGCCATCCCTCGTCACAACACACACCTTATTTCTCAGATTTTATACCCTGCAAAGGGCTAAATTCTAAACACACCTCATTTAAGAAACCTTTCCCCACTACTACAACCAACACCCCCCACACATAAAACACCTGCTAGGTTCCAGGCGCTGTCCCAGGCAGTGAGATGCATGTAAAACACACCTCCGGCCGGGCGTGGTAGCTCACGCCTGTAATCCCAGCACTTTGGGAGGCCGAGGCAGGTGGATCACGAGGTCAGGAGATCGAGACCATCCTGGCTAACACAGTGAAACCCCGTCTCTACTAAAAATACAGAAAATTAACCAGGCGTGGTGGTGGGCGCCTGTAGTTCCAGCTACTCGGGAGGCTGAGGCAGGAGAATGGCATGAACCCAGGAGGCGGAGCTTGCAGTGAGCCGAGATCGTGCCACTGCACTCCAGCCTGGGCAACAGAGTGAGACTCCATCTTAAAAACAAACAAAAAAACAAAAACAAAACAAAAAAAAAACACACCTCCATTCCTACCCAAGAAGTTCAGTCGAGTGGATGAGACAGGAATTCTGATGCAAGAGGATGAAAAGGGCTCTGTTCACAGTTAACACAGGGATCTCTGGCAGCCTATTCTAAAGATTGGAAGTCAGGGAGAACTTCCTGGGGGAGGTGGCATGAGTTGCATCTTTAGGAAGCAAAGAAGATTAAAAGGTTACAAGTTGTTGTGTGGGTTGTAGAGGAATGGGTGGAGACAAGCTGAGTTTCTAAGGCCTCATGGGCAAGGGACAGAAGGACAACAAACTGTGTGAAACATACCCACCCAAGAGCACGGATGCACAAATAAAGGTGGTCTTGGCTCTGCCCACTGCTTCACACTTGTCATTTCAGACCCATTATGAGGCTGCAATCAGGACTGGGCGGCTTTTCTCATTCACGAGAGGGCACTACATTCTGCTAACTCATGCAAAGAGACCCTTTTAATAATGTAGACATGCCAGGAGATCAAGACCATCCTGGCTAACACGGTGAAACCCCAACTCTACTAAAAATACAAAAAAAATTAGCCGGGCATGGTGGTGGGCGCCTGTAGTCCCAGCTACTCAGGAGGCTGAGGCAGGAGAACGGCATGAACCCGGGAGGCAGAGCTTGCAGTGAGCCGAGATTGCGCCACTGCACTACAGCCTGGGTGACAGAGCAAGACTCCGTCTCAAAAAAAAAATAATAATAATGTAGACATGCATCAATAATTCAGAGGCTAGGAGGCTCCCCAGAGAAACCATGAAGAATATCAACAATCCCCTGCCACAGGACTTAGCAGCTTTGGAAGGCATCGTCCAAGCAGCCACTCTGGAAAGAAAGGTGCTTCTCTCAAGCAATCTGTACAAAGCTCCCTGTGAACACATCACATCTAGTCTGCCCAGGAAGACAAGGGATTCCCACCTCCTATTAAAAAAACAGCCAAACAGGCCAGGCGTGGTGGCTCACGCCTGTAATCCCAGCACTTTGGGAGGCCGGAGAGGGTGGATCACAAGGTCAGGAGATCGAGACCCTCCTGGCTAACATGGTGAAACCGCGTCTCCACTAAAAATACAAAAAAAAATTAGCCGGTCGTGGTGGCGGGCGCCTGTAGTCCCAGCTACTCAAGAGGCTGAGGCAGGAGAATGGCGTGAACCCGGGAAGCGGAGCTTACAGTGAGCCGAGACCGCGCCACTGCACTCCAGCCTGGGCAACTGAGCAAGACTCCATCTCTAAAAAAATAAAAACAGCCAAACAGGCATCTCTCAAGAGCTGTTTGATTTACAAAAACTTGGCAAGGATAAACCTCTTCCAACCATATTACCTGTTTTGTTGTTTGTTTGTTTTTTGAGACAGAGTCTCGCTCTGTTGCGCAAGCTGGAGTGCAGTGGCATGATCCCAGCTCACCGCAACCTCCACCTCCCGGGTTCAAGCAGTTCCCTCCTGAGTAGCTGGGATTACAGGCATGCACCATCACACTCAGCTAATTTTTGTATTTTTAGTAGAAATGGGGTTTTGCCATGTTGCCCAGGTTGGTCTCGAACTCCTGACCTCAAGTGATCCACCCGCCTCAGCCTCCCAAAGTGCTGAGATTACAGGCACGAGCCACCGTGCCCAGCCCATATCACTATTTTTATCCTCAGAACCTGTGTGGTAGGTAGGGTCCCATCTGTCACTTCTGTAGACCAGGAAACTGGGGCTCTTGCCTATTGGTCATACATTCAGAAGACTCCAGAGAGGGTATTGTGACCTGGCCTTCTAGCCCTATGCTACTTGCTCTCTACTATACGAACTCTAGGAAGTTGGGTACTAGGCAATCTGTTAAGGCCACCTCATTCAACCCCCTTTGAGAGCCGGCACAGGAGCTGAGGGCCTCTGTGACTTGGTGACCCATCTCACTCAGATGCTATCTCTTGAAATTGATTAATTGGCTCAGGGATGAAAAGGTCTCTTCTGAAGCAAGAGGGAGGGTTGGTGCACAGTGATCACTTCATTATTGGCCCTGTCTCACCCTCTTTGGAGGAGTGGACAGATGACCCTCCAAGACGGCTGGGTCTTGGAGAGACTCGGCCTTTCTGTGGAGTCCAGAGTTGCTACTTGGGAATGGGGAGACAAAAAATTCAACACAGGCCATGCACAGTGGCTCACACCTTTAATCTCAACTCGCTGGGAGGCTGAGGTGGTAGGATTGCTTGAAGCCAGGAGTTCAAGACCAGCCTGAGCAACAAAGAGAGACCCTATCTCTACAAAAAAAATTTAAATTAAAAAAAAAATAGCCTGGTGCGGTAGCGCACACCTGTATTCCCAGCTATTCAGGAAGCTGAGGCAAGAGGATCACTGGATCCCAGGAGTTGAAACCTGCAGTGAGATATGATTGTACTTCTGCACTCCAGCCTGGGTGATGGAGCAAAATTCTTTCTTAAAAAAAAAAAAAAAATCCAGAGCAGTTCCACAAAAGAGCAAAGCCGTTTTCCAGTTTTTGTCTTAAAAACTCTAAATTGACTTAAAAAAAATTTAAAGAGGAAAGCATTAAATCCATGGATTCAAAAAACTATTTCTGCAAAAGTTTAAATGGGCCATACAACTTTTAAAAATAAGATAACAAAATATATATAAATAAAAAATATAATAACAAATATAAATAAATAATAATTTTAAAATAACAACTTTAGCCAGGCGCAGTGGCTCACGCCTGTAATCCAAGCACTTTGGGAGGCCGAGGAGGGTGGATCACAAGGTCAGGAGTTCAAGACCAGCCTGGCCAACACGGTGAAACCCCGTCTCTACTAAAAAGACAGAAATTAGCTGGGGGTAGTGGCGCACACCTGTGGTCCCAGCTACTTGGGAGGCTGAGGCATGAGAATCACTTGAACCTGGGAGGCAGAGGTTGCAGTGAGCCAAGATTGTGCCACTGCACTCCAGCCTGGGTGACAGAGTGAGACTGTCTCAGAAAGAAGAAAAAAAAAAGCAGATGTGTAGCTCCTGGGTCAGATGATGAGGCACAAAATTGCATCTGTGATGAGAAGTACACCAAGTCTGGGGTCAAGACTTGGATGCTACCACAGATCTTACCTCAGCCATGGCATTTAGCCTCTTGCTGTCTAATTTCACCTCCTATAAAATGGAGCTAATAAGCCACATGTGGTGGCTCACGCCTATAATCTCGCTGAAGTGGGCAGATCACTTGAGGTCAGGAGTTCAAGACCAGACTGGCCAACATGGCAAAACCCCCTCTCTACTAAAAATACAAAAATTAGCCAAGCGTGGTGGTGCATGCCTGTAATCCCAGCTACTTGAGAGGCTGAGGCGGGAAGATCACTTGAACCTGGGAGGTGAAGGTTGCAGTGAGCCAAGATGGCACTACTGCACTCCAGCCTGGGTGATAGAGCAAGACTGTCTCAAGAAAAATAAAAAAATAAAATAAAATAAATGGGGCTAATAGTACCTACCTCCCCTTCCTTCAGGCCAACAAGAGGTGGATGAAGATCTAACCCTGAGCTGAAAGGGAATCTGCTGAACAGGTACTATGTGCCAGGCACATGCCAAGCGCTTCTTGCCTTACTCTCAAATGCCCTCTGATGTATACTTTCCCCATTTTACAGGACTGAGGACTCAAAGACAGCAAGCATTGTTTCCCAAACCATCGATTCCCGGAGCAAGCTTTGGGGCACACAAAGGTGAAAAAGAGGTTGCTGCCTGCAGTGGGTTTCCAGATGACTTGGTGCCTTGGTCACAGCAGCAGAACCTGACAGAACTGGAAGCTGTCTGAACAGCCGCTTCCTTCTTCATTCGCCATCCCACTCAAGTGTGTTCTCCCTCCCCTGGGCATCCTAAGAGAACCAGCTCATTAAAAGAGACTTGGCTGTAGCGTGGCCTGAGAAGATACTGGCCAACTTTTCATTCCCTGGTTGGACAGGACCAGCTTCCTGCATGGGCAGGACCAGTTCGGTGCCACCCTCTTAGGGGAACAAATCCAGACAAGAAAGCTTTTGTGTGTCCAGCTCTGCGGAAGCACAGCTAGGAGAGTGGCAGGGTCCCCAAGGCCAGGAGCCGGTCCCACCAAGGTGTGGCCAGGGCTGCCAGCACAGGTCTCCTCCCTTTTGGAGCCAGTCTCCCGGCATCCCACACTATTTTAAGGCCTTTGGAGATCCAAACAGGATTCAAGCCTTGCCCAGGACGGCCTGTAAAAGTTTTCCACTGGAACAAAGATTTAAATGCTGTAACTCAAAACATGACTTTACAATGGGCTCTGATTATCAAACGTTCCAGAATATCCTCTTTTGAGACACTGCTCCTTTCTCTTTCCTGTCATTTACAGGCTGGCTGGCATGAGGCACGTAGTCTGGACTGGGCAGACGTCTCCTCTGAAGACATTGGAGGAAAGGGCCTTTTCCTCCTCAGCACTCATCCTGAGAAAGGGAGAGGAAGGGGTGACTGTTCACACCTAGCATAGAGAAAGACGTTCTCCTGATGGCAGTGGCCGTGATGCACACATCTGCTCAAACCCTCCACTGGCTTCCTGCTCCTTCCGAAGAAAGCCAAAGGCCCTGTGTAGTGTGGACCCCGGCCTCTCTGACTTCACCTTCTACCCCCTTTACCTGCTCACTCCTCTCCAGCCATTGGGACTTGGGTATTCTCTAGTTCCCCTCCCTCCCGACTCAATCCATTGTCTGCTCTGTGCCAAGAAGCAGATGCCTGTGGGCTCCAAGAACAGCTCCCCAGTGCACTGGCCATCAACTGTGTTTAGCCAATGGGAGGCACCAGCAGGAGGTCAGAGGGCAGAAGAAGGGAGAGTTCACAGCAGGAGTGACAGGTCCCTCTCCACATGGCAGCGGCTGGGTACCCCACACTGCAGCCAATCCTCCCCAGCCCTGGCAACACTGTACCACCCCCATGATCCATGTTGGCTCCTTAACCTTCTCTGACACCTTCCCTAACACCTCTGTCCACAGTCTCTTCCTTAAACCTCCCTTCCTCAGCTGAGCCATTAGACCCTGACTGATGCACGGGCTCATGACCCATCTGGGTGTTTCGTATGCCCTCTGCCTGCCTTATTATCTGGCTTCAAGTCCCAGCTCTTTTTTTAATTATTTTATTTATTTTTTTTTATTTTTTTTTTCATTTTTTTTTTATTTTTTATTTTTGAGATAGGATCTCACTCTCTCACCCAGGCTGGAGTGCAGTGGCACAATCACGGCTCACTGCAGGCTTGACCTCCCAGGCTCAAGCCATCCTTCCACTTCAGCCTTCTGGGCAGCTGGGACCACAAGTCTATGCCACCATGCCCGGCTAATTTTTTTATAATTTTGGTAGAGGTAGGGTCTCCCTCTGTTGCCCAGGCTGGTCTCAAACTCCTCTCCTGAAGTGATCCTATTCCCCTTGGACTCCCAAAGTGCTGGAATTACAGGCACGAGCCACTGCACCCAGCCCGCCTTTTATTATATGGGTGACCTTGGGCCAAGTTAGTCAATTTCTTGCCACAGCTCCTTCATCTGTAAAATGGGGTGATGATAATAGGACAGTCACACGTTGCTTAAGGGTAGAGATACATTCTGAGAAATGCGGCGTTAGGCAATTTCGTTGTGCGAACATTACAGAGGGAGTTTGTACAAAACTAGATGACAGCCTACTCACTACACATCTGGACTATATGGTACAGCCTACTGCTTCTAGGCTGCAGTCCTGAATGGCATGTTACTGTACTGAACATCGGAGTCAACTTAATACAATGGTGAGCATTTGTGTATCTAATCATATCTAAACATAGAAGAAGTACAGTAAAAATACTGTATTATAATCTCATAGGGCCACCGTTGTATATACGGTCCATTGCTGATCCACACATCATTATGTGGTACATGACTGTACTTAGAACATAGGGTTATAACGAAGATGAAATGAGCTAATTGATGAAAAGCACCTAGAATAGTGTCTGGCACATAGTAGTAAACAATAAATAGAAGCTACCATTATTATTTATTACTATCATCAGAGTCAGGCTCACTCTGTTGACCAGGTTGGAGTCCAGTGGCACCATCTCGACTCACTGAAACTTCCACCTCCCGAGTTCAAGTGATTCTCCTGTTTCAGCTTCCTGAGTAGCTGGGATTACAGGTGCCTGCCAGCACACCCAGCTAAGTTTTGTATTTTTAGTAGAAACGGGGTTTCACCATGTTGGCCAGGCTGGTCTTGAACTCCTGACCTCAGGTAATCCACTCGCCTCAGCCTCCCAAAATGCTGGAATTACAGGCATGAACCACCGCACCTGGCTAGACCTTGTTTTTGACCCCATAGGGTTTACTTGATATTCCTCCAAATGACAAACCTTTAAACTACAGATTCCCAACAATTCTGAGCACAGGTTCCATTACCAGTATCTGTCCATAGCCTTGCAAGACAAGTACTTTAGGAAGGACAACCTCACTCTGCAGCAAATTGTGATGTGATATATAATCAGATATTACATATACACATATATTTTTAAAATTCATAAATGAGACCAGGTGCAGTGGTTCATGCCTGTAATTCCAGCACTTTGGGAGGCCGAGGTGGGTGGATCACCTGAGGTTGGGAGTTCGAGACCAGCCTGACTAACACAGAGAAACCCCATCCCTACTAAAAATACAAAATTAGCCGGGCATGGTGGCGCATGCCTGTAATCCCAGCTATTCAGGAGGCTGAGGCAGGAGAATCACTTGAACCCAGGAGGTGGAGGTTGCAGTGAGCCGAGATTGCACCACTGCACTCCGGCCTGGGCAACAAGAGTGAAACTCCGCCTCAAAAAAAAAAAAAAAATCATAAATAATCACACCCCTTTAGAGCTACAACTGATATTCTCTACCCCACAAAAATCTAAGTCAAGGAAGCAGTACATAGGCTGATCATACCTGACAACACAAAAGAGTATGAACACTGGGACAGAATTCCAAATCCTAGCCATGAGCTGGGGCAAGTTCCTCCCCTGGCTCCGTTTCCCCATCGCTAAACAATACTCATCTTCTCTGCTTCATAGGGTCACTTTGTAACTAACAACTGAAAGGGATGACCATTTAGCCTGGCACACAGGAGGGCCTCAATCAATATTAGTTCCTTTTTTCTCTTTAATAAAACAAAGTAATTGACATAGAAAACTCAGGAAATTATATAGGAATAATATACTCTAATGTTATCTACAGCCTCCGAAAAACAATAAATCAAGGGAATTTTTCAAAAGTACATTTTCCAAGTGCAATGGTTCATGAAGCCATTATGAGGTTTCCGAATTTCCCCTTAATTTCCGGTATTCAAAAAAAAAAAAACAACAACAAAAAACGCTTCAGTGATACAATGCCAGTGGCAGCAGCTGAGGCCCACCCCCGGCCTTCTTTTTTCCTTTTACAGGTTGAAAGGTGTTGCATGAAGCCTGCAGCCCGGCCAGAAAGACTTCAGCTGGATGGAAGGCGAGCCCATGGCCTCTTCTCTTGCATGTGGTGTTCCCAGCCAGAGACCCAAGCGTCTATCTCTACAGTCAGCCCACCCATGGCCCTTCTCTGGGGACTAGGTGATAATTATGGCTGAAGGGGCGTGGGGGTGTTTGTCAGTCATGAACAAGATTCCAAAGAGCGCTGCCACTTCCCAGACAAATAACAGACCCTCAGGGGGCCTGGCTTATGGTCCCATGGGCTAGAATCCATATCCTCAGGTGTGGGACAGGCCAGTGAAGTCCAACTGTAACCAGAACCACTCATGTCCACTGCCCATCACCTAGAGGATTTCATCACACCTGGCATGGGTGTGAAATGGGGAGTTTGAAAACAGAGAGCAGGTGGGGGACTCCCGGCCCAGCAGCCCCTCTCGGTGCAGTGCAGGCGCCAAGCGTGTGGACTCTGAAGCCATATGCCCAGGTATGAATCTAGGCTTTCTTGCTCGCTGACTGTGGGCCAAGTTTCTTATTGTAATACTCTGTGCCTCAGTCCTCTCCTCTGTAACATGGAGACAACTGTGGAAACTAAATGACGTAATGCACTTAAAGCAGTGCCTGTAACACACTGTAAGCACTCTTTTACGTTCTTATTTTATTATTAGCAGTCAGAGTTATTGCCATTACCTCCAGCCTCTGGATCTGCCCAGTTCTGGCCAGCTCCAACAAGGACATTCCATTTTCTTCCACCATGGAGGGGCTTCACTGCAGTCACTCCAAAATTTAGACTACATGGTTCAGCCTTGACCTAACCCTCTGCAGCCTGTATACAAGCATTTGCTCACCTTTCATAGAAAAAATAGCTAATGCATGCTGGGCTTAATAACTAGGTGATGGGTTGATAGGTGCAGCAAACCACCATGGCACACGTTTACCTATGCAACAAATCTGCACATCCTGCACATGTACCTCGGAATGTAAAATAAAAATTAAAATTAATTTTAAAAAAAGAATATGTATGAACCACCCACTGAGTGTCAGACAACACAGAGTTCAAGGACAAAGTCAGTTTCTTTTCTCTAGGGGAGGAGTCACACCAAAATCAAAGAGCCAAATAATTTAATAAATTTTTTTTACAGACTATGACTGGTGCCACAGTGAAATTCAGCAGCATCCAGTGATGAGAAATGGAGGTTAGGGAATGAGTCTATTAGAAGGGGTGGTCTGAGGAGGTGATATTGAAGTTAGGATGAGAATCAGCTTTTCAACAAGCTGGGGAAAAAGCATTCTAGGATCTGGGACCAGCAAGTGCAAAGGTCCTGTGGTGCCCAGGGAAGGGTGTCAGGGAACTGATCAAAGACCAGGATGTGGGGCTACAGAGGGAGGGACCACTTGATGAGGCTGGAAGACACTAGTGTTCACAAAATAACTCCGTGAATACTAAACAATCTTAGGCCTGCATAGTCTATCTAACAAATGAATTCTATTTACCTCATCCAATTGTGTGTGATTCCAACCTCTTCTTGACTACCTCTAGTGATGGAGAACTCACTCACTGCAATTTCAGAGAATGCTCATTCACTCGATCAACAGGAACAGGCTGCTCAGGATTTCAAAAAAGTCAGGAGATACAATGGGAAGCCTGGAGATAGGGTTTTTGTGGAGGTTTTTTGTTTGTTTGTTTGTACTTTAAGTTCTGGGATACATGTACAGAACACGCAGGTTTGTTACATAGATATGCGTGTGCCATGGTGGTTTGCTGCACCCATCAACCCATCTTCTAGGTTTTAAGCCCCGCATGCACTGGGTATTTCTCCTAATGCCATCCCTCCCCTTGCCCCCCATCCCCCAACAGGCCCCAGTGTGTGATGTTCCCCTCCCTGTGTCCATATGTTCTCATTGTTCAACTCCCACTTCTGAATGAGAACATGCTGTGTTTGGTTTTTCGTTCCTGTGTTAATTTGCTGAGAATGATGGTTTCCAGCTTCATCCAAGTCCCTGCAAAGGACATGAATGCATTCTTTTTTATGGCTGCATAGTATTCCATGGTGTATATGTGCCACATTTTCTTTATCCAGTCTATCAGTGATGGGCATTTGGGTTGGTTCCAGGTCTTTGCTATTGTAAAAAGTGCTGCTATAAACATATATGTGCATGTGTCTTTATAGTAGAATGATTTATAATCTTTTGGGTATATACCCAGTAATTGGATTGCTGGGTCAAATGGTATTTCTGGTTCTAGATCCTTGAGGAATCACCCCACTGTCTTCCACAATGGTTGAACTAATTTACATTCCCACCAACAGTGTAAAAGCGTCCCTATTTCTCCACATCCTCTCCAGCATCTGTTGTTCCCTGACTTTTTAATGATCACCATTCTAACTGGCATGAGATGGTATCTCATTGTGGTTTTGATTGCATTTCTCTAATGACCAGTAATGATGAGTTGTTTTTTGTTTTCTGTTTTTCATTTGTTTGTTGGCCATATAAATGTCTTCTTTTGAGAAGTGTCTGTTCACATCCTTTGCCCACTTTTTGATGGGGTTTTTGTTTGTTTGTTTGTTTGTTTTTTCCCCTGTAAATTTAAGTTCTTTGTAGATTCTGAATATTAGCCATTGGTCAGATGGATAGATTGCAAAAATTTTCTCCCATTCTGTAGGTTCCTTGTTGACTCTGATAGTAGTTTCTTTTGCTGTGCAGAAGCCCTTTAGTTTAATTAGATCCCATTTGTCAATTCTGGCTTTTGTTGCCATTGCTTTTGGTGTTTTAGTCATGAAGTCTTTGCCCATGCCTATGTCCTGAATGGTGTTGCCTAGGTTTTCATCTAGGGTTTTTATGGTTTTAGGTCTTATGTTTAAGCCTTTAATCCATCTTGAGTTAATTTTTGTATAAGGTATAAGGAAGGGGTCCAGTTTCAGTTTTCTACATATGGCTAGCCGGTTTTCCTGACACCATTATTAAATAGGGAATTCTTTCCCCATTGCTTGTTTTTGTCAGGTTTGTCAAAGTTCAGATGGTTGTAGATGTGTGGTATTATTTCTGAGGCCTCCATTCTGTTCCATTGGTCTATATCTCTGTTTTGGTACTAGTATCATGCTGTTTTGGCTACTGTAGCCTTGTGGTATAGTTTGAAGTTTAAGGTTTTAAGCAGACTCAGTGAACTCTGCTAGTTAATAAGTGTAGGTGAGGTTGTAAGCAGGCCACAGTGGAAGCAGAGGGCCCAAGTAGAAGATATTACCTATGGGCAGGGAGGAACAATGGTTCCTATGGGAAGACTTTGCTTAAAGTGAGATACAAGGTCGTCAACTTCAGTGTCACCTGTGAGCTTGTTAGATCCAATTCTCAGGCCTCATCCTAAGTCTCTAGGGAGGGGTCCAGCTGTCTGGGTTTCAACAAGCCCTTCTGGTGATTCTGACTACACTAAAATTTGAAAATCACTGGACTACAGGACTGATAATATTAACTAGAAAACAATGGTGTCCCCCAGGAATGGCTTCATATCCCTCTGGAGCCAGGCAGAGCCAATGCCCTCGGGCCAAGACATTAAGATCCATAAGGCAGGCTTGTAATCCCAGCACTTTGGGAGGCTGAGGCAGGTAGATCGCTTGAGTCCAGGAGTTCAAGACCAGCCTGGGCAACATGGTGAAACCTTGTCTCTACTAAAGATACAAAAATTAGCTGGGCATCATAGCATGCACCTGTAGTCCCAACTACTCGGGTGGCTGAGGTGGGAGGATTACTTAAGCCCAGGAAGCTGAGGTTGCAGTGAGATTGTGCCACTGCACTCCAGCCTGGGCGACAGAGCAAGACCCTGTCTGGGAAAAAAAAAAAAATCCATAAAGCAGTTTTCAGAGAAGACTCTGTCCATGGGATTGATGTTCACTTACCCCGGCTAGGACCGGGCGAGGCCAAGATAGAGGGCAGGAGAGAGGAGCAGCTTCAACATCTCTGCAGACACCATCACTGCAGCCACATTCCAGTTCCACAGAGGAATGCAGACAATCCTCACAATCCCCAGGGCAGGGCAGGAGGTAGAGAGGATTATGAAATGCCTGCTTGTTGACCAAAACCTACCTAGGGAATCTCACCGAATCCCTCAACAACCCAGAACAGTACTATTCTGTTTACTCCCTTTGGCTCCATAGGGCCCAACAGATTATGGCAATCCAGAAAGGCTGAGACCAGAGCCCCAAGTGGCCAAGACAACAAGAAAGGAGCCATAATAGTGTTGCCCACTGTCCCCTCCTATATATCTGGGGAGGTGGGGGGAGATTCCTCTCAAAGGTTTCTTGTTTTGTTCCAGAATGGTAAGAGATACTACTGTTCATTAAATAACTCCATGAATATCAGATAATCTCAGAGTTGGATAACCTTTTACCCAATACCTGAATTCTATTTACCTTATCCAATTGTGCAAGAATTTTTTTTTTTTCTTTTGAAACAGAGTCTCACTCTGTCGCCCAGGCTGGAGTGGAGTGGTGCGATCTCAGCTCACTGCAAGCTCCGCCTCCCGGGTTCACACCATTCTCCTGCCTCAGCCTCCCAAGTAGCTGGGACTACAGGCACCCGCCACCACGCCCGGCTAATTTTTTGTATTTTTAGTAGAGATGGGGTTTCACCATGTTAGCCAGGATGGTCTCTATCTCCTGACCTCGTGATCCGCCCGCCTTGGCCTCCCAAAGTGCTGGGATTACAGGCGTGAGCCACCACACCCGGCCATGTGCATGAATTTGATCTCTTCTTGATTACCTCTAGTGACATAGAACTCACTCACTGTGTTTTCAGAGAATGCTTATTTGCTAAATCAGTCACAAAACCACTTGCTGAACCAGGCATGACATTAAGTACTACAGTAAAAATGCCTGTTGATGATACCTTATCTGTCAGCAGGTTGACAGGCTATCTGGAATGCTGGGTAGAATTCTAAGCTGAGTCTGGGCTCAAAGGAAGAGAAGGTCATGATCAGCTAGTGATGCCTGCCATGGGTACCCAAGAGAAAGTAACAAGTGTGGCAAGCATTTGCTATCTCTGCGTGGGAATATAGAGATGTCATTCAGATCCTCCCTTCACTGGGTTCACAATCTAGCTAAGAAAACCAAGAAATGTAGCAAACCACAAAACACTGGGATGTATGCCGAGATGGGGGTGGAGGAGGGGTGCCTGACACATAACTCTTACTTTTAAGAAACAGCCTGAAAAAAAAACACTTGACGTTTTTAAGTTGTGGCTTTCTCATCTGTAAAATGGGAATAATACCTGCCTGCCCTGCCCAGCCTTTTCTGCAAAGATGTTGTTTTGAGAATCAAATGAGCTAATGGGTAGGTAAATACTAATGGTGACATTAGCCTTCAAGGAACCTACTGAAGACACTGATTTGCCTAAGCAAAGAGCAAAAGGCAATGAAGAGAGAGCAGAACGCAAGAGCAGTCACCTTCATTGGTCACTGGCTTCCTCTTGATTGCTCCCATGAGGCGCTCTTGCCAAGTTAGTCAACAACCTCCTTGATGCCAAATCTAACAGTCACTTCTGTGTGACTCATTCTACCCGACCTCTTAGCAACATTGCAAGTGATGACTCTCCTCCTTCCTTAAGAAGGTCTTCCTTCTCTAGGCTCCCGGCATGTTTTTCTGCCTCACCAGTGGCTCCTTGTAATCACCTTTTCCAGCTCCCCAACTTCTACCCCTACCACTAGTGGCCATGTCTAGTCCTATGTCCACTTTTCTATCTATACTCCACTCCCATGGATTTGGATCCCACCTCTGCCAAAATCTTCCAAATGCTATCTCCTACCATGATGGTCTCAATTCCCAGACTCACTTTGCCAAGTACCTAGTTGGCATCTCCTGTGGCCATTAATGGGCATCTGCAATTTAACATGCCTGCACAGAACTCTCTGCGCCCACAATCTACTGCCCATCTTCCCCGTGTCCATTGAAGACACCAGCATCTGCCAGGTTGCTGATGCCAAAAACCTAGGAGTCATTCTTTTTTTTTTTTAATTTTTTGTAGAGACAAGGTCTCTCTAAGTTGTCCAGACTGGTCTTGAACTCCTGACCTCAAACGGCCCTCCTGCCTCAGCCTCTGTATTAGTCAGGGTTCCCTGGAGGGACAGAACTAATAGGAGATATATATATATATAGAGAGAGAGAGAGAGATAGATATAGATATAGATATATACATACACACACACACGTATGTATATAAAGAGGAGTTTTATCTATATATATATACACACACACACACACACACACGTATGTATATAAAGAGGAGTTTATTAAATATTAACTTATACGATCACAAGGTCCCACAATAGTCTGTCTGCAAGTTTGAGGGGCAAGGAGAGCCAGTCCAAGCCTCAAAACTGAAGAACTTGGAGTCCGATGTCTGAGGGCAGGAAGCATCCAGTATGGGAGAAAGATGTAGGCTAAGAGGCTAGGCCAGTCTTGCATTTTCATGTTTTTCTGCCTGCTTTATATTCACTGGCAGCTGATTAGATTGTGCCCACCAGCTTAAGGGTGGGTCTGCCTTCCCCAGCCCACTGACTCAAATGTTAATCTCCTTTGGCAACACCCTCACAGACACACCTGGAAACAACACTTTGCATCCTTCAATCCAATCAAGTTGACACTCAGTATTAACCATCACAGCCCCGCAACGTGCTAGGACTATAGTAGGCATGAACCACCCAGCCTGACTCGTAGGAGTCATTCTTGATTCCCTTATTTTCTCACCTCCATATCCAATCCGTGTGCAAGTCCTATTGGCACAATTGCCCAGATAAATGTAAAATCTACGTTTTTCTCTCCGCTTTCTTTGCTACCACCAAGACACAGGCCACATCACTCTCTCCTGAAATAAAGCAATATGGTTTCCCCAACCCCACTCCCACACCCCCACATAGCAAGCTCCTTGCTTCCATCCCTGCCCCTCTCCACCTGCCAAGCCAACCACACCTCTCCCTCCACTTCTGCTATCTGGCCCTCGTGTTCCTCAAATAATCAGGCTTGCTCCTATCTTCTTCAAGAAATGTCTATCCATACCTCTGGTAAGTGACAATCATAAAAATACCAGATGCTGTCATCTGCCCAGATGTTGTCTGCAATAAAATGCCAGACATCTGTACTGGGTTGATTGCTCCCAAGAATTCATGTCTATTCAGAACCTCAGAATGTAGCCTTATTTGGAAATAGGGTCTTTGCAGGTAATTAGTTAAGTAAAGAAGAGGTTCTGCTGGATCAGGGTGGGCCCTGGATCTAATGACTGGCATTATTACAAGAAGAGAGAATTCAGAGACACACAGAGGGAAGAAGGCTATGTAAAGATGGAGGCAGATTGCTGCAGCCACAAGCCAGAGATTGCCAGCAACCACCAAAACCAAGAGGAGGCAAGAAGAGATTATTTTTCGGAGCCTTCATGTGGAGCATGGCCCTCCTGACACCCTGAATTTGGATTTCTAGCCTCCAGAACTGCAAGAGAATAAATATCTGTTGTTGAAAGGAGCCCATTGCTAATTTGTAATGTGAGCCCTAGGAAATGAACACAGCATCTTACCAATATTGTCTCCAGTCCATGTGCCAACCCGCAAAGGTAAAATTGTGGATCTCACTTTACAGATGGGAAATTAAGTGTCAGAGAGGGGATGTCTCTTTCTCAAGTTCATACTGCCACACTGGCAGAGCTGAAATGTAAAACTCATTCAACTTCAGAAAGCGCTTTCTTTACATTGGGCTGAGCAGCCACCCTCTTTTTATAGAATAGATGTGAAAGAGGGAGGCCAGAGAAGCAACACCTGAAAGTCTTGCTTACTTAAAGTACCTCTGACGCTCTTGGGTTGGAAAGGATTTCTGGGAAGCCAAGGAGAGAAGAACTGGCTACCAACCATTTCAAGAACAAACTTAAAGGCACTGGGGCCTTAAAACCATAGCTGTCATGTACAGGACCACCCCATCTCATATATACACATGTGTGTGAATATATATAAGGTTTTATTTTATGCAATATGCATTTTTTTTCCCCTGAGATGGAGTCTCACTCTTATTGCCCAGGCTGGAGTGCAATGGCGTGATCTTGGCTCACTGCAACCTCTGCCTCCCAGGTTCAAGTGATTCTCCTGCCTCGACCTCCCTAGTAGCTGGGATTACAGGCACCTGCCACCACGTCCAGCTAATTTTTTGTATTTTTAGTAGAAACAGCATTTCACTATGTTGGCCAGGCTGGTCTCGAACTCCTGACCTCAGCTTCCCAAAGTGCTGGGATTACAGACGTGAGCCACCGCGCCAGGCTCAATCATTATTTTTTGCTCATCACAGAGTCCTTTGTAGCTCCTGACCTGAATCATTATTATTATGCTTGTCTCAGATGCTAACAAGTTTACCTCTGAACAAGCATTCTCAGCAAAAGATCCAAAAATCTTTAACTGGTGGAGGCACAGAACTTGGAACGAGCATCTGGCATGTAATTATTTTTAAGGGGAAAAAAATAGTCCATCTCGTCAGCTTTCCATCCCGTGCAAAGACAAATTGGCCACGAGGACACACATGGAAGGATGAGTCTGGGGGGGCGGACCTGCACCATCCTTTCACGGATTCACTGAGTTTAATCAAGATGAATGCAATCATTCACTCTCTGAGGATGGACTGTCCTCAACATCCCTCTCCCCACGTTTATAGAAAAACCTGGCCTCGCTTGGCTCCCAAAACCACCGTGAAGAGGTTTCATGCAAGTTTTCTAAAGCGTCAGTGAAAACAGGACTTGTTTGCTTTATCATTTAAATTTCAAAATACATCTCTGGCCAAAGAGAAATATAAACAACACAGGGCTTGTGCTTCCAAGAAGAGAAAAGGAGAGGCCACTAAGCTTCACCATCCAGCTGAAAAATAAAAGCCCCATGATTTAGGGCAGAAGATGCTTCTTCTTCTAATTATTGTTGTTGTTATTTGCAGCTAATAATAAGTCTCACCTACTCAGAACTTTACAGAGCCTCTCCTTCGGAAACGTCACATCCACTCTGGGCCTCAGTTTCCCTCACCTGTACAACAAGGAACTAGACACTCAGTAAGAAGCCCTTAGCAAGAGATCTACTTTGAGAATGAAATGAGGAGAGAGCCAGCTCGGCTTGACTGAAATGTACCCAGGTGTAACCTGCCAGAAAGCACATAGCCTTCTGTCCAACAAAGTAGAACATCCCAGCAGCAAGAAGATACACACCCTGCCCACCCCTCACCATGGGATCAATAAAGCTATTTTCATTTTGAATGGAGAAACAAAAAGTAGGCTCATAAACACTTTGATGTTTCCAGAATTGGTCGCTGGGTAGAAAAAAATGCTCACATTGAACTAGATGCCCTCCAAAGAGCAGGCACTTGGCCCTAACAGCCTGGCTCACCAGATGTTACAACGGTGCTGAGGGAAATACGGCACAGGGGCTTCGGGCCAGAATGAAGATCAAAGGCTTTCAGGACAGAGGAGGACTTCAGGCTTTCCACCCCTGCCCCTGCTGAAGCCACCCAGCAAGATGCTCCTGCAGAACTCAACTCAAGACTCATGGTCTGGGGCCATGCAGGGAATCCATCGTATTTGCCAGAAAGAAAGGGGGAAGGAAATTTTTCCAGGGAGCTGCCAACTCCGTGCATGGGGCCTGGGGGAGCAGCTCAACCCTGACGTGCAAGCAGAGAGGCCCTGGAGTTCTTGGAACAGGCCTTGGTTCAAAGGAGGATAAGGAACAAGCTGCACAGATTCTCCCTTCTGTGCTGGGAGGCTCCTGGACCGTGAAGGGGGCTGGTTAGGAGGAAGCCAAAAACTCCAGCCTCAGGGCTGCTCAGTCAGGCTGATGGCTCCCCTATACAGGGAGCCCCAGGGGGTGAACCAGAGGAGCAGTTGGCTGCCAGGGGACCAGAGGCTAAGTGTCTAGGACTCAGTCTAACATATTCTGGAGACAGACTGGGAGGCCAGCAAGAGACAGCAGACAGTCCATGTGAGTGTTAGAAAGCCCTGGGGCTAGGTCGGGTGTGGTGGCTCACGCCTGTAATCCCAGCACTTTTGGAGGCTTGAGGCAGGCAGATCACCTGAGGTCGGGGGTTCGAGACCAGCCTGACCAACATGGAGAAACCCCGTCCCTACTAAAAACACAAAATTAGCTGGGCATGGTGGCACATGCCTATAATCCCAGCTACTTGGGAGACTGAGGCAGGAGAATCGCTCGAACCCAGGAGGCGGAGATTACGGTGAGCCAAGATGGTGCCACTGCACTCCAGCCTGGGCAACAAGAGCAAAACTCCATCTCAAAAAAAAAAAAAAAAAAGAGAAAAAGAAAGAAAGAAAAAGAAAGCCCTGTGGCCAGGATCCAGGGCACGTGAGTTCAGATAGACAGCTACAAAACCAACAGAGATTTTGCATACTCCCAGGGATTCTTTCCTTGCATTAAGAAGCAGGATTGGCTTTCAAAGATCTTTTACTACCTGGTGAATTTTAAGAACTCATTGCTTATTAATTGAAGAACTAAAAGATACACATGGTAAAATTTTCCAACAGGACTGTAAAAAAGTCATACAGTCAAGGCTAAGTTTCTCTCCTGGCCCCAGAAAGCTCCCGGGTGGCCTCTTAGCAACAGCCACTATGACCATTTTCTTTGTGCACCCTTCCAAATCCAGCCTATGCAAATATGCTTGTGTGTATATGTAAGTCTGTGTGTGTTATCCTCCTTTACACACAAATGGAAACAGTTATGAAATTCCAAAATAGACACTCACCATCTGGAGCCTTACTTTGTCATCCATTGAGTGACAAACTTGGATGGGTCCCTTCTGACTCTGAAGATTCCAAACGATGAATCTAGCCAGCCATATACAACCAGCCTGAAGAACTAAAGTGCAGGTTGGCTGAACTCAACGCTGGGGAATCATCAGGTCTGGTGGACTCCACTAGTGAGAACAACTGATTTTTACGAGAAATCACCAGGATTAGGCACCAGGTCAAGCAATCTAGCGGAAGCACTTTGTTCAACCTTCCCAATCCCCTTAGGAATTAGGGACTATTATTATTATTATTATTCCCATTTTACAGAAAACAAAACCAAGATCCTGAGGCCAAGCAATTTGCCCAAGGTTACTGGCAAGTTGTAGGTAAACAGGATAGGCTGGGTGTAGCGGTAGCTCATGCCTATAATCCCAGCACTTTGGGAGGCAGAGGAGGGGGAATTGTTTGAGCCAAGGAGTTCGAAACTGGCCTGGGCAACATAACAAGACCTCATCTCTACTATCAAAAAAAAAAAAAAAAAAAAAAGCTGGGCATGGTGGCACACTCCTGTAGTCCCAGCAACTGAGGAGGCTAAGACAAGAGAATCCATTGAGCCCAGGAATTTGAGGCTGCAATGAACCATGATTGTGCGACTGCACTCCAGCTTGGGCAACAGAGTAAGACCCCATCTCAAAAAATAAATAAATAATAAATAAATAAAGAGGATACAAATGCACTTTTCTTATGCTCAGCATTTTCGAGGACACCCATATAGCTGAGGAAGAGATGCACGCCATATGAAGAAGGTATGTACTGAGCAAGGTTGAGTGACGCGGCTAGGAACATACAGCTAGCCACATATGTCAGATGCAGAACCTAAGCCCTTTGGTTTTGCATTCGCATCCCATGCTTTTGATTTCCACTAAAGCATCCTGAAAATGCAACATGGTCGTACCCCACGTAGCAGCCAGAGTTCTGAAGTAGATGTCATCATCTACTGTGTGCCCTTCAAAGCTGTGCCCCTTCAAAGCTACTCTCATTTTCCACGCAGCAAACTGTGCTATTTAAATCAAACTCAAAATGATAGTGAAAAATAGTGACAAATGCTGAAGAATTATCCCCTTCACCTCAACAAGACCCAAGTCTTCCTGGCCTCAGAAACCCAATTTCATGAGAAAGCAACTCCATGGAGGAAAAAATATTTGGTGTAATTTTGTGACTGTAACTTGGTGTAACCAAATGGGGAAACAACTGAACAACATGCATTGAGAGCCTTAAAAATGTCTAGAACCTTTGACTTGATAATTCTTGCAGAAATCTATCCTATAGGTTTCTGCACACATATGTGCACACATGCACAGACATATACACCAAAACACTCATCTCAACATTATTTAAAAGAGGAAAATACACAATGTTCTTTTTTTTTTTTTTTTTTTTTTTAGCTAGTGTTTGGCTCTGTTACCCAGGCTGAAGTGCAGTGCATGATCTCGACTCACTGCAACCTCCACCTCCTGGGTTCAAATGATTTTCCAGCCTTAGCCTTCCGAGTAGCTGGGATTAGAGGCATGCATCACCACACCCAGCTAATTTTTGTATTTTGAGTGGAGATGCGGTTTCACCATGTTGCCCAAGCTGGTCTCGAACTCCTGACCTCAAGTGTTCCACCCACCTCGGCCTCCCAAAGTGCTGGGATTACAGGCAGGAGCCTTCATGCCCGGCCACATTAAATATTCTTAATACCTAATAGTGCAGATAAAATTGGGAGAAAGACAAGCTGTCATTGCAATAGGATGTTACAACATTATATTGCATTAAAAATGATACCTAAAAGCTTGCTCTTTACAACACATGGAAATACTAATACTACATTAGGAGAAAAATCCAATAAACTTGTTGACATTACATGATCTCAAGTTTAAAAGAAATATGCAAAGAAAAAAAGAAAAATGCAGCAATTGCGTTAACACGACTTATTTTCTTCCTTATACTCTTAACATTTCCCACATTTTCTACAAAGAAAAATCTCATAAATAGAAGCATTATTTGAAAGAAATGATGACCCACGCTCCTGGATAAAAAGGTAAAATTTAATAGCAACCTGGCTGGGAGTGGTGGCTCGTGTCTGTAATCCCAACACTTCGGGAGGCCAAAGTAGGCAGATCACTTGAGCCCAGGAGTTTGAGATTAGCCTGGGACACATGGGGCTGAAGGGGCCCCAAGGGAGGGGCCTGAGGAACAGGCATCACCTGTTCAGCCTTCATAATCACTTTAGGAATTTAGACTGTTAATTATTATTCCCATTTTACAGTAAAAGAAGCTGACTGAGAGTTTAAAATGCAACTACTCTTAGGATGAAGCCAGATAGTTCCTTTTTTTTGAGATAGGGTCTCACTCTGTCACCCAGGCTGGAATGCAGTGGTGCAATTACAGCTCACTGCAGCCTCAAACTCCTGGGCTCGAGCAATCCTCTCACCTCAGCTAGGACCACAGGCGCACTCCACCATGTATGGCTAATTTTTTAATGTTTTGTAGAGACAGGCTCTCGCTTTGTTGCCCAGGTTAGTGTTGAACTCCTGGGCTCAAGAGATCCTCCCGCCTCAGCCTCCTGAACTGCTGGGATTACAGGCGTGAGCCACCTCACCCAGCCTCAGATAGCCCCTTAAAGGGCGATTAGAAAGCTGAGGGCAAAGAGAGAGCTGAACACAAAGGACATGTGATCAAAGCCGACTGCTTCGACGGGCAGTGAAGGCCATTGACAAGCCTCTTAATGTAAACACTGTTCATCCATTTATCAATTGTTGGAATTAACCTTGCAGATAAAGCACAGGAGTCTTAAGTGTGGGCGTGGGAGTATAAATGTTCCACACCTTGCCAGGGGGAAAATGGGAAGTACAAGTGGCAAGAGGGGGCATGCTGGTCTCCCTGCCTCCCCCAGTGTGAGTCCCGGGACATTGCTGAGGGTCCAGAAGTCTAAGTCAACAGACAAGGAGCAACATGAGCTTATTCTTTAGAGGTACTGACCTGTCCCTGATTCACTCTGGGAAACAGGGCTAAGGACAGGCAGAAAAAGGGCAGGGGAATCTGGATTTTCCATAAAAGCCTTACCCATTTGATGTTAAATATATGCATGTGCTATTTCAATTAAAAACCTAATTCTTTCAAAAAGATATCAGACCCAGAATTTAAGCATATCAAAAGCAGGAGTTTCATATTTTAAGCTCCTATCCTTCTCTTTGATATGGTTAAAAAGCTCTGCATCCATATGAAGTTGGCTGTCAGTGGGATGGGCTGGCAGCCACAGCCTAAAGCCTCCCCAACAACCTGACACAAGAATCCACATCCCCATTGAGCAGAAACCACCTTTAGATATGCACCATTCCAAGCGCTTTTCTCATGCAGATAAACTGGGAAGGGATTACAGGTGTGAGATCATAGCATACGTGCCACTTTCAATATAAAGACTTTTGAACTTTAACAACAACAATGAAAAATACACTACTTGAGCTTTGGAAATAGCAATCTTTCTTCTCTTGATCTTCTTGCCAAAGACTCTTGCTTTCCTTCCAAGACAACCTCCTCAAAGCAGTTAGAATGATCTGATCATGAAATCCAATCATGTCACTCCCTGGCTCAAAATCCTTCTTGGCTCTCCATGGGTTACAGGACAAAATTTACACCCAGCTGCTGTCCTCTTTTAGCTTGGGTTCATTTCCCACTTGCCACATTGCAGTTTGCTCAGGCAAACTGAGTTTCTGCAGTTCCCAGACTGAACTGAGCTTTCATCCATCTCAGCCCTGTAGGTGCTGTTTCTCCCGCCCACAATGTCCTTCTTATCTCTGGCCAGCCCAACAAGCTCAGCATTTCTGCTTCCGAGATTCATCTCAAGTCCTGCCTCAGTGGGAATGCCCCCTGATTTGTCCCGATGGACTTACCCCTCTAATAATCACTGCATTGAATTTATTTTTTCTTTCTTTCTTTTCTGAGACAGAGTCCTGCTCTGTCGCCCAGGCTGGAGTGCAGTAGCGTGATCTCAGCTCACTGCAACCTCCACCTCCCAGGTTCAAGCAATTCTTGTGCCTCAGTCTCCCGAGTAGCTGGGACTACAGGCACTCGCCACTACGTCTGGCTAATTTTTGTATTTTTAGTAGATATGGGATTTCACCATGCTGGCCAGGCTGGTCAAGAACTTCTGATCTCAACTATCCGCTCGTCTTGGCCTCCCAAAGTGCTGGGATTACAAGTGTGACCCACTGCACCCAGCCTGCATTGAATTGTTTAATCTTTCCTTTCGTGGTTTGCCACAGACAGACTGAGTCTTTCCATCCTTGTGTCCTCAGGTTCTAAAAAACAACCACTAAAGTAACAACTACAACAACCAAGACTCACTGAGCTCTTAAAACGGGCCAGACACTATTCTAGGCACTTTATATGCACTAATTCATTTAATCCTTACAACAGCTCTATGAAGCATGCACTATTGCAATACTCATTTTACAGATAGAACAACTGAAGCTCTGAGAGTTTAAACAATTTAGTCAATACCACACAACTGATTACTGGTAGAGCCAGGATTCGAACCCAGACAGCCTCATCCACACCTGGTAGGCCTGCCACATATGGCCGTGCAGATTGTACCCTGCACAACTCTAAAGTCCACCGTTTGTGTCACAGTTTAGCATAGCACTGCCCAGTGGAAATATAATGCAAACTACACATGTAATTGTTAATTTTCTTTCTTTTTTTTTTTTGAGACAGAGACCCTCTGTCGCCCAGGCTGGAGTTCAGTGGTGCGATCTCAGCTCACTGCAAGCTCCGCCTCCCGGATTCACGCCATTCTCCTGCCTCAGCCTCCCCAGTAGCTGGGACTACAGGCGCCCACCACCATGCCCAGCTAATTTTTTGTGTATTTTTAGTAGAGATGAGGTTTCACCGTGTTAGCCAGGATGGTCTCGATCTTCTGACCTCGTGATCAGCCCACCTCAGCCTCCCAAAGTGCTGGGATTACAGGCGTGAGCCACCGCACCCGGCAGTAATTTTTAATTTTCTAGTTGCTACATTAAAAAATACTAAGCAGAAACCAAAGGTGAAATTCATTTTTAATGTTTTATTTAACTTAGTATATCGAAATCTTATCATCTCAACATGTAATCAATATTTCAAAAGTTGTTATGAATTTTTTCTTTTTTTTAAACTGAGTCTTATAATCCATTGTGCAATTTACATATACAACATATTTTAATTTGAATTTTCGCACATTTCGACTGCTCAATAGCCACATGCGGCTAGTGGCTAGCGGCTACCATATGGGACAGCACAGGCCTAGCTACTACTTGAAGAAGCCCCAAGTTTCCTGGGCCTCAGTGTCCCCACGTTAAAAATGCGGACGGGCTTGATCTCTGTATCTTCTTTCACCATCAGATTGAGTTTGATAACCTTTCATTGATCTTAGCTAGTATCCGCACAGCTTTTTTCATGTTACACAAGACAACAATACTTTCTCTAGCTCTCAAAACATGCTCCCAGTTGCAAGTATCAGAAACTGAGGCTCAGGCTCGGCGCAGTGGCTCATGTCTGTAATCCCAACACTTTGGGAGACCAAGGCGGGCGGATCACTTGAGGCCAGGACTTTAAGACCAGCCTGGCCAACATGGTAAAACCCCAACTCTACTAAAAATACAAAAATTAGTTAGGCATGGTGGTGCATGTCTGTAATCCAGCTACTCGGGAGGCTGAAGCATGAGAACCACTTGAACCTGGGAGGCAGAGGTTGCAGTGAGCCAAGATCGCGCCACTGCATTCCAGCCTGGGCGACAAAGCGAGACTCTATCTCAAAAACACAAAAGAAAAAAAAAAAACAAAACCTAAGACTCAGAGAGGCCAACTGCTCAGCCCAAAGTCACACAGTCAGCAGGGGCCAGAACTTGGGCTTCCCTGCCTGACCAGTAACTGGTCTTCAGTTACTGCTTGCTAATTCTTCACCCAAGCACCCTAGGAAATGTGTACCTCCTTCCCTCGAGGGAGATGCTACACCTCCCCTTGGCATTCCAGGCACATTGTTGAAATTTAATGAACCATTCTGTTCATCAACTTTTAAAGAGATCCCATCATGCATCCTGCTCTGATTACTGAGCAGAGGAACATCTGGAAGTTTAAACCACTCAACAGCTGGGCAACATTTTTATCCTTAAAAAGCATAATTTATTACTCCAACAATGAAAACCATATTTGTCAATTTGGGGAGAAGGGTGTGCAACTTTGCAGCTATCAGTTTCTGGGCTGGGAGGGGTGTATGTTTGCCCTTGGCCCCGTGACCTACTGGAGTAAACAGAATGAGCCTGCTGCTAATCCACTCTTGCTGATTAAACTCCCAACCCACACAGAGGCAACCCTTCCCTATTACAGATCAGGTCTGTGGGAGTGCTGGACCGCTGGCCTTGAACCCATACTTCTCTTCCAGGCTCAGCAGATGCATCCCAAGCAAGCTGAACTGGGTGCAGGGCAAGTCCCACGGGAGCATCTCTACAAAAGGCAGAGTTCCAAACTCCAAATGCTTGACCTCACCCTTAGAATCATCTCAATCTAGTGACATTCCATGAAGATGAAAGAATGCGGATGATCCTTGAAGCTGCCAGATGAGACTCGATAGAATCTGTGGTGCAAAAGAAAGAGACACGCACCTTCTAATTCCACCTCTGCATTTCTTAGAGGTTAATGATGAGGGCGAATTACTTGGCAAAGAAATCCTTTCCAATGTTAAGAGTCTAGGATTCCAGGAAAATGCAAAGTAGTATTGGGTCCTACCTATTTAATATGTACCCCAGGAACTCTGGCACAGGTAACCTTGCAAGGCATCCCCAACTGCTCTGCTGTGAGCTCCCGAGGGCTGGGTAGCCTGAGGGTGTCATTAGCCGACTTATCCCGAGGCTCTTCCGCATTGCACATCTCAACCAATCTACCTGGAACCCTGGAGGAAGAGATCACCTCTAGACAGGAGAGCATACCAGTTAGGACACATAGAGAGTCTTTCAAATCCCAGCGTGCCCTGCTACTGGTTAGCTGTTAACCTTGGGAAGACACTTATCTCTCTGCCTCAGTTTCTCCGTTTGTACAACGAGAAATTACTATGGATCAACCACCTCAACTGTTGTGAAGATTAAGTATACAGGTTGAATACAGATGCAGAGTGCTCAGAGCAAAGCCTGGTGACAGTCAGAGCTATCTACAAGCTCACTAACAGATGAGGAAAGCAAGATCCAAGAGGATTCAAGTGACTAGCCTCATTTTGCAGACATGGGGCTCACACTTGGATCCCAGGACTCCAGAGCTGGGAAGAGAAAAACCAAAGTAACGTGTACTATGAGATTCTACAACTGTAAAGCACCCTTGCTCCTTCAATGATGATTTACCGAGCACGGATTTTGCTATAGCCCCAGTACCAGTGTGCCTACCCCGGGGCTCGCAGCCAGTTAGAGAGCAACCAGCACTCCAGCAGGGACCACATAGCAAGACCCCATCTGTACTAAGAATAAAACAAATTAGCTAGGAGCGGTAGCACTTGCCTGCAAGTCCCAGCTACTCAGGAGGCTGAGGCAGGAGTATCCCTTGAGCCTGGCAGACAGAGGCTGTTGTGAGCTATGATCACGCCACTGCACTCCAGCCTAGGCAACAGAGTGAGAGAGAGAGAGAGAATAACCAGCGTTTATTGAGCACCTACCACATGCCAGCTCTGGGAAAGCTCTACATGCACGTCATTCTACTCTCACAACAAGGTAAGGATCTAGTGAGTACCACTTATTTTCTAGTTTTATAGATGAGGACGTGGAGGCTCTAGAGGGTAAGCAACTCGCTGAGATCTCAGAGTTTTGAAGCGGCAGAGGGGGAATTCAAATCAATGCTGCTGGAACTGCAGAGTGCACCCTTATCCATTATGCATGATTGCCTTCCAACAGATGTCAGCAATTTTTTGTGGCTTCTGGTGGTCTCTCACCGAATATCTGAATAACACAGAACGCCAGCAGAGCCCTCATTTATAAAAAGCCCAGGCGCTGAGCCTGACGTAATACATGAATGAATAAATCCTGCTGATGAACCGGGTCCCTCTCCTGGAAGAGAGACCTGCCTGCTCTCCCTTCTTACAATCTGGGCCTCAAGTGTGGATGGAATGTCAGGCAGGGGGCAGCACAGGAATTAACAGCTATTGATTCCTCACTGAGACTTCCGGAGCAGGGTGGGACCCCTTGGGAGCCCCTTCTATTCAGTTGCGATAAGTTTATCTGTTTTTGAAAGGCGTATCTTGGCAGGGGGGTATCCAAGCTCAAGGGCACACATCTACTGGAGGAGGCCCCAACAGGCCTACATTTCAAGTCTAAAATGGGAAGCCTGGAAGGAAGTGGGGGTGAAATCCCACCTGGGCAAGTCAAGATCACCTTGAGGAAAGCCACAATCCAGCCGGACTATGATCCTGCCTGGCGTCCTTGGCCCACGTTGAGGGGAAGTAAACTGGACCCGGGCTGTTTCCCTTCTGCTAGTTACTGCCCCTCTCCTGGGCATCAGTTCTGCCTCTGCAAGTGTAAGTGATCTTTAAACACCAACAGGAACAAGGCGAACAGCAGGGAGCACTTACTCTGTGTTTATTATTTCCAGGCTCCGAGTTAATCTCTACACATGCCGGATCTTTCTCTCTCTATTTTTTCTGAGACAAGGTGTCACTCTGTTGCAGCTCACTGCAGCATCGACCTCCCAGGCTCAAGCAATTCTCCCATCTCAGCCTCTAGTAGCTGGGACTGCAGGCACATGCCACCACACCCAGCTAATTTTTTTTTTTTTATTTTTCATTTTTGTAGAGACAGGGTCCAACTATGTTGCCCAGGCTGGTTTCCCACTCCTGAGCTCAAGTGACTCTCCTGCCTCAGCCTCCCAAAGTGCTGGAATTACAGGCATGAGCCACCATACCAGGTCTCTATCTTATTTAACCCTTAGGGAAATATATATATATATGTGTGTGTGTGTGTATATATATATATATATATTTAAATAGATATATCTATTTAAATATATATGTATATACACACACACACACACATATATATATATATATTTCCCTAAGGGTTAAATTGAGTCTGTAATATATATATATCTATTTAAATATATATTATTTAATATATATTAAATAGATATATATATTTAAATAGATATATATATATGTAACAGACTCAATTCACAGACAGGGAAACTACTGAGGTAGACAGATGTTAAGTTCATTGCATAATGAACTAAGTAATAAAATGAGGCAAAGGCCCAGCAGGTCTGTGTCTCTCCTATTCCAGAACAGCGCTCTCAACCATCACACCAAGAGCATTTCTTTTGAGATGATTGCTGAAGGTGAACTACTTGGCCATAGAAGTCCATTCCAAATTTGAGAGTCTACAATCCCAGGAAAATCCAACAGCAGTACTGCGTCCTAGCTGTATACCCTGGAAATTCTGACATAGGCAACCAGATGTATGAAATGTCCACAGCAGCACTGTTTGTATCGGGAGGGGGTGGGGGGACACCTGCGAACAACTCACATGTCCTTGGAGAACAGATCAATCAACTGTGGTCAGTTCACACAATGGAACAGATTATCACAGTGAAAAATAAGCTACAGCAGCAGGCATCAGCAGAGACTTACCAACATGATGCAGAGCGGCAAAGGAAGCTGAAGGCAGCATGGAATTTCTGTAAAGCTCTAAAGGAAGTAAAGGAAACAATACACTATTTAAGAATACAAACGGGAGGCCGAGGCGGGTGGATCACCTGAGGTCAGGTGTTCAAGACCAGCCTGGCCAACATGGTGAAACCTCATCTCTACTAAAAATACAAAAATTAGCCAGGCATGGTGGCGAGTGCCCGTAATCCCAGCTACTCAGGAGACTGAGGCAGGAGAATCGCTTGAACCCAGGAGGTGGAGGTTACAGTTAGCCGAGATCATGCTATTGCACTCCATCCCCATCCTGGGTGACAAGAGCGAAACACCATCTCAAAAAAAAAAGAAAAAAAAAAGAATACGCATGGGTTTTTTTTTTTTCATCCATGACATGATAAACATCAACATTCAAGATAAGAGTTGGCCTGGCATAGCGGCTCACGCCTGTAATCTCAACACTTTGAGAGGCCGAGATAAGAGGATCTCTCGAGCCCAGGAGTTTGGGACCAGCCTGGGCAACATAGTGAGATCCTATCTCAACAAAAAGAAAATCAGGGCCACCAATGAGGGAGAATGCTCGGGGGCAGGGGGTAGGCATGGGAGAAAACTGAAAAGAATATGGAGTTAGAGTCAACCATCAGTGTTCATAGTTTGGATCCTAGGCAGGGTGGAGAGGTCATGGGTATTTACTTACCAATATGCCTCCCAACTGGCCTGTAGGTGACATCTATAATTTTGTTTGTGTTGAGACGGAGTCTCACTCTGTTGCCTAGGCTGGAGTGCAGTGGCGTGATCTCAGCTCACCATAACCTCCGCCTCCCGGGTTCAAGAGATTCTCCTCCCTCAGCCTGCTGAGTAGCTGGGACTACAGGCATGTGCCACCAAGCCCAGCTAATTTTTGTATTTTTAGTAGAGACGGGGTTTCACTATGTTGGCCAGGCTGGTCTCGAACTCCTGAACTCATTATCTGCCCACCTTGGCCTCCCAAAGTGCTGGAATTACAGGCATGAGCCACCACACCCAGCCTTACATCTATAATTTTGTAGGTATTAATAGTGTATAATGGTCTTCAGGTTGAAGCTACATTAAATTCATTCACCAATTCTGTCGCATCCAAATTATTTGCTAGCCATTTATGTTGTGGGCAGCATAACATAAATGATGCTATAGATTATTGGAAGGTGATTCAATATGTTGGGATTTTTTGGGTGGGTACCCTGTGCCTCCTCCGCCCCTGATGAATTTCTGCCATGCCCAAGAGAGCTGGGTGCTCCCTTCCATATTTGCAAAGTGGAAAAGCAGCATCTACCTGATCAAGCTGCCGAAAGCACTGACAAGAACTCATGTAAAAGCAGAAGTCAGCCCCAGCACAGGGTCAAGACTCTGGGAGCAGCAAAGCCATGTGGTCAAGATCCAGGCTCTGCCACTTCTGGTTGAATGGCCTTGGCTAAGTTTCTTAAAATGTCTGTGCCTCACACCAAAAGCACAGGCAACAAAACAAAGAGTTAAATGGGAATGAATTTAAAAACTCATTCAGTCTTAAAAGGGCATAAAATTGTGACACAGGCTACAACGGAGATATACCTTTGAAAGATTACACTAAGGTGGGGCACGGTGGCTCATGCCTGTAATCCCAGCACTTAGGGAGGCCGAGGAGGGTGGATCACCTGAGGTCAGGAGTTTGAGACCAGCCTGGCCAACATGGCGAAGCCCCGTCTCTACTAAAAAATACAAAAATTAGCCACGCGTGGTGGTGCACGACTATAATCCCAGCTACTAGGGAGGCTGAGGCAGGAGAATCTCTTGAATTGGGAGGCAGAGGTTGTGGTGAGCTGAAATTGTGCCACTGCACTCCAGCCTGGGCAACAGAACAAGATTCTGTCTCAAAAAAAAATAAAAAATAAAAAAAAGTTTACACCAAGTGTAATGAGCCAGTCACAAAAGGATGAATACTATGATTCCACCTATACGGATGCTTAGGGTAGTTAGATTCATAGAAACTGTGGATACCAGGGGATGAGGGGAGGGGGAGAGGAGAGTAAGTGTTTAATGAGTGCAGAGTTTCAGTTTGGAATGATGAAAAATGTTCCGGAGATGGTTAGATTAGCGGTGATGGTTACACAACAATACCAATGGCCTTAATGCCACTGAATTGTACAGTTAGAAATGGTTACAATGGCAAATTTTATTATGTAAATTTTACCACAGTAAAAACATTTTACACATAAAAATTAAAAATAAACTGTCTGTGCCTCAATCCCAACATCTGTAAAATGAGGATGGTCATCCTGTCAGTCCCCTCAAAGGGTTTGCTAGGGAGATTAAATTAGCCAAAACCTGCAGAGCACTTAGAGCATTGCCCAGCATGCAGCAGGAGCTAAATAAATGAGAGTAAATTAGGAGATGCCCAGCGTGCAGCTGGAACTGCTCATTAAGACACAACTCAGCCCCTCCTGAGCTGGGGAAGAAATAAAGACAAGGATGCATGAAAGGCTGGCTCACTCAAGCCGACTTCACACAGAAACCCTCCCCGGCTGACGCGTCAGGCAGGCTCCTGGATTCTGGAGAGACCCAGATATGGCCCAGGTGTCTCCACCTGCTCAGCCTCTCCCAGAAACCCAGAAGCTCTTTTCTTGGGAATAATGAGGAAGGGGCTGGAGAAGGAGGATGGAGGTCTTCCCCACCAGGAAATCTCTCTATTCTCACGTCCACTTTCACCAGCTGTCTGGATAAAGGAAAACTCTAGATTTAGGACAACTGAAAGTGCAAAAATAATTTCCCATCTGCGGCCGGGGGCGGTGGTTCATGCCTGTAATCCCAGCACTTTGGGAGGTCAAGGCGGGTGGATCACCTGAGATCAGGAGTTCGAGACCAGCCTGGCCAACATAGCGAAACCCCGTCTCTATTAAAAATACAAAAATTAGCCAGACTTGGCAGCAGGTGCCTGTAATCCCAGCTACTCAGAAGGCTGAGGCAGAAGAATTGCTTGAACCTGGAAGGCAGAGGGTGCAGTGAGCCGAGATCGTGCAATTGCACTCCAGCCTGGGTCTGCCTCTCGTTTCCATGTGGTTTGCGTCACCACCCTCCTGTTCACGTTTGGTTTGAGGGTGACCATGTTTTTGTTGAAGGAGCCAGAGGTGAGGTGTGCAGCAACTCACTTAATTTTCTTGAATACCCAAACACACAGGGACCATTTGTATTCCCATTTTACAGATGAGGGAACTGAGGCACCAGGCTCTGAAGCTCACACAGCTACTTGGCAGCAGGGCTGAGGTTCAAGCCACACGGTCTGTTATTAGAGTGGGAGGAGACAAAAGCGGACATGGGTCAGGGACAGTAGGAGAATCCCTGACTGATGTGGTCACTGTCACTCACGTGGCCTAAAGTAGAGCTGGGTCTAGGGGAGGCATTTACAAATACAACCAGGAGAGCAGATGATGTTTGCACACTTTTCTTAGTTCAGAAATCAGAGCCAGAGAGCAGGAGAAGACACTGGGTAAGAGACCTACAAGTTTCCTCTCCATGGGATCCTGGGATTAAACTGCTCCTCTCCTCCCCCAGTCTTCCCATCACCATGACATCTATATATTATATATATATATTTGTATATATTATATATATTTGTATATTATATATTTGTATATATTATATATATATATTTGTATATTATATATATTTGTATATATTATATATATTTGTATATATTATATACATATATTTTTTTTGAGACAGAGTCTCAAAATTGATTCACATGAATTAATACAGGAAAAGTTCAAACCGGCACGAAGTCAGGGCTTAATATCTATATAATGCCATTTTAATATCGCTATTAGTAGTACTAGATAACATTACTCCAGATTGTACCTATATTAATGCTATATTATCATTGTCAATGCTCTTTCTCTCACTCTGTGCCTCCTAAATGCATGGACTGGGCTCTTGCAGACTATAAAAATCTATAGTTCCTCTTGTTTGTTCCCTGTGAGAGCCTGACACAGTTACAAGTGCATATTAAGCTTCTATAATTCCCAGCCAGAGACTTACTGAGTTTTTCCAGAAAGATAACAAGACGGGAAATGCTGCACAAAATGGAGTGGACTGAGACTTTTTTCGTCAAGATAGCCGACCGGTTTTTTCCTTCCTTCTTTCTTTTCTTCCCTCCTTCCCTCCCTTCCTTCCATTTTCCTACCTTCCTCCCTTCCCTCCCTTCCTTCCCTTCCCTTCCCTTCCTTCCTTCCTTCCTCTCTCCCTTTCCTTCTTTTTTTTCTTCCTTCCTTCCCTCCCTCTCTCCTTTTCTTTCTTTTCTTTTTTTGACAAGGTCTTGTTCTGTGACTCTGGCTGGAGTACAGTGGTGGGAACATAGGTCACTGCAGCCTCAACTTCCCATCCTCAAGCAATCCTCCAGCTTTGGCCTCCTGGGACCACAGGTGCATGCCACTGGCTAATTAAAAAAAAATTTGTTTTGTAGAGATGAAGTCTCATTATGTTGCCCAGGCTGGTTTCCAATTCCTCCCATCTCAGCCTCCCAAAGTGCCAGGACTACAACAGGCAAGAGCTACCACGCCCAGCCTTTCATTCTCTTCCTTCCTTCCTTCCTTCCTTCCTGCCTTCCTGCCTTCCTGCCTTCCTTCCTTCCTGCCTTCCTGCCTTCCTGCCTTTCCTCCTTCCTCCGTCCCTCCCTCCCTCCCTCTCTCCCTCTTCCCCTCCCCTCCCCTCTCCTCCCCTCCTTTTCTTTTCTTTTCTTTTCCTTTCTTTTCTTTTGAGACGATGTCTCACCCTGTCACCCAGGCTGGAGTGCAGTGGTGCAACTACAGCTTACTGCAGCCTAGAGACCTCCTGGGCTCAAGTGATCCTCCCGCCTCGGCCTCCCAAAGTGCTGGGATTACAGGCACGAGCCGCCACACCTGAAGGTTCATTTCTTTAAGCAATTTTGCTATAATTGTTCACTGCAAATGAAGGTAAATCTGAAAATCATGCTTGTTACCCTGATGGAAATCAGCAATGGCTTACCAGCAGAGAGGGCAAAGTCAGTGAGCTACCGGAAACCACTGTTGCTTAATAACAGCCGACCCCATGTTATGAAGCCCTGTGTTAACCGGCCAGATACAAAAGAACTGGCAAAAAACAAAAAACAAAAACATATGTTGAGGGGACGGAGAGAGAAAGGAAAAAGGAAAAGAACAGAAGAACAGAGTTGTCTAGAATCTAAGGAATGATGACTTTTCCAGGCACATACAGACTATCACTAAAGTATGTAAGGAACTGAAGCAATTCAGAATAGCATTACATACAAACAGTTCTGAGGGAAAAATGTTAACACCCTGTGAGCAGGGAGGTGCTTGCTCAGTCTAGCATTCAAGTCAATAACCAATAATTAGGGAGCACCCACTGTGACATGCCAGCTCCCTGCTAGGCCCAGGGGGAATGGAAAGGAAAGACATGAAATGCCTGAGGGAGCTTGTGCAATGGGTTAGAGGCACCTATAACCAAGGAGCTGCAAACTGCTGGCCCCGGGGGCCACATACGGCCCACAGGTATTTGGTTTGGCCTATGAATGTTCCTTTAAAAACTTAACTGAAAACATTTAAAAATCAGGAGAGTTTATATTTTAAAAGGCTTCTCTTTTAAAAGTGGAAGCTCTGGCAACACTGGGTCTATCTTTTGGCATGAGGAGAGAAAAGGGACCAGGGGAGGAGGGAGCTGGAATCTAACAGCAGCCTCTATTAACATCTAGCAACCTCTCTCTAACAGTATCTCTCTGATAACATCTAGAAGAGGGACCCGCTGGTTTGCCAATCCGGACACTTCTTACTGTATTTGATCAGGCCCGCCTGGTGTGGTTGTACAATCTACTCATCCTCCTAAACAGCTAAGTTTGGAACCCCTGACAGGAACCCACTGTAGAAACAACATAGTAATACTATGGGGTGTGAGCTGTGAGAACTCACACACATGGTGCTGGGAGGGGATCAAGCAGGAACGACACACTCAGAACCAGCGTAAGGAGATGAGGGAATGCTTCCTGGAGGAGGTGACCCCTTAATGCAGTCATAAAGCATAGGTAGGAGTTCATTAGAAGAGGAAATGGGGAAAGAGACAAAATCCTGTCCCATTTCCCTGGCTGGCTGATTCTCTCACTATGTGAGACACAAACCTTAGAGAAGAATCTGCAGACACAAATCCTCTAAAGTCTGGAAGAATCATTTCATTCCAAGCCTTCAAAAATATTCACACCCCACATTCACCTGCTGCCTCTGATCCCATGATCACTATTTCTAACCCCAGGCAATCCTGCCAATCCTTATTTCTGACCCCAAGGCAGTGCTTTCCTCCACAGGGCAAAGGCACTCAGCCTTGGGACAGTGAGGGCCAGATTCCTCGCCCAGGGCCACCATGCATTCAGCAATTCAATACACGCTCACTGAGAGCCTCTGACGCACCAGGCACTCAAGCTAATAATGGGAAGCCATTAAAAGCTTTTAAGTGGTTGCCTTTCAGGATCTAGTTTACCATTTGCAAAGCTCGCTTACAGGAGGGAGGTGCAGGATGCTCCTTGGCTTTTCCTTTTTAACGAGATCAGCATGCAGAGAATGTCTTCCTAATGCAGAAAGTATGTATGGAATTTCCAGAGTCATGAAAAGGAAGAGATATGGCCTTTGCAAGGCCTGGGGAGAGGAAAGAAGAGGGCTCAGACCAGCCAGGAACTTAGCAAAGGCCAGGGGGTGGCCCCCCAGGCCCAGCATGCCTGAAGCCCCCTCCTGCTCCTCTCCCTTTCCAGAGGGCATGCTTCTGGGGGGCATCTGTCCCAGGTGTTCTCAGGGAAGGCAGCCTTATAAATGGGGAGGGACTGCAATGACCATAGGAAGCCCAGCCTGCCAGAGGAAGCTACTGGTCTCCACCGGCTGGGTCTGGCCAGGGCTTTTCACCGACAAAATGAACTCTTTTGTTTTGTGAAAAGCAATGTACCACATGGATAGGAGATATCTCTCTTCAAAATCTCTAAGTGCGAAGATTGGCTGACGTGATCCCAATGCTGCTGCTGGCCCAGTGGGATGAATCATGACCTAAGTGGGACTAAAACTATGGAACAAACTCAGTCACAATAAATGCCGGAAGGGAACTCTGTCTTCGTTAGCCACTCTCCTATAAATTCCTGGGGACTTTCCATACAGAGGACCTTTTCCTTTTCCCATTTCCTTTTGAAAAAATGGGAAAAGCCAAGCATCCCACCAGAGGGTAACTGACACAATCTCTGCTACATTACCTAGAACATTCCAAAGAGACTCCAGGCTGGTCACCCTTCCTCTGGACAAATCTCTCTGGCAAAGGCACATCACTCTAATCTCATCCCTGCCCCACCTCAAAACCTTCCATAGAGCCGAGCATGATGGCTCATTCCTGTAATTCCAACACTTTGGGAGGTCAAGATGGGAGGATCGCTTAAAGCCAGGAGTTTTAAGCCTGGACAACAAAGTGAGACCCTATCTTTATAAAAAATTAAAAACAAAACATTAGCTGGGGGTGGTGCCATGCACCTGTAGTCCCAGCTACTCTGGAGGCTGAGGTGGGAGGATTGCTTGAGCACAGGGGGTCCAGGCTGCAATGAGCCACTATGGCTCACTGCACTCCTGCCTGAAGCAACAGAGCAAGACTCTGTCTCCAAAAAGAAAAAAATGAAAACTTTCAATAGTTCCCTATCACCCACAGGGTAAAATCCAAATGCCTGAGCACAGTTTGGAAGGTCTCTAGCTAGCTAACTCTTCCCTCAAACTTTGCCCTCCAAGAAGTCCTTTTCTTTTTCTTTTTTTTCTTTCTTTTTTTTTTTTTTTTTTTTTTTTTTGAGATGGAATCTCACTTTGTTGCCCAGGCTGGAATACAATGGCTCAATCTCAGCTCACTGCAACCTCCGCCTCCCGGGTTCAAGCTATTTTCCTGCCTCAGCTTCCCAAGTAGCTCGGATTACAGGCACCTGCCACCACTCCTGGCTAATTTTTGTATTTTTAGTAGAGATGGGGTTTCACCATGTTGGCCAGGCTGGTCCTGAACTCCTGACCTCAAGTGATCTGCCCGCCTCAGCCTGCCAAAGTGCTGGGATTACAGGCATGAGCCACCACGCCTGGTCCCAAGAAGTCCTTTCTGTCTCCAAAATAAATACCAAACTCATCCTCTTCTCTTCCTCTCCACTGCTAGAGCCGAGTCCAGCTCTCTCTTGGATTGCTGTAATTCAGTCCCCAAATGGGCCACCTGCTTCCGTTGATCCACCATCTACCCAACAAAAAGGTCAATCAAATCAGGAACCACCCAGCTTAGCCACCCCCAAAGACTTAAAAAAGCACTTAAGGCCCTCCATGACCAAACACCTGTTCATCTGGACCCTGGACGTTCACTCCTTTCCAGCCACACGAATCTTTTGACACTCTGAACACACCAAAAGTTTTGCAGCCTCAGGGCCTTCACACATGCTATTATCTTTACCTAGGATATCCCTTCCCTAAACTGTTTTGAAAGAAATTTAAAGAACAGGCTGGACGCCGTGGCTCACGCCTGTAATCCCAGCACTTTGGGAGGCTGAGGCAGGTAGATCACCAGAGGTCAGGAGTTTGAGACCAGCCTGGCCAACATGGTGAAACCCTGTCTCTACTAAAAAAAATACAAAAATTAGCCAGACGGGGGTTGTGCCTGAAGTCCCAAATACTCGGGAGGCTGAGGAACCAGAATTGCTTGAACCCAGGAGGTGGAGGTTGCAGTGAACCGAGATTGCTTCACTACATTCCAGCCTGGGTGACAGAGCAAGACTGTCTCAGCCGGGCCCGGTGGCTCACGTCTGTAATCCTAACACTGTGGGAGGCTGAGGCGGGTGGCTCATGAGGTCAGGAGATCGAGACCATCCTGGCTAACACAGTGAAACCCCGTCTCTACTAAAAATACAAAACAATTAACCGGGCGTGGTAGCAGGCATCTGTAGTCCCAGCTACTCGGGAGGCTGAGGCAGGAGAATGGCGTGAACCTGGGAGGCGGAGCTTGCGGTGAGCCGAGATGGCGCCACTGCACTCCCAGCCTGGGTGACAGAGCGAGACTCCGTCTCAAAAAAAAAAAGAAAAAAAGAAAAATTCAAAGAACCTAGAATTGACAACCATGAACATCTTGTCATATGTATTTTCAAACTTTTTTTCTTTTCTACATATTTTCAAACTGTGTAAGTGATATGTGTAGGTATCCACCTTCTTTTCAAAAAAAGCATTAAAGATAGGCCAGACACTGGGTCCTCCCTGTAATCCCAGCACTTTGGGAGAACTGGGCAGGAGGATGGCTTGAGGCCAGGAGTTCAAGACCAGCCTGGGCAATATAGTGAGATCTCATCTCTACAAAAAATACAGGCATGGTGGCTCACACCTGTAGTCCCAGCTACTCCGGAGGCTGAGGCAGGAGAATCACTTGAGCCTGGAAAGTAGAGGCTGCAGTGAGCCACGATCACACCACTCACACTCCAGCAACCTTGACAGAGTGAGATTCTGTCCCCACAAGTAAATTAATTAATTGAATTTAAAAAAAGCAATAAAGGCAAAGTTAAAGTAGGCTTTGACCTTCACAATCAGCCCACTCCCCTTCTCTCCCCAGATGATGACAGTGAGTTTGATATAGATCTTTCCAGCCCATTTTTTAAACCTTCACTTTCATCTCTAAATATCCTTAAGTAACATACAGCACGAACTGTGAATTCTCAATCTTACCTAGGAACGGGGCTGCACATGTTTCCAATTTCACTACCTGCTGGCAAGGTGGTCTCTAAAGTGACCTCACACACTCACTAGCGGAGCTGCTGAACACCCTGTGCCTTGTCAACACTTGAGTCAGACATCCTATTTCTGGCACGTTGTAAAGCATGAAACATGTATCTTGTGGAAACACCCAGATGCTCTTCAAATGGAGAACAGATAAACAAACAGTGGTATATCCATACAACAGAGTCCCAGTCAGCAATAAAAACTACCAAACCCCTGATGCATAGAACAACATGGAAGGGTCCCGAATGCATTATGCCAGGTGAAAGAAGACAAATCCGAGAGACTACACACTGTATGAATCCATTTATAGGACACTCTGAAAAAGGCAACACTGTAAGGTCAGCAAACAACTCAGGGGTTGGTTAAAGCTGGGGGTGGAGAAGGAGACTGGCTGTGAAGGGACAGGAGGGAATCTGGGTGAACGATGGAAATGTTCTAAGCCATGATTGTGGTAATTACACAACAGTGTAACACAGTTCTATGCATTTATCAAAACTCTTAGCATTGTATCCTAGAAAGGATGAATTTTACTGACTAGAAATTAGATCTCCAAAACCTGACTTTGTTAGCAAAATTCAGAATCTTTTCACATTTATCATCCACTTTGCTTTTTTTTTTAATTTTTTAGACGGAGTCGTTCTCTGTGTCCAGGCTGGCATGCAGTGGCAAGATCTGGGTTCACTGCAACCTATGCCTCCCAGGTTCAAGCGATTCTCCTGCCTCAGCCTCCCAAGTAGCTGGGACTACAGGCACACGCCACCACACCCAGCTAATTTTTGTATTTTTAGTAGAAATGAGGTTTTACCATGTTGGCCAGGATGGTCTCGAACGCCTGACCTTGTGATCCGCCCGCCTCAGCCTTCCAAAGTGCTGGGATTATAGGCATGAGCCACGGTGCCCAGCCATCTACTTTGCTTTCTATGAGCACTGCATGGTCCTATCTTTCACCCACTTTGCTATAAGGCTGTTTGTCTTTTTGTTGTTGACTTTTGGGAATTCTGCATACATTCTAGATATTAGTGTTTTGTAATGTGTTATAAATATTGCAAATATCTTCTAAGTCTTGTATTTGGCTTTTAATACCATTGCAGTTTTTGTTGCTTAGATGTGCCTTTTTCTTTAATATGTAGTCATATTGATCAATCTTGTCTTTTCTGCTAACACTTTGTTCTTCTGGTTAACTTCTACTGAGTCTTCGTGTCTCACTCAAATCCTGATTCCTCAGACAGTATTTCAGTATGAACCCCCTTACCTCACAATAACCATCCCTTCATATTATTCTAGTACATATTATTTCATATTCCTTACAATAATGTTATTTTTTCTTTGTCTATTTG
This sequence comes from Homo sapiens, assembly GCF_000001405.40. NCBI lineage: Eukaryota > Metazoa > Chordata > Mammalia > Primates > Hominidae > Homo > Homo sapiens. The sequence continues at coordinate 127,805,747 of NC_000008.11, read as the reverse complement.
CTTGTTTCCCCCACTTAACAATAAGCCTCTTAAGAACTGGTACTAGTTGATCTACTTTGATCACTACTGAATACCCAAGGCCTCAAGCAGAACTTGGCACACCACAGGCATTCCACAAATACCTGCCAATAAATGAGAGTGAAGAAAAATCCAATACAGGTGCATAGGCTGCACATAAACATGTGCGAGCATATAACACTGTACATACATGTTAATGACATGTTAGTGCATCACGGACAGCAAAAAACATCACGTGCCTCACCAGAAAGCAGCAAATTCAGCTTCTGTGCAAATCTCATGAACCACAATATTTACCTGAAATTCTAAAAAATTCAGACATTATGCACAATAATCCTAGGACTGAGAATTTGTTTTTTTTTTAATTAACTGAAAAATAGAAAACATAATCTATATAAACAGGCTGTTATGAAGCTAAGCATCCAAATCAAAGGAATGATAAAGTAAGCAACGAAACAGTCACTGAACAGAAATATCTACCCAATAAAAATGACATGGACGGCTGGGCACAGTGGCTCACTCCTGTAATCCCAGCACTTTGGGAGGCCAAGGCGGGTGGATCACCTGAGGTCAGGAGTTCGAGACCAGCCTGACCAACGTGGAGAAACCCCGTCTCTACTAAAAACACAAAATTAGCCGGGCGTGGTGGTGAGCGCCTGTAATGCCAGCTACCCAGGAGGCTGAGGCAGGAGAATCACTTGAACCCGGGAGGCAGAGGTTGCAGTGAGCCGAGATCGCGCCATTGCCCTCCAGCCTGGGCAACAAGAGTGAAACTCCGTCTCAAAAAAAAAAAAAAAAAAAAGACATGGACAAAGTGCATATAATATTCAAAAATGCCTGTGTCCTAATAGCAACTAAGAAAAAAATCAGGATGTGTCCAGATGTGGTGGCTCACGCTGTAATCCCAGCACTTTGGGAAGCCGAGGTGGGATCACTTGAGGTCAGGAGTTCAAGACCAGCCTGGCCAACATGGTGAAACCCTGTCTGAACTAAAAATACAAAAAAAAAAAGAAAAAGAAAGAAAGAAAAAAAATTTAGCCGGGCACGGTGGCATCCCAGCTACTCGGAGGCCAAGGCAGAAGAATCGCTTGAACCTGGGAGGTAGAGGTTGCAGTGAGCTGAGATTGTGCCACTGCACTCCAGCCTGGATAACAGAATGAGATGCTGTCTCAAAAAAAAAAAAAAAAAAAATCAGGATGCAACATATACACTATGATTATAATACAAAAAAATAAAAAATTAAAAAATAAAAAACCACAGCCTGGGCACAGTGGCTCACACCTGTAATCTCAACACTTTGGGAGGCCAAAGTGGGAGGGTCACTTGAAGCCGGGAGTTAAAGACCAGCCTAGGAGTGAGGCCCAATGTCTGCAAAAATAAATAAATAAGTAAAAATAAAACAAGGCAAAGAAAAAACAGTGATTGTATTGTTTGTATTCAACTCAAGAAATATTATTTTTTATGAATTTACCAACCCCACCTCCCAGCTTTTAAAAATTTATTTATTTATTTTAGAGACAGGGTCTCATTCTGTCACCCAGACTGGAGTACAGTGGTGTAATCATAACTCACTGCAGCCTCAAACTTCTGGGTTCGAGCAAGCTTCCTGCCTCAGCCTCCCAAGTAGATGGGAATACAGGTGCGTGCCACCAAAGATGGAACTACAGGTACATGCCACCAAGCCCAGTTAATTAAAAATAAGAATTTTTGAGGCCAGGTGCAGTGGCTCATGCCTGTAATCCCAGCACTTTGGGAGGCCGAGGCAGGCAGATCACAAGGTCAGGAGTTCGAGATCAGCCTGACCAACATGGTGAAACCCCGTCTCTGCTAAAAATACAAAAATTAGCCAAGCATGGTGGCACAAGGCTGTAACTCCAGCTACTCGGAAGGCTGAGGCAGGAGAATCGCTTGAACCCAGGAGGCGGAGGTTGCAGTGAGCTGAGATCTCACCACTGCACTCCAGCCTTGATGACAGAGCAAGATTCCGTCTCAAAAAAAAAAAAAAACTGTAGAGACAGGATCTCACTATGTTGCCCAGGCTGGTCTCAGATGGGCTCAACTAATCCTCCCACCTCTATCTCCCAAAGTGATGGGATTACAGGCATAAGCCACAGTGCCTGGCCCATATTTCCTTCTTCCACCAAAATCCTGGAATTCTTAAGTCAAGTACCTTCCTCCTTAAATCCACATTCCACATGAGTTTGTCATCTTTTTAGATGTATATTTGGGAAGTTGCTCCTTGCTGACAATCCTTGAAAAGTGCCCAGTTCTCAGGACCCAGTTGAAATAATTTCCGCCTGGGGCTGGGCGCGGCGGCTCACGCCTGTAATCCCAGCACTTTGGGAGGCCAAGGCGGGCGGATCACGAGGTCAGGAGATCGAAACCATCCTGGCTAACATGGTGAAACCTCGTCTCTACTAAAAATACAAAAACTTAGCCGGGCGTGGTGGGCGGGTGCCTGTAGTCCCAGCTACTCGGGAGGCTGAGGCAGGAGAATGGCGTGAACCCGGGAGGCGGAGCTTGCAGTGAGCCGAGATCTCGCCACTGCACTCCAGCCTGGGCGACAGAAGGAGACTCCGTCTTAAAAAAAAAAAAAAAAAAAAAGAAAGAAAGAAAGAAAAAGAAATCACTTATACCTGGTTATTCAGGCTCTCCAGGATGTCCTGCCCCTCACCCTCGCCCCACCTGCCTTTTCCACCTCCACCCACACCACCAGCCACCTTAGTGGACTTGCAGTCCAAGGCCTTGAACCTCTGCACTGCCAGCCCACTGCTGTCACCAAGACCCAGACTGAGACCCAACACCCCAGTGTCTTCCTTCCCTCCTGGGCGAGTCTCTTCCAGCTTCTGGGCTACAGCAGGCCTGGTTGGCTGTGGTCCCATTTCAACCTGCCTTCTTTCTCTCCTAGCAGTTACATCTGCAGTGTGCCTCCCTCCCACACTGGAAACTTCCCGAAGATGGCAACGGTTTCTCATTCACGGCAGAACACCTGTGCCTCACCCACACATTTGATTCACTAAATGCTGACCTCGTCCAAGGCATTGTTCCATCCAGCGAAAATATGATTCAACCCACATGTAATTTTAGATTTTCTAGTAGCCATAAAGTTAGAAAAAACAGATGAAATTAATTTTAATAATTTAACCCAATATATCCAAAACATTATCAGTTCAATATGTAATTAACATCAAAGAATTGGTTCATGAGATAACTTGGCAGGGTGCAGTGGCTCACGCCTGTAACCCTAGAACTATAGGAGGCTGAGGAAGGCAGATTGCTGGAGCCCAGGAGCTCAAGACCAGCCTGGGCAACACAGGGAGACCCCAGCTTTACCAAAAATACAAAAAAATTAGCTGGGCGTGGTGACACAGACCTGTGGTCCCAGCTGCCCAGGAGGCTGAGGTGGGAGGATCACCTGAGCCTGGGAGGTCGAGGCTATAATGATCTATGAACACATCACTGCATTCCAGCCTGGGTGACAGAGTGAGACCGTGTCTCATATAAATAAACAAATAGGCCTGGTGCAGTGGCTCACACCTGTAATTCCAGCACTTTGGAAAGCTGAGTGGGATGGATCACCTGAGGTCAGAAGTTCAAGACCAGCCTGGCCAACATAGTGAAACCCCATATCTACTAAAAATACAAAATTAGCCAGGTGTGGTGGTGGGCACCTGTAATCCCAGCTACTTGGGAGGCTGAGGCAGGAGAATCGCTTGAACCCGGGAGGCGGAAGTTGCAATGAGCCGAGATCATGCCACTGCACTCCAGGCTGGGCAACAGGTGAGACTCTGTCTCAGTAAATAAATAAATAAATAAATAAATAAATAAATAAATAAATAATGAGATATCTTACTCTTCTCACTAAGTCTCTGAAATCCAATGTGTGTTTAACACACAGTACATATCAATTTCCTTTCAAGTGCTCAATACCCACATAGGGCTCACAGCTACCATATGGAGAGCACAGTTTAAGATGCTGGGGATACAACAGTGAACAGCCTAGAAGTCCATTCCTGTGGCCCCATCCACCACTGCCAGCCTGGACCTGGCACTTAACGCTCTGTGCATGTTTGTCCTGGTGCTCTAGCTCCTGACCCTGATTTAGTTTCTTCTCAACACAGCAGCCAGACTGACCGTTTCAAAAGCCAAGTCAGATCAAATTACTTTCCTTTTTAGAACACTGCAAGGAAGCCAGTCACAGTGGTTCACACCTGTAATCCCAACACTTTGGGAGGCTGAGGTGGGTGGATCACTTGAGTTCAGGAGTTTGAGACCTGCCTGGCCAACATGGTGAAACCCCATCTCTACAAAAATAAAAACATTAGCCAGGCGTGGTGGCACGCACCTGTAATCCCAGCTACTCAGGAGGCTGAGGTGTAAGGATTGCTTAAACCCAGGAGGCAGAGGTTGCAGTGAACCAAGATCTCCCCACTGCACTCCAGCCTGGGCAACAGAGCAAGACTCTGCCTCATAACAAACAAAAAACAAAAACAAAAAACACCGCAAGGGCTCCCCATTTTACAGAGTAAAAGACAGAATCTTTGGAATGCCCTGCAGGCTCTCTGTGAGGCTGCACACTGCATGCTGCTCGGGTTCTCCTACCTCCCTTGCTCACGCCATTCTCATCTCACGCTTCTCCTGGCTGCTCCTCACCCCCACAGGCTCACTTCTGCCTCCACCTCTGTCCTAGCTCTTCCCAGAGCCTGAAACGCCTGTCCTTCCCCTACTTCAGGTGGAGGTTAACGTCAGCTCCTCCATGGAGCCTGCCCTGACTCTGACCGGACAACTTAACCACACAGCACCACGCCCCAGCCCTCCAGACACTGACCCTGCTAGGCCTGTTCCCACAGCACTTCATAATCTTGAATACACAATTCATGTCCTTCTTTATTATGTCTGCTGTTCCTTATCTGTCTAACCCAGCTGTAACCTAAGCTCTAGCATGGAAATCTGTCCTTTTTCTTCCTTTCTGCATCCCCAACATCTACAGCAATGCCAGGCACAGAGTAGACACCCAACAAATATATCCTGGAAAAATGAATGGGTTACAATTTAGTGGGAGAAGAGAGACATATGGTATACTAGGAAGATAAGCCCTATCGAGAAAAAATAACTCAGGAAGGGGAATGGAAGAAAGGGAGGCTGCCATTTTATGAGGGAGGAGAATAATATAATAATAATAAACATAGCAACTACCACTACATAGTAACTACTATGTGTGGGAGCCTCTGCTAAGCACTTTACTGTTAACACAGTGGGGCCGGGGAGACTTTGCACAGGAGTTAGCTTTTGCCTGCACTGCCTCCATCTGTCCCCCAGCTGTCTCTGGGGACCAGCCTGCCCCACTACTGTGTGACATCCACTAGGACAGAAGCTTCAGGAGGGCAGGGATTTTTGTCTCTTCTGCTCCCTGCTGGATCGCCAGCAGCTAAAACGGTGCCAGGCATACAGCAACTGCTCAGGAAATGAATGCATCCATCACTCTTGAACCAAGTAGTCAATGTTAGGGCTAATGCACCAGAAAAAAAAAGAGCCCTGAAGAATAATAAATAATAATTGCTTTACTCAAATGTTTTACTGAAGGGCTTATTCCTCTGTGCTAAGTGCTCTGCTAAGTGCTCTGCACCATCCCAGGGAGGGAGAAGTGATTCTCCTCCCCTGCTCAGCAGCTGAGGAAATGGAGGCACAGTGACCTGAAGTAACTTGCAAAGGCAGTCTGACATCCGAGGGACAGCCCTTTGATTCCTGTCCTTCCTGAGACCCACTTCTGCAGCTTTATTTACTTTCTCATCTGTTTCTAACTTACATAAGCCAGGGCTTGTTTCTGATGCTTGCAGAGAACTACAGTGAAGTCACTGCCATCTTAAGATCTAGGCAACTAGAATGTTGCCTTTCTATTCAGAAACCACTACTTCATGCAGCCACAGGAAGTAATAAAGCTCAATAATTGGAACAGTAATGATATTAGCTACCTTTTACTGTGTGCTCACTTATGAGCCCAGGTCCTCTGCCAGACACATTCTGTTCATCATCTCTTTCGTCATCACAGCAAACCATTTTATAGATGAGGAAACTGAAGCTTAGAGAAGTAACTTGCCCAAAAGTAACCAGATCTACACTCCTCAGCTCCCTGACACATCCCCACTGCCTCCTGCTACTGTCTGTTTTCCTTCTTTTTCATCAGCATACTTTCCCTACAGGCAAGCCCCCCACTTCCACACCATGTCAAGCTGTCTCATATCTAAAAAGATAATGACTGTTGACTGTGTATCTTGTTTCCTTGAAGACAAAGCAGTTCTTTCTTTATTTTTTAATTTTTATTTTATTATTTTTTACAGAGACAGAGTCTCACTCTGCTGCCCAGGCTGGTCTCAAACTTCTCAGCTCAAGCAATCCTCCTGCCTCAGCCTCTCAAAGTGCAAAAATTATAGGCATAAGCCACCATGCCGGGCTGAAGCAGCAGCTCTTGACAGCCACCTGATTCAACAAAGTACCAGGGCTGTGTTGGGCACTTAGACGCCCCTGTTCTCAAGAATTTCACAGTCAGTGATAATAAAGAGGCAGATAAACAAAACAATATGCCATACCTCCCCCCCCACCTAACTCCACACACACACAAAAAGGAAAAGATAAAGGAAAAAAAAAACAGATAGTTCGGAATTTCGCAATTAAAAAATGAATAAGACCATTTCCACATCATGTATATGTCTTGTGTTTTATGACCTGACATTGTTTTTGTTTTTAATTAAATCCTGAAACCTAGTTTTGGTCACAAAATCCAGTGCTATACCTGATTGCAGCCTCTTGCAAATGATTATAGATTTTGCACAAAGACCGAGGCGGTTGTTTGTTTTTTGAGACAAAGTCTTACTCTATCTCCCAGGCAGGAGTGCACTGGCAATCTCAGCTCACTGCAAACTCCGTCTCCCGGGTTCAAGAGATCTTCCTACCTCAGCCTCCCGAGTAGCTAGGACTACAGGCGTGTGCCACCACGCCGGGCTAATTTTTTTTTTTTTTTTTTTTTTGTATTTTTAGTAGAGACAGGGTTTCACCATGCTGGCCAGGCTGGTCTTGAACTCCTGACCTCAGGTAATCTACCGGCCTCAGCCTCCCAAAGTGCTGGGATTACGGGTGTGAGCTACTGCACCCAGCCAAGACTAAGGGTTCTGACCTCTACCCATGACTCCTGCCCACACCCACAGCCCAAACTTTCCAGCATGGCAGCCCTCACCTAAGGCCTCTTGGCCCCTTTGTCTCTGACTGCTCCGTGGCTGCAGAAAAGGTCGGCAGGCAGAGCATGAGGTATCTTCATGCAAGATGTTCAGCTTTCTGTTTGTGCCTAAGGTGCACGGTGAGGGTGGGGGACACACTGTGTTCTCCTGCTCAAGGCCAAGGGGTATACCCTTTTCTTGTTGTTTTTTTTTTGAGACTGAGTTTTGCTCTTGTTGCCCAGGCTGGAATACAATGGTGCGATCTCGGCTCCCGGCAACCTCCGCCTCCCGGGTTCAAGCAATTCTCCTGCCTCAGACTCCCAAGTAGCTGGAATTACAAGTGTGCGCCACCATGCCCGGCTAATTTTTTGTATTTGTAGTAGAGACCGGGTTTCACCATGTTGGCCAGGCTGGTCTCGAACTCCTGACCTCAGGTGATCCACCTGCCTCAGCCTCCCAAAGTGCTGGGATTACAGGTGTGAGCCACCGCGCCCGGCCCTTTGCTTGTTCTTAACCTCATTATCCTCTAACTTCTGAGAGTCACACTAAGAAGTCGAAGACTGTGGTCCAAATCTCTACAGCTCTGCCTCTCCCAAGCTGTGTGACCTGGGAGGATATTTTTAACCTCTCTGGGCTGTGGGTTCCTCATCTGCAAAACCACAACAATAATCATCCTATTTTATAGGAAAGTTAAATGAGATCATATAATTTGAAGTGTTAGAACCAACCCTGCCCCACAACAAGAAGTCTACCATTGCTAGACATTTCATTATAAATGCCTCATGGAGTTGTAGGGAGTAGAAGGTGAAGAACATGCTTTGCGTGATAAACAATGTCCATGTTATACATGCACTATTATTGTTCTTATTATTAATTGTTATTTATTACCGTTATTAGTTCCTTAGATTATTTGAGGTCAGAAAACAGAAGAGACAAAGGGGGCTCCTGCCAAAGGACCCATTTTGGCAGCATTCCAAAAGGCCTTGAATTTCTGAGACTCTCTAGGGATGATATTGAAGTGACTGTCCACAGGACTCAATGGTCCAAATGATTCCAGATTGTTGCTCTGTTCCCATCCTCAGTCAGGGTCCCACCATGGACACTGGGAATATAAATTGGGGTGGGGGGTGTGGTCCTGATCCCTCAAAGAGATCACAAACCTGCATCAGGAAACAATAAAAAGCAAAACAAGGCCGGGTACTGTGGCACCTGTAATCCCAGTACTTTGGGAGGCCGAGGAGGGCAGATCACCTGAGGTCAGATGTTCGAGACCAGCTTGACCAATCTGGAGAAACTCCGTCTCTACTAAAAATACAAAATTAGCCAGGCATGGTGGTCCATGCCTGTAATCCCAGCAACTTGGGAGGCCTCCCAGCATTTTGGGAGGCCAAGGCGGGCGGATCACCTGAGGCTGGGAGTTCAAGACCAGCCTGACCAATCTGGAGAAACTCCGTCTCTACTAAAAATACAAAATTAGCTGGGTGTGGTGATGCATGCCTGTAATCCTAGCTACTTGGGAGGCTGAGGCAGGAGAATCGCTTGAACCTGGGAGGCGGAAGTTGCAGTGAGCTGAAATCCAGCCATTTTACTCCAGCCTGGGCAACAAGAGTGAAACTCTGTCTCAAAAAAAAAAAAAAAAAAGCAAAACAAGAGAAAAAGAAGAATCTTATGTCTGCAGCCAACTATGAAAGGAAATGCAAAATAAAAAGGCCACACATCCAGAAGGGCCACCTGATATAAAACAAATAGCAAAGGGGCAGCCATCAGCAGGCCTGCCACTGCCTCTCCAGACGACCTGGACCGGCAACTATCCAAAGTCTTCCACTTCCCCCAGATATTCTGCCAATACTCTGCCCAAATGCAGGGCCACTCACACAAACAGGAGGAAAGAACAGGGTGTCTTATAGTCCAGGAGATCTCTTGACAAAGCTGCCAGAGAAACGTGTCCATCTTGGGCAGGCAGAAGGCCCAGGCATGGCAAACACAGGCTCCAGAATCCAGCCAGAGTGCCTGCCTACCGCTCAGGAGGCGGAAAAAAAAAACAACTAAAGAACAGGGAATTGATTTGATGTGGGCAGTGAGAATTCACCAGGTTTTCAGACCAGCAATCATATAAACTAGTGGGGATCAGATATGTCAGAACAGAGGGGAGAACTCCTCCTTTCCAGTGCAGAAAAGCTCCAGCCACAGAAACACAGCATGGAGGTGGCGAGGGGCGGGGGAAGGTGTTTAAGACAGAGGAAAAGGAAAGTTAATCAGAAAAAAAACAAAACAAAACAAAAACGGACTTCTATTTTTCAAGAGAAGCCGTTTATGCAAAAATTCTGCACTCAAGATAGATGAGGCAACAAGAATAAGCCACTCTTAACCAGGCAAAACAGCAACACAACCACTTAACAAATCCCTCTGGGAATTCAATGGGTACAGCATATACCCCACAGTCATACCCGTAAGTGGAATTCCAGTTGGGCCCTTGTGCCGAAGCTTTAGACCACGAGGCACGTCCTCACCTCCAAGATGTAACTCATCTCAAATAATGGAGACCAGGCCACGAGGTTTCTCCCAGACACGGATTCTGTATTTGTCCTTCTGCAGCTTCCGGGAAGGTTTTTCTCCTAATAAATCCTGTAGAAAGTTCCACTCAGGGTTCTGAGGATTGATACAACCCCCTTCTTGACTGATCAGAGCTTTAGAAAGATTCGCTATGACCACAGGACTGTGTCAAGTTGAACAAGTCTCAACTTGTCGCTGCCAGTATGCAAAATAGGTCTGAAACATCTTATAACAGACAACACAGCAGACACAGTCCCTGCATCCTCAGGGCCCCCGCCCACCCACCACACACAAACACATTTCTCTAGAGTTTTTTTTTCCTAGCAAGGAACTAGCCCCAGTAGCCAGGATTCACAGTGGTGGAGTGGGCGAGAGACAGGCTAACAGCCTCTCTCTGGAAAACCTAATACCAGAAAGGAAACACCAAAACCTCATCCTCTTGTCCCTAAATCCTTGCACGTGATTTCTTCTCCTCTCTAATGTTCTAGAAGGGCCTAAAGTCAGGAGCTTAGATGAACAGAAGAATCTTCCATGCCTGCAAACCACCAGGAAAAGGCATGAGGCATCCACACACAGACGCATGCAGCTTCATGGCTGTGCTTCCTGAAAGTCTACACCCAGAACCACAAACACTGGCATAAATAAGAGCACGTTAGCAAGAGAAGGCAAACCTAATTAAATCAACAGCCCAGCCAAGAAGAATGACCATGATGAGGGTTTAGGAGCACCCAACAAACCCTCACATGCGATGCAAAAACTGAGAAAGTCTCAAAACACGGAGTTACTGAGTTTTTGGAAATCACCTTCGCCCAGCCCTGAGGGGGTGTGAGAGGAAGCGGGGAGTGATGGTCAAAGGATGGAGGGAGGATCACACATTCACAGACCTCTAGTTTCGCCAGAGGGGCCTCCAAACCACATCATGGCTCCAAATCTGTTCTGACTGCAGAGGGGTCTATTTTTAGAAATTAGTTAATATGCCTTTGATCAAGTTCATAAATCCAGAATTGCCTCTATGCACCGGCCATTCGGTGTCATCCCCCTCCCCTCACCCTCCCCAAACGCCCAAACTCGCCACCAGTCTTGAGGCTGGTGATGAGGACAGTGCACGCCTAGCACACACATATTGGATTCCGAAAGCCCCTTTCCTCCGTCCGACTACTCACAGCGCATCCCTACTCAGGGCCAAGTCTCGAGAGTTTCCAGAAACGCAGGGGACAAAATTGGAACTTACTGGAGGGCAGATCTGGCCGTGTCTCCACAGGTCACAGGGACCGCCAACATCCTTTCCGCAAGGAAATCCACTGGAAGGTGCCGGGGGTCCCGGGGCACATCTTTGCTCGCAGCTCGTCGTCGCCCCTCCTCGTCCCGGCCGCCCCGAGCCCGCCCGGCCCGCGGGCCCATGTGCTCGGCCGCCACACGCGCTCTGCCCGGAGGAGCGCGGGGCTGGCGGGTTGCCCGTGACGTCACGGCGGCTCGCGCTCGGGCCTCGGGGGAGGGGGGAGGCGCGCGCGGCCCGGCCCGCCGCGTGCGTCCTCGGTCCCGGCGCTCCCGGCCTTCCCCAGGTCCCCGCCCGCCGCCCGGTGCGCCCCTCAGCCTGCTTCCCGGCAGCGCAGGGCACTGAGCCGGAGAGGGCCGCGCGCGGAGGCGGGGCGGGCTTGGGCGACTGCGGCCGCCAAGGGCCCAGACTGGGGGAGCGGAGGGTAGGCTCTGCCCTGGGCTGGGGGTCCTCGCTACAAGCGCGCCGGAGTCCCACCGGGCCGGAGGGAATCCCCGGTGATGCCAGCTCGCTTGTGCGCCGAGCTTTCCACGGTCTTTCCCTGAGCCCTCTTACCCTTCCCCACACCGTCCTGGAAGCAAGCGGTCTTCCCACTTTCCTGCTGAGGAAGGCGAGTTCAGTGAAATAGGAGGGCCAGAGATGCTCCGGGATAGGTGCAGTTCCCGCAGAAGACCGCCGACTGAGCTCCAGCTCCAGTGATCTGAGCGCCTCTTTGGGTACCACCCAGCATCCGCCGGCCTGGTGAGAAGGGCGCGCGCACCTTCTCGCCTCCTTCGACGTCTCCCGCTGTTTCCAGAAGCCGAGTTGCAAACCCGTGCAGAGGGCCAGCGGTCTGCGCAGCTCCCTCCACTCCGGGCAGAGTTGACCTACAGAGTGTGTTCAACGAGTCCCTTAAATGCCCAGTAGTTCCTCCAAAGGAGCAAGTGGACACTGGCCTCCCATGTGGGATGTGGTTATCTTGTTCTATCTGCATAAACCCGAGACTGGACAGATGTAAGAGCTGCCCCTGTTCAGTTCAAAGTTTATTTTATTTATTTATTTATTTATTTATTTATTTATTTATTTAGAGATGAAGTTTCACTCTGTCACCCAGGCTGGAGTGCAGTGGCCCGATCATGGCTCACTGCAACCTCCGCCTGCCTGGTTCAAGCGATTCTCCTGCCTCAGCCTCCGGAGTAGCTGGGATCACAGGCGCGCGCCACCACGCCCAGCTAATTTTTGTAATTTTAGCAGAGACAAGGTTTCACCATGTTGGCCAGGCTGGTCTCGAACTCCGAACCTGAGATGATCCACTCGCTTCGGCCTCCCAAATTGCTGGGATTACAGGCGTGAGCCACCACGCCAGCGCCCGTCCAGTTCAACGTCTACTGAGCACTTAAGGGGAGTCAGGCACCCAGCTAGGCAATGGGGTGGGGGTTACTCATGGACCCTAGAAGGACGTCACAAACCAGCAAAAATTGGACACACAAATGGGTGGTATCAATATTACGGAACAGAAGGTTGCCCCTCTTCTCCCCTGCCGGCTACCCTACATCCTACTCACTCCAACCTACCCGGAGGCTCCTCCCTCTTTCTGTGTAGTGTTTCATCACATCTCTTCCCGTGGCGGCTTCTCAACGCAAATGTTCTTATTTGAAAAAGAAAAAACAATTACTCAGTTGATGCTCCTGTTCTGCCTGTTTCACAGATTCATTTACACTCATGGGCATCTCTTTTGTGCCTGGCTCCTTGCCAGGAGCTGGACAAGTCTCCGCTTTGTGCCTGGCTCTCTGTGAGGGGCTGGACAGGTGTCTGTTTTGTGCCTGGCTCTCTGTGAGGGGCTAGACAGGTGTCTGTTTTGTGCCCGGCTCTGAGAGGGACTGGGCAGGTGCCTGAGCTGCAGTTGGCATCTAGTTGTCATCCATCTTTTAAAATATAAAAAGAAGATGATGAGAAACCTCTGCATCTATACATCATGCGATAGGAGCTGTGAGACCTTAATCCTTTCACTGCTTAATCATTTTTTCCAGAAACCAAAGGCTGTGACCTTGAGGAAGCCAGTGTCCTCCTGGGGGATGCTGGTGGGCTATGAGAGGACCAGCTTCTAATGGCAGACGTCTCTGTCCATGTCCTGACAGTTGATGCCCAGTCCCTTCTGCATGGAAAATCTCCCCTGGCTGAAAAGACACTTTCACCCAGGACTCACTCAACTTTGACCTTGATGCTGTTTGCCCTCTCTGGGTCTCCAGCTCTCATGCACTAATCTTAGATTCACATTTTCCTTTTTATTAATTTCTTTTTTAGAATTAAAACATTTTTTCAGTAAAAATACAAAGAAAAAATAATATTTTAATATTCCTACCATCCAAAATAAACATTTTGGTATATCTGCTTTTGTTTTGTTTTGTTTGTTTGTTTGTTTGTTTGTTTGTTTGTTTTTAAATGGAGTCTTGCTGTGTTACCGGGCTTGAATGCAGCAGCTCAATCTCGGCTCACTGCAACCTCCACCTCCTGGGTTTAAGCGATTCCCCTGCCTCAGCCTCCCATGTAGCTGGGACTACAGGCGTGCGCCACCATGCCCTGCTAATTTTTTGTATTTTAATAGAGACGGGGTTTCACCATGTTGGCCAGGATGGTCTCGATCTCCTAACCTCGTGATCCACCCGCTTCAGCTTCCCAAAGTGCTGGGATTACAGGCGTGAGCCACCGTGCCCAGGCCTGCTTTCATTTTTTAAAAGTCACTTTTCTTCTTGCAAAAGTGATATTATATATATATATACACACACACACATACATACACGTTGTAAAACATTAAAACTCTGCAGAAAAAAAAATAGAGAAGAAAAACAAATTTTATCAGCCAGAAATAATTTTTCTGAATATCAGATGAGGCCTTTTTGGGCACAGATGGATACATATAGGCATAGATCTTGATATAGATATATAGATGGATGCAGGATTGACAAATAGATAGGAAAAATATTTTACAATGTTAATGTCTCATAGTTGCAATTTTTAAGAAATCTAATTTTTTTAGTAGAAGAAAAGGAAGCTAACATAAAACTAAAGGAATTGTTGTGTTTTAAATATTTATTTACCACATGAGAAGCATTGCTTTCTAAATAAGGCTACAAAGGTTCAGAAAAGATAATGAAAAGCAAGGAAAGAGTGGCATGATGATGTTTTACTTGTAGGCCTCATCATTGTAAAGTCCAGGCAACTTTTTGCTATTACATTCACACATTTTCTCACATCTCCCTTTACCTCACCTGTATTTGTTCGTTGTTTTCTGTTTTTGTTTTTGTTTTTGTTTTTGTTTTGAGACAGGATCTCACTCTGTCATCCAGACTGAAGAGCAGTGGTGCAAACTCGACTCACTGCAGCCTCCACCTCTCAGGCTCAAGCAGTCCTCCCACCTCAGCCTCCTGAGTAGGTATGTGCCACCATGCCTGGCTTACTCCCGGGCTCAAGTGATTCACCCGCCTCGGCCTCCCAAAGTGTTGAGATTACAGGCATGAGCCACTGCGCTAGCCTAGTTGTGCTATTGTCTTTCGATTACCACTTCCATTCTGTAAATGCAGTTCTCATGGTTGTTTAGTATTGGTTCTATAATTAAATAATTTTAGGCTCAGTACCAGTCTTTACCTTCTCTATATCTGCATCCTCTTTTTTTTTTTTTTTTTTTTGAGATGGAGTCTAGCTCTGTCACCCAGGCACGATCTGGGCTCACTGCAATCTCCGCCTCCTGGCTTCAAGCGATTCTCTTGCCTCAGCCTCCTGAGTGGGGATTACAGGCACCTGCCACCACACCCAGCTACTTTTTGTATTTTCAGTAGACAGGGGTTTCACTATGTTGACCAGGCTGGTCTTGAACTCCTGACCTCAAGTAATCTGCCCATCTCAGCCTCCCAAAGTGCTGGGATTACAGGCATGAACCACCATGCCTGGCCCTATATCTGCATCCTTATCTACAAAACCCATTCATTCCTTTATCAAACATTATCAAATTCCTCTTATGTGCCAGGCACTGTGCTAGTCCTCAGGACTATGAGTGCAATAAGACAGCCCAAGTCCCTGCTTTTGTGAGGTTGACATTCTAGTCAGAAGAAGCAGACAAGCCAATAAGCAAGGTAATTTCAACAATGGTCAATGCTATTGAGACAGTAAATCTCGGCAGAGAGCTAAAGAGAAAATGGGGCAAGAAGATAATTGATACTAGATAATTTGACCAACAAGAAGAAGCCAGCCGTCCAGGTGTGGTGGCTCATGCCTATAATCCCAGCACTTTGGAAGCCCAAGGCAGGCAGATCACTTGAGGCCAGGAGTTCGAGACCAGCCTGGCCAACGTAGCCAAACCCCATCTCTACAAAAAATACAAAAATTAGCCGAGTGTGGTGGCAACGCACCTTGTAGTCCCAGCTACTTGGGAGGCAGAGGTTGGAGAATCACTTGAGCCTGGAAGGTGGAGGTTGCAGTAAGCTGAGATCATACCACTCCACTCCACCGGGTGACAGGTAGAGGCTCGATCTCAAAGGAAAAAAAAAAAAAAAAAAAAAAAAAAAGAAGGAGCCAGCCATAAAAACCAGATAGAGTGTTAGAGTGTTCCAGGCAGAGAGAACAGCAGAAAAAGGCCTAGAGAACCATCAGTCATTTCACAAAGGCTTGAGTCAGACAAACAGCCACCCTCATCATTTTCTATTGGGTCAGGAATCACATATCAGTAGCTCCATATAGAACCAATGAGTGAACGAAGGGATAGACATCCTAGATCTTGTGAGAACAGAATGAGAGGGGGTAACCCCAGGTGTGGTGGAAGCACAGAGAGGTATCTATTTGGCAAAGGCTGAAAAGACTGCCCCAGGGAGGTGGGGCCAGAGCTGAAACTCAAAAAATAGGTTGGAGTTTGCCATTTGTCCAAGAGAATGGGGAGCATTTTAGCAAAGGGAACAGTGTGTATGTGCATAGGTTGATGTACTGCTAGCAATTCAGGATGGCTGGAGTGCATGACGAATGTTCTTTGTAGATGTATGATTTGAAAGTTTGTCCCCTACTTTCTGCCTGACATAACAGGCTTCAAGGCTTCAAGAGTGGTTATGACAGGTACCACCACTTGCTGAGGCCATGAACCTGAGTTCTCCTCTTCCCAATGTCTGTCTACTGATTAGTCCTATAGATTCACCCACCCACCTTTCTTCATGCTCACGGTCATTGCTCTGGAATAAGCTTCCATCTCTTCAATCAATCTCTCTCTCTCTCTCTTCGGGACAGAGTCTCACTCTGTCACCCTAGGCTGGAGTGCAGTGGTGCAACTGTGGCTCACTGCAGCCTCAAACTCCTGGGCTCAAGCAATCCTCCCACCTGGGCCTCCCAAAGTTCTGGTATTACAGGTGTGAGCCACTGTGCCTTGTCGGCTTCTGTCTTTTTTTTTCTGGATTCTGCAGCAGCACAACTGGCCCCTCTGAATTCAATTCTCTGCCACTAATAGACTCTCAATAGTCTCTCCGGATTTATCTTATGAAGATGCAGATTTTTCTTGTCTCACTCTAACCACACAGTATCTAGCTGTCCTGTCTCATTGGCTTTTTCTTTTCTCTTAGAAAATCCTTCTTTAGGGCCCAGCTGTGCATTCTATCTTTTGTGGCTTGGCCCCAGTCTCTCTTCTATGTGCACTTCACAGAAGACTCTAGGCTGCCTCTTCTTCTCCTGCTAGGACTCAGGTCATGCTGGCCCCAGCCCTACCTGGCAGCCTCCAGGCTTTACTGAGTCTGGTCTTCCTCTTCAGCCTCTGAACAGCTCCCGGGCAGGGACATTATTATAATTCTCACTTGTCAAGTCACACAGGCAAGCCGAGGCCCAAAGAAGTCTTGTCTAAGCAAATCAGCAAGTGGCAGAACCAGGAACAAGTCACCTGTGTCTTCTACAGCACAGCTGCCCCTGAGGTGACAGGAAGCCAAGACTAGTTTTATTTCAAGCAACAGAGACAAAGAAAGCCAGCTCCTAATGAATCAGTGCTTCCTGGAACCACATTGATCATTTTTATTCTCCCACCATCCCAACACTTCGTAAGATTGAGGCAGGTGGATCTCCTGAGGTTAGGAGTGTAAGACCAGCCTGGCTAACATGGTGCAACCCCGTCTCCACTAAAAACACAAAAAACCATCTGGGCTTGGTGGTGCAAGCCTGTAATCCCAGCTACTCATGAGGCTGAGGCAGGAGAATCGCTTGAACCCGGGAGGTGAAGGTTGCAGTGAGCTGATATCGCACCAGTGCACTTTAGCCTGGGCAACAGATAGAGACTCAGTCTCAAAAAAAAAAAAAAAAAAAAAAAAAAATCAGACCAGGCATGATGGCTCATGCTTGTAATCCCAGCACTTTGAGAAGGTGAGGCGGGAAGATCACCTGAGCCAGGATTTTGAAACCAGACTGGGCAACATGGCAAAACCCCATCTCTACAAAAAGTACAAAAATTAGCCAGGCATGCTGGTGCAAGCCTGTAGTCCCAGCTACTGGGGAGTCTGAGTAGGAGGATCACCTGAGCCCAAGGAGGTCAAGGCTGCAGTGAGCTATGATCACACTACTGCACTACAGCCTGGGTGACAGAGTGAGATCCTGTCTCAAAAAATAAAAATAAAAATAATTTAAAAATAATTGCCTAGACCAGGGCCAGGTGCAGTGGCTCACACCTATAATCCCAGCGCTTTGGGAGGCCGAGGCAGTCTGATCACCTGAGGTCAGAAGTTTGAGACCAGCCTGGACAACATGGTGAAATCCCATCTCTACTAAAAAAAAAAAAAAAAAAGAAAAAAAAATTAGCTTGGTGTGGTGGCCTGTGCCTGTAATCCCAGCTACTCAGGAGGTGAGGCAGGAGAATTGCATGAACCTGGGAGGCAGAGGTTGCAGTGAGCCGAGACGGCACCCCTGCATTCTAGCCTGGGCAGCAGAGTGAGACTCCATCTCAAAAATAAAAATAATAATAATAATAATAATAACTCAGACAAAAGAAAATTGGCATTTTTGAATGTCTACCTATTGACAAATTGTTCTTCAGCACAGTTTTACCTGTGAACTTGTACATTTCCCTGTACTCCCAACCAGGCTCTATTCTTTTCATGCGGGGAAAGCATTCCAGTTCAATGGATTGGGAATAAAAAGAGAGACATTACATTCTTGTTTTAATTACATACTGATTTATTACCAAGAATAAATTCTTACACACCTGATCATTGGCTCATTGTACTTTATTTTATGAACATATTTTCCTTAGGCCCATTGACCACTTTGCTGTTGAGATGCTCATTTACTTTTTGATACATGTTCCCTAAATTAAGTTCCTTTACTTGTTTATTTTATTACAAATGCAACCTGAATGCTCACTAGTTTAAAAAATCAACAAATATATCCGGGAGCGGTGCTTGTAATCCCAGCACTTTGGGAGGCTGAGGTGGGTGGATCGCCTGAGGTCAGGAGTTCAAGATCAGCCTGACTAACATGGTGAAACCCTATCTCTACTAAAAATACAAAAATTAGCTGGGCGTGGTGGTGGGTGCCTATAATCCTAGCTACTTGAGAGACTGAGGGCAGGAGAATCGCTTGAACCTGGGAGGCGGAGGTTGCAATGAGCCGAGATTGTGCCATTGCACTCCAGCCTGGGTGACAGAGCGAGACTCTGTCTCAAAAAAAAAAAAAAAAAAGAAAGAAAGAAAAAGAAAAGTCAACAAATCCATCAGAAATGGCCATTGTTAACTCTGGAATACACATCCTTCTACATAATTACACACAAATACACACACACATACTCCTACATTTTTCTTCAGGTATATAGAAACAAACCATGTGCATTATTTGTATTCTGATTTTGCCACTTAATAACACATCACAATCATCTTTTCATAACGGTACATATATTTCTGCAACGTTGTTTTTCAATAGTCCTGTTGCATTCCATTGTAGGTTTGTATCATATTTTACCTAACCAGTACCTTATTGCTAGGAATTCATCTTGCTTGCAAACTTCCGTTATTAAACACAGTTCTGTTACAAACATCTTTGTGACTAAATCATTGCATATGACCTTAATGATTTCCTTAAGGTGAATTTTTAGAAGTGACTTATGAGATATTAACACTTTATTTGCCATGTAAATTGCAAAAATATATCCCTGATGTCTTATTTGCCTTTTCCTTTTGTTTATGAGTGGTTTTATAAATTTGCTTTAATGTCAATAAGCTCATATTCACCAGTCATTTAATTTGTTATTTATTCCTATGGTTTTTATATTCAGAAAGTCATTATTTGTCTTGTGATCACATTTACCTGCTATAGGGCATGCTTTGATTGATGCTCCAGTATCCATTCTACCCAGTGATCAGTCTAAGCCTAGCATGTGATTCTACTTCCTTTCTTAGTGATCAATTCAGGAATGGGCTCAGCTGATCCAATTCTGGCCAATGGCATGTGAAAGGAAAGCTATTGGGGAGCTTCTGGGAAAACTTAGACAATTGTAAGTGAGAGATAAAAGAAGAGATCATTTTTCCTCTTCTTATGTAAAAAACAATACTCTTTATTGTTTGAGCTTAGTATTGTCAGAGCAGCATATTCTTGGTCTTGGGCATCAAATCCATGGTTAAAGCAGGAATAAGTAAAAGAAGCAGCCTAAACCAAGTATGTCCTGTTTGCCAGAAAAAGCAAAAACCTTCCAACCAACCCGTGGTAAAACATTCAGCCTCATTGGCTAGAGCTCTCATATGGCCTCTGCTAGCTGCAAGTAAAGCTGGGATAGCAAGTGTTGGAGTTTTCCAACCTCTGTAGCAAAAGCAGTCAAGGAGGAAAGGGATTAGGAATTGGGATTGTGTTAACCAACGTTCAGTATCTGCGTCGGCCAGATTACTTATTTGTTTGTTTGTTTGTTTGTTTGTTTAATTTATTATTATATTTTGAGACAGGGTCTCAGTCTGTCACCCGGACTGGAGTGCATAGTGCAATCCTAGCTCACTGCAGCCTCAAACTCCTGGGCTCAAGTGATGCTCCCACCTCAACCTCCTGAGTAGCTGGGACCACAGGAACACACCACCATACCTGGCTAATGATTTTTAAAATTTTTTTTGTAAAGACAAGATCTTGCAAATAGAGGAGCAAATGAAGATTGTGGATGTAGATGTGGTATTGTGGATGTAGGTGTGAAGATTGTGGATGTAGGTGTGAAGATTGTGGATGTAGGTGTGGTAGGGAGTTTGGTACATAATAAACTCTTCATAAACATTTGTTAAGAATTACCAGTACTTAAATTCTTGCTGGGACCCATCTACATTAGTATTTCCTGGGCTTCATTTGTAAACTAATGGAATAAGCCCAATAGGGTGATAGCAAAGATTCTCTTCTTGACCAATCTCTTACCAGGTCTTAACCTCAGCCTAAAAAGACTTGGACAGGCTGGGCATGGTGGTGCACGCCTGTAATCCCAGCACTTTGGAAGGCCGAGGAAGTAGGATTACTTGAGCCCAGCAGTTCAAGACCAGCCCAAGAAACAGAGGGAGACCCCATCTCACAAAAATATTTTTTAAAAAACTAGTCAGACATGGTGGTGTGCACTTGTGGTGTCAGGTACTCAGGAGGTTGAGGTGGGAGGATCACTTAAGCTTAAGAATTCAAGGCTGTAGTGAGCTGTGATTGCACCACTGCACTCCAGCCTGGGCAACAGAGTGAGACCCTGTCTCTGAAAAAAAGAAAAAAAAAAAGCCTTGGAAACACACTAACATGGTTCTAACAGCACGAGGATGCCTCCCCAGCACGATTTGAGCCCACCCTGAAAGTGCCTGCCTACAAAATTCAAAGAACTTACTGTTTGTTCCAGCCAACACCTGAAGATAGGGTCCTGTGCTAGTCTCAGTCACATGGGCCAAGCCCTTTTCCCTTCCTGCTCTTTGTAATTTTTCACTTCCCTAACTCATTTCAAGCCCTGCCATCCCCCATCCCTCCTTCTCCCTTTAAAATGCCCAGATACCTGGGCACAAATTAGAATGGAGCTCAGGTCTTTCCCTGACTGTGAGTAGTATTGAATAAAATATGTTTTAATTGCTTTAGCGAATGTCCCGCTGGTCTAACACAGATGCTCAGGTGGTGAGGCAGCTCTTCCAGGCAGTCATTCAGGGCTCTAGGTTGCTGACAACTCTTCATCTTCAACGTGTGGCTTCCAAGTTCCCCTGGGGTCACCATTCCAAACAGCCTAAAGGGGAAAAGTCTGTGGAGGAGTGAGCATGGGGTGGGGTGGGGGTTTATAGGCCAGACCTGGAAGTGATTCCCATTACATTCATCCACATTCCTTTTGCCAGAACTCAGTGACATACAGTGTACCCAAAGAAGAGGGAAAGAGATGGGTGCACAGCTGGTAGTCTCTGACACACATTCTAATCTACTCCATCCCACCCATATCTCACTCTATCTTTTTTTTTTTCTTTTTTTTGAGACGGAGTCTTGCCCTGTCTCCAGGTTGGAGACCAGTGGCATGATCCTGGCTCACTGCAACCTCCACCTCCCAGGTCCAAGCGATTCTAGTGCCTCAGCCTCCCTAGTAGCCGGGATCACAGGTGTCTGCTACCACATCTGGCTAATTTTTGTGTTTTTAGTGGAGATGGGGTTTCACCATGTTGGCCAGGCTGGTCTCCAACTCCTGACCTCAAGTGATCTGCCTGCCTCAGCCTCCCAAAGTGCTGGGATTACAGGCGTGAGCCACCGTGCCCGGCCTCTGCTTTATTTATAACAATATAACAATAACAATATTTATAACAAAATTAAGGTGGTCCTTAACCAGGTTTTAAAAATCTGCTTGTGGAGTGGTCATGGATCCCTTTGAGCAAATAATGAAGACAGTGAGTTCTCCACTTTCGAAAAATATACACCAACATGTGCTCACAAATGTAATGGTCTGTTGATTCCCAGTTAGCAGTATCTGCCATGGCTGTGGGCTACAGGAACACAGAAACCATGTCTTTGCATTTTTGTATTCCTGAGAGCCAGCACAGAGCTTAGCACCCAAAGTAGGGTGCCTGGTACACATTGGTTGAATAAACTAATTGGCACATAGGGAGACATTATAGCAAAACTTACATAGAGTTTGTCACGTGCCAGACATTGGTCTAAGTGCTTTTTGTGGGTTACCACACTGAATTCTCACAACAACCTATGAGGTAAACACTATTATTAATCCCATTTTGTCAAAGAGGAAATTGAGGTACCTAAAGTTTCAGTGGTTTATTTAAGATCACTCAGCTTATTCCAGAGTTCATAATTATAACCACTATATTATAACAAAAATGAGGCAAATATATACATATATATTTTGAGATGGAGTCTCGCTCCATAGCCCAGGCAGGAGTGCAGTGGTGCGATCTTGGCTCACTGCAACCTCTGCCTCCTGGGTTCAAGCAATTCTCCTGCCTCAGCCTCCCGAGTAGCTGGGACTACAGGTGTGAACCACCATGAACAGCTGACTTTTGTATTTTTAGTAGAGATGGGGTTTCTCCATGTTGGCCAGGTTGGTCTTGAACTCCTGACCTCAGGTGGTCCACCTGCCTCGGCCTCCCAAAGTGCTGGGATTAAGGCATGAGCCCCGGCCTCTAGCCTAAGCAAAACATTTTAGAAAGGTTTTGTCATTGTTGCTGTTTTTAATTTAGATTCAGCAGATGTTTTTTGAGAGCTTACTAGTTACCATGCATTATACTGGGTGTTTTCAGTATTAACTAGAGAATAATGCTCCATTTTCTCCATCCTTGAAGGTAATCCAAGCCAGATGGATGCTCTTCTGAGCTCTTGCCCTATTAATGAGGTCCAGGTTGAGCAATTCTTAGTCCAGAACCAGAAGCACAGGTTCTCCCAAGCAGGAGCAGTTTCTTATAAATGGCCAAGAATAATGGGGTTAATTTATTACCTTTTTTAATGCATTGACATCAACTCTAAATACCATAAGCCGGTTGGACTGGCCCATCCAGCAGGAAGTCTTTGATGTCTTGATCAACTCAGTTTATCTATAGCAAACAAAACCATGTGCTCATCCGTCATTGGTCAAACACAAAGAAGCTGATTGCTTTTTAAATTGCCATCATGGAATTTCTTGGCTCCTAAAAAAAATTACATATACTAAAGACAGAAGCTGTGGTGAGAAGTGCCAAGAAAAGGGACATCTGTTTTCTGCTCCTCCTGCGTTATTAAACTAGACACCTGCCTCTCAAGGTCGCAGTTTCTCATCAGTGAAATGGGAGAACTTCACACAGTGATCTACATTTTTTTTTTTTTTAAATAGGATCTTGCTCTGTCACCCAGGCTGAGTGCAGTGACATGATCACTGTTCATTGCAGCCTCAACCTCCTGGGCTCCAGGGAACCTCCCACCTAAGCATCCTGAGAAGCTAGCACTACAGGCATATGCCACTACAACCAGCTAATTTTTAAATTTTTTGTAGAGACAGGATCTAGCTATGCTGCCCAGGCTGGTCTCAAACTCCTGGCCTCAAGAGATCCTTTAGCCTTAGCCTCCCAAAGTGCTGGGATTACAGGAGCAAGCCACCACACCTGGCCTTTACAAATTTAATTAGGGAGATTGAGGAAGACTTTACAGAGATAGTAATATTATTTAAAGTCTAGGCGAAGTGAGGGAGTGAGTCATGTGAATATTTAGCATAAGAATCTTTCAGGTGGAAGGAAGAGTAAGTGCAAAAGCCCTGAGATGGGAGTTTGCCTAGCAGGCTGGAGGGGCAGCAATGATGCCAGTAGGAGTGGTACAGAAAGACCTAGTGAGAGAGAAGCAGCACTAAGGTCACAGAGTAATGGAGCACCACATTGTGTAGGGGCTGGAGGACAATGTTGCGTGAGGCACAAGACTGCATTCGGTAAGATACAAGCCATTAAATGCTTGTGAGTAAGCAGTAATGGTGCTGATTTAGCTGTTTTTTTTTTTTTTTTTTTTTGAGATGGAGTTTCACTCCTGTTGCCCAGGCTGGAGTGCAATGGCATGATCACAGCTCACCAAAACCTCTGCCTCCCCGGTTCAAGCAATTCTCCTGTCTCAGCCTCCCGAGTAGCGTGCACCACCACGCCAGGCTAATTTTTTGTCTTTTTAGTAGAGATGGTTTTTCACCATGTTTGTCAGGCTGGTCTCGGACTTCCGACCTCAGGTGATCCTCCCAACTTGGCCTCCCAAAGTGTTGGGATTACAGATGAGAGCCACCACGCCCAGTCAGCAGTACAATTTTAGAAGCTAAATCAGGCTGGGTGCGGTGGCTCACGCCTGTAATCCCAGCACTTTGGGAGGCTGATGTGGGGAGATCACCTGAGGTCGGGAGTTCGAGACCAGCCTGACCAACATGGAGAAACCCTGTCTCCATTAAAAATACAAAAAATTAGCCAGGCATGGTGGCGCACTCCTATAATCCTAGCTACTTGGGAGGCAGAGGCAGGAGAATCGCTTGAACCTGGGAGGCGGAGGTTGCAGTGAGCCGAGATCGTGCTATTGCACTCCAGCCTGGATGACAGAGCAAGACTATATCTAAAAAAAAAAAAACAAAAAAACCCGGCCAGGTGCGGTGGCTCATGCCTGTAGTCCCAGCACTTTGGGAGGCTGAGGCGGGTGGATCACAAGGTCAGGAGATCGAGACCATCCTAGCTAACACGGTGAAACCACGTCTCTACTAAAAATACAAAAAAATTAGCCGGGCGTGGTGGCGGCACTTGTAGTCCCAGCTACTCGGGAGGCTGAGGCAGGAGAGTGGCGTGAACCCGGGAGGCGGAGCTTGTAGTGAGCCGGGATAGCTCCACTGCACTCCAGCCCCTGGGTGACAGAGGGAGACTCGTCTCAAAAAAAAAAAAAAAAAAAAAAAAAAAAAAAAAAAACAAAAAAAAACCCAAACAAACAAGATGCAGATATGCATGCAGGAGGATTATTAGGCAGTGCCTTTGGGATTAACATGGGTCTCAGAGGCCTTAGCCAACCCCACAGGGAGCTCTGCCACTGAGATGGTCCTTTGGAGAGGTTCATAGTTGGGGCAAGGGGACTTTGCCTTGGCACTCCTGGAGGTAGGCTGCCCCTGGAGAAGGGGCAGAACCTTGGAGAAGTCAGCTCAGACTGGAAGGCAGCGAGCAGCACTGCTGCCAGCTGAGGTAATCACTGTCTTGGTCATGACGGACTAATTTGAACAGCACATTACAGCACTCACTACAAATCTCTGATTCCCCAAGGCAGTCATTGTGGTCCATTTGGATTTTATATTTTCCACCATTTTAAATATAAAATATATATACATGTTCGTGTATATGTATAACACATCTATACATATATTTTTTATATACACACATACACAAACACTCAAGAAAATACATAGCCTTGTTCCATGTGTGCCTTTCTTATATTATTATTATTATTTTGTTTTTGGAGGCAGGGCCTAACTCCATCATTCAAGCTGAAGAGCATAGCTCTCTACAGCCTCAAACACCTGGGCTCAAGTGATTCTCCTGCCTCAGCCTCCCAAGTAGCTAGGACTACAGGTGAACACCACCATGCTTGGCTAATTTCTTTTCTTTAATTTTGTAGAGACGGGGTCTTGCCACGTTGCCCAACCTGGTCTTGAGCTCCTGGGCTCAAGCAATCCTCCCACCTTAGCCTCCCAAAGGGGTGAGATTATAGGTGTGAGCCACTGTGCCCAGCCTTCTTATATTATTATAAGCTATTTTCACTCAGTGGTCGGCAGCCTATCTGTTTGCATATGTATGTACACATTCTCAATAATGAATTTGTCTTGGAAAGCCATCCATATTAGGACATCCAGTTCTATTCCATTTTCCCTCTCCTCAGTCCCTTCCCCATCCCCATTCAAATGAACATGGTCCTATGTTTTAGATTAAACTGTATGAAGTTGGAATTTTGGAAGGTTAAACATACTGGCCATTTTTTCATGCGTGGTGGCTCATGCCTGTAATCCTAGCACTTTGTGAGGCTGAAGAAGGTGAATCACTTGAGCACAGGAGTTGGAGGCCAGCCTGGCCAACATGACAAAACCCTGTCTCTACTATAAATATAAAAATTAGCCGGGCATGGTGGCTTGCACCTGCAGTCCCAGCTACTCTGGAGGCTGAGGCACAAGGATTATTTGAGCCCAGGAGGTGAAGGCAGCAGTGAGCTGTGATTGCACCACTGCACTTAAGCCTGGGTGAGAAAGCAAGACTCTTTCTTAAAAAAAAAAAAAGAAAAAAAATATATATATAATTTAAATATATATTTTAAAATATATATTTATATGTTATATATAAATTAATATATTATATATTAATTAAATTATATATTATATTATATTATATTTAAATATATATATGCCATGTTAGATGGTTTAACCCAAAATCTCCTCCAGAGAGACAGATCCTGAGAAAAAGGAAATGCTACATTTCCAGAGGTGGGAATTTTACTATCCCAATGGAATGGAAGTTTAATGCAAAGTCAATATTCAGAAAATAAAGAAA
Source organism: Homo sapiens (assembly GCF_000001405.40). Classification (NCBI taxonomy): domain Eukaryota; kingdom Metazoa; phylum Chordata; class Mammalia; order Primates; family Hominidae; genus Homo; species Homo sapiens. The sequence continues at coordinate 127,779,210 of NC_000008.11, read as the reverse complement.
GTGGTATTTCTTGCAGTATAGATCATCACTGGGCTGAGATTTACATTTCCATCACGTATGGTCTCATCCTGGATGGCTCAGCATCCACAGAGCTGCTGCATCACAGCTACCGATTGCCAATCTGAGAATTAGAGTTGGTAACTCCGGCTGCCCTCATGAAAACTGATGTCCCAGGATGAGGGAAACTCTTGACAGTCATTATTGATTCATAATATTTTCACTCCTGTTTGCACATTCAGGCTTGTCAACAGAGGTTTGTATCTTTCAATTAGCCAAGTGTGGTGGTGCATGCCTGTAATCCCAGCCAATGGGAGGCTGAAGCATGAGAATTGCTTGAACCCAGGATATGGAGGTTGCAGTGAGCTGAGATCACTCCACTGCACTCCAGCCTGAGTGACAGAGAAAGACTCTGTCTCAAAAAAAAAAAAAAGATGTCTGTGTCTTTCTCTTTGTAAATGTTGCATGTATTCTACCTCATCTAGAATACCAGAATTTATTTAACCGTGCTTAGGAGTTGCTTAGGGATAAATAGTTAGGGTTGCTTCTGATTTTTTTTCTATTATGTACATTGCTGCAATGAACATCTTTGTGAACTTCAGAAAACTTCAATTTTTTTCTTCTAATTTTACCTTTATTTTATTTATATTATTCACATTATTTTAAAAACATTTTCACACATACAGAAAAAAGAATATTACAGATCTACAATGTAGATTCATTAATTATTAACATTTCCTCATATTTGATTACTTTTCATGGCTGAGATATTTATTTCAGAGTAAGTTACAGATTATCGCTAAATATTTCAACATGCATGTCCCCAAAACAAGGACATTCTCTCAACCACAACAAGATATCCACACTTAAAAAAATTAAACAATAATAGCATAATCAAATTTTTCCAACTGTCTCTCAAATATCTTTTCTAGCTATGTTTTTCTAAAACCAGGTCCAATCAAGGACAAGGTCATGAGTCTCTTTTAATCTCCAAGAGTCATTCCTGCCTCCTTTTTTTCATGACTTTGACTTTTTGGAGAAATCAGGCCTGTTATCTCGTAGACGATTCTATATTTTAACTTGTCTTTTCGTGTGTGTGTGTTTTCTTTCTACAGTAAAGCCCTACCAATTCAGCATCTGAATTTGGTCTTTATAAATTTTTAGCAAAATAATATTTTAGCTGGATAGATTTACAAGCAACTAGAGGACCTGAATTTTAGTCCAGTGGTTCTCTATTGTAGGTAATCCCCCAACCCTGGCCCCAGGAGACATTTGGCAGTATCCAAAGGTATTTTTGGCCATTACAAATGGAGAAAATGATGCTAACAGCATTTGATATATAGAGGCCAGGGATGCTTCTAACTATTCTGCAATGCACAGGACAGCCCTCTCATAACAAAGAATTTTCTGGTCTAAATGTCAGTAGTGGCTGGGAGCGGTGGCTCACGCCTGTAATCCCAACACTTTGGGAGGCCGAGGCCAGTGGATCACTTGAGGCCAGGAGTTCAAGACCATCCTGGCCAAAATGGTGAAACCTGATCTCTACTAAAAATACAAAAATTGTTGGGCGCAGTGGCTCACGCCTGTAATCCCAGCACTTTGGGAGGCCGAGGCAGGCGGATCACGAGGTCAGGAGATCGATACCATCCTGGCTAACATGGTGAAACGCCGTCTCTACTAAAAATACAAAAAATTAGCCAGGGCGTGGTGGTGGGCGCTTGTAGTCCCAGCTACTTGGGAGGCTGAGGCAGGAGAATGGCGTGAACCCAGGAGGCGGAGCTTGCAGTGAGCTGATATCGTGCCACTGCACTCCAGCCTGGGCGACAGAGCAAGACTCCGTCTCAAAAAAATAAATAAATAAAAATTAAAAAAAAATACAAAAATTAGCTGGGTGTAGTGGCACCTGCCTGTAATCCCAGCTACATGAGAGGCTGAGGCAGGAGAATCACTTAAACCCGGTGGGTGGAGGTTGCAGTGAACTGAGATCGCGCCACTGCACTCCAGCATAAGCAACAGAGTAAGACTCCATCTTAAAATAATAAATAAATAAATATCAATAGTTACCCTCTGAGCCCATTTTGTTTATATTTAAAAACATATAAATAAATAAAATGTGAATAGTGGTGAGGCTGGGAAACCCTGCTCTAATTCATGACTCTGACATTAAATCCCTCTATGACCTTGGGCAAGTGCCGTTCTGTCTCTGGCCCTTTTCGAGGGTTCTTTCCAGCTCCAAATCAGTTGAACAGAGAAGCTCTGTTGCTATACTGGCATCTCTACAGCTGAGACGGAGTGGCTCAGAAGCGCTCCATGCCAAAACCTCCTATTTGACTGACAGTAGGTCAAGTTCACATCCTGTCTTATCACTAACATCCACTTTCACACACTGTAGACAAACTGTGTTGGAGCCAACCTATACAAGACAGTTTGGATAGACCCAGCCATGAGACAAATGGGATGTGACTAAACAATGCTACAGTGTTGCCTGTCTCTGGTCATTCTCATGATCGACCAAATATGTGGGTTATGAACTGACGGAAAAGGAGAGCAATACAGAAAGCAAAATGTCAGGACGGTCACACTCTTTATTATGATTGTGAGGTGAGAGCAAGGGTGATCCAGATCACCGCAAAATAGGCTATCTGAAAATCACTGGACCCTGAATACCTGTTGACCTGTTGAAGGCCTCCCCTGAGATTCTGACTAGCCTTGGTTCCATATCCGTGTGTAAACCAGCCACCACAAATTGGGTCTCTGCTACATGCCAGGTACTCTACCAGGCATCTAAACACATATTATTCATAAAATGTTTAACTCGTTACTACCACTCTGTGGCAAACTGTACTTCCCAAAAATGGCCTTAAGAAAGTCTCTCATCTCTTTTTGCAGTGTGGGTTGGTTTTCCTTCCACTGACAGGTAGATTCAATGTTCCCTCTGAATCTAGCTGGGCTTGTGACTACAAAAAAAGTGATACTATGACTTCTGGGGCTGGGTCATAAAGCGTAACAAAGTGCCTCTCTGGAGCTCTTGGGCCACTCATTCTTAGAACTGAACTAACCTGGCCTGGGCAATATTGTGAAACCCCATTGTGATAGAAAGTACAAAAATTGGCCAGGTGTGCTGGTATGCACCTGTAGTCCCAGCTACTCAGGAGGCTGAGGTGGGAGGATCACCTGAACCCAGGAGGTTGAGGCTACAGTGAGCCATCATCATACCACTGTACTGCAGCCTGGGCCACAGAGAGAGACCCCATGAAAACAAAAAACAAAAAACAAAAAAACCCGAGCTACCATGCCGCAAGGAAACCCAATAAAGCTATGGCAAAACCCAGGCTCCCAGCACACAGTCCCAGCACAGCTCCCAGCTGACAGCTGGCACCAACCTACCTACCACCCATGTGAGTGCACCACCATGAAAGTGGATCCCCTGGCTGGGTGCGGTGGCTCATGCTTGTAACCCCAACACTTTGGGAGGCCAAGGTGGGTGGATCACAAGGTCAAGAAATCGAGACAATCCTGGCCAACATGGTGAAACCCTGTCTCTACTAAAAATACAAAAATTAGCTGGGCATGGTGACGCATGCCTGTAGTTCCAGCTACTTGGGAAGCTGAGGCAGAAGAATCACTTGAATCCGGGAGGCGGAGGTTACAGTGAGCCGAGATCATGCCACTGCACTCCAGCCTGGGGGACAAGAGCCAGACTCCGTCTCAAAAAAAAAAAAGAAAAGAAAAAGAAAGTGGAGCCCCAAGTGACCTTAGTTCACACTCTTTTCTCAAGAATTGAAGGCTAGTGTGGAGTCAATAGTTTGCTGGAGGTGCTGGGAATGATTTTCTAGTCATTCCTAACAGTAAAAGTAGTAAAAAATACCTTCTGAAACCATACACAGTCCAAACTATTATTCTTTTGAATTTTCCATTACTATGGCTTATAACAGCTATTAATACAATGGCTGCCTGATTGTTGATTGATTCTCTGAGGTTGAACAAGTAGAAGAAGATGAGATTTTAGCTGCCAACAAAATAGGCAGTTGAGTCTAGGCTAATTCCTAAGCCATGGGATAGTTTTCAGTGTACTTTTTTTTATCCTCAAGGAAAAGAATATAACTCCATTTTTCTTTCATCCCTTTTTTACTCTCTTCAAGAAGAAATGTGGTTTCATGAAAATCATATGGGTTTTATTTACTTATTTATTATTTTATTTTTTTGAGACAGGGTCTCTCTCTATCTCCCAGACTGTAAGTACAGTGGCATGATCCTGGCTCACTGTAGCCTCAACCTCCTGGGCTCAAGCCATCATCCCACCTCAGCCTCCCAAGTAGCTGGGACTATAAGCATGTGTCACCAAGCCCCATTAATTTCAATATTTTTTTGTAGAGATTGGGTTTCGCCATGCTGCGTAGGCTGGTCTTGAACTCCTAGGCTCAAGCGATCTACCTACCTTAGCCTCCCAAAGTGTTGGGATTACAGGCGTGAGCCATCAAGCCCGGCCTGTATGGGTTTTAGAGTTACAGATTTCTCAACTACAATTCTGAGGTGATATTTATCTATCTTATCTATCTATCTATCTATCTTTCTTATTGCTAAAAAGAGATTTATTATGAGGATTGAGCTCACATGGTTATGGCAGCTGGAAAGTCCCACGATCTGCTGTCTGCAAGCTGGAGACCTAGGAAAGCTGGTGGTGTCGCTGGAAAGTCTGAGAGTCTTGGTATAGATTCCAATGCTAGCCTGAGTTCTGAGAATTAGGCGTGCTGAGGGCAGGGGAAGTTCAATTGAGCTCCAGCAGCCAGGAAGAGAGGGAGCAAATCCAATTGTCTTCTGCCTTCTTGATCTATTCAGGCCTTCAGTAGGCTAAGTGATGCTCACCTGCACTGGACAGGGTGATATTTACCCAGTCTACCAATTCAGATACAAATCACCTCCAGGAACACTTTCACCCACACACCCAGAAACAATGCTTAGCCAGCTCTCTGGAGATCCCCTGACCCTGTCAAGTTGACACATGAAATTAAATGAATTGTCATAGTAGCCATCTCTCAGGTTCTTGTGAAGAATTCATGAGATCACGTATATGAGAGAGATTAACATGGTAAGAAAATGCCTAGTAGATGAAACTTTCTTTACTTTTCTTTTCCATTCCTGAAGGAGACCATTATAAACTAACATATATATATATATTATATATAATATATACATATATTATAATATATGTATAATATATACATATATTATAATATATACATATATTATAATATATGTATATATACACATATAATATATACATATATTATATATATATAATTTTATTTTAAGTTCTGGAATACATGTGTAGAACATGCAGCTTTGTTACATAGGTATACATGTGCCATGGTGGTTTGCTCCACCTGTCAACCCATCATCTAGGTTTTAAGCCCCACATGCATTAGGTATTTGTCCTAATGCCCTCCCTCCCCTTGTCCCCCACCCCCGACAGGCCCCAGTATGTGATTTTTCCCTCCCCCTGTCCATGCGTTCTCATTGTTCAACTCCTACTTATGAGTGAGAACATGTGGTGTTTGGTTTTCTGTTCCTGTGTTAGTTTGCTGAAAATGATGGCTTCCAGCTTCATCCATGTCCCTGCAAAAGATATGAACTCATTCTTTTTTATGGCTGCATAGTATTCCATGGCATATATGTGCCACGTTTTCTTTATCCAGTGTATCATTGATGGGTATTTGGGTTGGTTCCAAGTCTTTGATATTGTAAATAGTGCTGTAATAAGCATATACGTGCATGTGTCTTTAGTAGAATGATTTATAATCCTTTGGGTATAAACCTAATAATGAGATTACTGGCTCTATATGGAAATGGTATTTCCAGTGTCTCTGGGATTACCAGCTTTCTCTAGGCTTAACAGAAACAAAGCAAATAAAGTAGTTACCCATTTCATATTTATATATGTGCGAATTTCACAAAAGGGTATGTGTGTATGTATGAACACACACTCACATGCAGTCACACACACTCACACCAAGTACAAGGTCAAAACTAGACCCAAGTACAGGTGCCCTTTAGATGTATCTAAGCAAATGGAGCTGTGGGTGATCACAACTGAAAGTAAAACATAACGTAAAAGTTCCAATTACAGTTATCCCCTAAGATAGCCTGTAAATTACAGGTTTTACCAAAGATAGGATCAGAGAGCATTTATCTGCAGCTCACTCTGTGGGTTGATAACAAATTGCCGTGTTCGCCAGGCACAGAATAGAGAAAGATTTGACTAGACGCTGAATGGGCCTCATTAGTAGAAACTCAGTACTTTCTACTTTCAGCAGGCAGGCTTTGATCCAGAACTCCACACACTGCAGCTCTGTTTGGGGCTTGCTGAGAGTTTTAGCAAGCTTTCACCAAGCAATGTGTTGTGCAGCCTATACCGAAAAAACATGTCCTTAGGTATTTCTTAATATCAACATCAAATTTGGAAGAACACCCTTACATGGGCTCTGTTCTCTTCTGGGAAACTGGCTTCAGCTGTTAGGAAACATGGTGTGGTTGCTAGAGGTCACATTGACTACCTCTTCTGACCAAGGTGTGGATTGAGAGAGGCAAGCTCTACCCGACTGCTGATCATTCATTATGCTTGTCTTCAAAGGAGGGCTTCGTGGGCAGGTAACCTGTGCAATCACAAAGGGCCCCCGCTCTCAGAAAAGCCCACATTTGGTTTAATGCTCTGTGGTAGCTGTCTTGAAATTCTTAGTAACATTTGAGTAAGGAAGCCTGCATTTTCACTTTGCACTGGGCCCTACAAATTATGTAGTCAGTCCTGTTGACCTCTGAGCCTTTGCACATAGTTGCCTGCCTGGAATGCTCTTCCCACCTCACTTGCCTGGGGAATCTCTGGTTTCCCTTCCATCCTTCCTTCCTTCTTTCCTTCCTTCCTTCCTTCCTTTCTTCCTTCGCCCCTCCCTCCCTCCCTTTCTTTTTCCTTCCCTCCCTCCCTGCTTTCCTTATTTTCTTGTTTCATTCCTCCCCTTAATAGTTGTTGAGTCCCTGATGTAGGTTCTACCTTATGCTGGAGGCCAGAGATTCCAGAGTTGACAAGACAGAAGTAGTCTTTGTCACTAGGGGCTGGTGAAGGAAAGAGACAAATACATTTATAAAGAAACAGGCTGGGTGCAGTGGCTTGCGCGTGTAGTTCCAGCACTTTGGGAGGCTGAGGTGGGCGGATCACTTGAGGCCAGGAGTTTGAGACCAGCTTGGCCAACATGGTGAAACCTCATGTCTATTAAAAATACAAAAATTAGCCAGGTGTTCTACTCAAATAAACTAGAAAATCTAGAAGAAATGGATAAATTCCTGGACACATACACCCTCCCAAGACTAAACTAGGAAGAATTTGAATCTCTTAATAGACCAATAACAGGCTCTGAAATTGAGGCAATAATTAATAGCTTAACAACCAAAAAAAGTCCAGGACCAGACGGATTCACAGCCGAATTCTACCAGAGGTACAAGGAGGAGCTGGTACCATTCCTTCTGAAACTATTCCAATCAGTAGAAAAAGAGGGAATCCTCCCTCATTTTATGAGGCCAGCATCATCCTGATGCCAAAGCCTGGCAGAGACAACAAAAAAAGATATTTTTAGACCAATATCCCTGATGAACATTGATGCAAAAATCCTCAATAAAATGCTGGCAAACCAAATCCAGCAGCACATCAAAAAGCTTATCCACCATGATCAAGTGGCCTTCATCCCTGGGATGCAAGGCTGCTTCAACATAGGCAAATCAATAAACATAATCCAGCATATAAACAGAACCAAAGACAAAAACCACATGATTATCTCAATAGATGCAGAAAGGTCTTCAACAAAATTCAACAACACTTCATGCTAAAAACTCTCAATAAATTAGGTATTGATGGGAAGTATCTAAAAATAATAAGAGATATTTATGACAAACCCACAGCCAATATCATACTGAATGGCCAAAAACTGGAAGCATTCCCTTTGAAAACTGGCACAAGACAGGGATGCCCTCTCTCACCACTCCTATTCAACATAGTGTTGGAAGTTTTGGCCAGGGCAATCAGGCAGGAGAAGGAAATAAAGGGTATTCAATTAGGAAAAGAGGAAGTCAAATTGTCCTTGTTTGCAGATGACATGATCGTATATCTAGAAAACCCCAACGTCTCAGCCCAAAATCTCCTTAAGCTGATAAGCAACTTCAGCAAAGTCTCAGGATACAAAATCAATGTGCAAAAATCACAAGCATTCTTATACACCCATAGCAGACAAACAGGGAGCCAAATCATGAGTGAACTCCCATTCACAATTGCTTCAAAGAGAATAAAATACCTAGGAATACAAGGGATGGGAAGGACCTCTTCAAGGAGAACTGCAAATCACTGCTCAGCGAAATAAAAGAGGACACAAGCAAATGGAAGAACATTCCATGCTCATGGATAGGAAGAATCAATATTGTGAAAATGGACTTACTGCCCAAGGTAATTTATAGATTCAATGCCATCCCCATCAAGCTACCAATGACTTTCTTCACAGAATTGGAAAAAACTACTTTAAAGTTCACATGGAACCCAAAAAGAGCCCACATTGCCAAGTCAATCCTAAGCCAAAAGAAAAAAGCTGGAGGCACCATGCTACCTGACTTCAAACTATACTACAAGGCTACAGTAACCAAAACAGCATGGTACTGGTACCAAAACAGAGATATAGACCAATGGAACAGAACAGAGCCCTCAGAAATAATACCACACATCTACAACCATCTGATCTTTGACAAACCTGACAAAAACAAGAAATGGGGAAAGGATTCCCTATTTAATAAATGGTGCTGGGAAAACTGGCTAGCCATATGTAGAAAGCTGAAACTGAATCCCTTCCTTACACCTTATACAAAAATTAATTCAACATGGATTAACGACTTAAATGTTAGACCTAATACCATAAAAACCCTAGAAGAAAACTTAGGCAATACCATTCAGGACATAGGCATGGGCAAGGACTTCATGTCTAAAACACAAAAAGCGATGGCAACAAAAGCCAAAATTGACAATGGGATCTAATTAAACTAAAGAGCTTCTGCACAGCAAAAGAAACTACCATCAGAGTGAACAGGCAACCTACAGAATGGGAGAAAAATTTTGCCATCTACTCATCTGACAAAGGACTAATATCCAGAATCTACAAAGAACGCAAACAAATTTACAAGAAAAAAAACAAACAACCCCATCAAAAAGTGGGCAAAGGATATGAATAGACACTTCTCAAAAGAAGACATTTATGCAGCCAACAGACACATGAAAAAATGCTCATCATCACTGGCCATCAGAGAAATGCAAATCAAAACCACTATCTCACACCAGTTAGAATGGCAATCATTAAAACGTCAGGAAACAACAGGTGCTGGAGAGGATGTGGATAAATAGGAACACTTTTACACCGTTGGTGGGACCGTAAACTAGTTCAACCATTGCAGAAGACAGTGTGGCGATTCCTCAGGGATCTAGAACTAGAAATACCATTTGATCCAGCCATCCCATTACTGGATATATACCCAAAGGAATATAAATCATGCTGCTATAAAGACACATGCACATGTATGTTTATTGCGGCACTATTCACAATAGCAAAGACTTGGAACCAACACAAATGTCCAACAATGATAGACTGGACTAAGAAAATGTGGCACATACACCATGGAATACTATGCAGCCGTAAAAATGATGCATTCATGTCCTTTGTAGGGATATGGGTGAAGCTGGAAACCATCATTCTCAGCAAACTATCGCAAGGACAAAAAACCAAACACTGCATGTTCTCACTCATAGATGGGAATTGAACAATGAGAACACATGGACACAGGAAGGGGAACATCACACACAGGGGCCTGTTGTGGGGTGGGGGGAGGGGGGAGGGATAGCATTAGGAGATATACCTAATGTAAATGACGAGTTAATGGGTGCAGCACACCAACATGGCACATGTATACATATGTAACAAACCTGCACATTGTGCACATGTACCCTAGAACTTAAAGTATAAAATATATATATATATATATATATATATATATATATAAAGAAGATAGATGTCCCTTAACAGCTACTCAGGAGCGAGGCGGTAAATGGAAAGAGTACCGGACTTGAAGTCAGGAGTGCTCTATTCTTTTTACTCATGAATACTTGCCACTAGATACAGTTTGCTTATCTACCAATTGGGCATATTACTATTTTACCTTGTAAGGTTATTTTGAAAATCAAGACGTGTGAACAGTGCTTCATGGATTGCCTGTGTACTGGCATGCCCAGTTTCTATTATATAGGAAACTGATACTCAATCCTTTAAGTAATAAAACATTTAAAAATACATATGTAACCCCTAGGCCACATATATATGCTGTATAATATGTATAATTGTGGATTGAGAATAAAAAATGCTATATGTTAAGTCCTATTAAAACTAACATTTGTTGAATGCTTACCAAAAAAAAAAAAAAAAAAAAATTAGCCAGGTATGGTGGTGCACGCCTATAATCCCAGCTACTCGGGAAGCTGAGGCAGGAGAATCACTTGAACCTGGGAGGCAGCGGTTGCAGTGAGCTGAAATCATGCCACTGCACTCCAGCCTGGGCAACACAGTGAGATTCTATCTTAAAAAAAAAAAGAGGAAACCAAAAAAAAGTTTGTTTTAGATTACAGACCTTGCTGGCCAGGTGCCGTGGCTCATGCCTATAATCCCAGCACTTTGGGAGGTCGAGTGGGCAGATCAATTGAGGCCAGAAGTTCAAGACCATCCTGGCCAATATAGTGAAATCCTGTCCCTATTAAAAGTACAAATATTAGCCTGGCGTGGGGGCGTGCCTGTAATCCCAGCTACTCGGGAGGCTGAGGAGCGAGAATCGCTTGAACCGCGGAGTCAAAGGTTGCAGCGAACCGAGATAGCACCACTGTACTCCAGCCTGGGTGACAGAATGAGACTCTGTCTCAAATAAATAATAGAACTTCCTGTGAAGAAAACACACAGGGTGCTGAAAAAAGAATTGCAACCAAGGAGGGAGTGGGCCCACTTTGGGGAGGGCAGTCAGTGGTTTCAGATCCAGGCTCTACCAAAGAGTCCCCTTCCTCTCTACTTTGAGAAGAGCTGTCCTCTCCCCTGCTGAGCTCAGGTTGTACTTCCTTCCTCACTCATTTCTCTATTGCTGCGCTGGCCACACTTAAAGGCAATTATATGTGGACACTTCGTCTCCCCTACTGCTGCGTGAGTTATGAGTTGCTTAAGGAGCAAGCCCAGGTCATAAGCATTTTTCTCTCTCCACACTCTGTGGATGCTTTAATAAATACTGAACCATGCCACAATGCTTTGTTACTTTGCATCATGGTTCACACAGGAGGAGAGGGGACAATTTGGCCTCCCAAGGGACATTTGGCAATGCCAGGAGGCATTATTAATTGTCATGACCTGGGATGGGAGAGCTACTGGGATCTGGTGGGCAAAGGCCAGAGATACAGAAACATCCAATAAGACATAGAACAGGTGGCCAGGTGCGGTGGCTTACACCTGTAATCCCAGCACTTTGGGAGGCTGAGGCGGGCAGATCACAAGGTCAGGAGTTCGACACCAGCCTGGCCAACATGGTGAAACCCCGTCTCTACTAAATATACAAAAATTAGCTGGGCGAGGTGGCACACACTTGTAATCCTAACTACCCAGGAAGCTGAGGCAGGAGAATTGCTTGAACCCGGGAGGCAGAGGTTGCAGTGAGCTGAGATGATGCCATTGCACTCCAGCCCATGGACAGAGGGAGACTCCATCTCGGAAAAAGAAAAAAAAGACACAGAATGGTCCCTACAACAGAGAGCTATCCAGCCCAAAATGTTAGTAGTGCTGAGTGAGATTGGAAAACCCTACTTGACACCTTATGCATCACACAGAATTACATATATGAATACTATTTTAAAATGTGAACTGGAATCACCTATCTCCTGCTTTCCAGCAGGACCACACTGAAGAGGTTCCCCTTTAGGACGCCTCTCAGAGGCAGCCCCATGGCCTCTGTGGCACACTGCAGCGTCTACCAGTGTCTACCAGAAACCGGAGTTTCTCCCTGCTTGTTCCCACTGTGATTGCATGAGCTCATTTATGCTAAGGATTGAAGTAGGCACTGGCCAGACATAATTTTCTCTTATCCAGTCCTTTTTTTCCCCATCTTTTTTCTGACCTAAGTTTCTCCTGATGCAGCTGAAATCCATTTCCTCAGCAGGGGATGTTTCTGAGCTCACCAGGGTGCATTGCATACTGTCTGGGAAGATGATTGAGCAAGGCCAAGAGCAAATAGCTACTCAAAGGATTTGGGGTTGAGGAAGGAAAGAACTAAAATTTGGTAAGAGCTCTTATGAAGGGCCAAGTACTTTCCCCAGTATAATCTTCAACACAAAGTTTCAAGGGAGATATTATTAGCCTCTCACCCTGACTTCTATAAAGGAAGAAACTGAGACACAATGATTCTTACAAAGTTACACAGCTACTACGTAGTCAAACTCAGATGAAGCCCAGATATTTTCTGATGCTAATGCTTGAGCTTGTTCTGTCACTGATGTTTACAAGTTATGCTGCCTGTGTTTTAATGTTCTTTCCTCATTTGAAAATGGATGTGAGGTTCCTCATGAGTATATATTTCAACAAGAGAAAAAATAAGTAAAGAAATCAGGATAACAAAAATTAAAAAAAGAAAAATAGAATGAAGCCAGGACAAGGTTAGTACTAAAAATAAGCGCCATACAATCTTATGAGCTTGCTGTAGATAGACTGCAGTTTGACTTGGAGCTTCCTACTAGCCAGGGCAAAAAGGGAAATTTCTTCATTTATTTGCTCCTAATGTCCTCAGAGCTTAAAATAAAATACATATATTAAAAGTAAGGTTATAGGCCAGGCGTGGTGGCTCGCACCTGTAATCCCAGCACTTTGGGAGGCGGAGGTGGGCAGATCACTTGAGATCAGGAGTTGGAGATCAGCCTACCCAACATGGTAAAATCCCATCTCTACTAAAAATAAAAAAATTAGCCCAGCATGTTGGTGCCCCTTTAAACCCAGCTACTTGGGAGGCTGAGGCAGGAGAATCGCTTGAACCAGGGAGGTGGAGGTTGCGGTGAGCCAAGATCATGCCACTGCACTCCAGCCTAGGCAACAGAGTGAGTGAGACGCTGTTTCAAAATGAATGAATGAGTAAATAAATAAATAAAAGTAAGGTTATAATCTCTGGTTCCAAAGAGAAGAGTTATCTTGGCACTGAGATAGAGGTTTCTCCAGTGAATTCTTACAAAGGTGACTATAATAAAATGATGATCTTTGTGGATATCCCTATTAAGTGACCATAGTAAATCTTGGTTCAGATGCAAATACTAATAACTCAGGTGAACAAAATGGTAATGTGGTCTGTTGATTAGCTGCAGGTTTGATTGAATTACATTTTGAGTTAAATTATAATTGTCAAAGAGACACTGTGGTTTATATGAGTCAAAGTAAGCTAGTAGTAACAAACAACTCCAAAGTCTCAGTGACTTACAACAATGAAGGCTTATTTTTATTATTATTGTTATTTTTAATTTTTTGGAGGTGGGGTCACTCTGTTGCCCAGGCTGGAGTAAAGTAGCGCAGTCTCAGTTCACTGCAACCTCTGCCTCCTGGGTTCAAGCAATTCTCCTGCCTCAGCCTCCTGAGTAGCTAGGACTGCAGGCATGTGTCACCACGCCCAGCTAATTTTTGAATTTTTTGTAGAGATGGCATTTCACCATGTTGGCCAGGCTGGTCTTGAACTTCTGACCTCAGGTGATCCTCCCACCTTGGCCTTCCAAAGTGCTGGGATTACAGGCTTGAGCCACAGTGCCCGGCCTCAACAAAGGCTTATTTCTTACACTGTATGTTCCTCCTGGGTTCACTGGGTGGTTCTGTCCTGTGTCATGCTCATCCAGGAGCCCAGACGAAAAAGCTTTATCCCTATGCTTCCAAGATTGCCATACAGGAACAAAGAGACACATCCAAAGTGACTTGCACAGAAAAACTTTTGCCTGAAAGTGTCATATCTCACTTCCACTCACATTTCACTGGCCAAGGCACATAAGAAGGCCACACCTAACAGAGGGGGCAGGGAAGTTAATTCTACCATGTTCCCAGGAGGAGGGAGAACTGGAAATATTTGGTGAACAAAGCTAATGACTATCTCTATGGAGTTATTTATTTATTTATTTTGAGACAGGGTCCCAGAGACTCTGTTTGCCCAGGCTGGAGTACAGTGATCCATGATAAAGATTCACTACAGCCTTGACATTCCGAGCTCAGATGATTCTCCCACCTCAGCCACTCGAGAAACTGGGACCACAAGCATGCACCACCAGGCCCAGCTAATTTTTTTTTTTGAGACAGAGTCTCACTCTGTCGCCCAGGCTGGAGCGCAGAGGTGTGATCTCGGCTCACTGCAACCTCCGCCTCCTGGGTTCAAGCGATTTTCCTGCCCCAGCCTCCTGAGTAGCTGGGATTATAGAAGCGCGCCACCATGCCCAGATAATTTTTGTATTTTTTTTAGTGGAGACGGGGTTTCACCATGTCGGTCAGGCTAGTCTCAAACTCCTGACCTCAGGTGATCTGCCCACCTCGGCCTCCCAAAGTGCTGGAATTTCAGGCATGAGCCACTGCGGCTGGCTGAAGGCCCAGCTAATTTTTAAAAATTTTTGTAGAGATGGGATCTGGCTATGTTGCCCAGGCTGGTCTCTAACTCTTGAACGCAAGCAATCCTCTCACCTTGACCTCCTAAAGTATTGGGATTACAGGTATAAGCTACTGTGCCCAGCCCCAGAGTAATTTTTTAAAATGATATACTAATTATCTATTGCTGTGTGACAAATTACCCCAAAAGTTAGCAAGCGAAAACAATAAACACTAATTATCTCACACCTTCTAAGAGACAGGAATCCTGGCTCAGCCTAGTTGGTGGTTCTGCTCCTGGTCTCTCTGGAGCCTGCACTCAAGCTCTCTGTCAAAGCTGCGGTCTTCTCAAGGCTGGACTCTGGGAGCATTCCCTCCCAGCGTCACTCACACGGCTTTGGAAAGGCCTCAGGTCTTCTCAGGTCTTTGCTGACTGTTGGCTGGAGACATTGGTTCCTCCTCTGTGGGCCTCTCCAAAGTGCAGCCATCAAAGTGGCAGCTGGCGTCCCCTGGGATGACTGATGGGAGGCAGAAAGCAAGAAGTGCCCAAGATAGGAGCCACAGTCTTTTTTTTTTCCTAATTTATTATTTATTTATTTAAAAAAAGGCCCTTACAGATTTATTACTGAACCAGCCACTAGTGCAGAGCATATAAACAAACAAGAGAAAACATTGTTTCAATAAAACGTGTCCCACTCTCCAGATGGGGGTGACATTTTCAGTTTGATATGTTAGGATGGTAGTGACCTGATACATCATAAGCGTGTGTGCCATCTCAGGCACAATTCCGTATAGCTCTAGTTTCGTTCTTCTCCAGTGTCTCTTTTTGGAGTGGTACCTGATTTTATTACTAGTTTTCATCTGCAGTTGCTCTTGGCAACTTCTGCCTGTGTATTTCCTGTGTACCTTGCGGTTGGCTGCTGTGTACAAGGAAACAAAGTTTAATTACCATTGACTTCCTCCCTGCCTGCAGTTAGCTGGTGATATTCTCACTGGCATCTCATCCGAAGCAGAACCAATATTCTGAATAATTCGCTGGATCTCATGCCTTCTGGTGAGGTCACTGCACCAGTCCCAGAGTTTGACAACCAGGGGGCTGGAGGCTGATATCTGGGGTGGGACTGGACATATACTCTTCCCCAGGGAAAGTTCCACAGTCCCTTTTCCTTTATGTGTCTTATTGTCATTTTTCCAGCTTGTGTATAATGCTTTTCCCATACAACTTTATTTTATATATATTTTTTGAGACAGAGTCTCGCTCTGTCGCCAGGCTGGAGTGCAGTGCTTCGACCTTGCCTCACTGCAACTTCCACCTTCTGGGTTCAAGTGATTCTCCTGCCTCAGCCTCCCAAGTAGCTGGGACTACAGGCGTGCACCACCAAGCCCAGCTAATTTTTGTATTTTTAGTAGAGACGAGGTTTCACCATGTTGGCCAAGATGGTCTCGATCTCTTGACCTCGTGATCCACCTGCCTTGGCCTCCCAAAGTGCTGGGATTACAGGAGTGAGTGACCATGCCTGGCCTCCCGTACAACTTTAAATCAACCCTTCCAACCAAATTGCCTTCCACAAACCCATATTTTATGGAAATATTAGAGCCTTAGGAGACTGTGGAAACAGAAGAAAATGAGGGAGAAAGCATG
This sequence comes from Homo sapiens, assembly GCF_000001405.40. Classification (NCBI taxonomy): domain Eukaryota; kingdom Metazoa; phylum Chordata; class Mammalia; order Primates; family Hominidae; genus Homo; species Homo sapiens. The sequence goes on along the minus strand of NC_000008.11, from coordinate 127,762,872 downwards.
CTGTACTTTCCTAATCAGAACATATTTAACAATTTTTCCCTCATGTATTCATTCAACCCACATTTTTTTACTGAGCATCTTCTGTGTGCTGGTTACTAAGCAGGTTCTGCAGATAAACTGGTGAACAACAAGAAAGACATGATGTTTATCTCAAGGAATTCGCAGCCTGAGAAAGGCCACCAGTTCAAAGTAGTAGACTGTCTCCAGGACATGAAGAATCAGCCAGAAGTAGAGTGCAGGTGTCCTGATGCTCATCAGCTCAAACCTGGAAGTCCTCCCTTTAATGGGCTCCAGTCCAGGCCTCCTTCCTCTTGTTGTTCTTGCCATCCATTGAATCCTATCATTTTCTTTCATATCTCAAAGGATTTGAAGGAACCATCAAATCTATAACCAGTTCTTTCTAGCAAGAATGGAGAATGGCACTGTTGGCCTTTACCCTCAACCACAGGGACACAAAGATGGGTAAATCGAGTCCCTGTTCTTGGGAGCTTACAGTCTGGAACATAAATTACAGTTTACTGTTGTCAGTATAATGATAGAAGTAAGCTGGAGCTTAGGGCTTCCCAAACTAGGGTATAGATACCAGTATGGAAATGGGACAGGACTTAAGGTGATACACAGAATTTTTTTTTTTTTTTTGAGGCAGAGTCTTACTCTGTCACCCAGGCTGGAGTGCAGTGGTGCGATCTTGGCTCACTGCAACCTCCACCTCTGAGATCAAGCGATTCTCATGCCTCAACCTCTCAAGTAGCTGGTATTACAGGCACGCGCCACCATGGCCGGCTAATTTTTGAATTTTTAGTGGAGACGGGGTTTCACTATGTTGGCCAGGCTGGTTTCAAACTCCTGACCTCAAATGATCTGCCAGCCTCAGCCTCCCAAAGTTCTGGGATTACAGGCGTGAGCCACTGCGCCCTGCCTACATAGACTTTTTATGGTAATAATTATATCTGTGTAATTTTAGTGAATATAAGGAAAAAATATAACCAACACCTTAATTCCGGGTTGAGATTTTCTCTATGCATTTATTCACTTAACAAATATATATTGACTGTTACTCCACCTGGCATTGTTCTAGCCCATTGGTATCCAGCAGTGAACAAACAGCTGAAAATCTCTGCCCTCATAGATTTGACATGAAATTCAAATCAATTATTTAAATGAAAAAAAAAATCCACAGATATAAAGAAGTAGGAGAGTGCAGCAGGCAGGAGCCAGTTCTGCCGCTTACTTGATGGGTGACTTCGGACCAGTTTCTTTTTTTTTTTTTTTTTTAAGACAGGGTCTCGCTCTGTTGCCCAGGCTGGAGCGCAGTGGCGCGATCTCCGCTCACTGAAAGCTACGCCTCCCGGGTTCACGTCGTTCTCCTGCCTCAGCCTCCCGAGTAGCTGGGACTACAGGCGCCCGCCACCACGCCTGGCTAATTTTTTGTATTTTTAGTAGAGACGGGGTTTCACCACGTTGGCCAGGATGGTCTCGATCTCCTGACCTCGTGATCTGCCCGCCTCGGCCTCCCAAAGTGCTGGGATTACAGGTGTGAGCCACCGCGCCCGGCGGGACCAGTTCCTTAACCTCTTGGTGCCCCTGTTTCCTTGTCTGCAGCACAGGGATGATGACGGTGCCTTCCTCACTAGGGTTGCTATGATCACTGCATGAGTGCCTGGAACACAGTAAGCTCCACATCAGTGTTTGTTAATTTTTTTAAAGTACAAGATAAAAATTGTGAAGATGAAGTAACGATTCAACGCTTGGAACCTTGGTCCAGGACATCTTCCCAAGCGCCTGGAGAACTTGTTGAGATGCGTCTTCCCCAGGATCCACCCTAGAGATTCTGACGTAGTAGATTTGGGGCAGGGCCCAGATTTTAACAACCTTCTCCTTCCCAGGCTTCCCTAGGAGTGAGACATCAAGCGCTGCTTTAGGGTTCAGATAAGGACTCCTCCAGGGCAGAGCCAGGATGGCTAAATGCCTCCCTCAAAACTGTGCCACTGGCAAATAGTTGGGTTCAGAGAGAGGTGTCAGGCAGAAGGAAAAGGTACAAAGAGGCAGGAGAGAATGGTTTGTTCATAAAACTGCGAGAAGTTTAACATGATTAGAGTGTCTGTTAGTTGCCTCTGATTTGGGGATATCTTGTGACTTGTTCCCTGACTGAAAATGCTGAATCAGGTTTAATGGAAATCTGCCAACAAGGAGGAGTATTTTGAAATTTTGAGGCGTTTTCATTTTAGACCTTAAGTTATTGCACTCAGAAACTCAAAGCAACTGCTATGAGAAAAACCAGTTCCAAGGGGATTTTGTATAAAAATCTGCAGGTTGTCAATGAGTTCCCTTTTAGCTGCAACCCTACTCCCACTCCAGTGATTTCAGAGGAGAAGGGAAGTGTAAAGAGTCTGTTAACCTTAACTCCTTAAAGAAAACAGCAGTTAGTACTCAATGGTCTTATGTGTTTTCAGGAAGCTTGGCTAGGAAGCAGTCTAAAGGAATAATGTTCCCAAAGGTTGCTTTCACAACCCTATACTGTGGTGGAGAGAATGCACTCTGGAATCTGATGAACGTAGGTTCGAATTCTGACTCCACCTTCAATCAGCTGCATGACTTTTGACAAACTACCTTGTTGCTTAAGCCCTCAGTATTCTCCTCGGTACAATGAGAAACACATAAAGAATGGGCAAGATAATGTGTGTGAAGGGCTTGGCACACTGCTTGGCACACAGTGTTCATAAAGTGACAACATATTGTTAATTTTTCACCAAAAAAGTGAACTGACATCCAGAAACTAAAAAGAGGAAGGCACAGGCAGTGCTAACAATGAGGAACCTTTTCGCCTGGGACTTCTGGAAGAAAAAAATCGGAAGGGTATGTGGCTAGGAGAGGACATTTGACTAAGGGTTGAGAATTTAGTTCAACTTTCAGAGGAACCCTAATGGCCTTGCACCCTAAAAGCAGAGAATAATGACATGCTTGGATGGGTGAAGGTGCTCGAAGTGAGGAGGGGCTTCCTTGCTTCCAGAATGCATGCCCATGCACACTCACATGCATACACATACGGCTTCCCTTAAACTGTCATTCAAGGCGGGAAAGTGGGAGGAAGAAAGAAAAGAGGCAGCAAGGGTGGGTGGGGAGCAGGAAGAGAAAGCCATGTCAAAAAAGGGAAGGAAATGGGCTTGGGAGTGGTTGGCTGTACAGAAGGCTGGAAGGAGAAAATAAAACTGGCTTCCAGTGAACGGAGCTCATTGCCCTCATTCAGATCCAACCCTGTGAATGGGTCTTTCCTGGATTGTTGAGTGCCTGCTGTGTGTACTTGCTAGTTTAGCACTGGGAGTGGAGTTGATTTATGCTATAAATCCAGCCCTGGAGGTTCTTATCCACCTGTAGTGAACTGAGTAGTGATCCTCCAAGTTCATGTCCACCAGGAACTTCAGAATGTGACCTTGTTTGGAAATAGAGTCTTTGCAGATGTAATTAGTTAGTTAAGATGAGATCATACTGAATTAGGGTGGACCTTAAATCCAATGACTGATTTAAATCCTTAAATCCACGCTGGGCAAGGTGGCTCATGCCTTTAATTCCAGCACTTTGGGAGACCGAGGCAGGTGGATCGCTTGAGGTCAGGAGCTCGAGACCAGCCTGGCCAACGTAGTGAATCCCTGTCTGTACTGAAAATACAAAAATTAGCTGGGCATGGTAGCATGCATCTCTGGTCCCAGCTACTTGGGAGCCTGACACGTGAGAATTTCGCTTGAACCCGGGAGGTGGAGGTTGCAGTGAGCTGAAGTCACACCACTGCACTATAGCCCAGGTGACAGAGTGAGACTATGTCTCAAAAAAGAAAAAAAAAATCAAGGACTTACAGAGATACATACATGCAGGGGAGGAGGCCATGTGAAGTCAGAGGCAGAGATTGTAGAGATGCATCTACATGCCAAGGAAAGCCAAGGAATGCCAGCATCTACTAGAAGCTGGGAAAGGCAGGGAATGACTTTCCTCTAGAATCTTCAGAGGGAGCACAGCCCTGCTGACACCTTAATTTTAGATTTCTAGTCTCTAGAACCGTGACAATAAAGTTTTATTGTTATAAGCCACACAATTCATCATAATCTGTTTTGGCAATCCTAGGAAACTAATATACCATCATAAGAGAAAAACAAGTAAGGTATGGCGGCTCACACCTGTAACCCCAGCAGTCTGAGGGGCCAATGCAGGAAGATTGCTTGAACCCAGGAGTTCGAGGCCAGCCTGAGCAACACAGGGAGACCCCCATCTCTACAAAAAATTTAGAAAGTAGCCAGGTGTGGTAAGTAGCACTCGCCTGTAGTGATAGCTACTCTGGAGGCTGAGGTGGGAGGATTGCTTGAGCCTGGGAGGTCCAGGCTGCAGTGAGACATGATTGTGCCACTGTACTCCAGCCTGGATGACAGAGTGAGACCCTGTCTCAAAATAAATAAATAAATAAATAAGAAAAAGAAAACCAGAAAACAGGCTCTCCTCACTTTGTAAGGCACTGTATTCATGGAAACTCATTTGTGTCAGAACCGTGTCCTCATTTTTCATGGTTCCATGGTAACCAAGGTGAGGTCTCAGTTAACATGAGATATACTATCACATTGAGAAAAAAAGAAAAAAAGAACCATACAAAGCAAGGACTGCCTGTTTACACATGTGCACACACACATGAAAAACCACAGTCTATAATTCAACAGAAAATTCATCAAGTACAGTGCAAGGTGGCTGTCAGAAGACAAAGATGCAGAAGGAGCTGGAGTTAGTTGGGAAGGGCTTCCTGGCAGAAGCTAGTTTTGATCAGAGTTTTAAAAGGTTGGAAGAACTCGGGCTGTCAGAAAAGTCACAGGGGAATGTTGGGTGTTATTTTATTTCAGGATTCTGATACCTACTCTACCACTTGCTGGCTATGCCATCTTCACCTACTTGCACCTGTTTTCTCTTCTGTGGATAGGTGATCATACATCCCAGTTTGCCTGGGAACACCTAGACCTAATCAACCGCAGGAGCCACTTGCACTCTCAAAGGTGGCCTGGTTTGTATTAAAAACACTGGGGGGCCTGGCGCAGTGGCTCACGCCTGTTATCCCGGCACTTTGGGAGGTTGAGGCGGGTGGATCATGAGGTCAGGAGTTCGAGACCAGCCTGGCCAACATAGTGAAACCCCGTCTCTACTAAAAATACAAAAATTAGCCGGGCATGGTGGCAGGCACCTGTAGTCCCAGCTACTCGGGAGGCTGAGGCAGGAGAATTGCTTGAAACCGGAAGGCAGAGGTTGCAGTGAGCTGAGATCGCGCCACTGCACTCCAGCCTGGGCGAAAGAGCGAAACTCCATCTTAAAAAAATAAATAAAAAATAAAAATAAAAATAAAAACATTGGGATTGTCTTTATGTTTTACTTTATTTATTTACTTTTTGAGACAGAGTCTTGCTCTGTCACCCAGGCTGGAGTGCAGTGGCATGATCGGCTCACTGGAACCTCCACCTCCTGGGTTCAAGTGATTCTCGTGCCACAGCCACCCGAATAGCTGGGACTACAGGCATGTGCCATCACACCTGGCTAATTTTTTTGTACTTTTGATAGAGATAGGGTTTTGCCATGTTGGCCAGGCTGGTCTTGAAATCCTGACCTCAAGTGATCAGCCCGCCTTGGCCTCCAAAAGTGTTGGGACTACAGGTGTGAGCCACTGCTCCCAGCCTACTTTTCACTTTCCAAATATTAAGTTATAACATCATATTAAATATGCATTTCAAATGGCAATTTCTCTGGAGATTCTGATACTCAACTATCTTATGGTGGGGCATTCTCTGAATAGAGAACCACCTGACTGGGGCACCACTGAGTCATTTCCAGGCAATTCAGCCTAAGGTTTTACAGCAAGGACTCTGGAATCAGATCGAGCTGGGATTATACCTAAAGACCACCACTGTGAGCTATGTGACCTTGACATTCATTTACAACTGCCCCTTTCCCAATTTGGACAGCCAGTTTTCTCATTAATGCAATTAAGCTGATAGTAATGCACCATCTGTAGAATTGTTCAGCTGATTAGATGGTATATAAAATCCTTAGCACAAAACCTTTCATAAAATAGTAATTTCTTAAATGACAGTTTTGGTCGGGCCTGGTGGCTCACGCCTGTAATTCCAGCACTTTGGGAGACCAAGGCGGGTGGATCATCTGAGGTCAGGAGTTGGAGACCAGCCTGGCCAACATGATGAAACCCCATCTCTAGTAAAAATACAAAAATTAGCCGGGCATGGTGGTGGGCGCCTGTAATCCCAGCTACTTAAGAGGCTGAGGCAAGAGAATCGCATGAACCCGGGAGGCGGAGGTTGCGGTGAGCCGAGATCGCGCCACTGCATTCCAACTTGGTGATAGAGCGAGACTCTGTCTCAAAAAAAAAAAAAAAAAAAAAAAAAGGCAGTTTTTTAAAAAATCTGAGAATTGTGTTTAAACTGCACAGAGTTTATTTGGGTTTGATACTTCGAGACAGTAAGAGTGGAGACACTATAGTGTGTAGACCACCCTATCAGCTGTGTTGCGAGTGGGGGCTGATCTCCAGTACAAACTATCCCCAAATTAGATAGTGAAAGAACAAAATATGCAGCCATTGACTGAAAAGATGCAACTACCCAGGGTTTGGTTGTATGTATACCCTGTTATGACTTGCAGTGTTTCTGTCTCTGTGCCATTTTTTTTTTAAAGGTTGTTGCCTCAGAGCAAGACAGCATGAAATTGTGGGGAAAATTTAAAGCATGCTTCATCCTTCATGGCTTTTTAGTTGCAAGAAGCAGAAGCTCCTACTGGCTAATTTAGAGGAATTTTCTAGAAGGGTGTTGGAGAGCTCTAGAACTGATGGAGATAGGGAAGCCAGGGTAGAGACAGGTTTGACCCAGGCAGCGCCAAGTGTTTAGAGAGCTGGATGACTCAGTCACTCCAGGGACAGGCACCAGAAGAGATGTGCTCTGTTTAGGGTCATTCCAGTTAAGTAAGATTCAAAGTCTGGCCGGGTGCAGTGGTTCACGCCTGTAATCCCAGCACTTTGGGAGGCCAAGGCGGTCAGATCACACAGTCAAGAGATCGAGACCATCCTGGCCAACATGGTGAAACCCCGTTTCTACTAAAAATGCAAAACTTAGCTGGGCATAGTGGCATGCACCTGTAGTCCCAGCTATTTGGGAGGCTGAGGCATGAGAATCACTTGAACCTGGGAGGTGGAGGTTGCAATGAGCCGAGATCATGCCACTGCACTCCAGCCTGGAGACAGGGCGAGACTCCATCTCAAAAAAACACAAAACAAAACAAAACAAAACCAAAAACCAAAAAAAAACAAAAAAACAAAAAAAGATTCAAAGTTCTGAGAGAAAGAGTCTGTGCCATCTCTTCTGGACATCTCTGTGGCTAGAAGAGGGAAGGCACTTCCTTGGGCCTACAAAGACCACCCACAATGGGTAAGAGAAAATTCCAGGTTGGGCCTGGTGACATTTGCTTGTAATCCCAGCACTTTAGGAGGCCAAGGCAGGAGCATCACTTGAGTCCAGGAGTTCAAGACCAACCTGGGCCACATGGTGAGACCCTGACTCTACTGAAAAACTTTTTTTAAAATTTAAAAATAAAGTATATATATACACACACACACAAACACACATATATACACACACACACGTATATATATTTAAGACAAGGTCTCGCTGTGTCACCCAGACTAGAGTGCAGTGGCACAATCTCAGCCCACTGCAACCTCTGCCTCCTGGGTTCAAGTGATTCTTGTGCTTCAGCCTCCCGAGTAGCTGGGATTACAGGTGTGCACTAACACACCCAGCTAATTTTTATATTTTTAGTAGTAGAGATGGGGTTTTGGCATGTTGGCCCGGCTGATCTCGAACTCCTGGCCTCTAATGATCCACCCATCTTGGCCTCCCAAAGTGCTGGGATTACAAGTGTGAGCCACCATGCCTGGCCAAAAATAAATTTTTTAAAAGAGAGAAAATTCCAAAAAGAGATGGGATGCTTTACCCAAAGAGGAGGAAAGAACATTGAGCAGTCCCAATGCCATAAAGCTTCCCTGGAAATGAACTTGACCTGCTGTCTCAACCTATTCCTGCATGTCTGTGTCCTCTGCGTACCGTCTGTCTCCTGTCTGGACCTCAGCTTTTTCCCCTGTAAAATGAGGCTGTCCACTCACGTGACATTAGTAGTCTTTCCATCCAGATTGTTCTCTGGACTCTGGTAACTCTCACGGCTCTGATCTTTGATTTCCTTGCATTTAGACTCCCAAACCTCTCGCCACCAAGGTCACAAATGGAGACTGAGAAATCCAAGGCCAGTTTCTGAAGGGCAGATTACTGGCGGGAGGCCCTCTGGCAAAAGCCCACGGGAGTGTGGCAGGCATTCCACAACAGTGTTCACATTTATGCTGCAGAAGGCAGCAGTCTCGGTGCCTGGGAGGGAGATTATTTACAAGGTGAGGGGAATGACAGCCTGGTTTGTTAGGGAGAGAGAGAGGGCCCTGCCAGGCTCCTGGAAAAACAACCTCAGGATCCCTGTCTGGCCTGAGTAGACCTGGTGAGGGTTCATGAGGCTGGGGCGCAAAGATGTGGTTTCTGTCCGCTCTGCGTTCATCATGCCACATTGCTATTAGATCTTGAGGAGGCCCCAGCACCTCGGGGAATGCTTCCTCAGTGCTTCATCTGGGAGCCGTCCAGAGTCACACAGGGCACCTCATCAAAAGTTCAAAGCAGCTGAAACAGCCTTAAAACATGTTAAACTGGCACAAGCCATCATGGATTTTTCAGGTTTTGAAACTTCCTAAAGTATCTTAGCAGTAAGAGATGGCAGATGAGTCAGGCTGGATGTCAGAGCAGACTCGGGCTTGAATCCCAGCTCTTTCACTTTTTTGCTGGGGGACCTTGCACTATTTACTTAATTCCTCAGTCTTTTTTCTCATCTGTCTGTCAAATGTGCATAATCATAGTTACCTCTTCATGTGGTTGTCATGAAGATTCAATGAGAAGTGTTTTGCACAGTACTAGGTACACAGAAAACACACTACAAATGCTAGCGTTATTATTCTTTTTGTTTGCTTGTTATTTTGAGTCACGGTCTTACTGTATCACCCAGGCTGGAGTGCAGTGGTATGATCATAGCTCATTGCGGCCTTGACTGCCTGGGCTCAAGTAATCCTCCCACCTCAGCCTCTTGAGTAGCTGGAACTACAGGCACACCACCATGCATTGCTAATTTTTGTATTTTTTGTAGGGATAGGGTCTTGCTACGTTGCCCAGGTTGGCTTCAAACTCCTAGGATCAAGTGATAATCCTGCCTCAGCCTCCCAAAGTGCTGGGATTACAGGTGTGAGCCACTGCACTTGGCCTTACTATTCTTCATTGAAACTTTTTTTTTTTTTAATGGAGTCTCACTCTGTCACCCAGGCAGGAGTGCAATGGCACGATCTCGGCTCACTGCAATTTCCGCTTCCTGGGTTCAAGCAATTCTGCCTCAGCCTCCCAAGTAGCTGGGATTACAGGTGTGTGCCAGTCTAATTTTTGTATTTTTAGTAGAGACGGGTTTTCACCATATTGATCAGGCTGGTCTCGAACTCCTGAACTTGTGATCCGCCCACCTCAGCCTCCCAAAGTGCTGGGATTACAGGTGTGAGCCATTGCACCCAGCCTACTATTCTTATTATTACTGTTTTGTCCCAGCTGGAAAGACCTTAACATTACCTGGTCTGGACTTACTGACCCATACTACAGGCAGGATACTGAGGCCTGGAGGGAGATAATGGCAGTGTAGAAAATCCAGTGTCCAGTCATACCTGTAATCCTAGCACTTTGCGGGGCTGAGGCGGGTGGATCACCTGAGGTCAGGAGTTTGAGACCAGCCCAACCAACATGACGAAACCCCATCTTTACTAAAAATACAAAAATTAGCTGGGCGTGGTGGCAGGTGTCTGTAATCCCAGTTACTTGGGGGGCCGAGGCAGGAGAATCACTTGAACCCGGGAGGAGGAGGCTGCAGTGAGCCAAGATTGTGCCACTGCACTCTAGCATGGGCGACAGAGAGAGACTCCAACTCTGTCTCAAAACAAAAAAAAAAAAGAAAATCCGGTGTCCTAACATTCAGCACCATGACTTTGCCCCCACCCCACTCCCTTTTTTTTTTAGATGGACTCTCGCTCTGTCACCCAGCAAGGAGTACAGTGGCTCAGTCTTGGCTCACTGCAACATCTGCCTCCTGGGTTCAAGCGATTCTCCTGCCTCAGCCCCCTGAGTAGCTGGGATTATAGGCCCACGCCACCACGCCCGGCTAATTTTTGTATTTTAGTAGAGACGAGGTCTCACCATGTTGGCCAGGATGGTCTCAAACTCCTGATATCAAGTGATCTGCCTTGGCCTCCCGAAGTGCTGGGATTATAGGTGTGAGCCACCATGCCTGACCTACTTTCCCCTTGACCATGAGGATGGTGCCACCTTGACCACAGGACCCAGATAGCCCTGGTGGGATCAATGTGACCTTCCCCACTGTGGAGTTTGTCTTTAGATAACAGTCCAAACTGTTTCACCAGGGCCCTGGATGATCTGACTTGGGCCCACCCATGGGTCTCCCCCAGGGGTGGAAATTCTCTTGTCCTTCCTGCTCCTTCCATTCTGCTTTGCTCTCCATTTCCTGAGCATGTCTCCCCCTCTCCCATAGCAGGGTCTCAGGATATTTGGCTTACCTAACTCCTACCCACCCTCCATGTCTTGGCTGAGAAACTTCCTGGAACTCCTAGGCTGTCAGATGCCCCCACATACTCTGTACTTCCTCACCCCACTACTTTGTGCCTTTGCATCTGTTTAGGTAATTATGTATGTAAATACTTGTATCATGCCACTCTTCTCTACTAGACTGTTGAATCTGTTTCTTCCACACGGGTGCCTCCTTTGTTTATCGGAGGTGCCCGATAAATATTTGTTGACTGGGCCAGTCTGGGTGTGGGCATAAGACCTGGCATGGACTTGGAAACGGGGTGAGTTTGAAAGCTTCATCTTAGTAGTAAGGCAAGTAAGCATCCTGCATCTCAGAAGACCTGAGGTCTTACTTTGCTTTGATAATCAGTTAGGATGCAACCAGGGCCCTGAGGTCATAAGCTAATTCAGCCAAAAGCCAGTAGAGGGATCTCAGGAAGATTGCGTCTTCTCCAGGGGCTTCATCTGGAAAGCGAATGCTAAGGTTGTCTCCAGCTCTGAGTCATCATCCTATATTTTAACCCATTTTAACCCTCAAGCAACCAGGCAGGTACAAACTCCTCTGGGCATAAATCTATCACCAGACTCTTTCTGGCCATGGATCTCAGCACCTGAGCACACCGACTGCATTTATTCAACCGTGTAATTGGGTCTGTTCTAGGTACCCAGTCTGTGCTAAGCATGGGCGATATCATGACATATAAGCAAGTAGTTCCAATTCTAATGGGGAAGCAGGAGGAGGAAATAGGCAATTTCAATATGGTGTGGTTGATGGGAAGTAGCAAAAAGTGGAGAAGGCTGGTGACAAGGAATCAGAAAGACCTAGGGTGAATCTTTGCAATGCATTGCTATGTGACCTTGAGAACGTTACCTGCTGACTCTAAATCTCAGTACCCTGAAGTGTAAAAGGAGGAAGTGTAATTTTCTAAGGGGGTGTTGTGAAAGAAAATGAAACATGAATAGCCTGGTGAATGAGAAGGGTACCACAGTGGTTAACGATTGCTGGCTATTGTGATCAAGATAACCATGGATAAGGGGAACCAGGAAAGTAGAGATCAGGTAGGGCTTCCATGAAGAAGTGACATTCAAAATGAGACATGGAGACTCGGGATGGGGGTTGCTGAATGAACATCTCTCAGGCAGAGGAAAGAGCAAGGGTAGAGATCCAAGGGGAGAATGTGCCTAGCATTTCAGAGACATTAGAAATTACCTCCATAAGTTTGTAGCCTAGATCGGAGCAGGTGATATGGCAGCAGATGAGGCAGGACAGGTAATCTGAGGGCAGATCTTGAACAGGTAGGAAGATAATTGTACTTTATACTCAGAGCAAGGAGAGTACTAAATTCCTATATGTTGGAGAGTGATCTGCTCTGTTAGCTTTTGAGGTAGCCTACTCCTGTGCCTTTGAGAAGCCTGCAGGGAGAAGATACTGCAGAGACCCCCAGGCACAGGGTGATGGTAGGCAGCAAGACAGCAGTAGCAATGGGCCAGGGGATGTGTGGACAGAGCCTAGAGTGTTTCAGAGGCAGAATCTAAAGGACTTTGTGATACATTAGAAAGGGAGGGTGAGGCCAGGCACAGTGGCTCACACCTGTCATCCCAACATTTTGGGAGGCTGAGGCAAGCAGATTGCTTGAGCCCAGAAATTTGAGATCAACCTGAGCAACATAGCAAAAACCCATCTCTACAAAAATTTTAAAATTAGCTGGGCATCTGTAGTCCTAGCTAGGGAGACTGAGGTGGGAGGATCATTTGAGCCTAGGAGGTTGAGGCTGCAGTGAACTGTGATCATGACATTGCACTCCAGCCTGGGTGGCAGAGTGAGACACTATCGGAAGGAAGGAAGGAAGGAAGGATGGAAGGAAGGAAGGAAGGAAGGAAGGAAGGGAAGGGAAGGGAAGGAAGGAAAAAAGGAATGAAGGAAGAAAGAAAGAAAGGGAAGGGAAGGAGAAGAGAGAAAAAGAGGGAGAAGGGAGGGAGGAAGGAAAGGGAAGGGGAGGGAAGGGAAGGGGAAGAGAGAAAGAGAGAGAGAGAGAAGGAAGGAAGGAAGGGAGAGAGAGAAAGAAAGAAGAAAGAAAGAAGAAAGAATAAAGAAAGAAAGAATAAAGAAAGAAAGAAAGAGAAAGAAAGAGAAAGAGAGAGAGAAGGAAGGAAGGAAAGTAGGAAAGGAAGGATGACGGAGGAGAAAGAGGGAAAGAAATTCTCATTTACTAAACCTGTGCTAGACCATTTCTCATATCTTGTCTCATTTAATTCTCTCAAAAGCTCTGGCAGAGAGGTATGGTTCCCACACTCTTCTGGCCACTCCTTTATTTCTTTCCCTGCTACAAATCAGGAAAGTCAGGCTCAGAACAGCAAGGTCTCCTCTAGGTCAGGCAGCTATCTGGGGGCACAGCCAGATTGAAACAAGTCTATGGGACTTTAGAAGCCACTTGCCATCTGCTCTGACATTCATTCCTCAACTTATTTGTTTCTCCCTTCCCCTGTGGAACTGTCTTTTTTTTTTTTTAGAGCTGGCGTTTCACTTTGTCACCCAGGCTGGAGTGCAGAGGTGCAATCATAGCTCTCTGCCTCTTCAAATTCCTGGACCCAAGGGGTCCTCTCATATAGCTGGGACTTCAGGCATGCATCACCCAGCTAATTTTTAATTTTTTTAAAGACAGGGTCTCACCATCTTGCCTGAGTTGGTCTTGAACTCCTGGGCTCAAGCAATTCTCCCACCTTGGCCTCTCAAAGTGCTGGGATTACAAGATCTAGCCACCACACCTGGCCTACTTATGGAGCTTTAAAAAAATATGAAATCCTAGGCGTCACTCTCTGAACATTCTGGTTTAGCAGTTCTTAGGTGGACTTTCGAAATCTCTATTTCACAAAAGGTAATTCTGAAAACCAGGTTTTTAAAAACATCTGCGCTACATTCTATGTAGCTCTCAGGAGCTTAGCAACACAATTGCCCAAAGAGTCAATGCAGAGAACATCTGTTCCTTTTTGCGTGCCCATCCTTTCCTTTTAGAACTTGTCTTTCCCCTTCCTGATGGTGCTACCAACCGAAGGGCCCCAAAGCTACCACAGGATGGGGGCTGGGATCCAGTTGATCCACTGGCCTCAGAGTGGGCACATGACTGCGGGAGACAACTGGAATCCTGTCTAAGGCTTTCGCCTTGGAGGGAAAGAGGGGTTCTGTCTTTGAGAGGCTTGTGTAAGCCTCCAAAGGCTGCCAGCCACCTTTGCCCCAGGTGGAGATAGATCCTGACTGAGATGAAACTACAGAGATGGGCTATTGTGTAAGCCTCTAGATTGAATCATTCCTGCTTTTTCAGTTACATAAACTAATATACACTTTTTTTTTTTTTTTTTTTTTTTTGCTTTTGCCCATTTGAGCTGAGTTTCTGTCATTTGTCACCAGGATATCCTGACTAATAGATTCAGAGAAGCTATTGCTGAGTCTTTTGCTATCTGTAATGAAGTAGGTAGACAAAAGGGAAGAGATTTGGCATGAGCTGAGGAGGCAGCATAGGACTGAGTGGGGTGAAAAAGACTGACAGTCCCAGGAAGTAGAAACTTAAACTATATGCACATACATCCATTTATTCATTCATTCATTTGTTTATATGCTCATTCATTTATTCAAAACAATTTTAGAGACTGGACATCATGCCTGGTCTTCAGGATATAGTTATGAAAGAGAAAGACATAGTCTTTGCCCACAAGGAATCTAGCAATAGAGAAAGAGAATTAAACAGGTTATTTACACACATGAGCACATGAACCTGTGCTGTGATAGAGGAAGGGGGGAGGGCTCTGGGAGTCCAGAGAAGGAGACCTGGCCTGGCCTTTGAAGTTCCTACCTGGAAGAATCACCACCTGGAGGTGAGGCTGTGTTCAGGAATGCATTCTTCCTCACCTCAGTTCCACACACAGCTGAGAGCTCCAGGCACTGAACAAAGATGGAAACTGCCCTGGAGATGCCTACATCTGGCTACATCATCCCCTTTGCTCCTGTATCTTCAGTTCTCCCTCTCTCAGCTCGGTCCCATCAGCATCTAAACTAATTATCTCTTCTATCTTTGATAACATAAAATACAATTTGGGCCGGGCACTGTGGCTCACGCCTGCAATCCCAGCACTTTGGGAGGCCGAGGTGGGTGGATCACGAGGTCAGGAGTTCAAGACCAGCCTGGCCAAGATGGTGAAACCCTGTTTCTACTAAAAATACAAAAAATTAGCTGGGTGTGGTGGCAGGAGCCTGTAATCCCAGCTACTCGGGAGTCTGAGGCAGAGAATTACTTGAACCTGGGAGGCGGAGGTTGCAGTGAGCCAAGATCATGACACTGCACTCCAGCCTGGGAGACAGAGCAAGACTCTGTCTCAAAATAAATAAATAAATAAATAAATAAATAAATAAATATAAAAGGAAAGAAAGATTGAGTCAATCAAATAAATCCAAATAAAAATGTTTGACTTCACTTGGTGTATTCATCTCTTTCCTTCTCTTCCCAGTTGAGTCTTGAAAGGTGGTTGAGAACTTTGCTCCTGCTTCCTCGGCTACTCATGCTCCAACATCCTTCACTCCATCAAAATGGGTCTTTATTCAGCCATTCATCAAAGGACTATTATTATTATTATTATTATTATTATTATTATTTGAGACAGAGTCTTGCTCTGTCACCCAGTCTGGAGTGCAGGGGCACAACCTCGGCTCACTGCAAACTCTGCCTCCTGGGTTCACATGATTTTCCTGCCTTAGCCTCCAAAGTAGCTGGGATTACAGGTGCCTGCCACAGCATCCTGCTAATTTTTGTATTTTTAGTAGAGACGGGGTTTCACCATTTTGACCAGGCTGGTCTTGATTCCTGACCTTGTGATCCACCCCCATCGGCCTCTCAAAGTACTGGAATTACAGGAGTGAGCCACTGTGCCAAGCCCCATCAAAGGATTATTGAGTTGCTATTAGATGCTGGGCACTTACGTTGCCACTGAAGATTCATTGTTAAACAAGACTGATAGTGGGTCCATTCCTCAAGGAGTTGATTTAAGAGGCAGGAAGAGCGATTTTCACAGAAGTGAGCAGTATTATCTCAGGCACTCCCATTCCCCTGTGGAAACTTGTCTGGAGGTCAGAGGATACTGGAAGGTGAGTCACAAAGGATGAAGAAGAGCATGGCAGGCTGGTGGGTAGCAGTGTCAGTGGATGGGTAGGTGGTGGGTGAACAGTGCTTTGAACAGAGGGGACAAGGCATCTGAAAAAGCTCACAGAACATGGACCACTGGGAAGAATGGCTTTGAACTTAATTCTGAAGATAGCAGGACCCCTCTGGATGGTTTTAAGCAGAGACGGGCATTATTTTATCTGTGATTCATAAGTAGCACTGGGATTGTGGAAGAGGATCACTGGGAATGATGGAGAAGGCAGAGGGTCTCAAACTTCATCAAGCGATCCAGGGCTTATTGAAATAGTTTTCTGGGCCCCATCTCCTGAGATTCTAATTCAGGCTGTGTACCCGCATTTGCAGCAAATACACACATGATGTGGATGCTGCTTGTCTGGAATCATGCTTTGGGAACTCTTGGAGAAGGTAGGGCAGGGTGCTGGGAGAACAGAAAAGCAGCCGTTTCTGGAGATGGATTGAATGAAGGGAATGAAGGAGAGGATGCCGGTGGATGGAGCTGTCATCCCACTCATGAGGGGTGCAGCCAGGAAGCTGCGTTCATGTGATTAAATCCAACAGACCTTCCTCTGCTATCTTGCTGTGCTTCTTGCTGCCTTTGACACACCAGGGCTTCCTCCCTGACATTGGTTACATGCTTTCCTCCAAGCTTCTCCTTATCTCTCTGATGATGTCTTCTCCTTTGGCTCCTCTTCCAGAATT
Organism: Homo sapiens; assembly: GCF_000001405.40. NCBI lineage: Eukaryota > Metazoa > Chordata > Mammalia > Primates > Hominidae > Homo > Homo sapiens. Next base: position 127,746,269 of record NC_000008.11, on the reverse strand, counting down.
TCCTGGGCTCTTTCCTGGATTCTATTTTCTCTGGGGGGAGAAGGAATGCCTTTAGCAGCTCCTGGAGCTTGAACCTCCTCCTGCTACATAGTAAGCTCGAAAGTGTTTGTAAAATAGAATCAAATTGCCTGTTTTCCGTGGGGCGCGGTGGCTTATGCCTGTAATCCCAGAACTTTGGGAGGCCAAGGCAGGTGGATCACCTGAGGTCAGGAGTTGGAGACCAGCCTGACCGACATGGTGAAAACCCATCTCTACTAAAAATACAAAATTAGCTGGGTGTGGTGGTGCATGCCTGTGATTCCACAGGATTACTGGGAGGCTGAGGCAGGAGACTTACTTGAACCCTGGAGGCAGAGGTTGCAGTGAGTCGAGACTGCACCATTGCACTCCAGCCTGGGCAACAAGAGAGAAACTCCATCTCAAAGAAAAAAAAAAATGCATGTTTTCTTTGTTCTCCATTAATCCATAACCCCTCAGCACCAGGACCTTATCCATCCCATTTATCTTGGTATCTCTTCCTACCTCTAGCATGGTGCGGGCAAACAGCATGCTCAAATGTTGGTGAATGAATAAATAATTTCTGCTTTCACCATTTTGCCAGCTCTGTGAATGCAGGCAATTTACTTAATCCATCAAAGTTTCAGTCTTCTCATTTGGGAAATGGGCACTGGAGATAGAGTTCACCTCCTAACTGCTGCTTTGGGGATGAAGTCAGGTAACACATGTAAAAATGTTTAGCACACAGTAAATGTTAACTACTATGACAGGTTTTTGTTTGTTTGTTTTTGAAACAGAGTCTCATTCTGTTGCCCAGGCTGGAGTGCAGTGGTGCAATCATGGCTCACTGCAATCCCCGCCTGCCAGGTTCAAGGGATTCTCCTCCTACCTCAGCCTAAGCTATGACTACAGGCTGTCACCACGGCCAGCTAATTTGTGTGAGTGTGTTTGTGCTCAGCCTAAGCTGGGACTACAGGCTGTCACCACGGCCAGCTAATTTGTGTGTGTGTGTGTGTGTGTGTTTAGTAGAGACAGGATTTCGCCATGTTGGTCAGGCTGGTCTCGAACTCCTGGGCTCAAGTGATCCACCCGCCTCGGCCTCCCAAAATGCTGGGATTACAAGTGTGAGCCACCACGCTCAGCCATATTACTGTTGTTTTGTTGTTGGCCCTTGTGTGACTTGGGGACAGCCATTTAACTTGCCTAAACCTCAGTATTGTCACATTCAACAACTGTCACATTCTTCCAGCTGGCTGTTGTCGGGTCTGGTGAGATGGAGAGTCTGGAAGAGTGTATGTATGTAATAAAGGTTCATTCTCTCTCTCTGAGCTCTCTCCTTTCCCACCCCCATAGACCTCAGATTGCACTGGACTATTTTATCCCTTAAAGCGCTGACGGGGATGACAATGGAAAGAAAGTGTTGGGGACTGTGGCTGAGGTCCCAGGCATTCTTTGAAAACAAAGAGCATTCCTTTCAACCTCAGAAGATCTACGTCCCATGAACACTTGTTTCCCTCAACTCTGTCTTCCGAAAAAGCTTAGTATAAGCTAATAGTGAATAAAATAAAATTAAAAATGAAATCAACTTACAGTCATTTACAGTCGTCTCCAACCAGTTTGGCAAAGCCAGCATTTCTGGGTGTTTTCCTCTAAATGGAGAGTTGGTGTAAGTTCTCTCCTGAAGGAGCTAGAAAAAAGACTTTTTGCTAAGGCTTTGGAGGTAGGTAGCAGAGTCTTTTTAGTTTTATTTTTAAAAATAAGTCCTTGCTCCCATCCTACTGGCTTTGTTTTTACTTTTTCTCCTTTATTTATTTATTTATTTATTATTTATTTATTTTTGAGACGGAGTCTCGCTGTGTCATCCAGGCTGGAATGCAGTGGCACAATCTCAGCTCACTGTAACCTCTGCCTCCCAGGTTCAAGCGATTCTCCTGCCTCAGCCTCCTGAGTAGCTGGGACTGCAGGCTGTGCCACCACGCCCGGCTAATTTTTTGTATTTTTAGTAGAGACGGGGTTTCACTGTTTTAGCCAGGATGGTCTCCATCTCCTGACCTCATGATCCGCCCACTTCGGCCTCCCAAAGTGCTGGGATTACAGGTGTGAGCTACCTCGACCGGCCTCTCTTCTCCTTTAATGTAGTCTTATAATATTCTATAAACTTGAAGGAGGAGCCTTTTATAAAGTCATCTAGAAGTGCATTTATAGACAAGGGTGGAGAACATCCCTCGGCATTTTCTAGACTAAGGATTATTTATCGATGGGAAAAAATGCTACAGGGGCCCTTAGTGTGTATACTAAAAAATAATTATTGATTGAGCCAATTATAGTTATTGCAAACAAACCACAGAAAACCCCCTAATGCAACATTTTTGTCCTTTTTCCCAAGTTTTGTGTGAGAGTTTGTCTTAAAGACCAGCAGAGAACTCTTTACTTATGCATCCAAGCTGTGAGCTCTCTAAGTATTAGGCTGGGATTGTGAAAACTTTGTTCATTTTCAAATTTGATTGATTGTTTTCATACTGTTGATCTCCTTTGTTGCTTCCAAATGGCAGCATAAAATAACACTTCCTTCCTCTTTATACATTCCATCCCTCAACAAAATCATTCCAGGAATCCTCTGGGAGAGTCATTAATTCCTGGATAGTGTCATGGATAAAGGGCATAGTCAGAATTAGCTTATTCCTTCTTATACATTCCTGACCAAGTTGCAAACTCCTCCCCTTCACGTCCGATTCTTGATTATTATCTACAAAATAGGTTGCACAATGGCAGAGACCCCTGGGACTCCCTGTATAGGCTCTAAGGGCCAATTTGTATTGTGGTCAAGATCAGCCTGACTTTCGGGAAGGAAGTTGGCATCTGTCCTGTTTTCAGAGCCATTCTCTGGCTCAGTAAAGGTAAGAGCGGCCTAATAGGCACTTGGAATGGTTCCTTTCTATTCCCATAGCCAAGCTCCACATCCCTAAAGTTCTTTCCTGATTATTTGGAATGGAGAGTTGTTTTCCTTGCTAGGAACACTCTCTCCTATTCTGAGGGCTTGCCTGGACTTAGTGATTCAGACTAACACCTTCCCGATTCCCAAGTGAGTCACCCCAGAGCTGCACTCCAGCCCTAGGCCACAAAGGGGCAAAGACTGAGCTGTTTAAGAGCGCCTTGCTTTTGTAACCCTTTGAACTACTATACTTCTGTGGATTGCATCTCCCTTTGAAATTCGCCTATATGACGTGCCAATTTGAAGCTGTAATGGCGGTACTTAGGACTCAAAAGAAGGATCAAGAAAAAGACATTAAGGTTTTGAATAGATTATTCTAGGAGTCAGAGTCAAAGAAAGTAATTATTTATTGATTTATGGGTGGTGGTAGATTAAAATCCCAAAGTACAGGGAGCTGAAGACCTACTTTGAGACTGAGACAATGAGGTAATTAGAACAGCAATAGCATCCTTCATTTACCTATATAATCAACATCATTTCTGGTTTGGGCCATAGGTTTTCAGAGGCTTATAATTAATACACATGTTCAAAAATACCTTTTCAAGGACTCAGGATGAGCATGTGTCATGAGTATGTAAAAAAGGATGGAAGCAAGGAGAGTTTGTAGTTTCTAAAATAATGACTCCCATGACAAAGAATAAATATGTTTTATTTTATGATCTGAACTGGCTTCTTCCCAGGAGCCGTCATGAGTCTGATTCAACAAATGGCTAAGGTAGGAGTCAAGATGGTGACCTTCTCATTGTAAAAGGAAAAATTAAACAATGAACAACAAAATAAAAACAAAATAAATCACAAAAAAAGGGGAACTGATGCCTGACCAGGCTTAGATGTTGAGACTTAAAAAACATAACCCACTGGACTGTAACTCCTGTACTCACAAGCAGCCAGCTGATTCCTACCGTCGTCTGAGAGGTGGCTTGGACAGGTTAGGAGTAAACAGCCTGGGTTCAAATCTCGCTTCCACTTTTCCCTATCAGTGAATCTTGGGCATGTGGATGAGTCTTTGTGTGCCTCAGCTTCCCTCTCTACTTCTAATATGGGGAAATCAACAGTATCTCCTTCATGGGGTTGATGTAGAGTTAGGGATAAAATGCTTAGGAGTGCTTGGGACACAAATAGAGCTTAGCATTGTTATGACTTGAGTCTGTCCATTAGGTCCTAAACCTTCTTGATCTCAGCACATTAGACCCAGATGAACCAAGGCATGATAGCGAAGGGTTAAGTGTTTTGAACAGAATGGGTCCAGATTGCTGCTTTGTATTATCTGCGTGGCTACAGATAAGTTACATAACCTCTTTGAGCTCTTCTATTTCCTTGTTTGTGAAATAGGGTTAATAGTAGCATTCCTCCCAGAGATCCTCTGGGGTTTGCGAGATAACCCATGGACAGGACTGGCGCCTGGTTGTGAAGGCAGCAGAAGCTGGTTCCCACCGTGTCCCCATCAACTGGGCAGAATTCCTGGGTTTGGAGTGAGCAGGGGACTGGCACTGGTTAACTAAAGTAACAGGAGTTTCTTCCTCACCTTCCTCCCAACTCCCCAGTCCTTATGCCTCTTTGTGTACTTAACTGCTACCTTTGACCTCTTGTATCTCCTTTGCCTACCTCTCACCTTCTCACCTGCCTTCTGCCATTCCTTCTAACTGTCAACTCTGGCTGTTATCATAGTCTCCAGGAAGCATCTTAGAACCTCCAAGAACTTAAAGACCTTAAGGCCCCCAGACCCATTTCAACAGAGGAAAACTCTTGCCTTTCTTAAGACCACCCTCTGAAGGGGCAATTGATGAAAACAAACAGGGATGGTGGTGGTTGGGAGGGGGAAGAAACGAAACAAAACATTCACAACTTAAGATTTGGCTCAATGATATATTTGCCAGTTATTTTATTTTTTCTAAAAACAATAGAAAAAAATCAACTTTAAAAAGCAAAATGTACTTAAATAAAAAAAATTAGGGTTTATAGTACCTATAATACTAGGTACTATATACTAGGATTGAAATTCTGTGTAACTGCTATAAACGTTTTATTAAAGTTATTTACATTTAATGGCAATATTTACAGAGAAACATTGTGTAAATCTTAAAATTTTTTAAAAACAATTCTTAAATACAAATCTGTTAAAGAAAAAAAAAAGATGGTAAGCATAAAAAAGTTCTTTTATGCCCAAAGTCCAATTTGAGGCAGTTTACATTATGGCTAAATCTTTCAGTCTCAAGACTCAGCCAAGGTTGTGAGGTTGCATTTGATCATGCATTTGAAACAAGTTCATAGGTGATTGCTCAGGACATTTCTGTTAGAAGGAATCGTTTTCCTTACTTTTCCTTACGCACAAGAGTTCCGTAGCTGTTCAAGTTTGTGTTTCAACTGTTCTCGTCGTTTCCGCAACAAGTCCTCTTCAGAAATGAGCTTTTGCTCCTCTGCTTGGACGGACAGGATGTATGCTGTGGCTTTTTTAAGGATAACTACCTTGGGGGCCTTTTCATTGTTTTCCAACTCCGGGATCTGGTCACGCAGGGCAAAAAAGCTCCGTTTTAGCTCGTTCCTCCTCTGGCGCTCCAAGACGTTGTGTGTTCGCCTCTTGACATTCTCCTCGGTGTCCGAGGACCTGGGGCTGGTGCATTTTCGGTTGTTGCTGATCTGTCTCAGGACTCTGACACTGTCCAACTTGACCCTCTTGGCAGCAGGATAGTCCTTCCGAGTGGAGGGAGGCGCTGCGTAGTTGTGCTGATGTGTGGAGACGTGGCACCTCTTGAGGACCAGTGGGCTGTGAGGAGGTTTGCTGTGGCCTCCAGCAGAAGGTGATCCAGACTCTGACCTTTTGCCAGGAGCCTGCCTCTTTTCCACAGAAACAACATCGATTTCTTCCTCATCTTCTTGTTCCTCCTCTTTAAGAAAGGAAATAGAAATCACTCCTTTAGCAAGGTTACATTAAAATAATCAATTACCAGATTAATGCTGTACAAATACAAGGCATGAATACGTTAGAAAGGTCTCTGGACAAAATTATCTCCCCAAAGAGCCACATCTAAGCCTGGTGCCCTGGCTCACACCTGTAATCCCAGCACTTTGGGAGGCCGAGGTGGGCGGATCGTGAGGTCAGGAGAGACCATCCTGGCCAACACGATGAAACCCCATCTCTACTAAAATTACAAAAATTAGCCTGGCATGGTGGTGTGCACCTGTAGTCCCAGCTACTTGGGAGGCTGAGGCAGGAGAATCTCTTGAACCAGGGGGTTGGAGGTTGATTGCGCCACTGCACTCCAGCCTAGTGACAGAGTGAGACTCCGTCTTAAAAAAGGAAAAAAAAAAAAAAAGAACCAATCTAGCCAGCCACCCTTACTCCTCTCACCATGAAGGTAAGAGTCTCATAAAGGGAAAGACAGCTGGGTTATGGCATGGACAAGAAAAGTGCAACTTCCCAGGATAGGACATTGATGCCAATTCTTACCTAAGACTTAATGAGGCTTTGGACACACCCAAAGCAAAGCACATTCCCAAGCACCTCCTATTTTTGAGGGACTTTACCAAGAACACTTCAGGTGTTGCAAATGATAGCTGCAAATTGCTTGGTATGACTTTAGCAACTCCCTATTTTACTGGAAATGAAAAATAAAAAAAAAAAAATTGCAGTTTTGCCAAAAGTCCAAGAGGGCGGGGGAAGGAATAAAAGAAAAAAAAAAGTCCAACTTTGGCAAGGATTTGCTTTTCAGTGTTCAAAATAGGCTGAGAAGATCCCAGCTCCTCAGCCCACCCACTCTTGAGGCAGTTCACTGGCTCCCGCACTCAGGCAGGCCCTGCCTAGCCTCTAAACACAGCCCCTCATTTTTGTAGATAGTTCATTAAATCCCACCACTTCTCGGAAGTTAAGAGGGAAGCAATTCATTCACTCTCAGAGATCAATCCTCTCTTATCCTCATTCATACACTCCCTGCCACCCCGCCCCAGGGCAATTAAAATGTTAACGGGAGGTAAGAAGAAGTGGATTGAGTTGTAAGATAAGCCAGAAGGTTTAAAAACCTAAATGAAATTCCTGAGGGGTGGGAGACAAACGGGGAGGGGGGCTGCAAACATGGGCAGTCTAAGGGGAAGGGATGGGAGGAAACGCTAAAGCCCAAGGTTTCAGAGGTGATGAGCTCCCAAATCTCTCCAGATCTGCTATCTCTCCTTCCTAATAAGAGTGGCCCGTTAAATAAGCTGCCAATGAAAATGGGAAAGGTATCCAGCCGCCCACTTTTGACAGGCCTGGGCGGGCTTCGCTTACCAGAGTCGCTGCTGGTGGTGGGCGGTGTCTCCTCATGGAGCACCAGGGGCTCGGGGCTGCCCTGCGGGGAGGACTCCGTCGAGGAGAGCAGAGAATCCGAGGACGGAGAGAAGGCGCTGGAGTCTTGCGAGGCGCAGGACTTGGGCGAGCTGCTGTCGTTGAGAGGGTAGGGGAAGACCACCGAGGGGTCGATGCACTCTGAGGCGGCGGCGCTCAGATCCTGCAGGTACAAGCTGGAGGTGGAGCAGACGCTGTGGCCGCGGGCGGGGTTCGGGCTGCCGCTGTCTTTGCGCGCAGCCTGGTAGGAGGCCAGCTTCTCTGAGACGAGCTTGGCGGCGGCCGAGAAGCCGCTCCACATACAGTCCTGGATGATGATGTTTTTGATGAAGGTCTCGTCGTCCGGGTCGCAGATGAAACTCTGGTTCACCATGTCTCCTCCCAGCAGCTCGGTCACCATCTCCAGCTGGTCGGCCGTGGAGAAGCTCCCGCCACCGCCGTCGTTGTCTCCCCGAAGGGAGAAGGGTGTGACCGCAACGTAGGAGGGCGAGCAGAGCCCGGAGCGGCGGCTAGGGGACAGGGGCGGGGTGGGCAGCAGCTCGAATTTCTTCCAGATATCCTCGCTGGGCGCCGGGGGCTGCAGCTCGCTCTGCTGCTGCTGCTGGTAGAAGTTCTCCTCCTCGTCGCAGTAGAAATACGGCTGCACCGAGTCGTAGTCGAGGTCATAGTTCCTGTTGGTGAAGCTAACGTTGAGGGGCATCGTCGCGGGAGGCTGCTGGAGCGGGGCACACAAAGCGGGAGGCAGTCTTGAGTTAAAGGGGTCTTGGTGCGGAAACCTGGCGCAGCGCGCAGTGCGCGCCACAGTCCCGAACCTCTCCCCTTGCAGAGCTATCCCCTAAAGCGGCTGGGTGGTCTTGGTGGGGGAATAAAGGGAGCACCCTTTCACCCCCTTTGGACAGTCCCCTGCTATCTCGGAGACGCACTTAGTGAACCAGCGGCTTGGTGCCCGCCGAGCCCCCGCTCCCCCGGGAGCCCGGAGCGCAAAGCCCGGGAGTCGGCCCCGCAGCGGCAGAGGAATCGAAATCGGCCCTGGCGCCCTTAAGAAGCCGCGGGAGGTGGCGGTGAGGAAAACAATTTGCCAAAATCCAAGGCACAAAGTTTTGCGCCACCTGAAGGAGAAGGCGAGAGGCGCCTGGGCGCTAGCGGCTGCGTGAACCCCGCTCCGCGCCGGGGCCCCTCCGCTGCGGCTGTTCCCACTCGCGCCCTAGCCGCTCTCCTACCCCCGCCGGCACCGCAGCCCCTCCCAACCTTCCCTCTCCACCGCCCCCGTCCCCACCCCCAGTACCGCCCCCGTCCAACACTCCTTTTGCCAGCTTTTCTTCTTTCTCTCGCCGGCTGGAGTGGCGAGCTCAGCCGCGGGCTTTAACACCCCTCCATAAATACAAGGGGGGTGTCAAATAATAATAGGGGCACCTCCCTTCGCACTCAATACGGAGATGCAACTGCGCCAGAGACCCCGCTGCGATACCTCCCCCGGAGCCACCCCACCAAGGGTAGCAGCTGTTCTGGAACCGCCCAGAGCCCCGCTCCTCGCAGTTCCTCCGCATCTCGGGCGCGAGGACACCCGAGGGCGGCCGCGGCAGGGGAGTCAGGGCTGGGTGCGGAGATTCGCCCTGGTTTTTCCAAGTCAACGATTCCAGGAGAATCGGACACATCCTCGCCTCCCTTTTCCCCTGCCTGCGCCTACCCAACACCACGTCCTAACACCTCTAGAGACCCAGGTTTTAAATTGTATTATTGCTTTTTAAAAAGCCAAATGCCAACTTCTTAAAAGGATCAGGGCGGGTTGGAATCGCCGCGGGGACAGGCGGGCGGGACGCGCCGCAGTGTCCGTCTCCGGCTGTCAGAAATGCGGTGAGCCGAAATTTAAATGCCCTCCCGGAGACGGGGACAAGTCAGCGGCTGCGGAGCGATCTGGCTCACACAGGCGATATGCGGTCCCTACTCCAAGGAGCTCAGGATGCAAGGGGCTTTCTGCCCACCGCAAAGCAACCCCCAGCCCCCCAAAACCCAGAGAGCAATTAACACAATAAAGCAGGAATGTCCGACCGGCCGGGAGTCAGCGTGAATATATTCATAAGGCAGAAATCTCGAAAGGGTAGTCTTAAAAACCATTCCCGTTTTCCCTCTGCCTTCTCCTCTCCCATCTTGACAAGTCACTTTACCCCGATCCAGTTCTGGATTACCCCCCACCCCAGCCCCAGTTACCATAACTACTCTGAGAAAAGTGTCAATAGCGCAGGAATGGGAGAAAAGACACCCTATTTAGGCATTCGACTCATCTCAGCATTAAAGTGATAAAAAAATAAATTAAAAGGCAAGTGGACTTCGGTGCTTACCTGGTTTTCCACTACCCGAAAAAAATCCAGCGTCTAAGCAGCTGCAAGGAGAGCCTTTCAGAGAAGCGGGTCCTGGCAGCGGCGGGGAAGTGTCCCCAAATGGGCAGAATAGCCTCCCCGCGTCGGGAGAGTCGCGTCCTTGCTCGGGTGTTGTAAGTTCCAGTGCAAAGTGCCCGCCCGCTGCTATGGGCAAAGTTTCGTGGATGCGGCAAGGGTTGCGGACCGCTGGCTGGGGGATCAGCGGGAGGGCTGGGCCAGAGGCGAAGCCCCCTATTCGCTCCGGATCTCCCTTCCCAGGACGCCCGCAGCGCAGCTCTGCTCGCCCGGCTCTTCCACCCTAGCCGGCCGCCCGCTCGCTCCCTCTGCCTCTCGCTGGAATTACTACAGCGAGTTAGATAAAGCCCCGAAAACCGGCTTTTATACTCAGCGCGATCCCTCCCTCCGTTCTTTTTCCCGCCAAGCCTCTGAGAAGCCCTGCCCTTCTCGAGGCAGGAGGGGAGCCAGGGACGGCCGGGGCCCGGCGGTGGCGGCCGCGAGCAGCACAGCTCGGGGGTCCTCAGCCGTCCAGACCCTCGCATTATAAAGGGCCGGTGGGCGGAGATTAGCGAGAGAGGATCTTTTTTCTTTTCCCCCACGCCCTCTGCTTTGGGAACCCGGGAGGGGCGCTTATGGGGAGGGTGGGGAGGGTGGGGAAGGTGGGGAGGAGACTCAGCCGGGCAGCCGAGCACTCTAGCTCTAGGATGTAAACAGAGTAAGAGAGCCGCATGAATTAACTACGCGCGCCTACCATTTTCTTTTGCTCCCTCTCAAACCCTCTCCCTTTCTCTGCTGCTCCTCCGTAGCAGTACTGTTTGACAAACCGCATCCTTGTCCTGTGAGTATAAATCATCGCAGGCGGAACAGCTGCCCTCCACACCGAGAACGCACTGCGCGCCCACCGCCACGCCACGCGCGTACCAGGCTGCAGGGCGCCTCGCTAAGGCTGGGGAAAGGGCCGCGCTTTGATCAAGAGTCCCAGGGAGAGTGGAGGAAAGAAGGGTATTAATGGGCGCGCGTTCAGAGCGTGGGATGTTAGTGTAGATAGGGAGGAATGATAGAGGCATAAGGAGGAAAACGATGCCTAGAATGATTAAAATAACCCAGCAACGCATTGCCACGTATACTTGGAGAGCGCGTTATGAATAAACTCCCATTGCATTTGTTGGGGGGAGTCATGTATTATGCATTATGTATGCACAGCTATCTGGATTGGATACCTTCCACCCAGACTGAGTCCCCCAATTTGCTGCCAAAGCAGCAGATACCGCCCCTCCTGCCCCGCCTGCTCAGGCTTCCGTGGGGCCCCGTGCGGGAGGCGTCTGTTTAGCCCTGAGATGTGTCTGCCTGTTCCAGAGCTGGGCTAGGGCGAGAGGGAGGTTGCCTGCTCTCTGCCAGTCTGTACCCCACCGTCCCACCCCCACGCCTCCCACACGGAGTTCCCAATTTCTCAGCCAGGTTTCAGAAGAGACAAATCCCCTTTGCGCCCTGTGGCGCCGGTTTGCAACAGTCTCGGGCTGCCGGGTTTGGGAGAAATCAAAGGTGCTAGACGGGAGAATATGGGAGGGGCAGGGGGTACCCGAACCGCGGGACCGGACTTCCTAAAAGGGGCAAGTGGAGAGCTTGTGGACCGAGCCGGGGGAGTCAGCAGAGACCCTTGTGAAAAAAACCGTTAACTCTTTCCTCCCCGGACAAACCGGACGTTTAATTCCTTTCCAGGTCCTCTTTCCCCTTTTATTATTGGAAATGCGGTCATGCACAAAAAATGCATCGATTCTGATCAAAGAAGAGGAGAGGAGTATTACTTCCGTGCCTTTTTTTGGGGGGGGGGGAGTCTTGAGCTAATTAAAATTTGGCTGCCTTCCAGGCATTAATTTCCTAGTTCACTGACTCACAATTTTTTCTGAATACTAGTGAAAGTGCACTGTATGTAACCCGCAAACGTGTATTCACATTTTATTTACGCTTCGACTTAGCTAGTTGCCCAGCCCCACACATGATTTGTTTGCTCCCTGAAATGATCTATATTTAATATATAATGTATATTCCCTCGGGATTTTTTATTTTGTGTTATTCCACGGCATGAAAAACAAAAAACATTCTTCTCATCCTTGGTCCCTCACCCAAAGGCATTTTAAGTAAACTTTTCTCTCCCTCCACCACCTCCAAAAGAGAAAACAATTCGGGGGAAAGGGGTGCGTGTATAGCATGTACGCTGTTCAAGATGGGTTATTACCCGTTGAGTTTGCAGCTCAGCGTTCAAGTGTTAAGTGAATATAGTAGCTTCCAAATCCGATGCACTGCACAATTCAGCTTTAAGGATTGCAAATTACTCCTGCCTCCAGGCCTTTGCCGCAAACGCGGGGAGCAACCAATCGCTATGCTGGATTTTGCTGCAAAGCGTCTTTCCCTCCGCCCCCTCTCTGGGCAGCACCCGCGTTCAGGTTTGCGAAAGTAAAGTAAGTGTGCCCTCTACTGGCAGCAGAGATCATCGCGCCTGGATGTCAACGAGGGCGGGGGTCAGGTGGGGGCAGGAGCAGGAGCGTCCGAGGTGCAAGGTTTCCAGCGGGGGAAGGACAGGCGGTTCCTTAAAACAAGTTTCCAGCCACCTCCTTGTTATTCTTTCAGGTTGGCTGCAGAAGGTCCGAAGAAAGAGGAGTTACTGGAGGAAAAAGTGGTTCAGAGGTGACTATTCAACCGCATAAGAGATGGTGAAAATTAACCTATCACCACTGCTAATGAACATCACCCTATGGAGAACCGGTAATGGCAAACGTGAAATAATTCACAAGTACATAGACGAAAAAAAAATTCCAACAAACCCTAAAACGGCCAAACAAGCTTTAGCCCCCACGTCTTAGAAACTCATCATCTTTTTTAACCACAAAATTTGAAAGCAAGACACTGGATTTATTGGGGAAAGGGGAGGCACAGCAGAAGGTGATGGGTATTTGGTTTGGCCTATTATTATTAATTATTATTCTTATTATTTTTGAGACAGGGTCTCCTTCTGTCACCCAGGCTGGAGTGCAGTGGCACAATCAAAGCTCACTGCAGCCTCGATCCCCCCGGGCTCAAAGCAAACCTCCTACCTCAGCCTGATACCCCAGCCCAGTAGCTGGGAGTGCAGTGCACCACCACACCCGGTTAATTTTTTAAACTTTTTGTAGAGAGGCAGTCTGGTCATGTTGCCCAGGCTGGTCTCAAACTCCTCGGTTAAAGCGATCCTTCGGCCTTTGCCTCTGAAACTGCTGGGAATACAAGTGCGAGTCATCGCTCCTGGCCTTGGCTTATTATTTTTACTTTTAAAATATTGGGCTGGTGAATAATAAGTGATTTTTTTTAATAGCAAGAAGGGGTATTTGAGATCTCATAGAAAAAAAGTGTGAAGGAATAGGAGCATTTTATTAAAGGTTTTAATACTAAAATGAGTATGCAATAAGGTTGAAGTAAATGTGAAGGAAATTTACCTGGCACGTGTCCCTGGTCAAGTAGGTTTTTACGGGGCAAAGAATCCCTGACGGTGTCTGATCACTTAGATGCCCTAAGGACTTCTGGCAGTGGAGGTTCCTTCCCGCAGGAGCCTTGTAGGCTGATTTCCCAGGAATCTGGCACTTTTGGCATTACTCTAATTGAAGCTAAATGAGTGCTCTCCACAGGGGCATGCACTCCCCGCCCCTCAAAGAAAACCCTCAACAACAAACAAACAACAATGGCAAAACCAAAAGTAGGTCCAGCTTGACCTCATAGGGTAGTTTTTGAAAGTTGCTAAAGATGGCGGATATACCACATCTTCGGATCTGACTCTCAAATTATGCCAGTCCAGTGTAGGGCATGTGAACCCCAGGCAGATATAATGCCTGTGGGTTCAGAACTTAACCTCACTCTCCCTCAGGCTGGTGACATCACCTGAGGTGTTACTTTCAAGTAACAGCTTGGAGTTGTTTTGTGCCATCTCCATTTTTACATGAGAGAAAACAAAGCCAGACCTCAGCCAGGTTAAAGGACATAACTGATTTTCTTTTAGTAATTTTTGAGACATATTTGACCTAGAATAGACATTTGCTGGGTTGAAAAATGGCTGAGATTACAACTAGTATCATGTATAACTACCAAAGTGATACGTGTCCATTGGAAAAATCCATTGAGAAATAGAAAAAGAAAGGAAAAGGCCGTGTGTGGTGGCTTATGCTTGTAGTCCCAGCACTTTGGGAGGCTCAAGTGGGAGCATCGTTTGAGGCCAGGAGTTCGACAACAGCCTGGGCAATGTGGTGACGTGCCATCTCTAAAAAAAAAAAAAGAAAAAAAAAAAAAGAAAAGAAGAAGAAGAAAGAAAGAAAAGAAAAGAGAGTTTTTTCTTCTTTAATTTTTTTTTTAAGACAGGGTCTCACCCTGTAGTCTAGGCTGGAAGGCAGTGGAATAATCATGACTCACTGCAGCCTCGACCTCCCTGGACTCAGGTGATCCTCCTACCTGAGCCTCCTGAGTAGTTGGGTCTACAGGCACAAACCCCACGCTTGGCTAATTTTTGAATTTTTTTTTTTGTAGAGATGGGGGTCTCACTATGTTGCCCAGGCTGGTCTCAAACTCCTAGACTCTGGTGATTCTCCTGCCTCAGCCTAAGTGATTCTCCTGCCTCAGCCTTCCAAAGTTCTGGGATTACAAAGGCATTAGCCACCATACCCAGCCTCCTCTCCTTCTTCTTCTTCTTCTTCTTCTTTTTTGTTTTTTAATAGAGGTACATTTTTGGTAGAGATGAGGTCTCACTGTGTTGCTCAGGCTTGGTCTCCAGCTCCTGGCCTCAAGCAATCCTCCGGCCTGAAGCAATTGTCCTGCCTCAGCCTCTGGAGTAGATGGAGTTACAGGCGTGAACCATGACACCTGGCCTGAAAGTGGTTCTTAATACTGACCAGTCAGAGGTAGTTGATGAAGTTTATCTTTTAGGAAGACATTTTAGGGACATCTTTGGTCTTTCACCTCAATTTTTTTTGGAAGACCATGGAAGTTGCCTTCTGACTAATTGCCCCTTGCTTGTTGCTCTAGCAGCACTCTTTTTTGTTGGCTCCCCCTGTTATTTGGAGCTGCTGCTGAGTGGGTTGGGCTTCTAAGAACAGGCAGGTCTCCTGGAGGGCCGGGGTTGGGACTCTAGGTCAACAGTCTGATGGGGCGGCCTCACAGAACAGAATAGTGTGTAGCTAGAGGAAACATTTTTTTTTCACATAGGAAGGCACAAATAATCATTCATTCTTGGCCATGCGCCTGTAATCCTAGCACTTTGTGAGGCCGAGGTGAGAGGATCATGAGGTCAGGAGTTCAAGACCAGCCTGACCAACATGGTGAAACCCCGTCTCCACTAAAAATACAAAAATTAGCTGGGGGTGGTGGAGCGCACCTGTAGTCCCAGCTACTCAGGAGGCTGAGGCAGGAGAATTGCTTGAACCCGGGAGGCAGATGTTGCAGTGAGCCAAGATCGTGCTACTGCACTCCAGCCTGGGTGACAGCGAGAGACTCCGTTTCAAAAAAAAAAAAAAAAAAAAAAGAATCATTCATTCTCACAATCACATAGTCTCACAGTAGTAGTAGTCATATATTTTTATACTTAGGAAAAAAGAAAGAAGTGCAGAAATAATGAGCGATTTGATCAAACTTTCTCCTTTCTCCCCAGAGACACAAAAGGGAAGATTCAGAATGTGTGACTTGTATAAAATAAAACCAGTTTCCCCCGACCCCAACACCTTCTTTGAACATCTCTTTCTCCACCTCTCAAAAAATTTCCTACTGAGTTGGTCCTCTAGTGAAAAGAGCAGTTAATAAGATGGAAAGCAACTGGACGTGGTGAAGAAAAAGCCAGCGAACTTAGGGGTGAGACTGAAGCCCCTCAGGGTGGCTGAGCTGCTATTTGAAAAATTCCTTCAAGTCACGTGCGGCCTGTCAAGAGATGAGGTGAAGGAAGAGAATGATAAATATCTATCTCCAGTGGAAGGATCATTTTGAAAGAAGGGCTGTTAGATTAAAAACCAAGCTAGCCAGGGAACGTTAAAGGAAGAGAAGTTCTCACAAGCATTTTAATGCCAAGCATGTGTTCCAACGAGAGGAACACAGGAAAGCTCTTCAGCAGATGAGAAAATGAAATTCGGCATCACTAATTCATAGGAATGATAACAAAAACGGCAGTGAAGAAAATCTGTGCATTTTAAAAAATGCATGTTTTTTGCTTAGTGTTGTCCCTTCCCCTCCTGGCTTTTAGTATACTGCATTCATTAAAGTAGCTGAGAAGAAAAATAGTAGATGCTGTTAACGTCAGGCCTGAGAGCTTCCATATCCTGTGTTGCGTTGAGTTTTGGGTTTGTTTCCTTATTCACTGTCTTCTAGATCTCAGACCCTAGCAGAAGGTCTCAGAATGGACCTAGTAAACTTTGGTCATACCTCCAGCTTGGCCTTCTTTTATTTTTTTGTTCTTTGCTGCAACCCTGCCTTACTTTGTAGCTACTAGAGTGGACAAATGGTTCCTTTGTTGAACCCCTTCAAAGGCTTGGTTTATTGTTCTATAAGTGCCAAGCTCAAGCCAGTCTCAAAAGTTTCCACACTTTGGCTCACTGGCCTGTCTCTGCTATGGTCCTTTTGGACAACATATGTCCCCACAATGGGCCCTTGCGTGGTTGGACATACAGGTCACTGCAAAGGAAACCCTTGGAGAGAAACTTTTGCTTTTTACAATTTGATCTTCATAGAAAGTCAGTAGAATAGGAATCTATTCTTTTAGGGATCTGCAGAGATCCCAAGCTATGGCTTCTGACTTTCTTTTCAAAGGCATACTTTCTGAGAGTAGCTCACCCTTGGTTGTTTTCACTTTTATATTGTTTGTTTCCTCTGTAACGTCTTCTACATGGACTTGATATTATAGAGGGTGCTTTCTTGAAGGTATCTCATGACCTCCAACCACCAAAGCCAATGGTCTTGTTCTCATTTTATTTTTGGACTTTGCTGTTTGCTGTCAGGCTTTTGGAAATGATTATTCTTTTGATTTCCATAAATCAGTGGGTCTCAACCAGAGGCAATTGGCAATGTCTGGAGACATTTTGGGTTGTCACTAAGGGATGGGGCCTTACTACTTGGCGTTTTTAGTGGGTAGAGGCCAACGATGCTGCTAAATGTCCTACATTGCACAGGACGGCTCCCACAACAGAGAGTGGGGCTCAAAATGTCACCAGTGCTGAGGTTGAGAATCCCTGGGTTCACTCCACATTCTCCTGATTATATTCCCACATATTCAACTTGTTCTTCTGTTTCCCTTATTGGCTCACTTTCCTCTTTTACCCACTACCTATGGCTGTTAGAATCATCTTGCAGTAGATTCCTAATAGCTCCTAGTCTCTGCCACTCCATTTAACCTTGCACACTGATTAATTTTCCTCTTCATTTAAAATTCTTCAGTTGACCCCCATGGTCCAAAATGAGGTTCTCCATTATGAGCTTGGAATTCCAAGCCCTCATGCATCTGGCCTCCTCCTTATCTTACCCTATTTCTTACCAACTCTGCACTTCAGAGAAACAGGTCTATTTACAGCCACTCTGAGTGACACACAAGTTTCCACCTCAGCACTTTGGTTCAGGCAGTTCCCCAGACTTACTGTCTCTTCTCTTCTTGATTTATCTAAGAACCACCTTTCCTCCCAGCCCAAGTTCAAGCCCCATTTTCTCTGTGGACTCTTCCTTTTCCCATGATCATCTTACAGAATCATAAAAGCATGGAGCCAGAAAAAGTTCTGGAAAACCTCTAATTAAGCTGCTGAAACATAAACCTTTGTTCTCAGGGTAGAATCCAGGGTCTCCGGCTAAAATAGACTAACTGTGGTTTTCTAGCTGTCAGAGAAAGGCCTCCTTTTTCTCTTCTTCATGAGATTATAAATGTCCCGGGGGTCTAGAGGAGGGGTAGCATTAGAAGAGATATCTAATGTAGATGATGGGTTGGTAGGTGCAGCAAACCACCATGGCATGTGTATACCTATGTAACAAACCTGCATGTTCTGCACATGTATCCCAGAACTTAAAGTATAATTAAAAGAAAAGAGAGAGAAATAAATAAATAAATAAAATAGAATGTTATCAGCCCCTGCCAAAAAAAAAAAAAAGTCCCAAGGCCAGGAATCAAGTCTGGCCCATAGTTAATGTGAATGAATGTATGCTGACTCTACACTGGGTAAGAGAATGAAGTCAATGGGCAGACTTTCTCAATAACTTTTTGGCTACACAAGAATCTAGAATATAAGGACGGGTTGCTGAATCAGCTTGGTTGGAGGACTACTCTGTCATGATCACCTGATAAATCTGTCAAGTCACATGACCTCTCTGAATCTCACTTTTCTCATCTGTAAAATGGGATTACTATAATTGTAGCACCTATCTTATTGAAGGTGTTACAGGAATTAAGTGAGATAAGGCATTCAGCACAGAGCCTGCTGTCTGGCCCACACTCAGCAAATGTTAGCAATTGTTAATGTGAGTTCCAGATTTAGCAGAAAGTTATGTATTGAGCTGTTTTAAGTTAAATGTATCAATATTGCATGGTGTTTCATAGTGAGTTCCATGAAATTGATGTCCTTTATCACTTCATCAAGTGTGAAAAATTGTGGACTAATACAAGCTTGTCAAGTTGAGGTTTAGAATCACAAAGAGATTATCTAATGTTTGGAGACAATTCCAAACCCACCCCCTTCCTGTCTCCAACTCTTGCACGACTTACTATTCCAAGTGTATGCTGTTTTGCAGATCACTCTATTCAGAAAAAGCAAAATTCTGGAAGTTCAGGAAGGCAGAATTAGGCATTGTTCCTATTTAATACGAATCAACGCTTTATGTTAGGATTTCCCGCCTTTCACTGAATTCATATGATGCCCCGGGGCTAATCCCTGGGGTGTGGTCCTGGAAACCCAGGGCACCTTTATTGCTGGCTAGACAAGGCTGCTACTGAAATCTACAGCTTGCTTTTTTTTTTGTCTTGGTGAGTGGATCTGGGCATTGGAAAAACTGTTTTCCTTCAAAGCATAAAGCGTAAATCAACAACCAGGTTTAGAAACTCTTTCTAACTTCTGATCCACATTTTCCGCTAACACATCAAGGGTTGCCAACTCAGATGCTTACAGAGGTTTGGCAGGAAATGTAAACGAAGAATACAATAGGGAGTGGTGGAGACTGGTAAACTGGAGAGCATTTGCCTGTGTAGGTCTGGTGGCTCCCATTTGGCACCTGCTCTGGTGGTTACCCTGAAATATGGGCCCATGGGTGGAAATGCTTCCAGTTTTTCAGGGAAGGTGGAAATCCAGGTTTTAAAATGTTAACAACTTATTGTAAGAATTATATGGAGATTTCAAGCCAGCAGCAGTGTGTTGGGAAAAAAAATGATATGGAGAAGCAAAGCATGTCTATGGGCAGAGGTGGCCCTCAGGCTGCCAGCCTGCCATCTCTGCTCATATGTCTTAGTAATCCAACTCAAGCATCTTCCTGTAGGAGCTTTTCATGATCCTTTCCCCTTCCCTTGAGAGTTTAAACCATCCCCTCATTCTTCTGTCTTAGAAAATACAAGTTTGGCCAGGCGTGGTGGCTCGTACCTGTAATCCCAGCATTTCGGGAGGCCAAGGCCGGCAGATCACTTGAGCCCAGGAGTTTGAGACCAGCCTGAGCAACACAGTAAGACCCTGTCTCTACAAAAAAATTAAAAAAAAAAAATTAGCTGGGTGCAGTGCCTCATGGCTGTAATCCTATCTACTTGGAAAACTGAGGTGGAGGAGGAAGATTGCTTGAGCCGTGGCTGTTGAGGCTGCAGTGAGCCAAGATTGTGTCACTGTGCTCCAGTCTGGATGACAGAGTGAGATCCTGTCTCAAAACAAACAAACATTCAAGTTTTGGCCAGAGATGCAGCGGCTCATGCCTGTAATCCCATCACTTTGGGAGGCTGAGGTGAGCAGATCACCCGAGGTCAGAATTTCGAGACCAGTCTGGCCAAGATGGTGAAACCCTGTCTCTACTAAAAATGACAAAAATTAGCGGGGCATGGTGGCGCATGCCTGTGATCCCAGCTACTCGAGAGGCTGAGGCAGGAGAATTGCTTGAACCTGGGTGGTGGAGGTTGCCGTGAGCCCAGATGGTGCCACAGCACTCCAGCCTGGGTGACAGAGCAAGACTCTTGTCTCAAAAAAAAAAAAAAAAAAAAAATCAACTTTATAGTTTTTGTGCTTTTTAATGTCTGATTCCTTGAGGAGAAGCTTCTGGGGTCAGTATGGATTGTGTTTTACTCGCGTTCTCACCCATCAAGCCTCAAGGTGCCATTCACAGAGTAGGTGGTCTCCAGAGCCCAGCACAATGCCTGGCACGTGGTAGGCACTCTGTAAGTGCTTAGTGAAGGAATGCTATTAGAGAGAGCTTCTGAGCTGAGGGCACACCTAGCCTAACCCAGTTTTAATCGTATATAGAGAGAAGGGTTGAGAACTCTTCCTTGCCCTTGCTTCGGTTCCATCAATGGGTAGGGCTCTGTTCAGGTGTCCTTGTTGATGAGCTGGGCCCCAACATCGTTGGAGCAAGGGTGACGAGGATGGGGGTCATTCCAGATGAATTGCCCTCATTGACCGAAAAGCAAATGCAACGAAATAAAAACCAAACCACACTTCAACAACAGTGTGGAACAGCACCCCCTGCAGGCGCTTTCCTCGCAACTTTATAATCCCTCTGGAGGAAAATCCTATCTGAATTGAAGAAGGAAGGGAAGAATGGGAAGATGGTAACAGGAACTGGGCTAGGGAGAAGCTCATACTGTCAGAGTTTTAAAATGGCAAATGATGACCCCTTAGTGGATCATGAAATCAATTTAACAATGTTCACTATTTGGATAATGAATACATTTAATGACCAGACTTGACGACTATGCAATGTATACATGAAAGAAATCCTCACTTGAGCCCCCTGCATGTATAAAAATTTAAAAATAGTAAATAAGAAATGAATTTAATGAATCATGATGAGCAATTTCACAAAATGGGCTGGCACAGAAAATATCAAAGTGTGTTGCAGATGAAGTATTCTTTTCTCTCTCTCTCTCTCTCTGTGTGTGTGTGTGTGTGTGTGTCTGCACTTGGACGATACGGGAAATGTATCTCAGTGAGTTAAAAAGGTTAGAAAGCCCCACTGCATTGCCTCCTTAAATCTCCATAGTAATCCTAGGAGGTGTAGGTTAAAATTCCATTTAACAGATGGGGAAAATTGAGGTGTTGCAGGGACTTGCTTAAACTCACACGGTGAATAGTAGTCATGAGATTCAGCACCAGAAACCTTTTGATACCATAACCTGGGCCGCCTCTGCCCTGTCACTGCCCCAGTCGAGCCAGGTGCCCGGCGCTTTCTATTTCTCTGCTGCTGGTGACCAGAGCAAATTTCCTTAGGGAAATAAGGAAGGAAGGAGAGGTTACCTCTTACTTTTGCCACTTTCCTGGGGCATAATGCCAAGGGGTAAAAGGCACCATGAGTATCGAGACAGTGGATACAGAAACAAATCCTTGTCCTCCAAGGGGCTTGGTAAAACATATATTCTTTCTCTTTCTTCTGGAAAGTTTCGTAAGACAAGTTAGTAATATCTGTGCTTGTAAAGTAGACTTTGGTTTTGGGGAGAAAATGAGGGCAGAGCGGCTGGGCACGGTGGCTCACGCCTGCAATCACAGCACTTTGGGAGGCCGAGGCGGGTGGATCACCTGAGGTAGGGAATTCGAGACCAGCCTGACCAACATGGAGAAACCCCGTCTCTACTAAAAATACAAAATTAGCTGGGCGTGGTGGTGCATGCCTGTAATCCCAGCTACTCAGGAGGCTGAGGCAGGAGAATCTCTTGAACGCGGGAGGTGGAGGTTGCAGTGAGCCGAGATCGTGCCATTGCACTCCAGCCTGGGCAACAAGAGTGAAGCTCCATCTCAAAAAAAGAAAAATAAATAAATAAAAATAAATAAAGAAAATGAGGGCAGAGAATGAGGCAATGATGGTGCACAGGAGAAGAAATGGGTTAGCGTAAGCTTTGGCAGTCCTGTGAATCCCTACAAGCCAGAGTTCGAATTCTGTCACTGCGCTTGACTGGGTGTGGTGCCTTAGAATTACGTCACTTAACTGAGCCTCAGTTTCTCAATCTGCAGAAAATGGCAACAACTATAGCTGTCTCCCAGAGCTGTTCCTAAAGGTTAAATGACATTGCAGGCACTCGAAAATGGTAGCTGCCTGTTGATGTTAAGGTTAACAGTGTTCTGGCTGGGCATGGTGGTTCACACCTGTAATCCCAGCACTCTGGGAGGCTGAGGTGGCCAGATCGCTTGAGCTCAGGAGTTCAAGACCAGCCTGGGCAACATGGCGAAACCCCATCTCTACAAAAGATTAACCAGGCGTGGTGGCACATGCCTGTAGTCCTAACTATTCAGGAGGCTGAGGTGGGAAGATCGCTTGAACCTGGGAGGCAGAGGTTGCAGCGGGCTGAGATTGTGCCACTGTACACTCTATAGAGAGGGGCTATAGAGAGAGACCCTGTTAAAAAAAAAAAAAAAAAGCAGTATTCTTTTTAAATTAAAAAATTTTTAATTTTTTTTTATTTTTCATCACAATAAGATCTAATCCAAAGCACCATTCTTTGAGACCAATCTGGGCAACAAAGTGAGACCTCATCTGTACAAAATAAATAAATAAATAAAAAGCCAAAAAACACAAAAAAACCCAAAGCCCTTTTCTTTGTCTCAGAGTCTCTGGTTTCTTCATTTCATTTCCTCAAAGTGGAACATCATTGCCCACCTCAATCCTTGTTCAAGGATTCCATGAGAGAATGCACAGTACAGCCTAAGCCCCGTGCTGTGGTGGGCAACCTGGTGACGTCCACACGTGGCAAGCCTTATCACTGGGGGTACAGCCGAGGCTGGGAGGTTCTGCTCCATGCTTTCTGCCTGTGGTCATTGCATCTGGATTCCCAGTCTGCAAAATAAAGCGGACTCCTTTCTGTGCACCTCCGTCCAAATGTATTTAGAACGTCGATGCTTTCGGAAACCCTTGCCTGTGGGCCATGTTGGAGTTCTTACCCTCGCTGCAGCTCTGGAGGGTGGGATGTGAGGGAGGGAGCAGACATTGGAAACTGGCCAGGGGACTTCACAGACCCAACAAAGACTTGTTTTCAAGGGTTGATTTGGTAATAGGCAGAGGGGAATTCCAAGGATAAATAATAATTTATGCAAGGAATGCCATCTGCTTCTCTGGTGAAGCATTAGTGCATAATTGCAGGCGCAATTTCCTTCCAATCCTGTCCTTTACCATTCAGCATCTTAAGTCATTATATTGACACCTCCCGAGCTGGTTTTTTGGGTGAGTGGAGAGGCATGGGGTGTCCAGCTTGGATGTTGGCTGAAGACAGTTTGCCATAAAACTGAAATAATTAATTGGAATGCATTAGAAGATTAAACACTAAATAGGAACTCATTGAAGTTCTGGCCAGTATATCCAAATATTGTGCTGGAAATTAATAAAAGCTGACTTCACTGGAGATATAAAATTGTAAATTAAATTTGGTCTTTGAACAAAGAATCTGTTATAGGGCTCTCTAATTAGATTAGGAATCAAAAACTTTATGCCCCACTCCCTCTCCATGCCACCCTAGCCTGACTTTGGCATCTTTGAGAATGTTTTGGGACTCTTTATTTATGTATGAATTCTTCTGTCTCTCTTCATAGCTTGGATAACTTCTTGCAGTGGTGGTGAGGGGTAAAGTGGGTTTAGGCAGGGCGAGGGGGAGGTGGGAGGTTTTGAAAGTCATGCTAAAGTACTCAAAGCAGAGGCAGCAAACTTGCTTGAGGACCAAGTCTTGCTTACTGGTAGGTTGGCTTGGATGACAGGTTTTGACCCTCTCAGCATTTATAACATTTAAAAATAGGTGCCAACACTTACAAGTCAATAGATTTCACATTAACAATCTGAATTTGTGCCTTTCCTTAAACAGGCAGATTTGGTAATTCTGGAACTGCATTCAGAAGTGGATGGAAGTTGAGGAGCAGCCGATTTCTTTTAAAAGGGCCAGGAGCTGTTCAGTTTGCCCCAGTCTCCACCGCTCCCATATGCTCAGCCCACTTAATTCATCCATAGTCCCTTTCTGGCTTGTGCCTGTCCTTCGTAGGCATTTGTTCCCTGATTTAAAAAGTTTCCTGGTATATTCATGGTTCTGATTATAAGGAAGAATTGCATTCTCAGAAAGAAGGTATTTTTTAAAAGTTTATTTAATAATGGTGATACTATTTTAGCTAATATTAGACATATATGTGCTCATGCACCTGCCTCCCTTTTTAGCTTTGTAATGGCAGCCTTATTGAGATAAAGTTCACATGCCATAAAATTCATGCACTTAAAGTGCATGGTTCAACAATTTTTAGTTATTCACAGGGTTGTATAGCTATCACCACAATCTTATTTATTTGTTTTGAGAGAAGGGGTCTCGCTCTGTCACCCAAACTGGTGTGCAGTAACACAATCATAGCTTACCGTGGTCCCAAACTCCTGAACTCCAGAGATCCTCCCCACTTCTGGCTTCTGAGAATCTGGAACTGCAGGCATATGCACCTGGCTAATTTTAGAAAACCTTTTAGAGACAGGGTCTCACTATGTTGCCTAGGCTGGTCTTGAACTCCTGGGCTCAAGCCATCCTCGCACCTCAGCCTCCAGAGTAGCTGGGATTGTAGGTGTGAGCTGTAGTGCCTGGCCACAATCAATTTTACAACGTTTTCATCACCCTCCAAAGAAACCCTGTACTTATTAGCAGTTACTCCCCATTTCCCACAACATATTCAGCCCTTGGCAAACATCAACTTACTTTCTGTCTTTATGAGTTTGCTTATTTTAGCCATTTCATATTAATGGAATCATACAATGTGTGGTCATTTGTCCTGGCTGCTTTAATGTGGCATAATCACTTCAAAGTTCATCCGTGGTATAGTATTATCAGTACTTCACTTCCTTTTATTGATAAATAATATTTCATTGTATGGATATATCACATTTTATTTATCCACTCATCCATTGATGGGCATTTGGGTTGTTTCTACTTTTTGGGGATTGCGAATAATACTGCTATGACCATTTCTGTACAAATGTTTGTGTGAATATATGTGTTCTTTTATCTTGGGTCTATCTATCTATTGATGGATGGAAATGCTGGATCATATAGTTTTGCTTTTTTTTTTTTTTTGAGATGGGGTCTCCCTCTGTTGCCCAGGCTGGAGTGCAGTGGCACAATCTCCGCTCACTGCAACCTTTGCCTCCTGGGCTCAAGCAGTCCTCCCACCTCAGCCTCCCGTGTAGCTGGGACCACAGGTGCATGCCACCACGTCCAGCTGATTTTTGGTATTTTTGGTATTTTTGGTAGAGGCAGGGTTTCACCATGTTGCCCAGGCTGGTCTTGGAATCCTGAGCTCAAGCAATCCACCCACCTAGGCCTCCCAAACTGCTGGGATTACAGGCATGAACCACCACACCCAGCCTTCATATAGTAATTCTATTCTCACCATATGAGGAAATGTTGAACTGTTTTTCAAAGTGGTTGCACCATTTTATTTATTTATTTATTTTTATTTTTATTTTTTTTGAGATGGAATTTTCCTCTTGTTGCCCAGGCTGGAGTGCAATGGCACAATTTCGGCTCACTGCAACCTCTGCCTCCTGGGTTCAGGTGATTTTCCTGCCTCAGCCTCCCGAGTAGCTGGGATTACAGGTGCCTGCCACCACACCTAGCTAATTTTTTTTTTTTTTTTTGAGAAGGAGTCTTGTTCTGTTGCCCAGGCTAGAATGCAGTGGCATGATCTCGGCTCACTGCAACCTCTGCCTCCCAAGTTCAAGCGATTCTCCTGCCTCAGCCTCCTAAGTAGCTGGGATTACAAGTGCCCACTACCGCACCAGGCTAATTTTTGTATTTTTTAATAGAGACAGGGTTTCACCATCTTTGCCAGGCTGGTCTTGAACTCCTGATCTCATGATCCACCCACCTCGGCCTCCCAAAGTGCTGGGATTACAGGTGTGAGCCACCACGCCCAGCCACGCCTAGCTTATTTTTTGTATTTTTAGTAGAGACAGGGTTTCACCATGGCCAGGCTGGTCTTGAACTCCTGACCTCAGGTGATCCTTGGCCTCCCAAAGTGCTGGGATTAGAGGCGTGAGCCACCGTGCCCATCCAGCACCATTTTATATTCATGCCAGCAGTATATGAAGTTTCAATTTCTCCACATCCTTGTCAATACTTGTTGTTATCTTTCTTTCTCTATTTTTCATTATAGTCATGTCAGTGGGCGTGAAGTGGTATCTCACTGTGCTTTTTGACTTGCCTTTCTTTTTTGTTTTTTTGTTTCTTTTGAAGCAGAGTCTTTTCTGTTCACCCAGGTTGGAGTGCAGTGGCACAGTCACGGCTCACTGCAGCCTTGAACTTGAGAGCTCAATTGATACTCCTATTCCAGCCTCATGAGTAGCTGGGACAGCTGGGACTACAGCCATATGCCACCATGCATGGCTAATTATTGTATTTTTGCATAGAGAGTGTTTCACCATCTTGCCCAAGCTGGTTTGAACTCCTGGGCTCAAGCAATCTGCCCTGCCTCAGCCTCCCAAAGTGATGGGATTACAGGCATGAGCCACCATGTCCTGCCAACATGGAGCAACTTTCCATGTGCTTATTGGTCATTTGCCAGGCCTGTTGTAAGTGCTTAGGTCTAGCAATGCTTTACTCCATGACAGCCTTGGGGATAAGTACTATTGTTACTACCTTTTCCTATCACATGCCAGGCTCAGACTTTTAGTTGCAAGCTTTCTTGTCAACAAATAAAATGAATACTATTCAATGCAAGGACATTTTAGTTCCGACTCAACTGTCAATGTATAGTTAGCACTTAATAGTCAGTGCCTCAGTAATTCCTATTTATCCTGTTTTTCCTGACTCAGAAACTTTGTACATGCTATTTTTTTCCTTGATTAATTATTTCCTTGGTTAATTTAAAAATTTAATTTAAATTTTCCATTTAAATTTTTGTTCTGGCTGTTTCTGCTTTAATATTATTATTATTATTATTTGAGATGGAGTCTCAATTTGTCACCCAGGCTGGAGTGCAGTGACACAATTTTGGCTCACTGCAACCTCCACCTCCCAAGGTTCAAGCGATTCTCCTGCCTCAGCCTCCTGAGTAGCTGGGACTACAGGCATGCACCACCACACCCAGCTATTTTTGTATTTTTAGTAGAGATGGGGTTTCACCATGTTGGCCAGGCTGGTCTCAAACTCCTGGCCTCAGGTGATCTGCCCATCTGAGTGCTGGGATTACAGGCATGAACCACCACACCTGGCCTTTCCTGGCTATTTCCTTGTTTAATTTTTTCCTTGACTAATTTTTGTTTATCTTCTACATTTTCAGAGAGGCTTTCCTGACCTTCCTGTCTAAATTAGGACCCTTATTCTTTCTCACAGCCCTGTTGATTTACCATAATAACATTCATTTATTTTTGTGCCCTTATATTTTCTTATCTTTCTTTTAAATGAAAGTTTTTGTTTTATAAATTTGTAATCATGCTATAAATGTTCCTTTGAATCTGCCTTTTTTCCCATTTCACATTGTGTTACAAAAATTGTCAGCATCATTGAAAGCAAATGTTAAATGGCTGCAAAATAGTCTATTAGGTGATTATAAAATACCTCATTTAATCATTTCCTTTTTAAAATTTGAAGTGTGTCATTGATTTGCTATGGTAAATAACACTGATATGAACATCTTTGGGAATAAATCTGTTCTTAATTTTTAGGATACTTTTCTTAGTATAGAATCCAGAATTATTGAATCAGAGGCATTTGTAAAGTCCTTGATTCATATTACTAAAGCTTGAGGAAAAAAGGAGATGTTGTAATTTGCACTGCCTCAGGAATATATGAGAGTGCTACACTAATGAGACTCATGTCAGTACTGTTTATTATCATTTTAAAAACAGCTTTGCTGTAGTCTGCATTTCTTTGATTTACAGTGGAAGCACATCTAATAATTGCACAAATGACAGAAACACATCTTAACTGATACTCCAATTAAAAAAAATAGATAGTACATTATTAGTGCATTTTCCTAAAGGAGCCCAAGAAAGACTGAATAGGAGCATTTGTAGGTGAGGATAAGAGAATGAAGTGACCTGAACAGGCTCGAGAAAATTGCTGATGATGGGATTTGCAGATAAGGCAGAAGGACACATGGCTGGACTCTCAGTCTGCAGCTCATTTTTTATGCCTTATCAGAATAGAGGGCTGCTCCCCTGTAGATGATGGCTACACCTGGCAGTGTAATAAAAAGTGCTGTGGGTGGATGGGAAGCGCTGTGGAGATGGCTCCTGGTGCAGAAGACACAGAACTGAAGATGCTGACAGTTGCAATGAAAGGAGACTTGGAGAACACTGAGAGGTTAGGAGTTTTCAGACATTTTATTGGATTTATTTTATTTTATTTTTTTTCTTGAGACAAGACCTCCCTCACCTCTGTCACCTGGCTGAAGTGCAGTGGCATGATCGCGGCTCAACGCAGCCTCAACCTCCTGGGCTCAGGTGATCCTCCCACTTCAGCCTCCTGAGTAGCTGGAACTACAGGTGCACACCACCACACCTGGCTAATTTTTGCAGTTTTTTGTAGAGATGAGGTTTCACCATGTTGGCAAGGCTGGTCTTGAACTCCTGGACTCAAGCGATCCACCCATCTCGACCTCCCAAAGTGCTGGGATTATAGGCATGAGCCAACACTCCCAGCCTTTATTTGGTTTACTTTACAAGTGGACTATGTTTTTTTCTCTGTAAAATCTCAACATGAAACCTGGGGTGGGGATGGACAGGGGAAAACAGAAGGGTGATTTGGTCCACTCTCTCACTCATCAAGGGCCTTGAGATATTGGCCATTATCTCTGGGTGAGATTATTGTTATTATTATTTTAAGATGAAGTTTCACTCTTGTTGCCCAGGGTGGAGTGCAGTGGCACGATCTCGGCTCACTGCAACCTCTGCCTCTCCAGGCGAGATCATTAATGCAGTCCCAGAGACATACTGAAAGGATGGAGAGATTTTCAGCCTTTGACTCTCCAATAAGCACTTACATGTATTCATCATTTAGTCCCCACAGCAACCCAATCAGATCAGTGCCCATTTTATTTACATTTTACAAAAGAGGTAACTGCAGTGTGGGAATGTTAGCTTGCCTGGGATTCAAGAATAAATGGTACCAAGGTGGGCAGATCACTTGAGGCCAGGAGTTCAAGACCAGCCTGGGTAATGTGTCAAAAGCCAGTCTCTACTAAAAACACAAAAATTAGCTGGGTGTGGTGGTGCATGCCTTTAGTTCCAGGTACTCAGGAGGCTGAGGCACGAGAACTGCTTGAGCCCAGGAGGCGGAGGTTGCAATGAACCAAGATCATGCCACTGTACGCCAGCCTGGGCATCAGAGTGAGACTATCTCAAAAAGAAAAAAAAAAAAGTAAATGGTGGAACAGGGATTCAAATTCAGGCAGTGTGAAGAGGACAGGATGGAGATTTTGAAACTGGAGAGCATGAGCCAAGCTTAAGTGGGTTATCACTGGGAAAATGTGGTTCATTTTGGTTCATCTCTAAAGCTAAATTTTTATTGAAGTTGATATTAGCCAACCTTGGCTTCCTGAAAGATATCAATTAAATCAAGCAGTTGAAGTAAGCGGAAGAGATGGATGGCAGGGAAGGTCAGGAGACCCTCATTTATCCATTTGAGAGCAAGAGCCTGAAGAAATCAATAGGACATTCCTGTTAACTGTCCATTCACTTGTTCTTCCTCAGATTGGTAATTTCTGAACTAGGCAGTGTCGTGGTTAGAGAAGAGAGGACATCAAGTTCCAATGCTGTTGTCCCTACTCCATAAATCTGTACTACTCAAACTCTCTCAGCCTTCATCTTCTTATCTTTAAAATGGGGATAATAAATACCTCATGGAATTCTTGGGAGGAATAATTAAGATAATGCATATAATGCGCTTATAGTACTTGGCGCATATTATGTGTTCAATCAATGTAAACTTAATATTTAGTAATTTTTTTTCAACAAATGTTCACTTAGCTTTACTTGTGCGTTATTGGGTTGGTGGAAATGTCTTGGATGACCCACTAATGGATAAGATAAACTTCTGAGGGTAAAGGTTTTAGGTGCAAAACCCTCTTATCATGAAATGTGTTTAAAGGTAAGTTTGGAGGGATAGGACTGTATAACTTACCTATGATACAGATAGCTCAGGAGAAAGAGAATGGCCACAAAGTCCACTGAGAAAACAGAGTAAGCAAGGTCTTCTTGACATGGATTGTGAATTATGTGTCTTTCATTTTTATTTCTTTTGAGACAGGATCTCTCACTCTCACCCAGGTTGGAGTGCAGTGGTGTGATCACGACTCACTGCAGTCTTGAACTTGCCAGGCTCAAGCAATCCTCCTACCTCAGCCTTCTGAGTAGCTGAGACCACAGGGATGTGAAGAGACAGGGTCTCACTATATTGCCCCGGCTAATCTCGAACTCCTGGACTCAAGCAATCTGCCCGCCTCAGCCTGCCAAAATGCTGGGATTACAGGTATGAGCCAAGGCGGCCTATGTGCCATTTAGCTGTCTAAGATGAACAAAAGGAAACAACCAAAACACTAACACTTCTTTGTTACTTAAAGTCAAAATGAGGACCTCTGTCAGAAAGCTACATTTACCCTGTCTCTGAGAAAGCAGAGTTGAATGAACTGGAAAGAATTTGGGCCATAAAACAAGGTCCCTGAATTAGCAGATCACCTTCTGTGAATAAATCATCTAAATATTACATCAGAGCTCAAGCAAAATTTTGTGTCTCTGAAGTGACACTTTGAATCACTTTTCCTGTGATTAAAAAAAAATGGCCAGGCGCGGTAGCTCACGCTTTTAATCCCAGCACTTTGGGAGGCCGAGGCAGGCATATTCCGAGTCCAGGAGTTCGAGACCAGCTTGGCCAACATGGCAAAACCCTGTCTCTACAGAAAAATACAAAAATTAGCCAGGCATGATGGCACACGCCTGTAGTCCCAGCTAATCAGGAGGCTGAGGTTTGGGAGGATCGCCTGAGTCTGGGGAGGTCGAGGATGCAGTGAGCTGAGATTGTGCCACTGCACTCCAGTCTGGGGGGTCAGAATGAGACTCCATCTCACTATATTGGAAGGCAGTGGCTGATCACAGCTCACTGCAGCCTCGACCTCCCAGACTCAAGTGATCCTC
This sequence comes from Homo sapiens, assembly GCF_000001405.40. NCBI lineage: Eukaryota > Metazoa > Chordata > Mammalia > Primates > Hominidae > Homo > Homo sapiens. Next base: position 127,715,284 of record NC_000008.11, on the reverse strand, counting down.
CCATCTATCTCAGCCTCCCTAGTATCTGGGATTACAGACTTGTGCTACCACACCTGGCTATTTTTTTCTGTTAAGAGATGGGGTCTCACCATATGGCCCAGGCTGGCCTCAAACTCCTGGGCCCAAGGGATCCTCCTCCCTTGGCTTCTCAAAGTGCTGGAATTACAGGCGTGAGCCACCATGCCTGATCCTATTAAGTAATGCTTTTAAAAAATATTGGATTTGGCTGGGTGTGGTGGCTCATGCCTGTAGTCCCAGCACCTTGGGAGGCTAAGGTGGGTTAATTGCTTGAGGCCAGGAGTTCAAGACCAGCCTGGCCAACATAGAAAAGCCCCGTATCTACTAAAAATGCAAAAATTAGCCAGGTGTGGTGTTGCATGATCCTGATCCTATTAAGTAATATTTTTAAAAAATATTGGATTTGGCTGGGTGTGGTGGCTCACGCCTGTAATCCCAGCACCTTGGTAGGCTAAGGTGGGTTAATTGCTTGAGGCCAGGAGTTCAAGACCAGCCTGGCCAACATAGAAAACCCCCGTCTCTACTAAAAATGCAAAAATTAGCCAGGTGTGGTGGTGCATGCCTGTAGTCCCAGCTACTTGGGAGGCTGAGGCATGAGAATTGCTTGAATCTGGGAGGTGGAGGTTGCAGTGAGCCAAGATCATTCCCCTGCACTCCAGCCTGGGTGACAGAAAGAGATCCTGTCTCAAAAAAAAAAAAAAAAAATCAGATTTTGTACAAAAATTATCATATAAACAGCTACCAATTTTGCAGTGTGTGTCACATGCTAATTCTAAACCTAGAGCTTGATGCATCATTATTTCATTTTAATCACACAGCACTCAGAATCATCCTGATTCTAATTTTATAGATGAGAAAACTGAGGTTAGAGAAGTCATGATTTACCTGAAGACACAGAGTTAAGAATTAGAATCAGTCCTGGTGCGGTGGCTCATGCCTGTAATCTCAGCACATTGGCAGGCTAAGTCGGGCGGATTGCCTGAGGTCAGGAGTTTGAAACCAGTCTGGCCAACATGGTGAAATCTCATCTCTACTAAAAAAAATACAAAAATTAGCTGGGTATGGTGGTGGGCACCTGTAGTCTCAGCTACTTTGGAGGCTTAGGCAGGAGAATTGCTTGAACCTGGGAGGTGGAGGATGCAGTAAGCCGAGATTGTGCCACTGGACTCCAGCCTGGGTGACAGAGCAGACTTCATTAAAAAAAAAAAAATACAGAATCGGAATCAGCCTAGACAAGTCTTGTCTGATGCTCTAGGAGTAGGAAGGTGGTTCTAGTCTCAGTGTTGCTCCAGACACTCTGGATGCCCTGCATTGGCTAACTCAGCCTGTCTTCTCTAAAGTAAATGTATGTGCTCTGCTGCTCCACAATGTTCTTGTCAGGATCAAATCCAATACTGGACAGAAAAACCCTTTGGATTTCTCACATTTCTGGTTAGCTCTGTGGACAAATCCCTTTCTCTCCAGGCTTCATTTTTGCATCTGTGCATTGGGACTAGCTGCGTTAAACTCCCTTCCAGCTCTGAAAGTGTAGAATTTTGCATCTTCACACTTCTCCCGGTTCCTCGGTGGTGAATTGGAGACATTGGTTGTCACCAGGAGAGGAAGGGAAGCTGTGAATGCTTCCATCTGAGCTTTGGGTTTGAGTAATGTTGGTAATTTCAAAGCCTCATTCTCTTGCTCCCTAATGTTCTGCTTCTAGATAACTGTAGTTTTAGGAGAGGGGAGCTTGAATAACGATGCTGGAAATAGTTCCGCTGGGGAAGGTGAAGGGTATTTGGAGTTTTTAATTTAGCACATAGTGGCCAAATGCTGCTCAGAGTTTGTCCCTGGAGCACCAAAGTCCCCATCAAGAACTATGCAGTGTTTTGGAATTGAGCCTATTATTAAGTGGGCACTGAGTGGCAGAGGATAATATAGCAAAGAGTGGGGGAATACACAGTAGTTACCAGCTTGGGCTTGGGGGTCCAACAGCTTGATTCTAATCCCTGTTCTCTTACTCCACAGCTTTGTGATCTTAAGTTCTCCAGGGCTAGTTCTCCATGTAGCTAAAATGGTAATGTCTTCCTGAGTGTCTTAAGAAAGGAAACGAGATGTTAAGCTTGAAGGCTGGTGCCTAGTTAACTGTTATCCAATTCAGGCTCTTCAGAGGGTGGTCTAGTCCTTCAGGAGGCCAGGTGGGCTTGGAAGCTGCTCTGAGTTGACCTTTCCAGCAGAGCTGTGATGTCTCACTGAGCTAGAAACTTAAACTTCTTGGGCAAGAGTTGCACCACAGTGTTTTTCTTTTCCTACAGGCAAATCTAGGCTGGGCAAGGGGAGGGGGCTGCCAGGTATGGCCTTATATACGTTTCATCCTCATAACACCGTAACATTGTTACTCTTATCCCCATTTTATGAAAGAGGAAATTGAGGTGCAAATAGGTAAAACTTGGCAAAGATTACAGAGCTAATAAATGGAGGAGCTGGGTTTCAGAACTATGGCAAGTCGTTGTTTCATACATAACAGATTCCTAATGAAAATCACTGATGAAAAAAAAAACAGAATCACTGATGCTAGACCTCTGCACCCCCAAGCTTCTACCCTGCCAGTGGCTGCAAATAAATGACAAGAAGCAGTTTAACTGAACTGCTCTTGACCATTCAGAATTGCTCTAAGGTTCAAGGAGAAAGAAACTAAATAATATGACATGAAAGACTGATTGTAGATATGGCAGAAATTCATGCACCCTACAACATGCCTCTGTGGCTGTGCTGTCAAAAGGTGATAGCTGTTTCCTTCCCCTGGATCTGGGTTGGCCTTGTGACTTGCTTTGGACACAAAAATGAGATGGAGTTGATGATGTACCAGTTCCAAGCTTAGGCTTCAAGAAGCTTTGTACACTTGTGTTCATTTCTGCTTCTTCTTTCTTGGAAATTTGCCCAGGCACTGTGGAAACAAACCAGGCTAGATTTTTGGGGAACAAAAGATCATGCATATCAAAGCAAAGATGCTCCAGCAAAAGCCAGCCAGTCTATAGAGGCAGAACTGCCTTGTTGAGCTGACCGTAGCCCAGCCAAGACTAGAAGAACCACTCAACCGAGCCCAGTCGAAATTATCCACCTGTACAATTGTAAGCTAAATACATGCATGTTATTTTAAAACATTACTTTTAAAAATTTAGGGATAATTTAAAATTTGTGGGAAAGTTGAAAAGATAATATAGCTGTCACCTGGTTTCAATTACTCCTAATTTATCATCACATTGTTTATGACAACTAAGAAACCAGCATTTGCATGTCACTACTAATTAAGCTGCAGATAATTTTTTCAATTTTGCCAGTTTTTTGCTAATACCCTTTTCACTATTCCAGGATCCAATCTAAGATACCACAATGCGTTTAGTGTCATGTTTTATTAGTTCCCTTTTATCTGTAACAGTTTCTCAGTCTTTCTTGCTTTCATGACAGTTTTCTTTCTTTGCTTTCTTTGACAGTTTTGAGGAGTACTAGTTAAGTATTTTGTAAAGTATCCTTCAATTTGTGTTTGGCCGGTTTTTTTTTTTTTTATAATTAGACCAGGGTTTTGGGTTTTTGGGAAAAAAAATACTACAGATGTGAAGTGCCCTTTTCATCACATCAGGGGGTACATGATATCCAGTTGACATCAATGGTGATGGATATCAGCTTTGAACACTTGCTTAGAGAAGTGTTTGCCAGATTATTCCACTGTAAAGTTACTATTTTCCAAAGGGATTACATGCTGGGGTGGGTTATTATGACAATTCCTCCTGTTCGTGCCTTTCTAAATCTCATTTTTCCTATTTTTTGGACTGTTTCCCAACTTTAATCTCTTGCTTTGACAATCCATTGTAATACTGCTTTCAGATTGACAGTGCTAAAGCAAAGTTCTACATTAAAAGTTTTGCTTTTTTTTTTTTTTTTTTTTTTTTTTTGAGACAGAGTTTCAGTCTTGTTGCTCACCACTGAGCCTGGCTAATTTTTGTGTTTTTAGTAGAGACTGGGTTTCATCATGTTGGCCAGGCTGGTCTCAAACTCCTGGCCTCAGGTGATCCACCCGTCTTGGCCTCCCAAAGTGTTGGGATTACAGGCGTGAGCCACTGCACCCGGCCCGCTTTTTAAATTCTAAGAATCTTCCTAGGTTCTGCTCAAATGCCCCTATCTTCATAAGCTTTCCCTGGCTCACTCTGTAAACTCTTATGGTATTCATTCACTCATTCATCCATTTTAGTGAGCACTACGTAGGCCCTGGGCCACAAAGATGAACCAGACAAAATCCCTAGTCTCATGAAACTTGCCCGTAGAAAGATACACAATAAATCCAGGAGTCAAATAATTTAAAAATAAATATGTAACATTTGTCTTCTCTGATAACCATGTTCTTGTTGTAGAGGTGGTAGGTTCTAATCTCCCATGCATCTCAGTTAACTAATCAGCTGAGAACGAATTAGTAAATATATATCATGCATGTACCATGAACCAGGAATTGTGGTCGATGTCTACAATAGAATTTCTGACATTGCTGTTGGAGTCACTGAAAGCAAATGTTGTATCATCCAACCCGTTCTATCATTAAATCGTATAACAGGGACAGGGGAAGGGCTGCTTATCAGTAACAGAGCTGGGACAATGATCTATGTTCATATACTTCTAGCTTGCGGTTCTTTCCAATTTGTCCATTGTTCTCTTGGCTAATGAAAAGGAATGGCTGTCAGACTTGAAAGGCAAAAGGAAATGTACTATCTCAGTTATGGGGATGAGAGATCAGGATGACATTTACCCAGAGACTGACCATTCTCTAGGGTCAGATTATGAGGCCAATTGGTATCCCCTGAATTGAGACTTCCCTGGAATTAAAGCAGTAATCACCAAACTTCCCCATTTGACCTAAGACTGGGCATCCTATCTATTTATTTGTTTTACATTTCCCCTACTGGAATATAAACTCCACAATGGCAGAGTCTTTGTGTGTCTTCACTTCTATATCTTAAGCACCTAGAACAGGGCTTGTTATTTAGTAGGAGTTTAATACATAGGTATGTATGAACACTGACTTGGGAAAGACAGAGACACCAAGGTCAGTGACATTTTTTTATAGGACAACTTCACTGTGTCCTTTACTTAGCATATTTATTGGCTGGGGCTCTTTCAGTTGTATACAGTAGAAACTAGTATCTAATAAGCCTAAGCAAACAAAATATTATACAACACATTTTTAAAATCTTAAATTTATTGCTTACCCAACTGCATGTTTCCTTCAGGTACAGTTGGATCAAGGGCTTTGGTCAACTCCTAAAAACTCTGCCCTTTCCTCTTGGCCCAGCTTTCCTCTGGGCTGGCTTCATTCTCAAGCAGGCTTTCTCTATATGGTAGTGGTTGGTTACAGGAGCCAAAACATTCCCTATTTTGCTTGAAGCCAGTGGGAGTTGGGTTTCTGTCACTTGCAAAAAACAAAACGCATTGACTAATACTCTTTTACCTAATCAGAGCCTGGCATGGTGCAGGTATATGAAATGAATGCAGCTGAGGCTGCACTTGAGGAACCTGAGTTCCTATGTTACCTTGGATCCAGCTCACGGATCATCTCTGCCTAAGCTCAAGTCCAATGGCTTATGAATGAGATTCTACCCTGGGCATATTTCGCTTAACAATATAAGCTTATGTGATGGTTCCTCCTGTGGGAATCAAAAGGCCTGTGTGTTAAACACTCAGTTTGTTTGAAAGCCGCTGAAATTAGAATATTTCTTTTGTTCTGAAGATAACCCATCATAAACCAGTCGAAAAGGTGGGTGTTCTCAGTTTTTCTTAAATGTGGAGGTGGGAGGATCTCCTGCAGTTTTTTTTGAAACCATCATATGAGGGCTGCAGCAGTAACCTCCAGATTTTTCAGGAATACCTAGGGCTTCTAAAGATCCCCATCATGACTCAAATTTCAGATGCTACTACTTTGTTGAAGAAAGCATCCTGCAATTGCTTTAACCTGTTGCTACTCCCAAAAAGCCTATACTAAGGTTCAATGGTGTTCATTTTTTACACAGATATTAAAAACTCAAGAATGAGGCCAAGGAGGCCGGGTATGGTGGCTCATGCCTGTAATCCCAGCACTTTGGGAGGCTAAGGTGGGTAGATCACTTGAGGCCAGGAGTTCGAGACCAGCCTGGCCAATGTGGTGGAACCCCATCTCTACTAAAAATACAAAAATTAGCCAGGCATGGTGATGTACACCTGTAGTCCCAGCTATTTTAGGAGGCTGAGGCACGAGAATAGCTTGAACCTGGGAGGCAGAGGTTGCAGTGAGACGAGATCATGACACTGCACTCCAGCCTGGGTGACAGAGTGAGAATCTGTCTCAAAAAAAAAAAAATGAGGCCAAGGAAAGTTGGGGAGTGTTGCACAGTTGTACTTAGCACTCACCAAATACCCAAGGGGCTGCCTATATCTCCTGGCTTCCCTTGCAGGAAGGCTGGTGCCAGTGATTAGTTCTGGCCATGGGCTGTGAGTGGCAATGATGTGTGTTATTTCACAGCCAAAGTCATTAGGAGCTTTGTGTCTCCTCTTTTTTTCTTTTCTTCTTTGGGGTGACCATAGAATTGTTCTATTGGGATGATGGAACCACAGGATGAAAGAAGTCTGAATACTGGAAGTGCCAAAGAAAGCTGCACTGCAGAGTTGCTTGACCAGCAGTGGACTTGTGTGAATAAGAATCAAATGTTTTTTCTTTCTTTCTTCTTCTTTTGTTTTTTATAAGCCACTGAAATTTCAGGCTTTATTTATTATTGCAGCATAGCTTAGCCTATCCTGAGCAATAAAAGCCTGCACTTCTCCTCCGGTAGATTCTTTGGATGGCTGCTGGCTGAGATTTATTTAAACTAGGAAAAGATCATCTCACAGTATATATTCATTCACCTTCCAGTTCCTGCTTTTCAGCTTTTGCCTTTAAATGACTTTGGAGCAACACACCTGGCTTGAATCACAGCTCTTCTACTGATTTGCTGGTTAACCTTGAGCAAATTGCTTTACATCTCTGAACCTTAGTTACTTCATAAGTAAAAAGTTGAAAATAGTTTGGCTTATTGAGATATTCTACCATTCATTGCTTTTCCCCAAGCTTCTTATCTTTCTCCACTTCAATTTCTTCTTCTGTTAAAAGAGAAAAAACTGTTTCTTACCTCTCTAAGTTGTCTTAAGGATGAAATGAGAAAATACAGAGAACCCAGCCATTGTGCACACTTAGTGTCCTTTGTTGCTACCTTTTCAATCCATTGAGACCTCCTAATTTTTCCTATCACTCTCTGTTTTATTCCTTTCTTTCCCCCTTTCTCAATTCAGACTTAATATATAAAATCTTCTCCTTTTTAAGGAATCCTTGACTCTTTTGAGGTTGGTGTCACTGGTAAAGAATACACTTTCCAAAATAACTCTGAGCAAGTGTGTGTGTGTGTGTGTGTGTGTGTGTGTGTGTGTTTAAACTACACCCAAGTTATGAAAGGAAACGGTTGCTGGGAGTGGAGGGCAAAGTTAAGTCCACACCTGAAAAACATACTTAATATACTGATAAAGACCGAAGGATCTAATCATTTGTCTTGAAGAAAACTGAAACAGTTACCCTGATAAACAGACCAATTGAGAACAATTAAAATCTCAGCCACTTATCTGAAGCCAAACAAGAATAACCTCAGTGAGTTTGAAGGTGAGAAGTCACTTAAGCAGAAACTCAGGGAGCAGGATTCCTTGAGAAGGAGGAAATTTACAGCAATGCTTTTCTTCCATGGTCCTCCATATGTACCAGCAAGGCGTGTACAAGATAGAGAGTAATGGGCAGGAGTGGGCAGGAGTGATCTGTGTGCCAGGTAGGAGTCAGAAGACAAGAATGGCCGAAAACAACGCCAGATAATGACAACCTGGGTTTGCATACAGATTTTCTTTCTTTCTTTCCTTTTTCATTATTTTTGCTTGCACTTTGTGGTTATCCTTGGAAAGATTGGCGCCCTAGAAGGAAGAGTAGAAAGAACCAATTGACTGTTCTCAAAACAAAACAAATCTCAACAAAGGCCCTTTCTTCCTCAAAGACTATTCCCATGGAAAGTAACCAGTGAGCCCACGTGGAATTACCTGACTGCAAAACAATGCCACTTTTCTTAAAGGGAGTTAGTTTTCCACTTGCCCAATTTAAACATGGCTCCACAGAAATTGCTGAAGTCTTCCAAAAGGATGCTGTCCTCAGACTAGAGACCCAGGTAGAGAAATTGAAGGCTGACAGGAGCACTTTTTTTGAGTGAGCCAAAAATACAGGTTAAGAGGGAGCCTCTCTTCTCAAATTATGTTAATAGTCAGATACATTGTTCAGATCTCCACTGTTGAGCCATGAGAGCTTGTTCAACAGCATTTTCTCCAGCGCTCTGAAAGGCGTGTGTTGCTTTGGTTCTGAGAACATTTGAAACCAGCCCAACCTTTTTAAAAAGCACATTTAAATTTTTGGGGGGGTTCTGCTAGTATATATACTTAATAAAATGTATGTGTGATCATTAAAAAGTCAGGAAACAACAGGTGCTGGAGAGGCTGTGGAGAAATAGGAACACGTTTACACTGTTGGTGGGACTGTAAACTAGTTCAAGCATTGTGGAAGTCAGTGTGGCGATTCCTCAGGGATCTAGAAAAAAAAAGCACATTTAAATTTTTTGGGGGGTTCTGTATAATATATATACTTAATAAAATGTTATGTGTGTTGAGATGGGCATGTTTGCCATCTTTCCCGCTGAAAAATACACATCGCCTTTGCACTCAAGGCAAGGAAAGAAACCATAGAGGCATCGTGGAGAAGAATCCCATCCCAGCTGAGGGAGGAGAGCAAGAGATTTGTTTTTTTCTCTAATTAAAATCAAATGTGAGTGATCATTATAGCTTTTTGCTAGTTCTTTCATTCCATATCTCAGGAATCCTTCAAATATAGTAACCCAAGAGAGGTATGGAAGGCTTATCTCACAGAGCTACAGGGAAATACAGACTTTTTTTTCCCCCACAGAAGCTAAATCTGAAAATGTGACTAGAGAACTGTGTTAGGAGCTGCTTGATTATCGTGAATTGAATTCTTGACCAAACAGTGCAATTTGTTTTTTTGTTTGTTTGCTTTTTTGAGACAGAGTCTTGCTCTGTCACCCAGGCTGGAGTGCAGTGGCACAATCTTGGTTCACTTCAACATTCCCCTCCCAGGTTTAAGTGATTCTCCTGCCTCAGCCTCCTGAGTAGCTGGGACTACAGGCATGCGCCACCACACCTGGCTAATTTTTGTATTTTTAGTAGGGATGGAGTTTTGCCATGTTGGCTAGGCTGGTCTCGAATTCCTGAACTCAGGTGATCTGTCCACCTTGGCCTCCCAATGTGCTGGGATTACAAGTGTGAACCTGAATCTTAAAAAAAATAATAATAATAATTAACAAAGCCATCAACCACGGGTTCTCCTAACTCCAGCCTTTGCAGAAAAGTGATTCATTGCCATTGAATCTTTTTAAAGATGAGTGAGATTTCTTCAAATCTTAGTGTATTTTATTTTGTAAAAAAAGAAAAAGAAAAGGCTGAGAGTGGTGGCTCACACCTGTAATCGCAGTACTTTGGGTAACCTGGAGTTTGAGACCAGCCAGGGCAACAGAGTAAGATTCCATGTCTACAAAATTTAAAAATTATCCAGGCACGGTTGCTCACACTTGTAATCCTAGCACTTTGGGAGTCCGAGGCAGGCAGATCACAAGGTCAGGAGTTTGAGACCAGCCTGCCCAATATGGTGAAACCCCGTCTCGACTAAAAATACAAAAATTAGCTGGACGTGGTGGCGGGCGCGTGTAGTCCCAGCTACTAGGGAGGCTGAGGCAGGAGAATTGCTTGAACCTGGGAGGTGGAGGTTGCAGTGAGCCGAGATCATGCCACTGCACTCCAGCCTGGGCGACAGAGGAAGACTCCGTCGCAAAAAAAAAAAAAGGAATTGCCCGTAGAGAAGATGTTAGCCAGGCGAGGTGGCTCACGCCTGTAATCCCAGCACTTCGGGAGGCTGAGGCAGGTGGATCACTTGAGGCTAGGAGTCTGTCTCTACTAAAAATACCAGAATTAGTCAGGTGTGGTGGCACATGGTAATCCCAGCTACTTGAGAGGCTTAGGCACGAGAATCGCTTGACCTCTGGAGGCGGAGTAAGACTGTCTCCAAAAAAAAAAAAAAAAAAAAAAAAATTAGCCAGGCACAGTGGCACATGCTAATTTTTTACTCAGGAGGCTGAGGTGGCAGGATTGCTTGAGCCTAGGAGGTCAAGGCTGCAGGGAGCTGTGATCACACCACTGCACTCCAGCCTAGGCAATGGAGTGAGACCCTGTCTCAAAAACAAAACAAAAATAAAAAAGAACACTATCTATTACACTTCTAAGTCAAAATTTACATCAAGACTTATCACGCTGTTCCTCCAACCAAAGAGGCCCATCTAAGTGAAATTCAGAGATGGCTGAAATTGTAAGATGAATTCTTAGAAGAAAAGGGGCCGGGCGCGGTGGCTCATGCCTGTAATCCCAGCACTTTGGGAGGCCGAGGTCAGGAGTTCGAGACCAGCCTGGCCAACTTGGTGCACATGCCGTGCAGATATGGCTACGAGAAATAAGTAACCAACATGGGCGTTGATGACAAGTTTTGAGACATTTTGTAATCTGTGATCTCTGTACTATACATTTTGATTCTTTCACTCAGAGGTTGACTGGAAGATTCCGTGCCACCTTGCTTCTTGCAGCTTAGAGGCTGGCTGATCTCATTTGTGCATGATTTAGTTTCTCAAGAGCTCCAGACGAAATGGCATCTGATCATTTGTCTCCTGCTTTCTATGTTGCCTCGCATTAATTAAAAGCATTAATCTGTAATTCTCTCATTTATGCAGAAAATATGTTGTGGTATACATACCAACCCAAATGTTTGGCAGTGGTGGCACGGACATAAACAAGACATGGCTTTTAGCCCTCAAGACACTGTGTCTATAAAAAATAATTTTAAAAAATTAGTGAGGCATTGCGACACACACCTATGTTCCCAGGTATTCAGGAGGCTGAGGTGGGAGGATCATTTAAGCCTGGGAAGTTGAGGTTGCAGTGAGCCGTGATTGCAACCCTGCACTCCAGAATTGGCAACAGAGTGAGACCCTATCTCAAAAATTAAATAAATAATAAAAAATAAAGGGAGAAAGATTCATGTAGAAATGATTGCAAAGAGAAATGGTGAGTGCAATGAAGGGGATTAAAGCCATAGTGCATGGTGGCCCGAAGGTGTCTGCAGTCAGCCTGGGTCTTGGTGATTCTCTCCTGTTTGTCATGTCTGTGTCACAGATTGAGGGACATTATAAGAAGTGCCTGAGCTGGGTGCAGTGGCTCACTCCTGCAATCCCAGCACTTTGGGAGACTGAGGTGGGCAGATCACAAGGTCAGGAGTTTGAGACCAGCCTGGCCAATATGGTGAAACCCCGTCTTGACTAAAAATACAAAAATTAGCCGGGTGTGGTGGCGGGTGCCTGTAGTCCCAGCTACTTGGGAGGCTGAGACAGGAGAATTGCTTGAACCCAGGAGGTGGAAGTTGCAGTGAGCCGAGATCGTGCCACTGCACTCCAACCTGGGTGACAGTGAGACTCCATCTCAAAAAAAAAAAAAAAAAATTGCCTGTAGAAAAGATGTTAGCCAGGCGAGGTGGCTCATGCCTGTAATCCCAGCACTTTGGGACGCTGAGGCGGGTGGATCACTTGAGGCCAGGAGTCTGTCTCTATTAAAAATACCAAAATTAGCCGGGCATGGTAGCACATGGTAATCCCAGCCACTTGAGAGGCTTAGGCACAAGAATCGTTTGAACTCTGGAGGCGGAGGTTGCAGTGAGCCACGATTGCTCCACTGTACTCCAGTCTGGGCGACAGAGCGAGACTCTGTCTCAAAAAAATAAATAAATAAATAAAACAAATAAATAGAAAAGATATTGTGGAGCATGTTGTTCAATTTTTGTACATTGTGTGTCTCTTTAGGAGATCCCCAGAGGCAATTGTCCACCTGACTTCAGAATCAGAAGTAGCTCTGCTTTTCCTGAGAAGTGGTGCGGGTTTTGCCTTATGGATGCTAACTGAGACTGGAACATGTTCCCTTTTTTGTATCAGCTGCTGGTACAAAATTGAGAGTTGAGAGCCAAAACTGTACCCTTATCACCTGTCAGTAACTTAAGGTATGTGTAGAGCCACAGACAGGGTCTCGCTCTGTACTCTGTTATAATTTCCTGCACTTGGTTTTTATTTTTTATCTTTCATTTTCCATGCCTTTTAATTTGTGTCATTTTTGCTCTATTTAAAAAAAAGCCTCCATAAATATTTCTAGTATAAGGCAGACTATATATATGATAATACCATATAATGATAATAACAAAACCCTCCCTGTCTCAGGAGGGGACAAATGATAGGGGAGGTGAATCGGATGGTGGAGCAGGATATTTCAGGCAGAATGAACACCATCTCAAAAAGCAAAGACATGTGAAATGGACGTGAGTTCTGGCTTCCATTTTTGTGTCATGAAAGGAATTCAACTAACAGCACATTCCCCCTCACCCCCTTAACATTGTCTTCTTGTTCTATCAAGTGCATTCTGGATATTTCTAATGTCTTCGATTAGGAGGAACAAGCTTGGAGGAGGTAATCACAAAGCAGCTTTCTCCAGCTTACACCATCCAACCCCTTTTAAGTCCACTCTGGGGGCTTGTTAATCCCCATGGCCCTAGAAGAAAACTCAGGCAGGCCCCAGGACTTTCCTAGGCTCTTTTCACTTTATCATAAAGAAATGTCTCAAATGGAGGAATTAAATTCCCCTTTCTCATGTAATTCCAAATTGATTACAGTTGAGGCTTTTGCCTTCTCCTTGCTCAAGAGGGAAGCCTCAACTGGGGAAGGGCTAGAGATGGTTTCTTCTATCTTTGCTAGTTTTTCCCTCCCCCATCTCCCCAGGGATGGAGCTCAGGGAAGGAGTGAGTAGAGGAGCAAGAAATTTATTCCTTGGCTGACTTTGGCATGGAGATTGTAGTGCCACGGGAGCCCCTCGCATCCACTTTTTCACTCCATCTCTTGCTTCAGCGAACAGCTGTAATGGGATTCGCTTGGAAACATAGTGTATTCTTTGCTTTCTGCTCTAGGGCCTCTTTGCTTCCACCCTGCAGCATCCCAAAGGAACCCACTCAGCCTTTCTGATGCATGCATGAGAGCATTGTAAACCCATAGAGCAATTTGACCATCAGGGTGGCAATTGGAGGACAAATGCTTCCTCTTTCTTTGTCTCAGAAGGTCAGTCTTGCAGAGCATCCTACAAAGCTCCTTAGCGAGCCCTCTGATGAGATTGAGCCCCAGTTGCTCACAGAGCAATGAGTTCAATGAGGCAACCTTGGACCAGCTCTTTCTCCTCCCCTTTTACTCTTTCTAACTCCCATTTTTTATTTTAGCGGTCATTTCCCAAAACAAACTACCTGCATGCAAACTCTTGTCTTAAGCTCTGCTTTTTGGAGGAACTCAGGCTATTGGAGAAATCTAGCAATTAGATATCTGTTTAGTTTTTGCAGCAGTTTAGAACTTACTTTCTTCTAGATGCTTTTATGAGTTCATTAGAAAACCCTATCCCTGGGGATTTCTCATCCATGGTTTCTTGACAGAGCAATCACCTCTTTATTTCCATGGATCATTATTTTCACCCTTGGCTACTAAGGTAGGAATGGCTACATAATTTGTGGGGCCCAGTGCAAAATGAAAATGTCAGGATCCTTGTTCAGAAAGTATTCAGAATTTCAAGAAGGCAATAGCAGTGCATTACACTGAAGCGTGGGGTCCTTCTTAGTGGAGGACTCTGTGTGGCTGTACAGGCTTCATATTCATGAATCTATCGCTGCCTCTGGCCTTTATACCCATGTTTCCAATTAGGTAACTCCACATCAGGTCTCTCCCAGAGAGCTTCACATTTGGCCCATGAAATGCCACATCCTTTGCCCAGCACTCTGTTGACACTACTGCATTTGCCAGCCTTTTCTAGATTTCTCACTGTAAGTCATATGCAATGCATGAGTTATTATTATTATTATTTTAGAAGTGCGGGCCTCACTATGCTGCCCAGGCTGGTCCCAAGCTGCTGGGCTCAAGTGATCCTCCTGCCTCAGCCTTCCAAAGTGCTGGCATTACAGATGTGAGCTACTGTGCCCAGCCTGCGTCCGTATTTGTGCTAGCCAGACCTCTAAAAGGTCCCCAATGATCCTTGCCTCTTGATTTTTATGACCTCCCATAAAAATTTAGCCCTGACCTCTGTGACCAATAGAATACGGCAGAAATAACAAGGCATTACCTCTGAGAGTAGGTCCTAAAAGGTGTTGTAGCATTTTGGCTTTGTTTTCCTGATTTGCTTACTCAGGAGGAAGTCAGCTACCATGCCTCCAGGACACTCAAGTAACCCCATGGAGATGACATTGCAGAGAAGAACTGGTCGAAAGCCAGTACCCACTTTGCCATCTGTGTGAACAATCCACCTTTGAGTGGGTCCTCCAGCCCACATCAAGCCTTCATATAACAGCAGTCCTGAAGGACATTTTATTGTAACCTCGTGAAAATCGAAGTAGGAACTCACCAGCCAAGTTGCTCCTGAATTCTGCAGGCGTAAAACCGTGAGAAATTACAGATCATTATGGTTGTTTTGAGTCACTGAGCTTTGGGATGATATGTTACGCAGCAAAGGATAACTAATACAGTATTAGAAAGCAAGCCTTCCTTTAGGTAGGAAACAGCTCTTTTCAAATAAATCTTCAAGCATCCTGTCTCTCAATTTCCATGCTTCCCATGGACCAGACATGGCTGGTCATCTCTGAGAGACATTTGAAGGGTCATGTTAGATCCTGATGAAGCAGGCTGCCTGGAGGGACCATCTAACCCCAGGAGAGAAAAGCTGCAGTTGTCTGGATAGCATTGATCCTGTTTCTACACTCAACTCAGTGTGAGAGATTTTAAAAATTTAGTGTGAGAGATTTATATAGATATCTTTGCCACTTATTTTTATTTTTTATTTTTCTATCTTGTTCTAAGGTTTCATTTTAGAATATGCCTCAGCTTTCATTTTCATCACCAGTTATATTTTCTTACCCAACTTGAAAATCAATGGAACCACTGTCTTGGGATATTTTCCTCCTCCATATCCTCAGTGATACCATCTCTGTGAATTGGTTTCGGGAAAACTTCTGCGTTGCAGAGCTTAACGGATTTAGAGTAACGACATTCTTATGACAGCCAAATTGGGTAGCCATGGCCTTGGAAAACTGAGAAGTCAAAAATAGTAGGAATATTCATTATAAAACGGAAGTCTGGAAAGCTGCCCATGTTCTGAGAAAAACCTTTTAGCCAAAGAACTCAAATTCCCATTCAGATTTTCATGGGTAAAATTCCAAAAAAAGTCTTTTTTTAGCAGACAGAGAGACAGAGAGAGAGAGAGAGAGAGAACCACTTTTGTAGCTGTGACCTAATTCTGCTAATAAGGAATTTATTACTGAGGACTAGATAATTTATTTAGTATCTAATCACAGACTTATTTTCATGGAACAAGGACCTGGGATTTGTTAGTGCCTTCAGGGAACTACAGTACTAGTTACTGCTCTTCCTAACAACCTGTGTGACCTGTCTGCATCTCGTTCTTTTTCTCTGCAGGAGTCTGAGAATATCTGTTGACCAGAGATAAACTATCGGGAGGCTTTGAAGTGCTGTAAATGCTTTACCTATTTGAGGTTTCATTATTATTTTGTCTTTTACATTTAGTCATTTTCTGCAAGAGGGGAGAAAAACGGCTTATGTGACATTATAAAAATATGAAAAGTCAAATAAAAAACAAGCCAATGCATGATGACTGTTAAGCAAGTTTCTGTTAATTGAATCATATTTCTCCATTGATTTGCATAAATAATGATGATTGGTTTCCATGGGGGCAGGTGGCTTGCAACGAAGCAAAATCACATTCAAAATTGCAGGAAATCTGTAAGCAGTCATTTAAAATACTAAAATAGGTTATGGATATATGAGTGTAATGTGACAGTGAACATGTATGATTCTTTGAAGGAAGGTCTTTAAAGAAAGGGGGATTTCTTTGATCCCAGGACTTTCCCTTGAGTCTGGAGAAAGTAGGTTTTTCTGCTTTTTATAGAAATAAGATATTCCTGGGTAAATGTGGAAATTAGATGTGTATCTCAGGGTTTGATTGGAAAGCAGAAGGTGCACTAGATTCCAGGGAGTAAGGGCTTTATTCAAAGGACTTAGGACTATAAAAGACATTTGGATCTCCACCATGGCTGATCTTATCCTGAAGTGCCATAACAGAAGTTCTCATGAGCTCTAATGCTCAAGAATGTGTGGAAATGCCAATCTAATGTTCTTAGACTATGGTGGGAAAGCTGGTGGTTCTCAGGAACCCTGTGGGAAGCTGCTGTGAACCACAGAGGCCCGGCTGCAACTACCTCCAAGGCTAATGACCCCACCTCCTCTGTGCCTTCTGGGTCTAGCCGAGTCCTCTCATTGGCAAACTCTTGCTGGGAGCCACATGGGAAGGGGATTCTTGGAAATGAGCCCTTAGAATGGGAACTTAGAAGGGAGAGGGGATGATGCCGAATCCATGGAGGTCTGTGTTCGCTCCACTGGCATCACTTGGGTCATCTCAGTGACCTCACCAGCAATGTTAGGAAGGTGGTATCATTCATCTCTTAATTTTCTTTTGAAAAAGATGATAAAAGTGAGGCTCAGAGAAGTGAAATAATCAGCCTAGGTCATATAACTAGTGTTTAGCCACTAGAATTCAAACTTGGGTCTATGTGAGGGAAAATCCCTAGCTCCTTTGGTATTTTATGCATATACACTAGTGGCTCAAACTTTAGCTGTATTAGCATCACCTGGAAGAATCATCCACCCCCAGAGTTTCTGAGTCAGCAGGTCTGGGGGTGGAGTGGGAGGGGAGTGACCTGAGATTTGCATTTCTAACAAGTTCCCAGGTGATGCTATTGCTGCTGGTTCAGGGACCACACTTTGAGAACTCTAGAGTAGGAAGATGATGCTATTCCTTATCTCGATCTACAGGGGTGTTCAGGGCCAGGCAGATTCTACAAAATACCCAATTTGCTCTGAATATTTCTATTGCATTTGAATATGGTTCCTATCAAGTAGCATAGATGCTGTGGTGCTTGGCTTTGTGTGTGTATGAGTGACGGGTGTGTGTGTGTGTGTGTGTGTGCTTGTATTTTAGCTACATAGCCTTCGCAGGTAATTGTACAGCTGTATGAAAATGAATGGGCTCATATTTCTGACTGCTACCTTATTTGGAAACCGAGGAGGGTACCTGGTGCTGTGCTTATTTTCCTGATTGAGCCGGAATACCAAATTAAACTTTTGACTTGATGATTTATTTATTATTTCATTGTGAGTTTTTTTTTAAATCAGCATTTGATAAGTAAATGGTCCAAGTCTTACTTTGGCATTCATGGGAGTAAGATTAGTCTTGACGAATTATTTGCTTATTCATTGAGGTGTAATTTAATTCTATAGAAATTGCATGGCAATTTAGCACACATTAATGAGCAGATACTGTCTCATAGCTTAATGAATCTGTCATCCTTTTAAGGTGGGGGAAAAAACATTTAAAGAATCAACAGTTAACTAGAAGGCCGGACATGGTGGCTCACACCTGTAATCTCAACACTTTGGGAGGCTGAGGTGGGAGGATTGCTTGAGCCCAGGAGTTTAAGAGCAGCCTGAGCAACATAGCGAGACCCCATCTCGCTAAAAAAAATTAAACAAACAAACAACTCCCACAAAAAAATCCCAGTCAACTATAGGAGGAAGTCTATTCAGAAATTTATTGGACTCAACCAACTTTATGGACCTCTTGGGCACAGATATGCAGATTTTAGATGCCTGGTCAATGTGAAGGGGTAACTGCTTTCCCTCTCTGGAGAGTCAGAAAGGCCAAGGCCTTGCTTCCTAGTACCTAGAGAAAGATAGGCTGTCATGTAACCTTTGGGCGCCCTTACCTGTCAGATGGGGGGATGAGTTCTAATATGGATTTTATAGGATTGTAGTGGAGGTTAAATGATGTAATGAATGACTGTAAAGGTTCTGAAATGTAGTTGATTCTCAACAAATTATTGATTGTTATAATATTACAATGCTACTATTTACCTTAGTGACGATTTTCCCCTTTTCTTTATTTCCTTTCATTCTTCCTTTCCCTCTTCCTCCTTCCTTATTTCCTTTCCTTTCTTCTACTTCTTTTCTCTCTGTGTGTTTTGAGACAAGGTGTCACTCTGTTGCCCAGGCTGGAGTGCAATGGTGCGATCATGGCTCACCGCAGCCTCAACCTCCTGGACTCAAGTGATCCCACCTCAACCTCCCGAGTAGCTGGGACTACAGGCACATGCCACCATATCCTGCTAATTTGTATTTTTTTTGGTAGAAACAGGGCTTCACTATGTTGCCCAGGCTGGTCTCGAATTCCTGAGCTCAAGCAATCTGCCCGCTTTAGCCTCCCAAAGTGCCGAGATTACAGCTGTGAGCCTCTGTGCCCGGCTCCTCCACTTTCCTTTTTTATTGCTTACCTGTTTATTATACCCTTATTATAAAGGGTACAACTCATAAACAGCCAAATGGAAGAAACATGGGTGGTGTGGAGCTTCTGTGTCCTCTCCAGGTGTGCTGTGCTCTCAATATGCCCATGTGTTCACCAACCTGGAAGCTCCTCAATGAATATTTCTTTCAGGAATCTGAGATGAGCCATTTTCTGGCCCAGAAAGTCTGGCCATTCCAAATCACTCTCCCCTTCCCCAGCCATGTAGCCTGTCCCTTTTCCCACCCATATGCACATTGCACTTCTCTCCATTGTCCTTTTGTGCCAAATTCCTCCTCAACCTTCAAGACAAAGCTGGAGCGTCACCTTCTCTGTGAAGCCTGCCGTGATCACCTCCACCTATAGCAGAGATCAGAGGTGTTGCCGGCATACCCTTCCTTCTCACTGCCTTCCATCTGATGCTGAGATAGTCTGCATTCATGTCTGTATTCTCCAAATGCCGGCAGCTCCTTGAGGAAATGACCAAATGTGGTTTCCATATTCGTGACCATAATACCTGGCCCAGAATAAGCAGTTGGTGAATAAATTAATGCTGCTTTGGGTGCACATAATGACTATCAATCTGATGACTTGGGGTGTCACGGTTAACACTAGGTTGAAATGAGTGAGGTACCTAAGGCACACCTTTTTTTAATTTAATTTAATTTATTTTATTTTATTTTTTCTAAGACGGAGTCTCACTCTGTCGCCCACGTTGGAGTGCAGTGGTGCCATCTTGGCTCACTGCCACCTCCACCTTCTGAATTCAAGCAATTCTCCTGCCTCAGCCTCCCAAATAGCTGGGATGACAGTCATGCACCACCACGCCTGGGTAATTTTTGTATTTTTAGTAGAGACGAGGTTTCACCACATCAGTCAGGCTGCTCTCAAACTCTGACCTCAAGTGAAATCCACCTGCCTCGGCCTCTCAAAGTGCTGGGATTATAGGTGTGAGCCATCACGCCCAGCCTAAAACACAACATTTAAGGAGGTGCGTCAGGACACTCATGATGGACACTCTGAGTTACTGAAAACATCAGACTCTTCATCTACAATCATTGCACAAGACAATTTTTACTGGCATCTGGGCTTTAAAACTTGAATATTAATTTTTGTCCATGTATTTCCAAGAACTGACATTATATTACCCCGTGTCTTGGCATGTGTGAGATAAGGGCATCCTTCAGTCTCTGGTCAGGTTGGCTGAAAGCCCGTCACATGCCAAGCCCTGTGCTCCTTACTGGGGTACAGTGCAGGCATGATGGACAGCCCCATCTTCAGCACCATCTCAGCTCTCAAGGGCTCAGAGGGATGAGCATGGAGCAAGGAGAATACTCATCAAGAATTGTACGTGAATGGCTATAACACAGTATTAAGCAAAGTTCAGTTCAGTAGGCATGGTAGAGAGAAAATGTTATGGGCATGTGAAGATGACTTCTAGCTGAGAGGATGGACAGAACTTGTGAAAGAGGTGGCATTTGATGACTCACACTAACCTAGTCAATGTTGTTCATGCCTCACTCGGTTCCCCTTCACTGGGTCCAGCTGCCAGGGTGGTTGGTTTCTAAGGCCAACAGTGGCGCCTTTCTCTGAAGAATTTCCCTCTGCTAATAAAAGCCCCCACTCCCCATCCCCATGAGTGGCTGTGTTCTCGCCACATGGATGGCTCCCAGATAATGACTTATTCATGCCTCAACTCAAAGTACGGCAGCTCTGTGGTGCCATTCACATTCTAGAGCTCGGGCTGAACCCAGATTTCAGCTGAAGTCACCACGTGGCTTAGCTCCTTGGTCTTTCTCCCCTCTCTTTTCCCTTATGTTTCTCTCCAGACAGTGCCCCAATATACCACTTACACAAGAGTCCCCATTTGGGCTATGCTTCTAGGGATTCAGGCTTAAGACAAAAACCAACAAGGACAACAACAATAGTACTGCTACTCATAACTTGATATTTGCAGCATTGTGCATGTTCACTGATTTAATTTTTATAACACCTTGTGAATTGTTATTCCTGGTCTGCAGACAAGGAAGCTGAAACTCAGAGAGGTTAGAGTTCCTTTGCCCAAGTTCCCACAGCTGCTAAGCTGGGAGTCACACCTAGGAAATCTGGCTTTTGGTTCCCTGATAGCAAGTGCTCCATGGCAACTTCAAATCTATACACCCCAGGGCTCAAGAGCTGGGGCATGAGGAGCTCTGCATGAGGGTGCAGGACTCTGGGGTGCTCCTGAGTTTGGAGGCAGGGACTCCCGTGAGAAGAGTGCAGGATGTGGAGTCAGGCAGCCTGAATTTTAGATCTGGGCTGTGTCTCAGGACAGTGCCACAGCTCCTCCTTGGGCCTCAGACTTTTTACCTGTGGAATGGGCTGCATAGCCACTTTACAGAGCTGTTATAGACCTGCTGTGAGGATGTGCAGTCCTCATCCTCATGCCTGGCATGTGGCAGGCAGTCATTTCATGTCGCAGTCAGCCTGTCTGGGCCCATCTGGTGGCAGAGGCAGACCAGCTGGCCCTCAGCATCCAAGGTGTCTGGAGCACCAGTGAGCGAGGACACCAGCTCTGGTCCTGAGACAGAGGCTGCTTCGAGATGGATGGAACTTCTTTTGTTCTCCCTGCTGTGAGAAGGAGATGAAGGTGACTTAGCTCTCATCAAAATACAGCTGCCCACGGTGTGGTGTGGCATGGTGGCTCTATCCTGATACTTTACAATCCTCAACATGTGGTTTTCCTGTTCAGTCCAAGGTGGTTGCTTAGGGGCCAGCAGGAGGGTGGAGAGATGGGCTGTCTCATCCATGGGATGGTGCCTGGAAGTTACCTCACTTCCATTTATATCCCTTTGGACAAACCTGAGTTTGTATTTACACCTTGCCGCCAGAAAGGCTGGAAAATTGGGATTTTATTATTGGAAGAAGGGGGACAAGTAGCAGCTTCTGCCTCAGTGGAAAGTCTGGTGCAAAGATAGCGGTCGTAACCTGGAAGTCTTCATGGGCACTCACTGTGTGCCAACCACATGTATTACAGAACTGCTTTTATTATAATATTTTCACAGTCACCCTATGAGATGGGCACTATTAGCGGCATGCCCATTGTACTGATGAGGAGGCCCGAGGGCAGAGCCTGGATTTGACCCCTGGCAAGCCAGCTTTACAGGCTACACAGCTAACCACCACCATGCTGTATGGAGGGTTCCAGAATGGATAAACACAGTTTTCACTAATGGATTTGCTATTTACTAACCCTGTGGCTTTGGGTAAGCTATTTTTCCTCACAAGTTCTTAGTGTTCCCATGACAGAGGGACGTATGTATCAAATGAAATAAAAACATGGGATGGCTGTTTGTCAACTGGAAAAAGTTAGAAGGAAGACTGACTATGATTTCTTTCAGTGACCATGGGACTCTGATTTCCAATGGCAGTGGAGAGAGAGAAGCTGTGACTACCTGACTGCCAGCCTCCACAAGACAACGTTGTGTGCGTGAAATGCTCTTTTTTACAGTGACCCTCGGGACTCAGCCCCCAGCCCACAGCCCCCATTCTTTCACTGCCTCCTATTTCTGTGAGGTTATAACCACGCCTATAGAATCACTTTGCCTTTCTATATTACTCAGCTGGAATAATACGGCAGATGAGGGCAACAGAAAGGAAAAAAAGATATGGAAGTTTGCTAAATAGAGAAGATCTGCTACTTCACTAGGAAAAGCTGGATCCTGAAGAGGATTAAGGTAGAATTTCTCACTAAATCTTGCCGCATGACGGTCAGCCACTTCTCTCCCTCTCTTCTGTCTCTATTTTTTATTTATTTATTTATTTTTTGAGATAGAATTTCACTCTGTCACCTAGGCTGGAGTGCAGTGGTGTGGTCTTGGCTCACTGCAGCCTCTGCCTCCCAGCTTCAAGCAATTCTCATGCCTCAGCCTCCAGAGTAGCTGGGATTACAGGCATGCGCCACAAAGCCCGTCTAATTTTTGTATTGTTGGTAGAGACAGGGTTTCATCGTGTTGGCCAGGCTGGTCTTGAACTCCTCGGCTCCCACCTTGGCCTCCCAAAGTTCTGGCGTGAGCCATTGCACCAGGCCAGCCACTTCTCTTAGGAATGACTAAAAAGCCTTTGTTATTCTTTGTCCATAACAGACGCAGGACTCAAGTCCACCAGTGCTAGACTGAAGTGGGTGTCTCAAAGCATGGTGCAGGAATGTCTCTGAGTCCAGTGCCGGGAGCACTGGGGGCTCAAGGAGTAATTGCAGTGAATGAACGAGCAGCTTTTGGCTTGTGTGGCCAAAAGGTTTTTCTACAGCAGCTGCTAAAGTGGTTGTGCATGGAGCCGTCTCTGCAAACTGGGTCAACAGGTCAATTGGGCCTTTTATATGCCAACCAGGGCTGCCTGTATTTACGTTGACGGTCAGATGTAGGGCAGAAAATGATGCCGGCAAAGGAAATCCATTTAGAACTTTTCTCTGCTGATGCTGACTACATGGAGAAGCAGTTCATTATTTATAGACCACACAATTGTGTTTTGTACAGTAACCTTATTTGGGCATATAAATAAGCCAAGGATAAGAGAGGAGAACAAAAATGCATTGATTTCTTTTTCTTCTTATATGAAAGGTAGATGAAGCAGTTTTATATTTGAGGTTTCCTGGCTGGCATATTACCCAGACAGCAGGAATTAGAACAGATTTAATCTTCCAATCCATACTAATGGGGGCATTAAAAACACTGTTTATTAAATTTATCTTTTTGACACTTTTAATATATTCCATTGCAGCCTTGCAGCATAAGTGCTGGATAATGATAATGTTCAGCATTTATTGAATGCTTGTCATGATTGTGCCAGACACTGTGGTAAGTAACACACATTGTCTCATCCTATCCTTACCACACAAGTGTGAAGAGACACCTATTTCAATTCCCATTTTACCGATGAGACACTTGAGGCAAAAAAAAAGTACAACAATTTGCTGAAACCCATTTAGCTCATGAGTAAGGAAGCTTCTTGGGGATTGACGTCAAGTTTCTTCTGTGAGTTTCTGCACTTGATGGTCACACGCTATTGAATGATGGGGATACCTGCAGCTGTGGGGCAGGGAAGTTCTTTCATGTTCTGGAAGTGGCAGGTGACAGAAGCAAAGGGAGCTAATCCTCGAAGTTTGCTTACTGCATGCTGAGCAAAGGGCTAAATCTTTTTCCTACAGAGTCTTCTTTTAAATTCAGAACAAGGTTCACCTACTTCTGGGCATCCCCAGAACCTTCTGTCTAAACCAAAAGAGAATCTTGAATTTTCTTAATTTACACTTTTAAATAATTTGGCAGTTTCCTGACATCTATTCTCAAGGGGTGGGGCACCAATGAATTAGTTGGTTCATTCATTCATTTACATCAGCCTTCTTTTTTTTTTTTTTTAGACAGAGTCTTGCTCTGTCGCCGAGGCTGGAGCTGGAGTGCAGTGGTGCGGTGATGTCAGTTCACCGCAACCTCTGCCTCCCCGGTTGGAGCGATTCTTCTGTTTTAGCCTCCCAAGTAGCTGGGATTATAGGCACCCATCACCACGCCCAGTTAATTTTTTGTATTTTTTTAGTGGAGACAGGATTTCACCATGTTGGCCAGGCTGGTCTCGAACTCCCGACCTCGGGTGATCCACTTGCCTCGGCCTCCCAAAGTGCTGGGATTATAGGCCTGAGCTTCTGTGCCTGGCCAACATCAACTTTTCTTTTTGTTTGTTTTTTGGACCGAGTCTCACCTTGTTGCCCAGGCTGGAGTGCAGTGGTGTGATCTTGGCTCACTGCCACCTCTGCCTCCTGGGTTCGAGCGATTCTCCTGCTTCAGCTGGGATTACAGGCGCACACTATCACTCCCAGCTAATTTTTTTGTATCTTTAGTAGAGATGGGGTTTCACCATGTTGGCCAGGCTGGTCTCGAACTCTTGACCTCATGATCCACCTGCTTCGGCCTCCCAAAGTGCTGGGATTACAGGTGTGAGCCACTGTGCCCGGCCAACCAACACATTTTTTTGAGCACCTACCTTGATCTAGGTGCTACAACTTTATCAGCAAACAAGATAGACAAAGACTTCTCCCCTCAGAGAGGTTATGTGTTGGAGTGAGGAGACAGAAAATAAGCAATAAACATGACAACTAAATAAATGACGTAGTGACAAGTGCTATATGAAAAATTTGGAGAGGGTTAAGGGAATCAGAAGCGCTATTACTGAGGATGCCTCAGTATAGGTCTCTCTCAATGTGATATTTGGGCAATATTTGAAGAAAGTGATGGGATAAATCCTAGGGATACCCGTCAAGAAGAGGGAGCAGTCCGTCAAAAGATCTTAGAGAGGAGATTGCCTGGAGTGATCGAGGAACCACAGGCTTCAGCTCCAGGTGACGGGGCAGAGTGAACACGGAGAAAAACACAAGAGCAAGGCAGAGAGGTGATGCGGCCAGGCAGTGTGGGGCCTTCTAGACGGTTCAAAGGACCTTGGCTTTCACTCAGTGAAATAGAAAGATACTGGAGGGTTTGGAGAAAAGGAGTAATGTGGTATGCTTTTTTTTTTTTTTTTTTTTTTTGAGACAGAGTCTTGCTCTGTCCCCCAAGCTGGAGTGCAGTGGTGCTCACTGCACTCTTGGCTCACTGCAACCTCTGCCTCCCAGGTTCAGGTGATCCTCCTTCCTCACCCTCTCGGGTAGCTGAGATCACAGGCATGTGACACCACACCTGGATAATTTTTTGTATTTTTAGTAGAGACACGGTTTCACCATGTTGGCCAGGCTGGCCTCGAACTCCGGACCTCAAGTGAGCTGCCTGCCTCAGCCTCCCAAAGTGCTGGGATTACAGGCATGAACCACTGCACCCAGTCTGTACACATTTATTGAGCAGCTACTATTTGTCAGTGTTGGGAATATCAGGATTAAAGAAACAATCTCTTAGTAAGTCACAGTTTTACTAAGAGAGAAATATAGGGCAACATCTACAGTCCACATGAAAAGTGCTGTGACGGAGGAGAGAGGCCACCAACATTCAGTGTGGTAGCCAATCCCAAGACTGCACCCAACGGTCCTTGCCACCTTGTGTGTCTCCTTATGCAGTCAGTCACCTCCCACCTTGTAAACTGTGTAGCAAATAGGGTATTGCAGAAATGAAGGCGTGTGACTTACAAGGTGGGTCATATAGGACTTTGCAACTTCTGACTCTTTTTCTTGGATCTCTTCCTCTAGGAGAAGTCAGGCACCATGTTATGAGGACACTCAAGCAACCCTGTAGAAAGTTCCATGTGGTGAGGAACTGATACCTCCAATCCATGGCCAGTACCAATTTACTTAGCATGTGAGTGCATCCTGGAAGTAGATCCTCTTGTCTCAGCCATGCCTGAAGCTGACTGCCATCTCATGGGAGGCCTCAAGCCAGGACTGTCCAGGCGAGCTGCTCCCATATTCTTGATCCACAGAAACTGTGAAATAATTAATGTTTATGGTTGTTTCAAGTCACTTACATTTTAAGTTCATTTGTTATGCAGCAGTAGATAATGGAAACTCTGTAAACAGGAGCCCAGTCTGGGGAGGATGGAGATAGTAATCAGGAGAGGCTTCCTGGAGGAGGTGTTAGCTGAGCTATGTCTTGTAGAATGAGGAGGAGTTCTGAGTAGGAGTTAGTGAGGCAGAGAGTGTTGGGGTGCTAAGGCTTTCCGGGCAGGAGGAACAATATGTATAAAGGACCACTTCAGGCCCCATCTTCTCTGCAAAGTCTTCCCTAACCATTCACTGCCTGAGTCATTCATTTACTTACTCATTCATTCGACAAAGCTTTGATGAGAGCCTCCTATGTCCTGGGCTCCATGCAGAGTACTGGGGTTGCTGTAAGTTGCATATTCTGAGACTGCTCAGTTAGGCATAGAAAACTCAAATGCCCACAAGGGCTAGGCAAGTAATGCAAGCCAGGGAAGCTGAGTGGTGCACTGGGAGTCAGGGGTGAGGCCAGAGAGAAGCGGAGAGCCCAATTCCCAAGAAAGGCCCACCATTTCTCAGCTCCAGTTGTCAGCTGGCATGCCAGAATGTAAGCCCAAATCTGGCCAGATCTTCCAATTTATCAAGATATCTAGAAATTGTATTTTAGTATAAAGTCTCCTAATTTTCAAAAGGCAGCCAGCCCAAACTTGTTGTCAAATTTCTCTCTTTCCAGCCTTCTGTTCAGGAGCTCCATGAGTTGGCTGGTGGAGACTTCAGCTTCTCTCCTGCGCTGACCGCAAAACTTTGTCCTCTGCCTTCTGGTTAGCTTGAGTCCTGTGTGACTGGTGCAATGACTAATTGTCTCAATAGTTTTCTAAGTGGTGGCATGTAACACTTGAGCTCCACTGATCTCCCAGGAGGGGAAAGAAAGTTGGTGTTTATTCACATGCAGACTTCCATAGCTCCTCAGCAAAGCCCTCTGTAGCCCAACACCATTATGGTAAAGGTGTCGAAGCAAAATTACAGAATGTAAGGTAGTTAATCTGGTGGACAGTGAGCACTTTGTGCATTTCTGAAGCCACGATACCTACTGATAGCATCCAGGGTTGGCCACCTAGTGACTTTTCAAGACACTGGTATGTGGCTGTGGGAGTGTCCATATCTTAGAAAGAGGACAGTGAGTTTATGGAAGCCTTCCTGTGTGCAAACATGGGGCTGTGCATACAGAAGCTTATTTAATCCTCCCAACAGCCCTGGAAGATTGGTGTTATCATTGTTCTCATTTGCAGATGAGAAAACAGAGTCCCAGGGAAGCTTACTGATTTGTCCAGGGTCTTGCAGCCAATAAGAGGCAGGGCAGGCATCTCTTCTGGGACTGTTAAGTCTATGTTCTTATCTACTCTGCTGTAATTTTTCTCCCTGGAGCTGAAAAAAAGAAAGCACTGGGGTTTCTGAGTTCTTATTGGAGAGGAACAGAGCAATGACAATCTGATCGGAGGAGGGTCAGGCTGTGGGGCATGTAAAGCAGTGCCTATAGAGCAGGCACAGCTTATTGTTTTGTTTTGTTTTTTTTTCTCTTAGAATGAGGTGCTTTCCCTTCTTCTCCTCCTACCCCCAAGTAAGCCCTTGGTGATGCCACTGAGAGGGACCTAGTTATGAAAGGAATTTCAAGGACAACCCATATGTCAGATTTAGTGACATAGTTTGTACTGAGCTTGTGAGTTATTAGTCAGGTGAGTCTTTTTCTCTGTTGTATCATGTACCTTGATCTGTGGCGGGAAGCGGCACAAAGGAGAGGAAATGCCATAGGCTTTGGAGCCTGGGAAATGTAAGTTTCAATCCAGATTCACTCACTAACTAGGTGTGTGACCTTGGACGCGTTGTAGCCTGTCTGAGCTCCAGTCTCCCCTTCCGGCACACGAGGTCAAGAATATGCAATTTACAGCAACCTCAGGGCTCTTCGTGGAGCCTGGGACAGAGGAGGCTCTCACCAAAGCCTTGTCAAATGAATAAGTAAATGAATGAATCAGTCAATGAATGGTTAGGGAAGACTTTGCAGAGCAGATGGGGCTTGAAGCGGTCCTGGAGGATTTAATACGTGGAAAAGAGGAGGGAGAAAATTGAAGAGAGGGAATTGTAGGCAGGGAAATGACATAACCAGCAGCTTGGTGGAGAGAATTCCAGGCTTAGAGGATAATGAAAGGCCAATATGGCTTCTGGTGGAGGAGAGGATGGCCTAGGAGGGGCCTGCACCGACTTCCCCATCCTGATTAAATTTCCTCAGTGGCCAAAGAGCGCTAGGTGCTGACACTAATAGTTCCTTTAACAGGGCCTTTCATCTCCTATTCAAAGTGCTTTGCAAGTGTTAATTAAATCTCCAAACACCTCATGAGATAAATATTATTTATCCACCTTTTGTAGATGAAGACATTTAGGCACAAAGAGCGGTGATTTTCCCAGGGCAATGTCTAGATGGGTGTCCATTCCCACCTTCATTCCAGAATTGCCAAAACATGTCTTTAGAAGAAAGCAGAAAAAACAAATCAGATCTTTTTTGCCATCCCCCCTCCTATACCCTCATACATATAAAAAACAGAAATTAGGACAAAAAAAAGATGTTATTTCAGATATTTCTTAGTTATTTTAAAGTCCCCCCAATGCATTCTCAAATGTATACCTCCCTTCCCAATTTTTTAGAACTTACAGGTTACAAGGTTGAGAAAATTGTTCAGTTGAATGATTCACAGGTATATTCAGGCCTAAAAATCCATGCTTTATATTTCTCGTCTGTAACACGGGACCCCTCTTTCAGAGTTGTTGTGAGGATTAAAGGAGTAAATTTATACAAAAGCACTTATTTCAGGGCCAGACCCATATCATCATTTGATAGAGGGGGTGATGATGATGATTTTAGGGGAGCCAGAAGAATGCCCACCTTCATCTTCCAAAGGACTCCTGACATTTCCTCTTGAGTGCCCTTCTATCACCTTGATTCATTTGACCAGTATGTATTATCCTCCAGCACTGTGCTAGGTTGTGGGAATACAACAAAGCACAAGGAGGCCAGAGCTCTATTCTCTGGTTCCACCTTGGCTTACAGTCCAGTTAAGGAGTCAGACATTTAAAAAAATACAGTTATGTACTATTCCTGCCAAGGTGAGCCCTAGAAAACAGAGGTTCACGATGCTCTGAGCTAGCTAAGAGAAGGCGCTCTTCTAAGTCAGGGAGGTCAGCAAGGGCTCCTAGCGGGGAGGGGTGCTTTAGCTGGGATCTGAAGGATGATACAAGGTAAGTGGGTGAAGAAGAGAGGGAAAAGGACACCAAACAGAGGGGACAGCATGTACAGAAAACCCCAAACTAAAGAGATAAAAAGTGTCATTCAGCAACCATTTCCAAGTTCCTTGTTTAAAAAGAATGTCGGGCACTAGAAAAGCGAGACACAACATGAGAAATTAGCCCCAGAAGAGTAGGAGTCAGATGATATAAATTGGTACTGACCCTGGAGTCCAGTTTGATAAGAAACATAGAGAAGGAGCTGGAATTGTTCAGAGGCCTTGGCTAATGGCTCTGCCCAGGGAAGTTGAAGCAGGCTTTCTGGAGGTGGCACCAGAGCTGAGCTTTCTTTTATTCACTTGTTAGCAAGAATGATTGAATATCTATCTACATGGTGTCAAGCAGTAGGCTCTGCCCCGTGGTAAAGGAGGGACCAGGAGAAGGTTCCTGCCCTGAAGGAAGCCACAGGGGAACAGAGGAGGCAAAGGTTCTGACCGAGGAGGAAGGAAGGAGCGTGGTCTTGTTCTCATGTCTGTCTTGGGAGTGCAGTGGAGGAGGGGCATGGTGAGGAGTCAGATGGATCTGTGAATGCTGGTGTAGTTGAATACATAAGACTTAATAATGATATCGAACTAGCTTATAATAGCACCTTGTATTGGTTTAGGACTTAACAGTTTAGGAGGTACACGCATGAGCCCATTGGCTATGACAGCAGCTTGGCAAGGAAGTAGAACAGGTATGATTTCCCGCATTTTCAAGACAATGAGATTGAAGCTGAGGAAAAATAAATTAAGTGAATGATTTGATTTTTAGGAATTACAATGCCCTTTGTCAGTAAGACATTGGAGGACCTTGGTTTTGGATCCGTGCATTTTGATTTTGGCTTTTGTAGTTGTTTTCCCTGAATCTCCATCTGCATTAGTGTTTCTGAGTGTTCACAGCTGAAGATTAGATAGATTCAGGGGCACACAATGGACCCGCCACATGAGCTGCTAGCCCACCTGGAGCAAATGGCATTGGCTGCTAGCCCCACTTATGATCTGAAGAACAGCAAAGCTGCATTTCTTTACAAAATGTGCTCTAAGTAGGGTGAGCATCATAGACCATACAACTTGGGACACTTCCAAGAGTAAAAGGGTGTGGGAATCATAATTACTTTAGGATGACAGGCTTACATGGAGACTAACCCTGACCAATTGGGTCATATGGTCACCCTACCTACGAGTCATCCTTCTCACTAATTGAATTCTTCCTTTGGTCCTCACTTTTTTCTGAATTGTTTACTCATCCAATTATTGGACAATTATTTACCGGTCCCCTCTATTCGAGGTTCTGGGCTGCCAGGGATGCATAATCCAGGATTTCTCCTCCAAAGAAAGAAGGATTCTTCCTCCAGAGATGAAATCAGTGAACTCTGAGTAACTCTCCCGGATAAGTGAGCAGGCACAGAGCCTCTTGTAGGTTTCACTCTCCATCTTCTCATGTTAATGAGCCATCAAAGGAGATGTTCCTAGAGGGTAGAGATCATGTCTGCTCTGTCCTCTGCAACACATGGGGTTATGGGAGGTATTCACAGACACCAGGCAGGGCCTTTCGAAGAGCGAGGCAAACCGGTCCCTTCTGTAAAATAGCAGTGCTCAGCTAATGAGTCCCTGTGGGGCCCCCTACTCCTCACATGCCTTTCTTTTTGTCCTCTCCCTTTGTTTCTTGGGTTGTGTAACACTCATCACATTAGTAATTAATTATTTGTGAGCACCAGTTTAATGCTTGTTGGACAAGAAGCTGGGTTGTCCCTAGTACCTAGCAGGGGCCCTGGTTTGTGGAAGTCTTCAATAAATATTTGCTTGCTGACTCATTGACTTAAGGCCCAAGGTCAGGGGCTGCCTCTGATGAGAACCTAGGAGAAATAAATTTCCTGAGAGAAAAATGGAGTGCAGGCAGGGATAGAGGGGAGCTTACAGGTCTGAGTCTGGCAGATAGAAGGTGCTTACTTGAGCAGGATATTCAAAAGAACAGGCTGGGTGCAGTGACTCACACCTGTAATCCCAGCACTTTGGGAGGCCAAGGCAGGTGGATCACTTGAGGCCAGGAGTTCAAGACCAGCCTGGCCAACATGGCAAAACTCCACCTCTACTAAAAAAATACAAAAAATTAGGCGGGCGTGGTGGCAGGCGCCTGTAGTCCTAGCTACTTGAGAGGCTGAGGCAGGAGAATGGCGTGAACCTGGGAGGCGGAGCTTGCAGTGAACCAAGATCATGCCACTGTACTCCAGCCTGGGCAACAGAGCAAGACTCCGTCTCAAAAAAAAAAAAAAAAAACACCTAAAATAAATAAATATATAAATAAATAAATAAACATCAGCTGGGTGTGGTGGTGCATGCCAGTAATTTCAGCTACTTGGGAGGCTGAAGCATGAGAATTGCTTGAACCTGGGGGTGGAGGTTGCAGTGGACTGACATTACACTAACGCACTCCAGCCTGGGTGACAGTGAGACTCTGTCTCAAACTAACAAACAAACAAACAAACAAAATGAGCAGCCTGCCTAAGGAGAAAGAATAATGCTGCCTGTGTCTCGATATCATTCTTGAGTCCCTCAGGTAGGAGTGGTGGCTTTGTGCCTGCCCAGCCTTTCTGCCATCTGCCTTATCCAGCAGTAGGTCTTGGCCTGACACCCAGCTGAGCAGAGCAATGGAACAAGGAGTAGAATTTCCTGCCTGGACTAAAATGTGGCCCCATTTCCAGGATTCCAGATGTTCCAGTGAAAGTGCCAGGGGAAGCTCATGGCCAGGTATGTAGAGCTCAGCCAAGCTGGCACGAAGTGGTATTCCCATCATACTCTCTCATCAGGCACCCCCATATATGGTATTGCCCAATTTTTTTCACTCCGGGATAGGTATTGGCTATTACATTTGCTGCAGGACTGTACCTGTGGAGCGACCTGGATGGAGCTTCTATCAGGGAGGACTTTGAAGAGGACTCTTGTCTTTGGCCATGGTGGGGTGGGGGGAAATGAGAAGGGCTGGGCCCACCCCTGAGCCAGAGGAGAGAAGCTGGGGCTGCAGTGATGGTCTGGCAGTTGGTGGGTGTCAAGCAGACCATTTATGGGCTATATCTGCTATGTCATTCAACCTGAATGGCCCCTGCAGCCTAATTGCTGGTGTTCAAGTCCCATCTCCACCTCCTGTTGGCCATGTGGCTGACAGCAAATTATTTATCTTTCCTTTTTCAGTTTCATCTTCTTGAAAATGAGGATGATAATAGTAGCCACCACAGTGGGTTCTTATGACAAGTAAATGATTTAATATATGTAAACTCTAGGTCTGGCACAGTGGCTCACATCTATAATCCTAGCACTTCGAGAAACCTAGGCAGGTGGATTGCTTGAGGCCAAGAGTTCAAGACCAGCCTGGGCAACATGGCAAAACCCCATTTCTACCAAAAACACAAAAATTAGCCAGGCATAGGGGTGCATGCCTGTAGTCCCAGCTACTTGGAAGGCTGCGGCATGAGAATCGCTTGAACCTGGAAGGCAGAGGTTGCCATGAGCCGAGATAGCACCACTGCACTCCAGCCTGGGTGACAGAGCAAGACTATCTCAAAAAAAGAAAAAAGTCTTCAGAGCAGTTTCTGGCATAAAGTGTTAGCTAAAAGCAAAATAAACAAATAAAAACCTGCACTCATATCATTCCCCAACATGTTCTATGCCCTTGCACACTTTCACTCTTGCCTTTTCCCAGTATCCACCTGCCTTACACTTACCTCTCCTTCTAGTCATATCCTTATCACCTCATTCATTCATTTATTCAACAAACCTTATTGGGTATCTAAGACTTGCCAAATGTTGGTCAGATCATACTATAACAAATAGGCAAAATCTCTAACCTGAAGAAACCTATAGTCCAATGGGAGAAACATAATTTAAATAAAATAAAATTAATATATTTTCCAAGAGACAGATGAAGATAAACATAAGGGGTAAGTACTTTTAGCAGGAGAGAACTTGGGAGAATCTCTGCAAGAGACACCATTTAACTGG
Organism: Homo sapiens; assembly: GCF_000001405.40. Classification (NCBI taxonomy): domain Eukaryota; kingdom Metazoa; phylum Chordata; class Mammalia; order Primates; family Hominidae; genus Homo; species Homo sapiens. Next base: position 127,681,885 of record NC_000008.11, on the reverse strand, counting down.
GTCAGAAAAGTTGGGTAATATAACACTATAATTATTATTATTTTATAACAATAATAATAGCTTCCATTTTTGGAGCATTTGCTATGTCCTCTGAACTATGTGCTTGTCAGGGATTAGCTCTTGCGACAAACCCTAGGAAGTAGGTACTATCGTTATCCACCTTCCCTCTGACAGACGAAGACACTGAAACTTTGAGTGGATAATTAGCTCATCTAAGGTTTTATAGCTATCAAATAAAGAATTGGGATTTAACCCTAGGCTACCTGGATCTGGGGCCTGTGCACCACTAAGCCCCACTGAGAAAGCACTGACCTCTTTATGCTGGAAGCCTCCCCATGCTGAGATGCTGGGATTCCTCATTCCAAAGCTACTGAACCCCTGGAATGCATCAGGCACAGTGCTTTGTATGGACCCTATCTATGTCAATCATCCTAGTTCTAGCTGGTTTTCAATACATATTTGTTAGTTAAATTGCAATTGGCAATGTTTACGAAGGGCTTATCAGACATGAGGCGCTATTCTAAGAGCTTTCCACGTATTAATCCATTTATTCCCCACAACAGTACTAAAACGGAGTATACATTATCCGTGTTTTACAGATGAGAAAACGTCTGTAACAGAGAGGTTAAACTACTTGCCCAAGATCATTCAGCTAGGGAGGGGAAGTCCTGCCTAGGAGACATCCCAGGTCTTTCCAATTCTGAATATCCAATTCTTATATCTTTCTGGTTCTGTTTTTGCCGTGTCCCTTTCTGTTAGGGTGGGGTGATTCAGGCTGGGATGGGGGTACCCACAGATGGCCAAACAATTTTGAAGCAAGCCAATTGTTATATTTCAGGGTTTGAGATAGAGACCTGCGACGCCCTTTCCTGGATTTGAAACACACTGGGCTACCTGGTCCTTCAAAGAATTTTGGATGTATCTATATTTTGCTGCTGCTGACTCAGGGAATTAGGCTGGTTGACACTGGGAAGCTTGCTTGAGTCTATATGTGCCTACGGGAACAACCCCACTAAAACTTCCTAGGAGACAGGCTTACAGAGGCCTCCTGTAAGAAGACCCCAGATTTAGAGAAGACTGTGGCATAAACTCTCCTGTGCATGTATCTGCCTTTCTCACTAGACTCTAGGCTCTCTGAAGGCAAGCACCAGATTGCTGTCATCTTTGCAGGCTTCTGTCCCCCTCAAGCACCTGGTTAGGTGCTCTGCACATAGTAGGTGATGTAAACACATTGATGGAGTAAAGAATGTGGAATCTTCAGAACAGAATGTGGTTCCTGCAGGCATCTCTGTGTGGTTTGTGGCAGAAATGATCCATTGCCTGCTTGTGTGAACTTGGCTATTTACTTTGCCTTTCTGGACCTCAGTTTTCTCATCTGTCAACTGGGTTAAAACATTCTCGGCTGCTGTGAGGATTAAATGAGATAATACAGAACTTAGAACAGTGTTTGGCACATGGAAAGTGCTCCAAGAATATGAATTATTCCTAATATTGTTAACATAGTCAGTATCATCAAACATCTGCCAGGTATAGCGTGAGTTCTGAAGCCAAAGAGACCTGGATTTGAATCCTGGTTCCTTTGCTTTTTCTCAGGTGAGGTATTACAGCTCTGTATGCCTTGATTTCCACGTCTGTGAAGTGGGGATAAAGCTCATTCTACAGGGTGCTGGAGATATGCAAGTAAAGCCTTAGTGTAGGGGGGACATTTAGTGACTGCTCAGGGAATGAGGGTGGCCTTGATGATGTCCATGCCACAATCTTGATTTTGTACATGAGAAATAGAGGCAGCAAGGAGACTTGGTGATTAGTTTCAGGGCTTTGCCCTCCAGGACAACCAGACCTCCTTACTGTCTTGAGCTGCCTAAAAACACTTTGTGAAAAGAACTTGCAGTGGGCCAGCCTTCCCCTTTCTCCCTTCCCCACCCTGAGTCCTCTTGGACCCTTGGAAAGGGGGCTTTTGTCCTCTTCCAGGGTCCTGTGGCATTTAGACATGTTGGTGCTGCAAAGGCTACCCCGTCTGAATTGCAAAGCATCACCCCGCTGCATTTTCAGAGGAGCTTTGAGGCTGCACCGGGCCACCAGCAGTGAGCCTTTCATTTCAGGACTGGTCTTTATTGTCCTATTGAGGTTTCTGTCCAAACTTCCCCTTCAGGAAAACATAAACCTGAGAGGAAGGGCTGACCCGGGATGCTTCATTTTTATTCTTTTGGTGGTAACGTCTGGTGCAATAAAACCCAGGCCAAAGGGATGAAAAATGGCTTTCTCTGTCTCTGTCTCTCTCTCTCTCTCCCCTTCTCTTTCCTGCCTTCCCCAAACCATCCAAGCTGCGGAGCGCAGCCCTGGACCATTTGCAGGGCCAGCCTCAGCGCAAGCCCTCCCTGGGTTTGAATAGAAAACCACAAGCCATAATACACATAAAATCCTAATGCGCCTTCAAAATTACCTCATCTTTTATTTAGAGGTTATTCCGCCCTTGTCTTTCTTTATCGCTCTTTATATGACTGAAGTGGGTGAGCAGCACCAAATGAGGCCATCGCGGTCGCTGAGCGGAGGGAGTGTTTATAGCCTAACTTTGGCGAGGCAACAAGCCCCCAGGAGTGCCTTCATTTCAGCACCCCCGGCCCTCCCCAAAGCCAGCTCGTTCTATTTGGAGACTGTTGCTGCCTTACCAGGTCTGTTTTTTTAAAAATCTTTTTCTTCCATACATGAATTTTATTGTATTTCTAAGTGAAAGGGAGGTGGCTTTCCGAGAAGCTATGATTTTTGAGTAGGCTGCAAATGCCTGGCAGAGACTGGGGCCCCAACACTCCCAGGGCCAAAGCCTCAGACCGGCATTTCCAGCTGAGGTCCTTGTTCTCTGAGCTCAGGATCCTTGACATTTAAAGGGCAAGAGGAGCCGTGATTTATACTGAAGCTCAATTTGGAGAAAGTGGTGGGGAGATTGGACAAATTGCTTTTTGCAGGCTAAAGCTTTGGTTCTCAGACTTCAGTATCCTGTGTATAAAAATCTCCTGGAGGGATCATTGAAATAAAGTGCTGAGCCCCATCCCCAGAAGTTCTGATTCCATCGGTCTGGTTGGGGACAGTGGGGTAGATGGGTTGGGGCTGATAGTCTACATTTCTTTCCTTTATTTTTTGGAGTCGGAATCTCACTCTGTTGCCCAGACTGGCATGTAGGGGTGTGATCTCGGCTCACTGCAACCTCCACCTCCCGGGTTCAAGCGATTCTCCTGCTTCAGCCTCGAGTAGCTGGGACTCACCAGCACGCACCAGCACACCCAGGGCTAATTTTTGAATTTTTTAGTGGAGACGCGGTTACACCATATTGGACAGGCTGGTCTCAAACTCCTGACCTCGTGATCTGCCCGCCTCAGCCTCCCAAAGTGCTGGAATTACAAGCATGAGCCACCACAGATGGCAAATAGTCTGCAATTCTAAAGAATTTCCAGGTGTTGCGCTGAAGGTCAGGATCTAGACCACACTGACAAGCGCTGGGCTAGAAGTGTAAGTAAATGAAGGTGAGCTGGTGTGTGTGTGTGTGTGAGAGATACCGAGGTACACACACACCCAGGCAAGCAATGACTTTACTTTCCGAAGGGAAGCTTGCTACCCAGGGTGAAGGTGGGCTTCAATGATAGTGAATTGGATTCTAGATTTTAGCACTGTGAGATCCTACAACCTACGATGAATGCAGCCCAGTTTCCTTCAACAGAGATTTCAAAGAGACAGCAATTATCAGACTTTGGAAATGCCTTTACCCTGGTCCTGCTGGGAAGCAGACCATGTCCTTTATATTTCACAAGTCTTTGAAATTGAAGAAATCTCTAAGGACCTAAGAGCCACGTCTCTAAGCAGTATAGCACAGTGATTATGAACGCAGAGTCCAGGGTCAGAGCAATGGCCTTTGTCTTAGTGATCTTGGGCAAGTTAGAAAACCTCTCTGAGCTTCAGTTTCTTTAACTGTAGAAAGAGATAAAATTAGAATCAACCTCAGAGGGTGTTGTAAGGATTGAATGAAATAAGGCATGTAAAATGTCTTAGCATAGTGCTTTGGACTTGGTTAGTCCCAATAAAGTATTACTGTTATTATTGTAAGCATGTGCCTGCTCTTCTGAATGTTTTTAAGTTAGTACTTCTTTAGATTCAATGAGCACCTAATAAATACGTACTATGTGCCAAGCTCTTTTATACTCATTATATTGTGTAATCATCTGAATTTGTTGAAATGGGTGCTTCATCTGATTCTACCGATGAGAAAACTGGTTCTCAGAAAGGTTAAGAAATTTGCCTGGGTTATTTACAAGTTACAAAGCTTATAAGTGGTACACCTGAGATTAAACCGAGACAGACTGGTTCTCATCCCTCCACAACCCAGATGGAGCTAGAGTTTGCTCCTAGCTCTGCCACTGGGGAGCTCTGTAATATTAGGCAACATGCTTACCTTCTCTGGTCCTCATCATGTGGAAAGTGAAAAGACTGGATTATTCATGGTGAAGTAGAAGGTTCCTTGCAGGGGCGCCAATAATAACAGCTAGGGGCCTGGCAGGTATTTCACAAGTATTTTTACTGGACCTAATCAGGTTTCATTCAAGTCATCCTTAATTCAATAATTTAACAAGTATCTGTTGAACATCTACTATGTATCCAGCACTATTTTAATTACTAGAAATGATGCAGTGACTAAAACAGAGCAGGCCAGGTGCGGTGCCTTATGCTTGTAATCCCAGCACTTCGGGAGGCTGAGGCAGGTGGATCACCTGAGCTCAGGAGTTTGAGACCAGCCTGGCCAAAATAATGAAAACCCCATCTCTACTAAAAATACAAAAATTAGCTGGGTGTGGTGGTGTGTGCCTGTAGTCCCAGCTATTTGGGAGGATGAGGCAGGAGAATTGCTTGAGCCTTGGAGGCGGAAGTTGCAGTGAGCCAAGATCACCCCATTGCACTCTAGCCAGGGTGACAGAGTGAGACCTTATCTCAAAAAAAGGAAAAAAAAAAAAAGAAAAGAAAAAACCCAGAGCAAAGTCACTTTCCTTTCTGTGTTTATATTCTACTTGGAGGGGCTGGTGGTAGAGTGTTGGCTATAAACATATAACATATAAACATAAGCAAATATCTCAGGAACAGGAAATCAGGGAGGAAAGCTGCTCAGTTGAAGGCATGCTTAGAATGTTCCAGGAACATCCAGGAAACCAAGATGGCTAGAGTGTAGTGAACGTGAGGAAGAACGATAGGAGGGCAGAGTGTGCAGGGCCTCATGGATCACGGCACAGACTCTGGCCTTTGCCCTGGAAGGGGAAGCCATTTTTTTGGGTGGAGGTTCACCCAGAGGAATATCCTGAGACAATAATTTGAATGCAAGTAGTTTATGTGGAAAGTGATTCCAGGAAGCACCAGAATAGGTGTGGAGAGGTAAGACAGGAAAGAAAAAGAACCCAGTAAAAGGGGTAATATCAAGCTGGTTGCGATTGTAAGCAACTGCAACTCTGTCTTGCAAGGGACCACTGGGAGACAGTGTAGAGAATGCTTGCATGTCATCACCACCCAGGCCGAAGGACCTGGGAAACTGATCCACCGGCTCTCTGACCATTGGTGGTTGAAGGCCATGTCCAAAGGTGTTAACTATCTGGCACATTCTGTTTGCCCTGGACTTGATTATGTGTGCTTCTCCAGCCAGGAAAAGGGCCCTGAGGCAGAGGGTTGCAGAGCCTAATTGACTTGCACAGCTGAATGCAGAATGGATATGGCCAGGGCATCAATGCCTCTGTGACTCCATTGGGAGTTTTTGAGCAGGGGAATGATGTGATCAGATATATTTAAATGGGTCACTTTGAATGATGTGTTGAGAATAGGTAGGGTGGAGGGCAAAGGAAGAAGGAAAGGGAAATAGCTGAAAAATTATCACAATAATTCATGTAATGGTAACTTGGATCAGATGACTGCAGCCCCAGGTAGTGGAGGTAATATGTTTTGCTCACTTTTTTAGAAAACACATTTTTGTTTCAATAGCTCTTGGAGTACAAGTGGTTTTTGGTCACATGGGTGAATTGTTTAGTGTTGAAGTCTGAAATTTTAGTTTAGCTTACCTTTTGAATGGATTCTGTAAGCTCAATCAAAACTCATTGTTTTTAAGCATCAACGACTGTGTCCACCATAGGGCTAGATGAATTCTTACTTAACTTCTCTTCTTCTTCTTACATGCTTAGAATTGCAGCCTTGACTTCAATATGATGTATATTCAAACACCAGGCAAATTAGCTTATTTGTGCATTGACTACAGAAAACTCTGTTAGTCTTACTTTGTAGGAGTAAACATCAAATGCTTCTGACAGCGACACTCAAATGACATGCTAAGATTACATCTTCAGAAGTTTAAGAATATAAAGAAACATCTTGAATTAGAAAACAGTACCTTTTTGTTTATATAAGTAATGAGTTTAAGGATCTACAACAACTCAGTAGTTAGTTGTGAATTGCCGTTGGCTTCAAGGACATAATAACAAGCAGTAGGTATATAATACATATTTGTGGAACTGAATTGAATTGGCTTATAAGAAAGACATAATATTTAAATCCTTAGCTGTGAAGAACTTACCAGGGCTGCCTATTATTTTTAGAAGATTTTCTTGTCTGATCCTGCTCTGAAGTAGCTAACATTGGCTACATGTCTGCTATGTTCCAGGGACTTTACAAGCAGTATTTACGTTAAGTTCTGTGGTAGCCAGTCTTGAAGAAGGCCCCGGTGATCCTGCCTCCCTCCTGGTGTTCACACTTTTGTGTAGTCCCCTCCCACATTGTACCAGGGTGGGTCTATGTGGCAGAATTGGTGGTTTCTCACTTTTTTTTTTTAAAGGGCAGGGTCTCGCTTTTTCATCCAGGCTGGAGTGCGGTGACATAATTACGGCTCACTGCAGCTTCGACCTCTGGGCTCAAGCAATCCTCCCACCTCAGCTTCCTGAGTAGCTGCAACTACAGGTGCATGCCACCATACTTGGTTAGTTCTCTTTTTCGCAGAGACGAGGTCTCACTATGTTGCCAGGGCTAGTCTCGAAGTCCTGGACTCAAGCAAACCTCCCGTCTTGACTTGCCAAAGTGCTGGGATTACAAGCATGAGCCACGGCACCAGGCTGCGTTCTCACTTTTGAGATTAGAAATATTGGCAGCTTCCATTGTGTTCCCTCTTTTTCTCTCTTGGATCATTCACATGTCATGAGAAGCCCCAAGGTGAAGCCTACATGGTGAGAAACTGAGGCCTCCAGCCAGCAGCCAGGTTAATGGGTTTGAAAGCAAATCCTCCAGCCCAATCCAGCCTTCAGATGACTGCAGCCCTAGGTGACAATGTGACAGAGGACTCAGGAGGAACCCTAAGCCAGAACCACCCTCTCATCCATGCTTAGACTCCTGATCCTTGGAACATATGTGAGTTAAAAATGTGCTTGTTGTTTTAAGCCATTAAATTTGGGGGTAGTTTGTGTTACACAGCAAAGATAATTAATAGAATTCCCATAATAGTTCTTTGGAAATGGATATTGTTTTCTATATTTTTACAGTAGAGAAAAGCAAAGCTCACAGGGTGAAGGATAGAAGGACCATATAACTTATTGTTTAAACTGGGACATTTTGAGCATTAAAGGGATGTTCTTATTAATTACACTGAAACAGCAGGTGTAAACTCGGACAGTCCCTGAGTCCTGGCAGAGTATGGGGGAACATCACTTTACTTACGTAATTTAACTAGGGTCTTCAGCCACCAAGTATCAGAGTTTGGACTGGTCTGAAGTATGTCAGTTTCCAGAGTGTACACCTTCCTGCTGCTTCCCTGGCTATGTCCTAAGCACGTATCCAGCAATAGTAGAACTCCAGACATAAGAAGTGATATACATGCACAGCGTAAATGTATTTTGATAACTACATTTTTTTTTTTTTGAGACAGAGTCTCATTCTGTCACCCAGGCTGGAGTGCAGTGGTGTGATCTCACCTCACTGCAAGCTCCGCCTCCCGGGTTCACACCATTCTCCTGCCTCAGCCTCCCGAGTAGCTGGGACTACAGGTGCCCGCCACCATGCCCGGCTAAATTCTTTTTTTTTTTTTTTGTATTTTTATTAGAGACGGGGTTTCACTGTGTTAGCCAGGATGGTCTCCATCTCCTGACCTCATGATCCACCCGCCTCCCAAAGTGCTGGGATTACAGGCGTGAGCCATCGCGCCTGGCTTGATAACTACATATACATGTATATAAGTACAGGAAACAAACACGGATTAACACTTGGTTGTTTTTTTCATTGTGTCTTTGTGTGTATTCTACAATTATAAAGAAATGCATTCTTTTTAAGGCTGGGCACGGTGGCTCAGGCCTGTAATCCCAGCCCTTTGGGAGGCTGAGGCTGGAGGATCACGAGGTCAAGAGACCAAGACCAACCTTGCCAACATGGAGAAACCCCGTCTCTACTAAAAATACAAAAATTAGCTGGGCAGGGTGGTGCATGTCTGTAGTCCCAGCTACTTGGGAGGCTGAGGCAGGAAAATCGCTTGAACCCAGGAGGCAGAGGTTGCAGTGAGCTGAGATTGCACCACTGCACTCCAGCCTGGCGACAGAGCGAGATCCATTTCAAAAAATAAAAATGAAATGCATTCTTTTTAAAAACAAAAATCTCTTTAAAATATTAAGTGAAGAGCTCTTGGCCAAAGGTTTGGAGGAACTGCATGCATGCAGGTATCCCAGGTAGCAAGCTGAAGTTTAGAATTTGCCAGTGTGAGTCACAAACTAATGACCAAGCATCCTTGTAAAACATTCATGTTTTCATCTCTGGGTGGGTCTGTGTTGGCAAAAAAAAAAGAAGCTGAGGGCAGAGAAATTTCCCAGGAAATCTAAGATAGGTAGTTCTAGGATGAAAAATTCTATTAGGTTGGTGCAAAAGTAATTGCAGTTTTCCCTTTAATTTTAACAGTAAATACAGCAATTACTTTTGCCCCAACCTAATACTGTCTAAGCCCACAACACACACAATTGTCTGAGGACTTTAGGCAAATAAGGGCTGGTTTTTCTTTGTATTTCTGTCTCCCTACTGTATCTGTTTCTTTCTTGCTTCCTTCTTCTCTTTCTTTTTTTCTCTCTCCCCTTTTGCCTCTCTTCTTTTCTCCTTCCCTTCTGTCTTTTCTTCCTTCCTTTCTTCTCTCCTTCTCCACCTGACTTCTTTCATTCATTATTCCCAATTACTTACTGGATGTCTACTATGAACCAGGAAATATGCTAGATGCTAGAGATACTATTCATTCCTTCAAAAAATATTCAGTCCTTCTTATGTTCCAGGCACTATTCAAAGCATTGAGTCTCTAATAACGAGGTAAACAGACAAAAATTCCTGCCCCTCTGAAGCTGTAGTGAGGCAATATGGACAATAACCAAAATAGATAAATAAAACACATAGCATGTTGGATGGTGATGAAGTCTATAGAGAAAAGCAAGGTGGAGAAGGGACATAGGAAATGACAACGTGCTTAGAGTGTGGTGGGCTTTGGTTTTAAGTGGGCTGGTTAGGGAAGATCTCACTGCAGGGATAGGAGGAGGTGAGGGAGATGGTCACATAAATAACTGAGGGACAGGGTGTTCCAGAAGCAAGGACAGCAGTGCATAGGCCCTGAGGTGGGCACGTGCCTCATATGTTCAAATAACAGGGAGGAGGCTGGTGTACCTGGAGAAGAGCCAATGAGGAGGCAGGTCCCAGGAGGTAGAGGCAGAGAGCTGATGGGTGGACAGGATAGTCAGGATAAAGATTGTGTAGGTTCTCGTAGGTAAGAAGAAGGACTTTGACTTTGAGTCTGAGTGAGGTGGGAGCCACTGGGGGCTTTTTGAGCAAGGGAGTGACACCAACTGATTTGCATTTTACAATTTTTCTCATTTTTCTCTGGCCTTTTAGTGCTGGTGAATAAAGGTTCAGCTTTCTCTCTCTGTTTTTTTTTTTTTCTGTCGCCCAGGCTGGAGTGCAGTGGCATGATCTTGGCTCACTGCAACCTCCGCCTCCCGGGTTCAAGGGATCCTCCTGCCTCAGCCTCCCAAGTAGCTGGGATTACAAGGGTGCACCATCATGCATGGCTAATTTTTGTATTTTTAGTAGAGAACGAGTTTCACCATGTTGGCCAGGCTGGTCTCAAACTCCTGACCTCAAGTGATCCACCTGCCTCGGCCTCTCAAAGTGCTGGGATTACAGGTGTGAGCCACCATGCCTGGCCAAAGGTTCAGTTCTCTAAGAGCTCATAGCCCTAGTTGGGGAGAAAGCCCTGGAAACATTTATGAAAGTGAAATAAAATGCTACCGATATATGATAGAATTTGTCCCAGGGATGGGAGCATGAAGGAGAGCACTTGGCCTGGACTGGAACCCACTCGAAGGAGGTGTCAGGAAATACTTCATAGAGGTGGTGTCATTTGAGCTGAGGCTTGAAAGATGAATGTAACTTATTAATCAAAGGAGAGGGGAAAGGGCAGTCCAGGAGGAAGGATCTGCATAAGCAGAGGTGTGGAGGCTTTAGAGGGTATGGCATGCTGGGAGAATGACCACAAGCAGTTTATTACAGGAATGGAGCAAGGAGAGTCCGGATAGAGAGAGTCAGGAAAGGACTGGAAAGATCCTGTAGCCCCTGGAAACTCCAGGAAAGAGGAATTGGAGGTTCTCGAGTAAGGTCTAGTAGAGAAGAATTGTGACCAGACTATTGTCATGGCTGGAGTGCAGACAAGGGTTAACCTATATAGTTGTCACCTTTCAAGTTGCCCCATATATTGCCAGGAAATGGTTTGAGGAGTGTGATTTAGCCAAGGCAGGATGCTTTCTGGCTTTGCAGCTCCTCCTCTGCGAGCAGTCCTGGGTGCTGATACAGGGCTCAGGAATGAGCCTCTCAGCAGGTACTAGGCGTGCCATGTGCAGGCTCTTGCAGCCCAGCTGTTGCCCTGGCAGCTCCATGACCACACCTCTGTGCCCAGACATGGATCAGAACTGGGAGAAAAAGAGAAGGTGGTACCTTCTATCCCCTTCACCCTGGGTCTTTCAGGATCTGCCCCAAGGAGCAGAAAACGGGTGCGCCCAGAGCAGCTTACTCAGGAGACGCTTGCTGTATGTATGGCCTGGGACAACTGTAAGAGCCCTGAGGGCACAGAGTATGGGCAACAGGTGATAGCAAATCAAGGAGCATATTTAGCAATGCCTGTGCTACCTAGCAATGAGAAATCTATGAAAATAGCGACACCACAGGAATAGGGACTGCAGAGTGGGAAGAAATGAGGGGTGACCATGTTGAAGAAACTGTGTTTCGGCAGAGGAGAGAGCAGAGCAATGGGGTGAGGTGGGAATGCTTTTGGGTGGGCTTCAGAAGCAGTGAGGTCAGTGTGGCTGTCGTGAGGTGTGGAGAGTTGGGGAAGAGGAAAGGGGGTACCTGAGTTACCTGGGGCCACGTCACGTAGGGCCTGGTGGGCTGTGGTAGGGACTTGGGATGTTTCTCTAAGTGCAGAAGATTTTGAGCTGGGGAGATGTGATTGGATTTATGTTGTAGGGGCAATAGAGACTAGGGAATTGAACAGGAAGCAGGGAGGCCAGGAGGTGGCAGCTGTAGAGGTCTGGAGGCTTGGATGTAACCAGGAGGGTTGGACAGAGCTACAGGTCAGACTGGGTCCACATTTCAAAGGGGATCTTAAAGGCTGTGAGAGGGACTATTACATGCCACCAATATTGATTGTGCTCCTACCATCAGGATACAGAGATGAGACAGTGATTCCTGTCCTCAAGGAGGTTACATTCGCATGGGGAGAGACACATAGCAAAAGAGACCACCAAGGCAAGTCCGCCGAGAGATGATGAGAGCCCAGAGGGCATATCACTAAGAGAAGGCCAGGAATGATCTCACGGAGCAAATGGCAATTGGCTTGAGTTTTGAGGAAGTAGAAGTTTGGTCAACAGGTAGGAAGCTGAGTAGGAAGGGAATTTCTGGCAAAGGCACAGTTGCTGGTTCAGTGGCATCGTTCCCTCTGGGGAATCTGGGAAGACTGTGCCTGACTGTGGTTCCTGATGGGATTGCTGGTAACTGGCTCCAGAAAGATTATTTGGTGGATAAAAAAAAAATGCAGGATATATTTGGAAAACTACAAGTTAGCCTCTAAGCTGGCAATGTGATGAGGGCATGGCAGGGTGCCTCTAGGTTCTCTACAGTAATGGGGCTCTGAAGAGAAATTGAGGGGACTGTGAAGCTGTGTTTGCACAGTTCTCTGCATAAGATTTGGAAACAGCTGACAATGCGCATTAAAGAATGAGGGTGCTGCTAATGGAGGTCATGAGAGTCACCACTCCCTAAACTTGCTCCTTGGCCCCCTCTTTGAGCTTGGAGGTAAATCTGTGGAGGCTAAGGTTGGGTGGGGCAGTGTATGTCCTGTTAATGAGTTAGGACCACAACAAACAGGGAGCTCTTGATGGGGTTCCTGAAGGTGAGTGAGAAGCTCAGGTGAGTCCTCTAGGGAGTTCACTCTGGAGTGTTGAGGGAGACAGAGTAGACAGGACAAGACAGCAGCTGAGGAAGAGGATGGCTAGAAGGCTGTTGCAAAATTCCACTATGATCTTCCCTTTGTAAAACCTTCTTTGGAACACACCCCAGAATACACTGGAAAATTCAGAAAGGTGGACAATGGAGAAAGGACAGGAAGCAAGTCCCAGAATCCACAGCAGCTCCCCAGCACCCCGGGCAAGCACTACCTCCCTGCCAAGGTTCAAGTGGGGCTCTCTTGGCAGCCTCCATAGGAACTGGCCCGGGGCGAGTTCCCGGGGTAAAAGGTGCAACCTGGGTGTGGGCCGGTTTCCTTGTGAAGGCTGTGGCTTCCCCTCAGGCTCACCCTTGCTGATGCTGAGTAATCTGCAGGCTGCAATCTGCCCGTGAAAGAACTCTTGCAACACATTGTGTGAGGATCCCAGGTAAACAGCCAATGTGTGTGCCCAGAGCTGCACTTACGTCTGTCTTCTAGGGAAGCCTCCCTCCCCGCTGGCCTTCAGGCTGTGCCTCCACCCTGCCTCTGTCTTGTTCTCTTAGGCTGCCCTGTCCTTCCCTGGGAATCAGGTCAAGAGCCCTGCTGGCAGGTGTCCTAGAGCATGAATCAGGCCCCTGGCAAGGAGAAGGCGGGAGATCTTGGCTGAGATCAGGTAGGAAGGTTTATTGGATGATGTGTCTGGTCAATAGCCAATCTATTAACCCCCCCTGAGAGAATTAGGAACCTTCATATGATGGGTCATCTCTTTGTGGGAGAAGTTTAGATAACTGGAAACCACATTTTGGTCAAGAATGACTCAGTTAATTTTTCCATGCCTTTAGTGAGGATTTAATTTTGCACGGGTAAGTGACTTCAGAGTGGTTGGTGAAAGCTGGCTGGCTGTCATTTTGTCTGGCAGTGCAGAGTGGCAATTTATCCCTTTAGGTGGCCCAAGATTTGGGTGGCTGGACTTTCCAAGGCAATTTAATTTAATTTATTTGTTTATGCTGAGCCTTGGGTTAATGCTTTCAAATGGTTTATTTCAGAGATCTGATAACCTGCGGACTGACTTTCTCCTTCTAGACTTGTGTTGATTTGATTCAACAGACCCTCATGACTCATGAAGCACCTATATGTACCAGTCATTGTGATAAATCTGGGGATTAGACAGGGGCAAAACTCAGTCCTTGTTGAGTTAGCTCATGGTGCAATACTGGACTCAGACATAAACAAACACACAGAAATGATAGGTTTGTGTGGCATGCTGAAGGCCCAGGTAAGAAGGAATTCATTCTGTTGGATAAGGCGGGGACTCAAGGAGGCTTCCTGGAGGAAGCGAAATCCTAGATGAGTCTGAAAGGGTAAATAGGAATGAATGCTCTCCAACTCTGATGGAGTTGATGATCTCAGGGTTGGCCTCTTTTCATACTGGTTTTGAGTATAAATGATTAATTTGTTTGTAATAATTAATAAAAAGAAGAAGAATGCATTCACAAGCATCACAAGTGAATCCATCCCTGACTTCTTAGTAATTTCCCCTTTTACACCCTGCTAATATGATCCCTGTTTTTTGCCCTTTATGAAGTGGTCCACAGTGTGAAAAATTTGAAAGGCCCCAAAGAATGAATAGTTCTTCAGTAAACGAATTGGAACAGCATATTGGGCATGGAGTCAAGATGTTGACCTATGTAATTCTTTTGACTTTTTTATTTTAAAATTACTATGATTCCTTCAGGGCAAGCACTGCTTTAATAATTCATCTTTCTGTCTTCAAAAGTCAGCCCAGTGACTGTCCCTTATTCCACAGATGTGGAACCAATTCAGGATTGTCCTTGTGATTCTTTTTCCTAAGTGGAATACTGAGCCTCCAGCTTGTGTGTCATATGTGTGGACTTTTCAGCATATTCTTCTCTGGCCCAGAAGTCTGGATTCTTCTTGTCTGTTGCAATAATATAAAGGTTGGAATTTTCAAAGTCTTTCCAGACCAATCTTTCTAATTATTTGGCTAGGCCCCTTGGAACGGTTCTCTAACTTGCTTTACTTTCCTTGTTTTTCATTGAAGTTATTCAGAGCTGTACATGAAGAGAAGTCCCACAGGGACCCTGGGATCAGAAGAACTCTGGGAAATGCCTGGCCCAGCCAGTGCTGTTCTAAAGATCCTCATCCTCATGGAGATAACCATTTTTAAGGAAGAAAAGAGGATCTGGACCCTACCCATCTCAGTCTCCATCAGATCTTATGGATGCTCCAGGAATTGGCCATGATTCTCCTCTTTTCTACCATCTTGTATGTTGGGCTTTGTAGAGGATAGATGTTTTCTAGAAGAATGGCAGATAAGGCAAGGTCTGCAGCTTGCCATTGATAGTGTCTTTATCAACAGATCTGTGAGGAATTGTGCAGCTGAGAGGGGAGAAGAGAAATCAGAGAGTGGATGGACTGCCACAGTTCAACATATACTGGTGCTTTCAATATAGAATCCACAAGGCAACCTGCATGCTGGGCTCTGTGCTAGGCACTAGGGGTATATCTATGAGATGCCACCCCAGCTCCCACAGTCTTACAATCTAATGGGGAAGAGAGATATGTCAATAGACAAACGCAGCAGATGGCAAGTGCTGGGATATGAAACAGTAAGCAGAAGCCACAGTGTTCTCTGGGACTTCTGAGCTGAGTCCCAAAGTAATTAGATTAATCCGTCATGGGAGGTGGAGTGGGTAGGGGGAGCTCCTGGAAGCATGATCAAAAGTGGAGAGCTAAGGTGAGGGAGAAGAAAGAAATGAGATTCAGCAAAGAGGAGGAGAGCAATGAAGGGCCATGTATGACCAGGCGAAGGCAAATTGTTCGGACCAAACATGACAGTAGGGTGGGTTTTTGAGGGGTATCCACTGCACTTACAGAGGCAAGATTCTCTATGGTGACCTTTCAGTGAGGGTGGGCAAATACACTACTTTTTGAGTCAGCCATTTTTCACTACTGAGCACCTCTGGCCTTAGCAAGTTCTGAGCATGAATACTTTCTTCTGTTTCTAAGCCATTCAACAAATATCAAAGTGCTTTCCCATGTATTGGTCATCTTAGGCAAACTGGGTGGACATGTAGAGCAAGACGTAATGAGGTAAGCACTCACTAGAGCTAGGTCATCTTAGAAAAGTCACTTAGCTTCACTGAGCCTCAGTCTTCCTATCTGTGAAATGGGGATAATGACCCTTATGTCACCTGGTGGGCAAGGTCTAAATAAAATCATTGTAGTTAGATCCATAGTAGGTTCTTTCTGACCTACCACTGTGCACCTCACGCCGTTGCTATTCCAGTGGGATATATCCAGTGGGGTTACGGGTATGACATTTCGGAACCCCACCATCACTTGTATCAGCAGGTCTGTCCTAGGTTCCCCAACTAAGCTTCCTGGATGAGGCACCTAGTGGCGTCCCCTAGTTTGAGTGTGGGGGGTTTGGTAAACTAGTCCTTATGTATGCTTGTCAGATGGAGGGTACTGTCTTTAAGATGGGCTCATAGCTGAATCTGGAAGGTAAGTGCTCCAGGCCAGTATTGTTTTCTGCAGGATTCAAAGTTCCCTTGCTATTTCTGCTGACTTTGCTTCCCCTCTCGTGTTCTATATCCCAAACCTATTATCTTCACCAGCGTTAATTTGCCTCCACAACTCTGTTTTTGCATTTTGAAATGGAATTTCCCTTAACCTATATTCCTCTGGTTCCCAAACTCCACCTGCTTCAGTTTTTTTTTCAATATCATCTACATTTCCTTCACTAGATTATAGCCTTAGTCATTTGTACCCTTAGAATGAATATTTTTTTCTGTCATATCTTTGTTTGAACCTTTTCACATTTGACTTCAGACATTACCCATCTCCTTCATCTGACCACTTTCTTCACTTTTCTCATCTTTCCATTTTGGTTGTATGTCTACTGAGCAAGGGGCTCTGTGCAGAGCATTCAAAGATGACTGAGATGTAGTCTTGTGGGTAGAGAGAGACAATTAGAATGCACCGTGGAGAGTGTTAGGTTGAGGGAAGCGGAGATTACAGGAGTCCAAATGTCTTATCCGAGGATATGGGATAGGCTTGAGAGAAGATGCTGAGCTCATGTAGGTGAGGTATTGTCCTACGTGAAGGAAAAGAGGCAGGAGATGGCAGCTTGGAGGCTATATTACTTTCTCTGGGGCTGCCATACCAAAGTACCACAAACTGGGTGGCTTAAAACATCAAAAATGTATTTTCTCACAGTTCTAGAAGGTAGAAGCCCAAAATCAAGATGTTGGCCCTACAGCTGTGCTCCTTCTGAAGGCTTTGGGGTGAATGTGTTTAATGCCCTTTTCTTAGCTTCTGCCCTTTTCTTTTCTGGCCTTCACAGAAGGCCAAAGAGCAATCCTTGGCCTTCCTTGGCTTGTGGATGCATCGTTTCAGTCTCTGCCTCTGTTTTCACATGGCCCTCTTCCCTGTGTATCTGTCTCTACGCTGCTTCTCATCTTATAAGGACACAAGTCAGATTGGAATAAAGCCTATTCTAATTCAGTATAATCACATCTTAACTTGATTATGTATGCAAAGACCATATTTCCAAATAAGGTCACATTTTCAGGTCCTCGGGGTTAGAGCTTTCACATGTCTTTTTGGGGGACATAGTTCAACTCATAATAGAAACCTCGCAGATAAATCATTTTGGCCGGTGCACAGAGTTAAGTGGTGGATTATCAAGAATATGGAATTTTAGAATTTTAGCTTCTTGGTTGATTTTTGGGAATTAACATACAGGAGAGCAGGTTTAGAAGTAACAATAACACTTTGAGAGGCCGAGGTGGGCAGATCATGAGGTCAGGAGATCGAGACCATCCTGGCTAACATGGTGAAACCCCGTCTCCACTAAAAATACAAAAATTAGCCGGGCATGGTGGCAGGTGCCTGTAGTCCCAGCTACTCAGAAGGCTGAGGCAGCAGAATGGCATGAACCCGGGAGGCGGAGGTTGCAGTGAGCCGAGATCGTGCCACTGCACTCCAGCTGGGGAGACAGAGTGAGACTCTGTCTCATAAAAAAAAGAAGTGACAATAACAATAACAGAGGCTGGTCTTCTGGGAATGATGCGATACTCTTCAGCCAGCCTTTCTGTTTTGAGCGAAGCCCCAACCTGGAGTTCAAAGAGAGTGAGGGCGCTTCCTGTCTTCTTGTCTTTCTCCTCTCTCCTGCTACTTGTTATGAAATTCAGAACAATTAGAGATTTTCTGTCTCATCCCTGGAATGGTGTTTCTCCTGCTGGCCCTATCAGGCTGGTGTGTTGATGTTATCGGGGAGAGGCTGTAGTTACTAGGATGAAGAAGGCAAGAGAGAAATGGAATTCACGCAGATCAAACATGTGTAATCAGAAGACATTACTGAGGCTTGATGATGCTGTTCAGGGTGTATTTCCCTTGAAACGCTTCTTAAAAGACAGCAGCTTAAACAAATGGGCAAGATGAGATTCACAGAGGTAACATTTCAGAGAGAATGTAGGTACAGCTAAGCAGAGCTAAGCAGTGACAGAAGGAGAAAGTGTGTCTGAAGAAAAATCTTCATTACAGATTTGAAAGAAAAAAAACCCATCAAATCCCTCTGCCTTGTGGGTCTCACAGGAGGCAAACTTTCTTTACAAACTGTGTGTTTGTGTTTTGAGTGACTAAGAGTTCAGGGACAAGTTCAAACACACCTAAGTTCAATTTAAAAGTAAATGAGATGACATTGGAGGAAATTTATAATAAAATGTCACTCTTTACCTAACACCATTTTCTCTGGAATTCAAAATATCCATTGTTTAAAAGTGACACAGTAACTACCATCTAGTTTGCTGAATGACCTTCTTTATAGCGTCATGGTATTAGAAATGGCTTCAGAAGGAATCACTCAACTGCATTTATCTGGCAGGAGAAAAATGCAGGTAGTATTTATTTTGGGGTGTGGTAGGGGATGTCCCCTAGCAAGGATCCTAGAAGTCAGTGTCAGGTATGAGAACAAGAAACATTCATTTATTGCATGCATACTCATTGAGTCCCTACTATGTATTGGTATTATGTGGCAGTATGAATATTCTCATTTGTTAAATAAAGATACTTGAGTCTGCTTTCAGTGTTGTGGGTTTTGTTATTAAGAGTAATACAGTCATGTGTTGCTTGATCATGGGGACTTGTTCTGAGAAATGTGTTGTCAAGCAATTCTGTCTTTGTGGGAACCTCGTAGAGAGTAGGGTACTTACAAAAACCTAGATGGGATAGCTTAATACGCACCTAGGCTGTAGGGTAAAGCCCATTGCTCCCAGGCTACAAACCTGTAGAGCATGTTACTGACTGAATACTGTAGGCAGTTGTAACAAATCACTAGGCAACAGAAACTTTGCAGCTCTGTTATTATCTTATGGCACCACTGTTGTGTATGCAGTCTGTTGACCAAAACATCATGTGGTTCATGATCGTACTTATAGTACTAAGTGCCAGGCATTGAACTGTGCCAAGTGTCAGGGCTGAATGAGCTCATTCAATTTTTCTAATAAGTCTATGAGGTAGTTACTGATATCGCCCCTGCTTTACAGATGAGGAAACTGAGGCACAGAGATAAGGAATTTGGATAAATTTTTATAACAGGTAGGAGATAAGTGATGAAGAGACACTGAATGATTGAAAACTCACTTGGTTTGATTTGCTTATGTGAAAAATGGATTTAAGGAAGGCAGCGGATGCAAGCACGGAGGCAGGGAAACTGGTTGATGTGTGGATTGAGTGAGTTAATGTGTGTCAAATGCCTAGAATGGTCACTACACAAGTATTTGCTATTGTTCTTATTTTTGTTGTAATCAGTCAGAATGGTCTAAGTCAGTGGTCAGCAAACTTTTTTTATGCAGAGCCAGATAGAAAATAATTTAGGCTTTTTATGCTCTTAGGTCTCTCTTGCAATTACTCAATTCTGCCCTTGTAGCATGCAGGCAACCATAGTCAATGTGTAAATAGGAACGAGCATGGCTGCATTCCATTGCATGTAGTTTATAAAACTATAGCCCACAGACTATACTTTGCCAATTCTTGGTCTAGACTATGCTGTAGTTATAATTCCCAAACCCTATTGGTTTATAAGGGTTTACTATTATTTCTACAACTATCAGTCAGAATGAGCTAGACTATGCCATATTAACGAACAACCCCCAAACCTTAGTGGTTTACAAAAATAAGGATTTTATTCTTGGCTCACATTACATGTCCAATGTGGGTTGGCAGGGGAACTCCAGTTCCTGCTTCACGACTCTGAGACCCAGGCTGATAAAGCAGCCACCACCTCAAAGATTTCTGATTCGTAAGAGAGAGGTAGAGAGACAGAGAAAACTTTTGATGTGATCCTGTCTAGAAGTGCACAGGTCACATCTGCTCACAAACCTAGTGACTGGCAGGCACTAGGCACATAGACTGAACTATTCACAAAGGGCCCAGGCAGGACAATCCTACCAGGTTCCTAGAAGGCAGGGAGCTGGGCACATTTGGCAAGCATTACCAATGGTTATTGTTACCTACTACTAGGCATCCAAGTCATGTGTTACAGCTAGGACCACATGGAGAAAGAAACACTCAGTGTAATTTCAAATTGCAGAGGAAAAGAATCTGATTGGTTCATTCTCAGTCAGAGATCCATTGTTGGTTTAATTAACTGAAGAGGGTTGGGGTATCATATTGTACGAATGTAGTCGTTGGGAGCCAGCCCATCCTTTGGATGGGGGGAGGAGGAATTGTGAAGAAAGTTAGGGGAGTTATTTTAAGTTGGTGAAGTTACTTCAATATTAATATACCTTAATAAAGAGCCAGATAACAGCAGTTCAACTTTCTGAAAAGTCAGTGGATAGAAAGACAGCCCTATATATAAATGAAAGCGAAGGAGAGCTGGCATGGGCAAGTTGAGGCATGAGTCCTGGTTGCATGACTAACCGGGTATGTGGCTTGGGATAAGTCATTTCAGAATGTATTGGCATCTTGGGTTTTTGTCTGTGAAATGAATACTTAGTAAAATGGCAGACAAAAGAAGTACAACTTGCTGAGAAAAGAGAGGTGTGTCAGGACGTTTTGGAGTCAAATGAGATAATGGATGTGAAGATGCTTTGCAAATCATATTCTGGTTTTCTTAATTGGGCAGCCTTGGCCACATTGCTTATCATTTCTCAGCCTGGCCTCCTTCTTTAACTTGGAGATAAAAAGATCTGCACTTCAGAGTAGTGAAGATTAGAGGCAAAGAAAACTGAGCACTACAGCATTAGGTCTGGCAAGACACCCAATTAACGATGGTTCTTATTACTACTGGTGTTTACTTGCGGCATTTGAATTCGTGTCTCATTGGATTCCATGATTGACTCAGCAGATCCGACTGGTTGAGTGTGTTTATTTTCTCTTCTTTCTTGCTGCCATTGACATCCATGGCTCATGAATATGCACTCTTTCATGAGCACATAGGGCATGAGTAAGGCTGATCCTTCAAGCAGGTGAGCTTCTGTGAGATGTAATTCGCGGGATAGTATCCTAAATTACACCCTTCACCCACTGGTCTGTCTGGGATTCTCATTTTTTGGGTCATGTATTGTGTATTAATCAGGGTGTTGTTTCTATAGGAAACTCATGAAAACAAACATGTAATCCATCACTAGATAGAAGCAGATGAGATATCTGACCTTCTGCTGTGGGATTAGTCTTTGAAGGAAAAGGGCACAGGACAAATGTGACTGCATATTGGAAAGTTGGAATTGCCCAAGGAGTTAAAACTAAATGCATGGGACTTACCTGCAGAAATTCTGATTTCATTTCTCTGTAGTGTGGCCTGGTTTTGGAGATGTTATAAAGCTCCCCAGGGCCAGATGTGGTGGCTCACTCCTGTAATCCCAGCACTTTGGGAGGCCGAGGCAGGCAGATCACGAGGTCAGGAGATCCAGACCAGCCTGGCCAATGTAGTGAAACCCCGTCTCTACTAAAGATACAAAGAACTAGCAAGATGTGGTGGCGCGTGCCTGTAATCCCAGCTACTCAGGAGGCTAAGGCAAGAGAATCGCTTGAACCCAGAGGCAGAGTTTGCAGTGAGCTGAGACCGCGCCATTGCACTCCAGCCTGGGTGACAGGGTGAGACTCCATCTCAAAAACAAAAGACAAAAACAAAAACTTAAAAGAACTAACTTTTTGTTAAGTACCAATCATGCCTAGAGTTGCCCTGGACCTTTTGAATAGACCACATTCTACTTCATGTAAGGCACAATAGATTGTGTGATGCTTCTTTATGTATCAATAAGATAATTTTTTAAATGCTACCAATTATAGTTGTAGGAAACTATGAATTGCAAGTGGCATTCCAGTGTCAGAGATGTTAAAATGTGAGGAATGAGCATCTTAGAATAATTGCACCACCTCACTCCAGCCTGGCAACAGAGCAAGACTCCATCTCAAAAATAAAAAAAAAAGCTCCCCCCAGATGATTCTCATGTGCAGCCAAAGTTGGAAGCCACTAGTTTAGAGCACAGGATACTGTTAGAGAGGACAGATCTATTTGGGAATCTGTGATGAGCAAACAAGGGGAGGGGGAAGATGAGGTGCCAGGGTTTCTTCAAAGAGGAAATATGAGAGGGTAGGAGAGGGAGAAGGAGGAGAAGACAATTTCACTCATGCTTAATCTAAGCCTGAGAACTGTTGTGAAATTTGTTAGGAAGAAGTGGTGAGAAGGGAGAAGATGAGGGCTAGTCTCAGAGCACCCCGTGACTGTTAATTTTATGTGTTCAATTTGACTAGGCCATGAGACCTGGATATTTGGTGAAACATTATTCTACACCTCTCTCATTTAGATGAGGTAGACATTTAAATCAGTGGAGGTTGTGTAAAGTGGATAACCCTCAATAACATGGGTGGGTCTCATTCAATCAGTTGAAGGCCTTTATAGAAAAAGACTGATTTCCCTGAAGGAAGAAGGAATTCTGCCATCAGACAGCTTTTGGACTGGAACTGTGATTCTTCTCTGGGTCTTCAGCCAGCCCACCTACCCTACAGATTTTGGACTTCTCAGCCTCCACAATTGTGTGGGACAGTTTCTTAAAACTTTCTCTTTGTGTGCATGTGTGCACGCGTGTGTGTGCACGCACACACACACACACACATGCCCTATGGGTTCTATTTCTCCAGAGAACCCTGACTTAACAACCCTAATGAGGTGGTATTATTAGTTGCCTCATTTTACAGTTAAAGAAAGTGAGATGCTTAATAACGTGCCCAAAGTTGCACTTTCAGGAGTAGGGGAAACACAAGACACAGGATGTAAGACCAGGGAGTCTGGCTCTAGCATCGCCTGAGCTGACTCTCAGAGTCTTTTCAAAGAGGGTGTTGCTGTGGTACACAGTCATGAAAAGCTAGATTTTTTTTTTTGAAGACCACCTTAACCCTCAAACCTTAAGTTTCTTTGTTTTCAAAACAAGGGGGACTTTTTAGATGCCATATGAATTTTAGGATTTTTTTTCTATTTCTGTGAAGAATGATGATGTTATTTTGATGGGAATTGCATTGAATTTGTAGATTGCTTTGGGCAGTATGATCATCTTCACAATATTGATTCTACCCGTCCATGAACATGGGATGTGTTTCCATTTGTGTTGTCTATGATTTCTTTCAGCAGTGTTTTGCAGTTTTCCTTGTAGCAGTCATTCACCTCCTTGGTTAACTCTATTCCTAAGTATTTTATTTTATTTGTTGTACCTATTATAAAGGGAATTGAGTTCTTTATTTGATTCTCAGCTTGATCATTGTTCATGTAGAGAAGTGCTACTTATTTGTGTACATTGATTTTATATCCTGAGACTTTAGTGAACTCGTTTGTCACACCTAGACAATAGACATTGGCACGGATGTGGTAAGAAGGGAACACTTTTATGCTGCGGGTGGAGATGTAAACCAGTACAACCACTATGGTAAACAGCATGGAGACTCCTTAAAGAGCTAAAAGTAGAACTACCATTTGATCCAGCAATCCCACTACTGCGTATCTATCCAAAGGAAAAGAAGTCATTATATTAAAAAGACACATGTACATGCATGTTTATAGCAGCATAGTTTGCATTTGCAAAAATATGGTACCAATCTAAATGCCCATTAACCAATGAGTGGATAAAGAAAATGTGGCATATCTACACTGTGTAATACTACTCAGCCATAAAAAGGAATGAAATAATGTCTTTTGCAGCAACTTGGATGAAGCTGGAGGCCCTTATTCTAAGTGAGTAACTCAGGAATGGAAAACCAAGTATCATATGTTCTCACTTATAAGTGAGAGCTAAGCTATGAGAATGCAAAGGCATTACAATGATATAATGGACTTTGGGGACTCAGTAGAAGGGAAGTTGGAAGGGGGATGAAGGATAAAAGACTACATATTGGGTATAGTGTACACTGCTCGGGTGATGGGCATATCAAAATCTCAGAAATCACCACTAAAGAACTTATTCATGTAATCCCAAACCACTTATACCCCAAAAACTATTGAAATAAAAATTTAAAAAATGAGGGGAACACCAGATGAACCCTTTCAGACCTGTTGATCTGTAACAACTAAGAGCAGACATTAGAAGCTGATGCCTGCCTATTGGCAATTGTAGCTGTCAAGAGTTTCAGCCTTGCTGCTAGGTAGTGAAATTAACACCTGCTTTGCCTTCTTCCCTGCCTTCCCTCTGCTGGGTCTCATCTCCCCTCATTCTCAAGGGCTGATCCCTTAACTCACTGGTACCTGTTTGGTTTCTCAAATTGCATTTGAATCTTCCTCAGTGGAACTCTTCCTGCTGCCTCTGTCTGATGTATTAGCAATGTCAGAAGCTCAGAATGACTGCTTCCAGCCAGACATTGGGTTGGTTTTAAATGTATTCATCTCTTGTCATACCAGTTACTGGCACTGTTTTTAAGCTCGTGTGTGTGTGTGTGTGTGTGTGTGTGTGTGTGTGTGTGTGTATTGTGTGTTATTTTCTAAGTAAGTAATTAAATTTTTAGAATCATACAGCTCTCTGTGTAGAACAGCTTTGTGCAAATACTTTGAATTTTATTCCAGTTTATAGCACATCAATTTGTTTTCAGCATTTTCTCAGTCTACTTTCCATCTGCCTGAACTCTGGTAGACTGAAGTCCAGTTTTGGGTGATAAAGTGATTAGCAGCATTTGTCTGCTCTTAGAGCACTTGGGATTCAAGTCTCCCCTATATCTCTTCTTCTGTATCTCATTGCTTTTGTTTTTTTTCCCCCATCTTGACACTTTTTCAGTATATCAGGAATCTTTCTTCATATATATATGTTTTTTAAGACAGAGTTTCACTCTTGTTGCCCAGGCTGGAGTGCAATGGCGTGATCTCGGCTCACCACAACCTCCACCTCCCAGGTTCAAGCAATTCTCCTGCCTCAGCCTCCCGAGTAGCTGGGATTACAGGCACCCACCACCACTCTCAGCTAATTTTGTATTTTTAGTAGAGACGGGGTTTCTCCATGTTGGTCAGGCTGGTCTTGAACTCCCTACCTCAGGTGATCTGCCCACCTCGGCCTCCCAAAGTGCTGGGATTACAGTGTTGAGCCACCATGCCCGGCCGCATCTTTCTTTTTAAATCAACTTTACTGAGGTATAATGGACACACAGTAAGCTGATGTATTTAAAGTATACGATTTGGTGTTTTTACATATGTATACATCCACAAATCCATCCCCACAATCAAGATAATGAACATATCTATCACCCCCAAAAGCATCCTGTGTCCCTTTGTAGTGACTTCTGTTGTTGCACCCTTTCCCCACCATATGTTAGTTTACATTTTGTAAAATCTTATATAAATGGAAGCATACAGAGTGAACTCTTTTTGTCTGGCTCTTTTACTTATTTCTGAGTTGGTATTTCATTGTACGGATATACCACAATACATTTATTCATTCGCCCAGGGATAGACATGTGGTTGCTTTTAGCTTTTGAATATGACAAATAAAGTGTCTATAAGCATTCACGTAGAAGTCTTTGCATGGACATATGTTTCCTTTTTTAAAAAAATTATTTATTTATTTTTTAAGATGGAGTCTTGCTCTTATCACCCAGGCTGAAGTGCAGTGGCATGATCTCAGCTTACTGCAACCTCCGCCTCCAGGGGTTTCAGTGACTTTCCTGTCTCAGCCTCTTGAGTAGCTGAGATTACTGATGTGCACCACCATGCCCAGCTAATTTTTGTATTTTTAGTAGAGACGGGGTTTCATCATGTTAGCCACGGTGGTCTCAAACTCCTGACAGGTGATCCACCTGCCTAGGCCTCCCAAAGTGCTGGTATTACAGGTATGAGCCACCATGTCTGGCCCTGTTTTCAGTTTTTTTTTTTGTTTGTAAATATCTAGAAGAATGGCTGGATGATGAGGTAGGTATGTATTTAACTTTTAAAGAAGCTGCCAAACTGTTTTCCAAAGTGATGGTGCCGTTTTAACATTCCCAGCAGCAGCATATGAAAGGTCTAATTGCTTCACATCTTTGCCAACACTTTGTGTGGTCAGACTTTTTAATTTTAGCTTTCCTAATACATGTGTAGCGGCATCTCACTGTGTTAGCGTACATTTCCTAATGATTAATGATGTTGATCTTTTTTTTTTTTTTTTTTTTCTGAGACAGTCTTACTCTGTCATGAGGCTGGAGTGCAGTGGTACAGTCTTGACTCACTGTGACCTTGACCTCCCAGGCTCAGGAGATCCTGCTACCTTAACCTCTTGTGTAGCTGAGACTACAGGCACGTGCCATCATGCCTGTAGTATTTTTTGTATTTTTCGTAGAGACGAGGTTTTGTCATGTTGCCCAAGCTAGTCTCAAACTCCTGAGCTTAAGCAATTTGCCCACCTTGGCCTCCCAAAGTGCTGAGATTACAGGTGTGAGTCACTGCACCTGGCCTAGCATATTTTATGTGCTTATGTGCCATCCACATATCTTCTTTGTTGGAGTATCTGTTTAAATCATGTTTAAATCTTTTGCCAATTTCTTATTGAGTTTTTAATTTTCTTATTGTTGAGTTTTGAGGATTCTTCATATATTCTAGATATAAATTCTTTTTCAGATATGTCACTTATAAGGACTTTCTTTCAGTCTGTGCTTGTATCTTTTGATAAGTGGATTTTTTTTTCTTCAGACAGAATATTGCTGTGTTGCCCAGGCTGGAGTGCAGTGGTTTGATCTCAGCTCACTGCAACCTCCGCCTCCTGGGTCCAAGTGATTCTTGTGCCTCAGCCTCCTGACTAGCTGAGACTACAGGCATGCATAGGCATACCCAGCTAATGTTTGCATTTTTAGTAGAGACAGAGTTTTGCCATGTTGGCCAGGCTGGTCTTAAACTCCTGGTCTGAAGTGATCCACCTGACTGGCCTCCTAAAGTGCTGGGATTACAGGCCTGAGCCACTGTGCCCAGAAGAAGTGCTAATTTTGATGAAGTTCCATTTATCATTCTATTTTTTTAATGCTTTTGCATCATATGTAAGAAATCTTTGCAAAACCCAAGGTCATGAAGATTTTCTCCTGTTTTCTTCTATAGGTTTTAGAGTTTAAGGTTTCATGTTTAGGTTTATAATCTATCTTAAGGTAATTTCTGTTTGTGATATGAAGTATGGATCCAAGTTTCCTTTTTTTTTTTTTTGCATATCAAGATCCAATTGTTCTAGCATCATTTGTTGCAAAGTCAATCCTTTTTTCCGCTGCACCTTTGTAAAAGTTCACTGTCAATATTCATGAGTTTATTGCTAGACCCTGTATTCTCTTCCATCGATCTATTTGTCTGTCTTTATACAAATACCACAGTGTTTTGATTCTGAAGCTTTATAATAATTCTCAGGATCAGGTAATATTAGTCCTTCAACTTTGTTCTGTTTTTACAGAGTGTTTTGTTTTTGTTTTTGTTTTTTTGACTATCCTAGGGTATTCGCATTTTTATATGGGGAAATGAAAGATGGTCTCTGTTAATGTGGCTTTATTTTCTCCACTTATCAAGAGGTCCCTGAGGGGGTCACTTACATGCTTCACGTCTACTGCACTGCCTTTTGAGAAGAAAAGTGTCAGGGTTGACTAATTTCTCCAAATTTGGAGAAGGGCTAAATTCTGAAACTCATGACCTTTCAGAGCCTCCTGGCTGATAGCATTTTCTCCTCCCCTTATAACCTGCCTCCTTAAGTGATCACCTTCAAGACTGGTTTGAGATGCAGTGGGACTTTTAAGTGAGACTAAACTCCCTGAGAGTGAGAAGTTGGTCTGTGTTCCTCACTTGCCTCCCTAGAAACAAGCACATTGTCTAGTGCCTAGTAATTGCCCAATGACTATTCTTACAGCCAAATCTGTTGCCAAGTGAAGCTTGCTCTGGGAGTTAAAGTCTTGCCTTGTATTGCTCTGCTTTCTGGTTTCAGGGAGGATTAAGGTGAAAGGAGGGCCTCTGGTGGCTCTGGAGCTCCCACTGTGTGCAAGGCATCATGGCAGGAATCCACACATAGGCTATCCCACTTACTCTTCACCATTACTCTGCAACAAGGAAATATTATTCCCATCTATTACTAATGAGGAAATGGAAGCTCAGAGGGTGTATTAGTCAGGGTTCTCTAGAGGGACAGAACTAATGGAATAGCTGTATATAAAGGGAGTTTATTAAGTATTAACTCACATGATCACAAGGTCCCATAATAGGCTGTCTGCAGGCTATGGAGCAAGGAGAGCCAGTCTGAGTCCCAAGGCAAAAGGACTTGGAGTCTGATGTTCGAGGGCAGGAAGCATCCAGCACGGGAGAAAGATGTAGGCTGGGAGGCTAGGCCAGTCTCTCTTTTCACATTTTTCTGCCTGGTTATATTCTAGCTGTGCTGGCAGCTGATTAGATTGTGCCCAGATTAAGGGTGGGTCTGCCTTTCCCAACCCACTGACTCAAATGTTAATCTCCTTTGGCAACACCCTCACAGACACAATCAGGATCAATACTCTGTATCTTTCAATCCAATCAAGCTGACACTCAGTAGTAACCATTCCAGAGGGGTTAGGGAACTTGTTACCACGCAGCAGAATTGAAATTTGGACTCCTACTTTTCCCAATACTTTAACCTCCCTCCCTAAGTATCTAAGATATGCCAAAGTCATTTACTTAGGAAACATATAGCTAAAACGCATTAAGCACTTACTGTGTGGCAGGCACTAGGGACCTGGTGAACAATGAGTGGTTTGTGGTAGAGGCTACAAGGGAGGCAGGGACGGGGGACATTGATGAGGAGAAGAGAAAGGCGCTGGCTTTGAAGGGTGTTAACTACCAGCCTAAAGAACACGGGCTCTATCCGGTAGGTGTTGGGGAATGGTGGAAGGGTTTTATTCAAATGCAGAACAGGATTGGACTTATATTTAGGAAGAGCATCCAGCAGCAGTGTGGAGGGCAGATGGCTGTGGGCGAGGAAGGAGTCAGGAACAGTAGTTATGACACCACCGAAAGAGAGAATAAAGATGATGGTGACGAGGCGGCTGAAGGAACTGAACAGTTATGTATAGCAGACACTGTGCTTAGTGTATTCCATGTGCTTGCTCATTTAATATTCAGAACAACTGCATGAAGCCAATGCTACTATGATCACCATTTTCCAGATGAGGAAATTAAGCCACAGAAGAGTTAAGTAATAATCATTCCAATCATAATAGAATAAGCCCTGAAACGATGTTCCCTGTTCACACCTGTAAGATTCTCTTACAGTTTTCAGCCAGTAAATTGCAGAACCAGGATGTGAGCCTATACATCCTAAATGCCAAGCTGTATTTGTTTTGTCGCTTACCAAATCACCTCGCATCACAGACACCCAAGGGGGGGAGAGAGAAATCTTTGTGATCACAAAGGCCACCTCGCTGCCCCTCCCAGCCCCATCCAGATGTGTGAATCTCTCCTGTGCCATCTGCTTAATCATCTCCAGTGATGAGGGCTACCCTCTCTGTCCAGGCATCCTGGACCACATTTTGACACCAGCATTATGAAAACTTGATCTTTGTTTTTGAGCCCTGGTGAACTTGGCTTGCTGCTTCCAGGGCTTTCTCTGAGCCTCTGCTGGCCTTTTTTTCTACTTAATAAGCACCTGAGGGTGTGAACTGTGGCTACTGGTACAATCTGGGACAAAGTCCACCAGGGATTTTAAGGAGTGTTCTTTGCATGCAAAATATCACAAGGTGGCTGAGGCCATGCTAATTGGCTACATTTGAACTACAACAACATTCAAACCCAGCAAGACAATTAAAGCTGAAAATGATCAGCTGGGATTAAAAGGATCCAAAGGGTAATTGCTTCATAACAAGCTACATTGCTCCAAGTAGCAGGAAGGATTGACGAAACTGGAATTATTATATTGGAATACTTGTTTATTTTTATAGCGTGTTTTAAAATCATTTGGATTTGGCCAACTTGTGCCTTTTCCCAAATACTCCTGGGTTTGGTTAACTGCCTTGGATTTATCTGCCAACTGCAATTACTCCTGTTCTTGGAAACTACAGAGGCACAGAAACATACTCACCATTTATCAGTGTGATAAATACTTTTATTGCCTTGGTAATAATGATGCCTACATTTGTATAGTGCTTGTAACGTTTTCAAAATGACTTATGTCTGTTATCTCAGTTTGAGAACAACCCGATGGTATGGTTAAGGGTTGGGGTTCCGATTTGGAGATGATAAAGGCAGGGAGAAGTGAGCCGTGTAGCAGATTAACATTAGTGCTCACACGAGAATCCCGTGTGCCTGCTCTCACCTGGGGTATTCTAAGAAGGAAGCATCTTGTTCAGCAGGGCTGAACCCCGCCAACCCAAAGTGAAAAAGTAATTGTTGGGGATTAAGAGGAAGGTGAAACTCATTGATAAATTAGCTGTTTGAACTTTACAATATGAAAGAGATCAATCGTCGGTCAGATAGGAAAGGTGCTTTCAGAAATAAAGTTGCTGCAATAACACCTAAGGTATGAACTTTGGTTTGGAGTTGGTAGTCTTGGGCTTACATTCTGCCTCTTCCTTTTTGTGGTTCTGTATCTGTTATTTGACTAGTCTTCTGGATCTTAGTTTCCTCTTTTGTACGATGGGTCTAACAAGGACATTTCTCCGGTGTTATGGTTAAGGTCAAATGAAACCGTATATGTGCTGGAGCTAGACAAATATGGGGTACTTTGGTCACTGGCATTTTTCTGTCTGATGTTCCTACTTTAACTGTGATAAGATATTCAGAAGACCAGCCACCTTTGCAGCTTGTTTCTTGAGAGACTTCATTCCCTACATTTTAAGGTGTGTTTAAAGGGATGTTTTCCTTATTATAATAGAACGAGTTACTAGGGTTTCACAATTTAGGAACAGGCAGAAGTCTTTTCTAGATACACACAAAGTGAATCAACCACCTTAAACCAAGCAGCATCTAAGAGATGTGCCTTCTAGTTCTGAAACGGATACAATTTCCAGCTTTTGTGACAACCCTGCCAGTTTAGCCTGCTCTAATATTTGTTCTGGGTGTGAGATTTTCTTTCTTCTCTCTTTTCTTTTTTCTTTCTCTCTCTCTCTGTTTCTCTCTCTCTCTTTTTCTTTCATTCTTCTGAGACAGAGTCTGGTTCTGTCAACCAGGGTGGAGTGCAGTGGCATGATCTTGGCTCACTGAAACCTCTGTCTCCTGGGCTCAAGCCATCCTCCCACCTCAGCCTCCCAAGTAACTGGGACTACAGGCATGTGCCACCATGCCCAGCTAATTTTTGTAATTTTTTTTGTAGAGATGGGGATCTTGCCAGTATGCCCAGGCTGGTCTCAAACTTTTGAGCTCAAGTGATCTGCCCGCCTTGGCTTCCCAAAGTGCTGGGATTACAGGTATGAGCCACCAAGCCTAGCAGGGGCTGAGGTTTTAAAACAACACCAGTTTCTCAATGTAAAGCCTTAGGGTATAGAAAGGATTCTTTCAGATTTTGCAGTCTAGTAAAGACTGTTTTTGTGCAGTGCACTCTGGACTAACCCTTACAGATAGAAAGTATTGTTCTAGGCATTGTAGGGCATGCAAAATAAATAGAAGTTAGTGTGTCTCCAAACATGAACTTAGAATCTAGTTGGAGAAAAAAAACAAATACACATAAAGTACTTATATTTAGCTCTCACCAAGCTTTTGTTTGGTGCCAGGAACCAGGTGGAGCCCGCTGTCTATATCATCTTATTCCCACCAGGTAAGTACTATTTCTTTTATCCTTAGTTCACAGCATAGAAATTGAGGTTCAGGGAGTTTAAGGGCCTTTCCAAAGACAACTCTGTCCACCTGTCTCTAAAGGCCACACTCTAACCACCTGCTAATCAGTACTTCCAAACTCAATGAGTGGGTCTTCCCAGCCAGCTCTGAATCTGGGTTCATGGTTCAAAATATCGGGAATTAAAGTGCAAATGAATGGATTGCTTACAAAAGCGGTCACTTTAAGTAAAGGCAGTGAAGCCACAGGGGAGAAAAGTGACTTCTGGGATCCAACTGGCCTGGGTTTGAAACCTGGATCCGTCAGTTATAGCCTGCAAATAGTTCAGCCTCCCTGGAACTTGATCTCCACATCTCTATTAAGGAGGGAGAAGAATGCTTTCAACTTTAACTGAGATAACCTGTAGAAAGCACCTAGCACAGAGCATAGCACAAAGGCTGGCCAATACGTGGCTCCTTCACCCTGCTTCCCATTCAATGGCTGCTCAACAGCTTCCTCTGACCAAGAGACCCCCACTTCACATCTTTCCATCATGCCCCCCACAAGCTGCCTTTTCCACTCTCTCTTCATAGATGCCAACAAAAGGTGGCCTGCTCATCTGCTTTGAATCTTGCTGGTCTCTGGCTTATCTCTTCCAATCCCCGGTGCATTCTTGGCTTCGCAGGGATTCAGCATGCCCACATTCTTGTGCGGTCACTGATTGAGCCCAGTTCCCTGTCTTGACAGTGGCCTTTAGAACATGAAAGTGTGTTTACACTCCACAAATGTGTTTGAATTTCCTAGAGCTGGCATCAGAGGAACTAGAGCCTCAGCTTAACCTCCCGCAGCCTGGTTCCAGTTGAGTGCTTTGTGGGATGCCATTTCTGTCAGAAAGTTTGTTCTTAAACTAAGCTGCAACCTGGCAGAATGGTTCTGAAATGAAGAACTCAGACCTGGCATCCAATTGCCTTGATTTAGAACCACCTGAGAATAGATAGTGAGCTTGTTTCCAAGTGTTTTACTGTTATACATAAAACTCCATGCACATCCTCGTGCACACTTGTGAGAGTGTCTCTGGGAGTACACATCTCAGAGAGAAATTGCTGGCTTAAAGGTATGCGCACCTTTAGGTTGACTAGGTACTGCCAAATGGCTCCCCAACTTGTTGCAATAATTCATACTACCATTAGAATCTAGGAAAATTCCAGTTCTTCCCTATCCATTCACTTTTGGTATTGTCTGACTTTAAAATTTTTGCAAATCTGATGATGTGAAATGACATTATTATTTTTAATTTGTATTTCTCAGATGGTTAGTAAGGATGAACATCTTTATATGTGATTTTTGACTAATTGCGTTTCCTTTTTTGTGAATTGTCTTTCTCTATTTTTTGCTTACTTTTTTATTGGGTTGTATATTGTTTTCTTATTGATTGCCAAAGAATTCTTTATATTATTCTGGATATATATATGTATATGCATATATATGTGCACGTATATATATGTGATTATATATTCTGTATTATACATATTCTGTTGATTATATGCTTTGAAATATTGTTTTCTAGTTTATGTGTTACCTTTTCATGTAGCTTATGATGTCTTTGTAAGAAATTATATTTAGTAGTCAAATCTGCCATCTTTTTTTTCATAGTTTGAACTTTTTGTGTAATTCTTACCACCAAAGACCATGCACCTCTAATAACCAGGAAATAGAGTCAGTAATGGGGGCAGGAATAAATAGAAGCTGACACCATTGAGAATTCTGGCAGAAGTTCTCTTGGAAGGGTTAGCTGTGAGGTTGTTGGGGTTTTTTTTCAACTTTCAATTTTTTTTTTTTTTTTTTTTTGAGACAGAGTCTCACTTTGTTGCCCAGGCTGGGGTGCAGTGG
Source organism: Homo sapiens (assembly GCF_000001405.40). Taxonomy (NCBI): domain Eukaryota; kingdom Metazoa; phylum Chordata; class Mammalia; order Primates; family Hominidae; genus Homo; species Homo sapiens. The sequence goes on along the minus strand of NC_000008.11, from coordinate 127,648,282 downwards.
CGCGATCTTGGCTTACTGCAACCTCCACCTCCTGGGTTTAAGAGATTCTCCTGCCTCAGCCTACAGAGTAGCTGGGATTACAGGTGTGCGCCACCATGCCTGGCTAATTTTTGTATTTTTAGTAGAGACGGGGTTTCATCATGTTGCCCAGGCTCATCTCGAACTCCTGATCTCAGGTGATCTGCCCACCTCGGTCTCACAAAGTGCTGGGATTACAGGTGTGAGCCACTGAGCCCGGCCTCAACTTTTAACTTTGAAATAATTATATCCTCATAGCAAGTTGCAAACTAACGTGCAAGGTGGTCCCAAGGACACAACACCAGCTCCCCCCAGTAGTAACATCTTGCACAGCTATAGAACAATATCATCACAGTCAGGAAATTGACATTGGTTCAAGCCACAGGGTTTGTGTGTGTGTGTGTGCGTGCGCGTGCCTGTGTTCTATGCAGTTTTTTCATAAATGTAGTTTTGATCAGCCAGCACCACTGTCGAGCTACAGAGCTGCTTTGTCACCACAAGCTTTCTCATCCTATCTGTTCGTAGCCTGTGACTTTGTTTTGAAGCATGTTAAAGACACTACAGCTAAACTCATTTTCTGTTTCTCTGGATGACTTCCAAAGAGTAAATTTAAATGCACAGTTTATTTTTAATTTTTTAATTTTTTTTTCTTTTTAACCCCTGTCAGCTTCATTAGCACAGTTTTTAAATATACATATACAATATGCAAAGCAGAATGATCACAGGCTCTGGAATCTGGTGCACCTGGATTTGCGACACAGCACAGTTTTTCACCAGCTGGGCAACCTTGAGTCCCTTTCTGAGCCTCACTGATAAGAGGGTGGGGGGAGACAGTACTTGCAATAATAGGCAACATTGCTGTACAGTGGCCAATAAGTGCCTCATGAGTGGTAGTTACTGTAATTGAGGTTTCTCCTCTGACACCAACCTCATTACCCTGATTTGCTTCCACATGAGTAGAAATCATGGCTGTTCTGGCCTCTGCTTGTCATCTCAGCTGATGAACCATCTTTTTTTTTTTAAAAAAAAATTATAAATTGACAATTGATAATTGTGTAAATTTATGGAGCACAAAGTGATGTTATAATTTACGAATACAGTGTGGAATAATTAAATCAACTAGTTAACATATCCATCACCTCAAGAACTTAACATTATTTCGTAATGAGAACATTTGAAATTTACTCTGTGAATACTTTAGAAATGCTCAATACTACACACAAACTACCAACTACAGACAGTTCTTGACTACTTAGGTGAGACAAACAACTTTTTTGACTTTCTCATGATGCAAAAGCTATACGCACTCAGTAGAAACCATATTTTGAGTACCCATTCTATTTTTACTGCCAGTACAGTATATAATAAATTGTGTGAGATATTTAATACAATATTTTATTATAAAATAGGCCTTGTATTAGATGACTGTCCTCAACTATAGGCTAATGGAAGTGTTCTGAGTGCATTTCAGGTAGGTGAGGTGAAGTTATAATGTTCTGTAGGTTAAGTGTATTAAATGCTTTCGACTTAGGATATTTCCAACTTTCCGTGTTTACTGGGACATAACCCTATCGTACATTTAGGAATATCTGTATATTTACCTTGCTGTGCTTTAGGACTTAAAACAAAACAAAACAATGATTTTCCTTCTGTCTAACTGGATTTTTGTACCTTTTAACCATCACGCCTATCTCCCCATCCCTCGAAAAGCTCTTACTGCTTTTATTTCATTTTTGTCTTCCTCTTCCACTGTGCTCACCAGCAGGACAGATAACTGTGGCAGAGGCCTCCTGAGCTCGTTAGCTGAGCTCTCACATCTCTCTGGTCTTTTTGTCTCACACGTTTTCTGTTTCATCTGTGGCTTGCCTTTGCTGTCTGGCTGGGCAAATCCTCCCCGTGCCAGTGCTGACGTCGCAGTGCCCTTTTAAGAGGAGCACCCCGCTGGGTGCCAATGGCTCCTGATCTAAGCAGAGAGGGCTGAGCTGGGGGGAGCCAAGAGCTCCTTCCTGGGGCTGGGAGGAGCAGCTATTCTGGGAAACAAACGCTCCAGGCATCTCATTAGCATAATCTCAGGAATTAATGGCTTGATTGATGTTTCACGTTTCCCTGCAGTTTTCTATAAATGATAATACATTAAAAGGAGATGGAGGAAAGAAAACATGACACGACATATATTATTTAGGTGTTTGCAGAGAGGCTGACACACAAACACACACAATTTATCAACAGTCACTTTTTGCATGGTGTTCTGAGCCCCAAGCCTCCAAGATGTGGAATTAATTTCATAGCAGGTGATTTTAGACTATTTCACATGGGCCATCTGTCGCTTCTTCATTTAACTCTCTGCTGTTACAATAATTAATCATTTCAGGGACTGGCTTGGCCCAAGCCAGTCCACTCTGGCTGAGAGCTCCACAAAAGGGGGTAACGTTGGATTACTTGCTTTAAAGTGGTGTGCTCCTTTGAAGCAGGTATGTTCAATTTTTTTTCTTGTTCTCTTGTATCTGCTAACACCATTGGCTCAAGAGCTGGTGACTGCTCCAGAGTATTAGATTTTTGTTGCTTAATCTGTTCATCTTCTACATTTGCAATTGAAAAAAAAACAAGTTCAGAGAGGTTGCTTGAATTGTCTAGGCTCACACAGCCAACCTGAGGGAGCTGAGACCAGAACCCCTGGTCAATTTTTCATACCTTGGTCTTGCTGTCTTTTGTCTGAACGGGTTCTTCAGAGAAAGAAGAAAACTCACCAGGAATAAGAAGAAGGGAACCCTAGAAACCCTAGGGGTATCTCAGCGTAGGGTATTTGGGACATACTCAAATTAAATGCTACATGTCAACGATTTAATCATTTCAGAAATCAAAATGTAACCAGCTCTAAGATGGAATTAGTGCCAGAGGAAACGAAGAGACATGAGGCATTGGTCCACCATGCTTGATGAAACTGTGGAAGAGAAAAAACACCATGCTGCTTTTTAAATTGAGACGCATTCACCTGCCATCATTTATTGATGGACTTACTAATGACACAAATATTCTTTCATTGATTAATCAGTTCATGCCAACACTGGGCTGGATGCTAGAGGTACAGTGAAGTCCATGCACTCATGGGACGGATAATTTAGTCGAGGGACATAAAATGAAGAGTTAAACAAACAAATACAAATTGGCGTAAATGCTACCAAAGAAACAAACAAGGAGTGAAGATGGGGAAGGACTGGTGGCTGTTCCTCCATGTGTGTGTGGGTGAATATAGACCGGATGGTCACAGAAAGCCTCTTGAAGGGAACTGCACTTGAAATTGGACCCTGAAGGATAGGAGCTGACATGTGACCACAGCAGGAGGGCAATCCCAGGAGCTGGTGCTGCATCCACAATGGCCCTGGGGTGGGAAGGAAGATCAGCACCACAGAAATGGAGTCAGGGGCTCAAGAACCAGTAACGAAGGGGTAGAAGAGTAAGTGGGGCCACTGTAATCCTACAGGGGATTACACCTGTAATCCCAGCATTTTAGGAGGCCGAGGTGGGCGGATCGTCTGAGGTCAGGAGGTCGAGACCAGCCTGGCCAACATGGTGAAACCCCATCTCTACTAAAAATACAAAAATCAGCCCAACACGGTGGTGTGTGCCTGTAGTCCCAGCTACTCGGGAGGCTGAGGCAGGAGAATCACTTGAACCTGGGAAGTGGAGGTTGCAGTGAGCCAAGATCACGCCACTGCACTCCAGCCTGGACGACAGAGTGAGACTCCGTCTCAAAACAAAAAAAAAAAGAAGAGGTAAGTGGGAGGAAGATCATTGAAGGCCTCTCCAGGTCATGGTGAAAAGTCTGGATATGACTCATGGGAACCACGGGATGGATTTCACTGGGAAAACAGAGCCTGGTGTATACTTCATTTTCTCCTTTTTACAGATGAAGACACTGAGGTGCAGAGAAACTTGCTGAAGACGACATGATGATAGGTGGAGTAGCTGGATTTCGAATTTCTAACCTAGCCCTCTTCAATTTCAGAGTTCAATGCTCTAAACCAGGGGTCAGCAAACTGTGGCCTATAGACCAAGTCCAGACTACTGCCTATTTTTGTATAAACAAAGTGTCATTGGAGCACAGCCATTTCCATCCATTTGTGTCATGTCAGTGGCTGCTTTCCCACTACAAAGGCAGAATTGAGGAGCTGCAACAGACACTGTGTTAGGCAGAGCCCAAAATATTTACTATCTGGCCCTTTAGAGAGAAAGTTTATTGACCCCTGCACTAGCCTGTAGGCCTCAGGCAGGGAGGAATCATGTCTGCTTTGCTCCTGGTGTTTCCCCTGAGTCACTCAGTGATTGGTATTTAGCTAGTATCCCCTCAGCATCTGCTGAATAAATGAAGAATGGGAGGTGACTGCACAGAATTGAGGAATTAAAGAGTCAGAGATTGGGTGGCCAGGATTGGCAGGAGATAAGAAACACAGGCCGATGGGCATAGGCTCTGCTTGGAGTGCAGCAGGTAGACCCCTGCTTGGCTAGAAAGCAGCATGCAGAGGGGAGGGGCAGGGTGTCAGGTTAGAGAGACCACCTGGGGGTTGATTGAGAAGAGCCTTGAATGCCATCATCATGAAGTGCCCAAGACCTTTAAGTGGCTGAGTTAGCACTCACAGAGGGGATGGAGGAGACCTGCTTTCCCAAGATGAAGATTGTAATTGGTTATTGATGTCCTATTTGTATGCTAATGCTGCTTAATAAAATAGCTAAGCCATAATTAACGTTCCAGGTTTCTCTCTTCCTCAAAAAAAAGAGCCATGGAAAGGTCAATGGATTTCGTATAATAAATTATTAAATAACGGGAAACACAAGAAATCAGTTTCTGAGCTATAATCTTTTCAGGTTTTATTAACTATCATTTGTTACAAGCACTGACAATGTTTACATTTTGCTTCTGCCATCTTCTTGCCAGTTCCAGGAATTTTTGGAATCGGAATCAGTGTTGAGTGCAAAAATATATTGTTTGCCAGAGTTTACCTATTTGAAAATCAAGACAGGTTACCTCTGTGATCTGACTTCTCTCTTTGTGTCAATGTTTAGGCCAATGGTATGGCAGCACATTGGCAGATGTTATGGTAGATGGAAACTGTGATGAACAACACTATGATGCCAGTTACATTTAGTTGGTAATAACGAAAATATGCCAGGACCCTCTGTAGTTAAAATTCTTACTCCTGTCATGCAAATTCTGCCAGAGGGAAGACTAGCAAAAATTCAGCATGACATAGGGGTACCCATGAGCTTGGGCTCCGGGGTCAGACACTCTGCATTTGAATCACAGTCTCACTTTTCAGTAGCTGTGAATTTTGTCCTTGCTTCTTCCATGCCTCATTTTATTAAACTAGGAAACAGGGATGTCAGCAATGCTTACTGCATGGAGTTATGAAGACTAAATAAGAAAATGCATGTAAAGTGCATGTCAGAATGTTGGGCACACAGTAAATGTTCAATGAGTGTTGAAAGTGCTCAAGGACAATGGCCCATAAGAAGCCAAATGTATCAGTAAATTTGTTAGCTTTAAAGAGAACAGACACTGGGGTCTACTTGAGGGTGAAGGATGGGAGGAGGAAGAGGAGAAGGAAAGATAAATATTGAGTACTGGGCTTAATGCCTGGGGGATGAAATAATCTGTAAAACAAACCCCCATGACATGAGTTTACCTATGTAACAAACCTTCACGTGTACTTCTGCACGTAAAATAAAAGTTAAAACTATTGTTAGCTTTAAATTTTCTCTTCAACTGTCAATCAATTCATTGGTAGTGTACCTAGTCCTGTGCTATGTGTGTTGGGAAGATGCTAAAAGAATATTGGCCAAAGTCATCCTGGCTGCCAAATAATTTACAATTCTTGCTGTGAAATCACGTCAAAGGTCTCTGAAGCAATCAGAGGACAACCCAATGGAGTAGAACTCAAATGTTCATTTATTGGGTATCTACTAAGTATTAGGGACTAGGCTGGGTGGTGATAAAGAAATGAATCAGAAGAATGCAGCTTACAGTCTAGTGGTGTCTGTAGACAAAAACTTCAATAAAGGGCAATGGAGTCAACATTATAAGTGTTTCCTCAAACAGAAAAAATAAGGACCTAGTTCTACTAATGATAGGACTTCATCAAATTTCTGGCCTTAATTTCCTCATTTCAGGTTTCAACCAAAGACATAAAAGATATTTACCTGGCCTAAGGACTCACTCCCTAAGAATGTGTAATACTTGCACAGAATTCTTGTTCCATAGTCAAATGATCAAGGATACACTTCCAAAAAATACATTTACATAACAGAAGTCATAATCCCAGCATTTTAACATCCCTCTAATTCTTTGAATTCTTTTTTTCACCATCATATTTTCAAGTACAATTTTAAATGTAATTCCCATCAAATTTCACATATCGTTAGGACCGCAGTTGTACAGAATCAGATACTAGCAGTAATACCCAATTCAGAACATACTCTCATCATTTTGTGCCTGTGGATTTTTGTGTCCTGGGTTTTCCATTTTGTATTCAGCAATACACAAGCATTTTAATGTTGCTGCTTAGTTTTAATGGATATTTTTGGTATCATCATTGTTGTTGAATGTATGGGTTGTCTGGTTTCACACCTTGTCACATACTTTACATTACGGCTTATATTAAACTATGTATGTTTTCCCAAGTGTAAAGGTACTGTGGGAGTAGGCAGAGTCCCAGTAGGGAAAATATCAGATGTCACTGAGCTCTTCTCTTGGCCTTGGCCATGCAAAGAACATGTCAGAGTGGTGAGACTGGGTATTCCCCTCCTAGGATCCATGGCACCACTCTGCACGCTCTGATAAGCTTGACCAACCTTTTTTCATAATTATCAATGTTTTGCAAGTATTATCTATCCTTCTGTTTTTTGCTTCAATATTATCAAGTATATTCTAGGCATTGTATTTACATGATCTGTAGTGGCTGCCTAGTGTTATGCATCACACTGAGTGGATTTTGCTCATCAAACGTTTCCATTGTTAGGTAACAAATAATTTCACAGTGGACATCTTTAAGTCTGAAGCTTGTTGGTGTTTGATAAGGGCTAAGACATGAAACCTTTCTCTTTCTCTCACAAGATCTGATACAAATGAATGAGAGATGTTAAGGCCAGTTAGATACAGAATAAGGTATCAGGTATACCAATTTCCTAAAATTTTTTTTCTGAATTGAATTTCACATCTCTTATTGTTCAGTACAGACCAAACTGTCTCCCCAGATGGAGCATGGAGAAAGAAAATTAGCCCAACATATGTATGAGCATTCTTCTGTGGCTCCTTCTCCCAAATCCACTCATCAGCCAAATTCCTCCCTTCCCTCTGGGACTGCAGAGAAAAAGAGAGTATCTTCTGGGATGTGGAATTTCCCCTCATCAAAAGAAAACAGACGCTGGGAGATAAATGATACCCCTTGTAAAGCTTTTGGATTCATCCCCAGGAGGGTGATTCCTGAGTTAAAGGGGAAATACATTTTTATCGCATAGTGCCAAATTATTTTTCAAAAGAGCTATACCTATGTTGGCTTTTAAGCTGCCCAAATTTTAAATTATCCAACGTGCATAAATACCTGGGGAAGTGTATTTAGCATAATTGTATTTCAATAAGCATATGAAGTAGAAATTGTTGACTGTTCTCTAGTAGAGATTGCCAAAACTCAACTAACCAACCTGGGTATTAGCACCCTTAAACAGAGTAGGGGCCATCTGAGCTGAATCAGGCACCAGTTGGAAAGCATGAAATTACTGACTTTGTTTAAATCTAACTACAATTTATCTGTTGGAGAAGCATTGAAAGGTGACATTTGTCTTGGTGCATTTCCCTTTCATTTCCGGAGCCGGAGTTCATCAGTCATGCAGCTCAAGTGCATGATACATGCAGATGAATATTTATTATAGATGATGGAGTATCCTTCTGCCAACATAATACACTTCATTCACTGGGAAGGGAATTCAGGCAGATTCATGATAGACTACTTGTGTGACTGGAGGAGGCTTTCACCTCCCTTCAGGAGAAATCCATGGAGAATCTGCCATTTTGGTGCAAGGAGAATCCACTTGGGTAGTGTCCATGTAAAAATTGATTTTAAAACATCATGGCTCGAATTTAGTTAAGTAACTTTTATTTGGAAAAGACTTGCTATTTCAAAAATAATTCATTAGTGGTGATGAAAAAAACCAGCTTTATGCCTGAATTCAGCCAATAGTTTTGAAGCACGTTGGTTGTGGAATGCAATCTGTTTGAATCATGTTAAGTTCACTTGTGAAGATACAGAGTTTCCATGTGTTAGAAAAGGATCTTAAAATAAAGCGTGCATTTCCAACATTGATCTGATACTAGAGGTTAAGTGCTTCTTTCTTAGGAAATGCAAGATCAAAGACAATGAAATGACAGGAAAAAAAAATACTAGAGCATGATTTTCTTTTTTTTTAATTTAGAAGCCACTCCTTTTCCCAGGAGAGCTGAGCAGAGAAATCACTAGAAGAATAGCTTCCTTGTGCCCTTTAAGCTACCTTTTGTTTTCTTTTGATGACTGATGGGAATCTTGTTCATTAAAATTGTATGGATGCCTTCTCCTTTCCTCCCACTGTTTATTTACACATAAAAAATAGATGATTTCCAGGATCCAAACATCATGCCTGCTAAGGCTGCTGAAAACCTCCATGTAAACAGTCCTTTCTGCAGAAACATTGTGAGTTTCCTGAAATATACTACAGCGTATTCAAGTGGGTAAATTTGTGGAAGTGTAGACAAGGCTGACTATCTGAGGAAAACCAGTGTTACAATGGGCCTTTTTTGTTTTAACAAAGCAGAACCACCGTGCCTTCCCAGTCTCTAGACACATGCCTCTCTCATTGCATGCTGAATGGAAGTTACAGGAGGTGCAGTGAGTATGAGAGACTGAAACCAAAAGTACAGCCATCGAGGAAGATTAAACTCAACTTGACCTCCAAGGCTGATGGACGAATGATGATTAGAAAGAGGATATGCCTATCTAAATTGCACTCTATCTCTATTACAGTCTAACGACATTACTAAAATTGCTGTTTGATAATTCCTCAACGCGAAATGTGTCCACTTATCTCTGCCTATACAAACAATCATTGATTCAGCCTCTCAGTGTGAGTCTCACCAAATTATTACTGGCAGATGGTCAGACCATTGAATTTGGGTTTGAATCCAAATCACCTCTGTGTTTTTTTTTTTCTTTTTCTCTCTCTCTCTCCATTTCTCCTTTTCTCTTCCTGTCTCTCCAACAAATATTTAACACAGTTTAATACTGTGTTAAAGTGGTCCCGTTATTTAACACAGTTTCATTTCTGGCTGTACCACTTGCTCACTGGTGATCTTGACCAAGTCACTTAAAATTTTGGAATCTTGGTTTCTCCTACATAAAAGGAGAATGACATCTGCCTTGCTTGATTCACAGACTTTTTGAGAAGCATAAAAGTCACAGTATTTCATAGGGAGTCAAATGCTGTAGATACATGAAGATCCCCACTTGGGCTATAGTGTTCATTTATGAATTCATTGAGTACTCACTGTGTGCTAGGCACTGAGCTGGGTTCAGGGGATATGAAGATGAATAAAATGTATTCCCTGTGCTTCACATTTGTTGAGTTGAGGAGGGGTGACAGATGTATAAAGAAGTGTAGACAAGGACAGGTGTTGTGGGGAAGAGCATTTCATACAGAAAAAAGAGCATGTCAAGATCCAGATGCAGGATGGTGAATGACAACCACAGGGTCATCTTTCACCCTGCGAGCCATGAGCATTGCTGTGTTTGTTTGTCTGGACTCCTCCTGCACATCCCCAGAGGCTAAGCACCTCTATTCCTTATAACCTGGACCAGCCCAGGTTGGGCCTGCCTACATTATCTTACTGGATGCTGTTGCCCTTATAATTATGACATCATTGTGTAGCTGCTGCTGAGGGTAGAGGTGGAACAGAGAAAAAGAAAAGCAGTATGGGCATGAGAAAGGCTTGGGAGGGTGCTAACCCTCCTCTACTTGTGCCTTTTCCTTTTTTTTTTTTTTTTTTTTTTGAGACGGAGTCTCGCTCTTTCGCCCAGGCTGGACTGCAGTGGCGCTATCTTGGCTCACTGCAAGCTCCGCCTCCGGGTTCACGCCATTCTCCTGCCTCAACCTCCCGAGTAGCCGGGACTACAGGCGCCCGCTACCACGCCCGGCTAATTTTTTTTTGTATTTTTAGTAGAGACGGGGTTTCACCGTATTAGCCAGGATGGTCTCGACCTCCTGACCTTGTGATCCACCCGCCTCGGCCTCCCAAAGTGCTGGGATTACAGGCGTGAGCCACCGCGCCCGGCCTACTTGTGCCTTTTCCTAGTGATCTGGTGTTCTTGTGATGAATTGGATGTACCATGTGACAGGATCACTTCAGATGGTAGACTTACTAGAATCCTAGGAAAAAGAGGCACCTGCGGTAGCTTCTCAGGCTTCAGAGCTGGAGCTCTCCTTGGCCCCTGGACACAGTTCCTTGTAGCATAACAAGCAGAAGTGGAGTCAAACAAACCTGCTTGGAAGCGTAACTTGCACACTTACCATCTGTGTGATCTAGAGCAAGTTAGTTAAATACTTTAAGCCTCGACTTTCTTGTTTAGAAAATAGGAGTGATCATCACAGCAGTAATCTCCTGGGGTTGCTGGGTGAAAAATAGACATGAATTGCTCAGCACTGGCCTCCATACATAATAAGCACTTAGTACGTGGTTCTGTTTTAGAGATTGCTCGACTTCTGGATTTTGAGAGAATTAGCAGGGGAAAGAAAGAAAAATGGCTTCATCTTCCCCCATGGGTACCACTTGCTTCTTTCAGAGGGAGAAATGCTTTTTGTAGCAAGGCTGTAGTGAAGAGAGAGACCTGCTCCAGCTGTCATGCCAGCTGCTGCAAATGAAAATTTCCTGTAGGTGTTTATGTGCATCTTCCCAGCAGGTGTTTCCCAGGTATATTTCCTGGCTGGTGTGGTCTATAGGACTCTCTTTCCAGCTTGGCAGTCTGTGCTGTGTTTCAGTAACAACCCCAATCTCAGTGATTTAGATCCACAAAGGTTTATTTATTGCTTGTGCTATCTGTCCCTTGGAGGCTGGCAGGACTACTCAGATCATTTTGGTCACTCAAAGACCCAAGTGATAGAAGCTCTATCATGATGCATGGTTCCATGAATTTCAAGGCAGGAAAAGGAATATGGTAAAGCTTGCATTGGCTCTTTCTTTTTAAAAAGTTATTATTTATTAAATTAATATTTTTTTAATCAACAAATCATAACCATCTGCATTTAGGGGGTATAATGTGATGTTTGAGATACGTATAGAATGTAGAATGATTAAATCAAACTAATTAACATAGCCATAACCTTGTTTAACTATCATTTTTTATAGTGAAACATTTAAAATGTACTCTTAGGTATTTTGAAATATACAATACATTATTACCATCTACATTCAATAATGTGCCAAGTCCTGTACATTACCTTGCTAATCCTCACCCAAACCCTATTTGATAGGGAACTTTATCCTTATTTTATTGATGAGAAATCAAATGCAGATTTTCCCAGGATGACACAGGTAATAAATAGTAACGCTGAGACTTGACCTCAGGCCTCTCAGACTTCCCAATGCAGTGAGATTATGATTCTGTAACAATCACTTTATTTGCCTGTCTCTTCTACTAGCTGGGGGATGCTCTGAGGGTTTAGTCTGCATTTTATTCTTCATTTACTCCCAATGCTTAGCATCGTGTCTGGCACAGAGGAGGTGCCCAAGAGGGATTTGTTGAATGACTGAATGGTTAGTTGTGGCCAAAAATGGGGGGAACAAAAGGCATCAGGGGAATCAGGCAAAGGAGGCAGTGGTGCAGTGGTGAACTCTTTAGCATTGCTTTAAGATTAATGGAAACCTTGACATAGAGAGGCTGACACCATAGAAGGCATTTGATCATCTCATTTAACAGGTGGTGTAGACATTAATAGACTGAAGGGTTCAGAGCTGAAAAATCTTTCTGCTTTAGGTCAGCACCTCTCTCTTACTGCAAGTATCATGTCCGATTGTCACCTCCTGAAAAGTCAAGATTCTTGGCTCACAGAGATACCTAGAAAGACAGAGGCCACCTTCAGAGATATAGATATGGTTCCTTTGTTCCATGCCATCTGGACAGCATTGCCAACCCTGTGTGAACCATCAGCAATAACATCTCCTTGTGTGATGGCTTATTTTTCAGTAACTGAAAGTAAACAAACTGCAGCCGTATTTGGGGACACTACCTAGTCCTGTGACTTTGGGCAAACTAATTAATCTCTTTGGACCTCAGATTATTTTTCTGTTAAATAGGAGTACTGGTCTTCACAGTTACTTCCCAATATTGTTTTTGCCCACATTTTCTGATAGGACATGCAGACTGCATTTCTCAGTTTCTCTTGTAACTAGCGACTGTGTGGCCAACTTCAGGCCAGTGGTCTCTCAGAAGAGTCACATGGCAGTTCTAGGAGCCCTCCTGAGACTCAACGCCCATGCATCCTTCATTCCTCCTCCATCCTGAGCCAGGAATGTGGATGATGCCATCTTGGGCCATGATTTTGAGGCCAAAGACGGTGGATGACATGGAGCCTGTGTTCCTGACACCAGGAAGTGCCCTATCAGCCCTGGACCAATGGCCAGCATAATTTAGGAGAGAAATACCATTATCTTGTTTAGTTAGCTGTTGTTTTAGAGATTCCTGTTACTCACAGCTGAATCTCATTCTAACTAGTAGGCTACGTCAATGTTAAATGTTTTCTAAACTGGCCCAATCATAAGCGCAGCCTGAAATATTTATTCAAAACAGATTCCCAGGCTCCTCCGTGGAAGATTCCAAGTAAGTAGGTTGAGGGTGGGGCCCAGGAACCTATATTTTAAACAAATGCCCTAAAATCATTCTTATGACTAAACAAGTTTGAAAAACACTGACGCAGATAATATCTAACATCCCTTACCTTTTCTAAGCAGGAAAATGATATGTTTGTTTATTTATATATGTATATATGGATATATGGTTTATTTTTAATGTCTCCCTACAGCTATATGGAAAGTGTTTTAGAGGATCCAGGGTATGGGGATGGAGAGAGTAGTAAGTGCAGCTGCCTGTTGAGGTCCAGAAGAGAGAAGATAAGGTCTGAAAATCAGGTCAGAAGAGCTAGGAAAGTGAAGAGTAATCTCACATATCAGTCGGACTGGGTGACTAACTAGGTTAGGGATGGAAAGGAAAACTCTGGTTAACTCCCACGTCTCTGGGTTGGGTGACTGGGCAGAGTGATGCCCTTACCAAGACAGCAATGCAGGTGGAGAGGCAGGTTTGGGGAAGAAAATGAAGAGGCAGGTTTGGGATGCACCCAGTTTGAGGGTCCAATGGGTGGAGCTGTGCAGCACAGTCTAAGATTACAGATATCCCTTTCCTGGGCAGAGCTTGAGTGATGATGGTAGTAATACTTACAGAAAGTTAATGAGTTGGACGGTAAGGGTGTCATCCATCCACACCTCCTGATTCCAGCTGGGCCACTGGGTCTAATGTCCACTTTGAATCTAAACATTTCCCACCTTTAATAATGGACATTGGAGATAACAAAAGGTGGAAAGGTTGGAGGAGAGTGAGGGTTGAAAAATTACCTATTGGGAACAATGTTTATTATTTGCATGAGGGTTACACGAAAAGCCCAAACTTCACCCATATGCAATATGTGCATGTAAGAAACCTGCACTTGTACCCCCTAAATATAAAAAAATTTAAACATAATTTTAAAAATTAAAAAATTAAAATGCAAAATTTCCACTTGTTTTGTGGTCACTTTTTTTCTTCCCAACATAGAAATGAAAGAATCAAGTTATTCAATGGGCAGATACATTCATTCATTTGATCATTCATTTGTTCATCAAGGAATAGCGTCTAATATGTACTCAGAACTGAGAATAAAATGTTGAAAAAGATAGGCATGGCTCCTGCCTTCATGGAGCTTAGACTGATGGGTGAGTCTGACAAAAAAATAAAAATTAGCTGGATATGGTGCCATGTGCCTGTAGTTCCAGCTACTTGGGAGGCTGAGGTGAAAGGATTGCTTCAGTCCAGGATTTCGAGGCTACAGTGAGCTATGACTGCACCACTGCACTCCAGGTTGGGCCACAGAGTGAGATCCTATGCCAAAAAAAAAATGTAAAAATAAATAAAAATCTGAACTATGAGAAGTTCTACAAAGGAACCAAATTTTGTTGGGAAGCACATAGCGTAGTAGGATGAGTACAAGGTTTGGAAACAAAAGCATGCGCAGGAGGCTTGTGCTCTCATTCTCCAGCTTTGCAGTGTCTGCAAATCACAGCTGCAGTTTCTCATCTGTGAAATGGGGTGGTTATCAATTTCCATACCTCACAGTTGTTGTATAGTTTAGGCTAAGTGATGCTGTCCTAACAAACCACATCCACATCTCAGCGGTTTATAAGAACCACATTTATTTCTTATTCATGTTACTTGTTGGTTGGAGGCCAGCTATGACTCTGCTCCATGGTCTCGTCTCTTTGGAAGGAGCAGGTGGCATCTGGGCACGGGTATTCATGTGTCAGAAGAAAGCGAGAAATGGCAGAACTATGTGCCTCTTATTGGTTCTGCTTGGATGTGAAGCAGAGTTCTGCTTGCCATCCACTAACCAAAGACATTCCCATGATTCAGTTCAGGGTCACTGGTGAGGAGGGGGTGAAACTCTTTTCTTCCATTGAGAGGGCACCAGGAGAAGCACAATAGGACATGGCAACTTGTATTTTAGAAAACTTTCTACTGACATATAATAAACCTACAGAAAGGATATAAGAAACCTAAGATGGTAACAAATGTTTCTAAACAATAATATAACAGTCCAGGCACGGTGGCTCATGCCTGTAATCCAAGCACTTTGGGAGGCTGAGGCGGGCGGATCACGAGGTCAGGAGTTCGAGACCAGCCTGGTCAATATGGTGAAACCCCGTCTCTACTAAAAATACAAAAATTAGCTGGGTGGGGTGGCATGTGCCTGTAGTCCCAGCTACTTGGAAGGCTGAGGCAGAAGAATCGCTTGAACCCAGGAGGCAGAGACTGCAGTGAGCTGAGATCGTGCCACTGCACTCCAGCCTGGGTGATAGAGGAAGACACCGTCTCAGAAAAAAAAAAAAAAAAAAAAAAAAAGGCCAGGAACGGTGGCTCATGCCTGTAATCCCAGAACTTTGGGAGGCCAAGGTGGGCGGGTCACCTGAAGTTGGGAATTTGAGATCAGCCTGACCAACATGCAGAAACCCTGTCTCTACTAAAAATACAAGAAATTAGCTGGACGTGTTGGTGCATGCCTGTAATTCCAGCTACTCAGGAGGCTGAGGCAAGAGAATTGCCTGAATTCGGGAGGCAGAGGTTGTGGTGAGCCAAGATTGTGCCATTGCACTCCAGCCTGGGCAACAAGAGTGAAACTCCATCTCAAAAAAAAAAAAAATGCAATAATATAACAATCCACAGATGTGACAATCAATTTGGGTAAATGCGTTAATAAGCTTATGTAATATAAGGCTCACATGCAAACATCAAGAAGTAATTCTCTGATAATCTGCAGTTCCATTTAAAGAAACTACCCCAGGTGAAGACTCAATGTAGTGAATGATGTATCAGTCATTTGTCTGAAATGAGAGGGTGATCATGAGATTTGTGACAATGGCTGAAGGACGAAAAGGGAAAAAATAACTTATATTAACATCCCCATTTTTACTGATGGGGAAATCAAAACTCAAATATGTTATACAACTTCCTCAAGGTCACACAGATAGGATTTGAGCCAGGTTGGCTGACAAGAATCTGTATTCACAACCATCAGTCTCTGTAACAGCTGCAAGGCTGGAGTAAGGCTGCCTTAGAATTCAGCTCCTTCTTATGGCAGACATTCTAGAGAGAAGCAGGAGAGCTACTCTAAGACCCAAGCTCTCTCTCTCTCTGAGAGAACAGGGGAGGAGTTCCAGGGCTCCCTGAAACCCTTCTTATCCAGCTTCCTAGGTACCAAGGAACTGCTATCCCAAAGATCCAATGGGTAATTACTGAAGATGGTGAGGTTACCTCTATCGTTGCTAATGACTTGATGCAGTTTGCAGAGGGCATGGGGTCATGTTGCTGAAACTAGTCCCCCTTATCAAAGAGGAAGGCAGCACACATGGCCCTGGCCTCTTTGGGTGAGAACTCATGGGAACAGGGCTGCTTTTCCTCCTACAGTAGAGAAGGTGAGAATTGCCTGTCCTCCCAGTAACTCAGGCTGCTTGTGGAGACCCTGTAGCCTCCCACACTGATCCTCTGCCTGGAGACCTTCACCTACTCACTTTTTTGACTCCTGGATGAATTGTATTCTTTTTCCAAAGCCAGATTTAGATATCAGGAGTCTAAGGTATATTTACTTGTTCCAGGCACATCATTTTCATGTGTCACCAGAGTTGACTTGTCCATGATTGAGAAGCTTCCAAAGGAACAGCTTGTCGAAACTGTCAGCTCTTACCATTTTCTTTGTTTTTCTTCCTCCACTTCACTGTGGACCCAGTGGCATTTTCCAGGTTGAGAGAGGCTGTCTTACCGAGGGAAGGTCTGAATGGCACCAGGAGTGGTGAGAATCATAGGTGCTCATGAGATCTAGTTTGAAGACCACCGATTTGAATGCAAAGAAAATCTGGCATTATTTATTATTATTATTATTTTTTGAGATGAAGTTTCACTCTTTTTGCCTAGGCTGGAGTGCAATGGTGCAATCTCAGCTCACTGCAACCTCTGCCTCCTGGGTTCAAGCGATTCTTCTGCCTCAGCCTCCTGAGTAGCTGGGATTACAGGTATGTGCCACCATGCCTAGCTAATTTCACATCTTTAGTAGAGACGGGGTTTCTCCATGTTGGTCAGGCTGGTCTCGAACCCCCAACCTCAGGTGATCCACCCGCCTCGGCCTTCCAAACTGCTGAGATTATAGGCATGAGCCACTGCACCCGGCCTCACTCTGGTATTATTATATTTGTCATTCACTGAATATTTTATTATATAAGGCTCTGTGCTAAGAACTTAAGCTTTATCTCATTAAATCTTCACTGCGGCCTTGTAAAGTAGATACTGATGTTCCCATTTTATAGACGAAGGGACTGAGGATTATAATGTTTTTCTAATATCCCCAAGGCCACTCAGCTAATAACTAGCAGGCCTGGATTCAAATTCAGACGGGTGTGACATCAGAGTCCATTGTCATAACCCCATACAAGGCTGTTCTTCCTTTCCCCAGGTCATTGTGTTGTCCACAATTACTCACTTCCTGCCCCTTCCTTTTTTTTTTTTTCTTTCTTTTTTATTTATTTATTTATTTATTTATTTATTTATTTATTTATATTTTTATTGATCATTCTTGGGTGTTTCTCGCAGAGGGGGATTTGGCAGGGTCATAGGACAATAGTGGAGGGAAGGTCAGCAGATAAACAAGTGAACAAAGGTCTCTGGTTTTCCTAGGCAGAGGACCCTGCGGCCTTCCGCAGTGTTTGTGTCCCTGGGTACTTAAGATTAGGGAGTGGTGATGACTCTTAACGAGCATGCTGCCTTCAAGCATCTGTTTAACAAAGCACATCTTGCACCGCCCTTAATCCATTTAACCCTGAGCGGACACAGCACATGTTTCAGAGAGCACAGGGTTGGGGATAAGGTCACAGATCAACAGGATCCCAAGGCAGAAGAATTTTTCTTAGTACAGAACAAAATGAAAAGTCTCCCATGTCTACTTCTATCCACACAGACCCGGCAACCATCCGATTTCTCAATTTTTTCCCCACCCTTCCCGCCTTTCTATTCCACAAAACCGCCATTGTCATCATGGCCCATCCCCAATGAGCCGCTGGGCACACCTCCCAGACGGGGTCGTGGCCGGGCAGAGGGGCTCCTCACTTCCCAGTAGGGGCGGCCGGGCAGAAGCGCCCCTCACCTCCCGGATGGGGCGGCTGGCCGGGCGGGGGGCTGTCCCCCCCACCTCCCTCCCGGACGGGGCGGCTGGCCTGGCAGAGGGGTCCTCACTTCCCAGTAGGGGCGGCCGGGCAGAGGCGCCCCTCACCTCCCGGACGGCCTGTCCCTTCCTTTTAAGAGGACTACACGTGACCCCTTTCCCTGTAATGTCATGTGACTTGCAGTGTCTCCCATAGGAGGGAGGAGGATACAACTCCTGACTCACGGATGGACTTGGGGTTTGACCATGTGACTTGTGTTGGCCAGTGGACTGTGAGTAGATGAAACATACCCCGTGCCCAAGCAGAAGCCTTTAAGAGTCTTCATGAGTTTCTGCCTGCTTTCTTGCTCTTTCTGCCAAGAGAGTGCCACATTCCACAGAGGGGTGTTCCTCCAGGCTGGATCTCAGCATAAGACAGGTGGTGCAGATTCTACAGCTGCTGAGCTGCAGCCATCCACATGCAACATGAGCTAGAAAGAAATTGTTTTTTTAAGCCACTGGGATTTTGGCGCTCTTTGTTATTGCATCTAAATTGGGCTAATACATCAAAGGATATTTGGAAACATATGGTTCATGTAGATACTAATAATCTCAGGAAGATAGTCCTGAACTTGATTCTCATTTGTGTCACCATGGATGGGTTGATGACCATACCTGTGGAGATCAACTTAAGTAATTAGCTACAAAAACACTCAAGTCAACCATGACTTTTTATGTTAGTAGTTATTACCCCAGTGAGCACTGTTCTTGGTGATACGGAATTTAGTTCCACTACTTTATAAAGTCCATGGAGGGTAGGGACCGTGTTTGTTTTGCTCAAAACTATGTAGTGCATGCCACATAGTGGATACTCAATAATTACTTAATGAATGAATTATGTTGGGAGGGGTTTTGCAATGAAAAAGTGTTTTATGAGTGATTTTCTTTTTAATTTTTTTTTAGACAGAGTTTCGCTCTTGTTGCCCAGGCTGGAGTGCAACAGCACGATCTTGGCTCACTGCAACCTCTGCCACCCGGGTTCAAGCAATTCTCCTGCCTCAGCCTCCCAAAGTAGCTGAGATTACAAGCACCCACCACCACACCCAACTCTCTTTTTTTGTATTTTTAATAGAGATGGGGTTTCACTATGTTGGCCAGGCAGGTCTTGAACTCCTGACTTCAGGTGATCCACCCACCTTGGCCTCCCAAAGTGCTGAGATTACAAGCGTGAGCCACCACATCCAGCCTTGTGAGTGATTAAAATTTTAACCAGCTGAAATAAACCACTTACATACTTTAGGACTCCTCAGAGACTTCAGTGCATTGAAGCAAATTGTGACTCTCCGAGAGAGGGCAGGGCTAATAGGTCACAAAATTATCTGACCATGGAACTCTTTTCTTCCTAGGAACATCTCATAGAAACACATTCTGGAAAATGCTGGTTTGGGGAATGGAGAACACAGGCACTAGTGTTTTGCCTCATTTGCTACCTTGTCCCATGGAATAGGTCTCTAGTGGGGTCATGGTCTGCAGCTGACTGGAATGAGAATTAGGCTTAGAGTTGGCTGTTTACATTTCTGACCATTTCTTTCTGAGGTGAGCTTCTGTGTTAGCAGGAATATCACATTGCTAATTCATAACTCAATATCATTTTCTGTACAAAAGGAACATCTTCTCTGCCTATCTCATATTTTGGAAGAAAAAACAAATGAGACTGAGCAATAACAGAGGCACTTGAGGATAGGATCTGTGGCTTATTTGCTATATCCCTAGCACCTACTTGATGGGCTGGTAGGTGATAGAAATCAACATGCTTCCATGAGTGAATGAATGAATTCACAGCACTAGCCCACGGTGAGCAGAAGGATCTAGGTGGTATTGGGTCTGCATAGAGAAAGGCCAGCTACAGATGACCTGGTAACTCCTCCAAAAATCCAGCCAGTTTTTACCTAGATCTACCGTAAGCAACAATTCCTTTGTGCTACTTAGGAGAAGAGTGAGTCTGGCAAGTAAAAAGTCACAAGGGAATTGCAGATGTCACTGGGTTGTCAACTTCATTCATTCCTCACTCTTTTCCTTTGTGAAGAAAGCTCTGATTTTGTTCACTCTCCACCGAAGCCTTGTGTTTCTGGAGGAAAGAAATAATTGGTCTCAGCCATCAAGGTGGTCTCATTCTCTTTGCTCAAGACTACTTTATGTATGGACATATGACACACTTCTGGCTCATAGGTATGAGGGGAATTGAGCTTGAATGACCGAGAAAGTGTTTTTCATCTCTAAAAGAGACATCAGAGAGGGGACGTGTCCCTATTCTCCTCATGTTCCCTTTGCTTCTGTTGTGTCTACATGTGATGCCTGAAACTGTGGCTACCATCTTGGAAACATAAGAAAAAACATTGCTAATGGGGAGGACAGAGTGGGACAATGAAAAGTGCAGGTTCTTTGAAGTGTTCATGGAGGTTCCAAATGAAGCCTCCACATCCCAAAGTTTCTTTTTCTGTGAGATAATGGTCTTTGCTGTTTAAACTGTTAGTTGGGTTTTCTATTACTTGGTGTTGAAGTTTCCTAACAAATACAAGATGACACAAAAATGAGCAACTTGTGGAGTCTACCCTCAAAGATCTCACAGCCTAGTTGCAACGGCAGCATGAAAATAATGCCAGCATGGTTTGATATGTACCTAAATCCAGGTATAAGCCAGGTGCTTCATGATGGCACAGGAGAATGATCTTGGTCTGCAATGGAGGGTTGGGGAAAGCTTCTCCGAGGAGGTGGCTTTTTGGGTGGAACTTTCAATGAGATGGGCTTTGCCATCCAGGTGGGGTGGGTTCAAAGGATCTGATAGGGCATTGCTTGATTAAGGCTTGTTTGGTTTGGCACATGTCTGGGTTGTAAAGGAGACAGATGAGACAGTGAGAACAAAGCAGGAGGAAATAGCCTGATGTAAAGGACACTGTGAAGGACATGTAGGAGGCACCATAAGGGAGGCTTGGGTGCATCAGGATTCAGGAGTAGGCTGATCTGACTCTCACCTCATGGATTCATGCACTCAATGTCATATCGATTGAATGTTTGTGGTGTGCCAGGCACTCAGCTAGAAGCTGAGGTTACAGGGTTGAGTGCTGGCCTGTAAGCTCCTGAGAGCCTGAAGCTGTTGTGGTCACCACTGAGACTCCTAGAAGCTGGCCTAGAGCTTAACACCCTGGGGACTCACATGTTTGTTGACCAAATACGTAACACAAATAGCATCCTTGCGCTCTTGGCTGTTGTGGATGGAGGAGGAGAGATAGGCATTTAACAAAAAGAGAAAGGTATCAATAAACACAATTTCGATGAAAACCAAATTCCATGGATACTCAACCAAGTCAGAAAAGATAATCCTGAAAAAGGGGCCAGTGAGGATTTTTTGTTGTTAACCTCTCTGGGCCTCAGTTTCCTTATTTGTAAGCTGGGGATAATAATTCTTATTTCCAGGGGATGTTGAGAGGTCAGAAATAATATATGTAAAGTTTCTAGCATGTAGTACATTCAATATTTTTTAATGCAGCTCAGGCAAATCCTCGGGAAAAGTCACTTATGTGGGGCCACACCTCATCTTGGTGTTCTCTTGCATATTAATTTGCCTGGACCAAAACCTACAGCTACTGCTTTTAATTTGTGTTGGCTGTTCACAACTCATTTCTTGACAATACTGGAAATATAAAGTATTATTATATTTCACGATGAAAAAAAAACCCTTCGTGAATTTGATTGATGTCAGAATCACTCCCTCCCTTTGCCCCCGGCGAAAAATGAGCCAACAACTAAGTATTTCTGTCACACACAGTCAAGAAGTGGATTAATGGATCAAAATGACCATTTAACAAGGATAAAGAAAACTCAATTTCAGAGAAGCAAATGCAGACGTGGGTGGGAAAGGTGGGTGGCTTGGGTTGCCTCTTTTTCCATTAAGATGTGGTTGGTTTTTATCATACCCACACATCTGGAGGCTCCTCAAGGGGCCAATCTGAGGGGCTGCAGAGTGGTGAGGCTACCTCATGCCAAGACCTTCTGGCAAGTTTTCCCTCCTAGACTCAGCTCAAGGCCACTTCTCTGTGTCCTCAAACCCAAACCACAAGGACCAACACTGGTGTGAAGCTCTAGGTGTAACTGCAGGGTTCTGTGATGAATGAGCTTGCTTCCAGAAAACAGTGGCTTGAAGCCCCCTGGGCTAAGCGCTAGCTACCTTGAAGGCTAAGGGCTATAGAGTTGAAAGAAAGAGAAAAGCATGTACTGCTGTTCTGGCTATTTATATGACATATGCTTTGTAATCCCATGTAGCAACTCTTCCATATCTACAGAGTTCCCATGTCCAGATGACCAAACTGAGGCTTAGAGAGGGTAATCACATTATTCAAGGTGATAAATCTATAAAGTGGCAAAGCTGAGATTTTTAACTTGCTATTTTTCTTTTGCCCTAGAAATCTGAGTGAAGAGATGAATTGTGGGCATCTTTCTCAAAATTTAATTTGAAAGCATGTCTAAAATATGTAGACCTGTGTTAGGTTATTTCTATGAATCCAACTGTCTGTGTGCTCCATGTGGATGAATGGTGGATTGCATCTGGGCTGCCTCCAGCTCTATCCCCAGTATCTTGTGCTGCACCCAACACAGAGGAGATTCTCAATCTAATGTATTGACTGAAGAATAAATGTGCTTCTTAGCTTTTGATTTCAAGAAGTAACTTATTAAAAAAAAAAAAAGAAAGACAAGCTATCCAGAAGGGAAACCTGTAGAATTAGACACCAAGAATTGCAAAGACCTGGGAGGACATCTAAGGCAAACCCTCATCCGTGACATGAAGCTTCCAGTGACTCATTTTAGGCCTTCATTTCACAGAGAACACAGAGCAGGAAGTGACAGATGTTCCAGACATCTGGGCCACAAGTAATTATGCAGATTTTATAGAAAGTATTTGGCCGAACTGTAATAAGCTTCTCGAGCAAATTGATCAGTTGATCTTTCAGTGAAGGTACTGAGTCACAGAGGAAAGGGAGTATTAAGAAGACACCTCCCATGACTGAACAGGGAACAGCCAGGGCATGGGCTTGCCTGACCTGTCTGGTGGGTAAATGGCAGCCGGGGAGGGGCTGGCCAACTGAGGCCTCTGATAGACACTCCTGGCCGAAAGAGTCCAGAACTGGAGACCATGAGAAATAGAAGGGACTACATTGCCCACCAAAAACGTATTGTCCATCATTCAACTGCTTGACCATCAATAAGTAAAAGTGCCATAGTAACTGACAAGAGGCCTTTCCCCAATGCTGGACTTATTCAATTATTATTAGTAATAGCAGCAGCTGTCATTTACTGAGTACCTACAATGTGAGGATAATAACATCCATTTCCCTGAGTTATTGGGACAACTGAAAGCATGCAAATTGCTTCGCACAGCCAGTTCTGCTATAGTACTTCACATGTGTTCCTAAAAGTCACACAAAAGCCACGGGGCTTATGGAGAGAATGGGGTAAGGGGAAAATACTCAAAAATGTCACGAGTTATATACATATATATATATATATATATATATTTAATCATACACTTTTTAATTAATTTGGTGCATATATATACCTCAAATATATATATATATACCCCAAATAAAATGGTAGCACAGTTTTCCACATTAGTTTAAAAATACATAAATATTCAAAAATATTGCACTTTATCTTACTAGGAATAATTCAAAGTTTACTTGTATAAGTGAGTGTCAGAAGGGTTGTACCTTGTGAGTTATTGAGAAGTTGTGATAGAAGAGTTATTTGAAATCAGATGGAAAGTTGTTATACCAGATGTGGATGGGTGTGGTTCATAACACACACCTTTGTGTATTATGCTGAATATACAACATCCCAGCTGAGGTGACTGGGAGATGTTTGAGGTGTGTTTTGTGTACTCCTACATAATTCGGTTCAGCTGGGTGCACCTAGTTTTTCTCACAGATGAAATATTGCATAAGCAAACATGAAATGTATGTTGTGCTCAAATTGTTTCCTATTGTATCAATTGTGCTGGAACAATTTCACGTTTTCAAAAGAAGCAGCATAACAGAAGTGACTTTATAGGATTCATAGCAAATGCTCAATAAATGATAGTTGTAATTGTTCTGTAGAGAATCTGACATCCATACATTAAACCTATTAGGTACATGTAAATAATCTCGTTTTACAGATGAGTAAAACTGAGGCTCAAAGAGGTAAAATCACTCACTGAGGGGCATAGAGCTATGAATGCTGGAGCTCTATTCACCCCTTTATGTGTCTCTCCCTGGAGTAAGTTTCCTTTTACACCTTATTATGGCATAGTATGCTAGTGGCAGAGGAAGCCACAGGATGACGGCATGCTTCTATTTGCTTGTTTATTTATTTATTTACTTATTGAAATGGAGTCTCACTCTGTCACCCAGGTTGAAGTGCAGTTGCACAAACTTGGCTCACTGCAACCTCCGTCTCCCAAGTTCAAGCAATTCTCCTGCCTCAGCCTCCAGAGTAGCTGGGATTACAGGCACACACCACCACGTCCGGCTAATTTTTTTTGTATTTTTAGTAGAGATGGGGTTTCATCATGTTGGCCATGCTGGTCTCGAACTTCTGACCTCAGGTGATTCACTCACCTTGGCCTCCCAAAGTGCTGGGATTACAGGCATGAGCCACTGCCCCTGACCGACTGCATACTTCTAGAACATCATCTTTACCAGCTTAAAGTATTATTACCTAGAATGCAAATTCATATAATTTTTAAAGACTAGACAAATTTCTGAGACTTTTCCAGTCTGTGCTGCTACCTCAGATGACATATTTATCCTCCTTCTCTGCTCTTCGGGATAATGGAGTGAAAAATGTTGAAGAGTATGTGATATCTCATGCTACTTCCTGATATGGCACAAATCCCTGTATTTAGCCAAAAGTTGCCTCCCTGGAATGCTCACCACTGTGTCCTTAACTAAGTCTTCTTTTCTCTCTGCTGAACTTGGCAGTAAATAGTTTATAGTTTGACAATGTCTTCTATAAATTCTGGGGTTGAGAATTGAGCACACTATTCCAGACATTCCTTAGCAAACCTAAACACAGAGGATCCTGTTGTGCTCTTGGCCTAAGGTGGGATTAACTTTTGTAGTAGATACCCCACTTTACTAGTTCATGCAGATCTCAGGGCCAACTAAATCCCAGATCATTTTTGTGTAAATTCTTGACACCTGGTATCCCTTCTTCATTCTGAGCCCAAACATAGGATTTATATATATGCCCATTAAAATATCTTCTACTTGGTTTTAGTCCACCAAAAGTCCATTTTCTCCCTACTTTTTATTATGGTATGCTTCCAACTTATTCAAAAGCAGAGAGAATAGTGATATAATGAATCTGCATAAACCCATCACCTTCATGAAATTCATCAATTTTCAGCTCATGGACGACCTTGTTTTGTGAAGACGCTTGTTCACTTATGACGCTGCATCTCTCCTGCCCTGAATGTTTTCAATTAAGCAAGTCCTAGACCTCATACCACTTCACTTGTATTGCAGTATGTATCTCTAAAAGATAAGGATTCTTTTAAAAACATACTTATAAGATCATTATCACACCAAAATAAATTAACAATACTTTTTTTCTTTTTTCTTTTTTTTTTTTTTTTTTTTGAGACAGGGTCTCCCTTTGTTGTCCAGGTTGGAGTGCAGTGGCACGATCTCGGCTCACTGCAACCTTCTCCTCCCAGGCTCAAGTGATCGTTCAGCCTCAGACTCCCAAGTAGCTGGGACTACAAGCAGGAGCCACTATGCCCAGCTAATTTTTGCATTTTTTATAGAGACAGGGTTTCACCATATTGCCCAGGTTGCTCTCGAACTCCTGAGCTCAAACTATCTGCCCACCTTGGCCCCCCAAAGTGCTAGGAATATAGGTGTGAGCCACTGCACCCAGCCAACAATACTTTCTTAATATTGTCAAATATCTAGTGTTCAAATTATCTCAATTGTTTTTGTTTAAATTAGGATTCATTATGGATATGTCTTTTAAGTCCCTATTAATTAGGGTTTCTCCTTCATCTCTCCTTTTTTTCTCTTGAGTTTTTGTTATTAAAAAAAAAAGTTTCCTTGTTGTTGGTTAAGTTTCTCAAATCATAAACTTTACTGATTGTATTCCCAGTAGTGTCATCTAACATGTTACTCTGTCTCCTTTTTTTCCCTATAAATTGGCAGTAGAATTCAGAGGCTTGATCAGATTCGGTTTCAATTTTTTAATATACCTTTTTTTTACTATGACAAAATATATGTAACACACAATTTACCATCTAAACTGTTTTAAGTGTATATTTCACTGGCATTAAGTATATTTGCAATGTACAACAATCACCACCATCTACTTTCAGAACTTGTTGATCTTGTTGATCATCCCAAACAGAAACCCTGCATCCAGTAAACAACAACTCCCATTCTCTGCTCCCCCAGCCCCGGCACCCACCAGTCTACTTTCTGTCTCTACGAATTTGACTAGTCTAGGTGTATCCTTTAAGTGGAATCATACAGTATTTGTCCTTTTGTGTTCAGCATATTTCACTTGGCATAATATTTTCAGGATTCATCCATGTCGTGGCAGGTATCAGAATTTCATTGTGTGACTGACATATTTTGCTTATCCATTCATTGGTGGATGGGACAATTGGGTTGTGATTTTGATTTTTTGACAAAAACACTTTTATAAAAATCACATAATGTCCGTACATCTCTCATTAAAGTCTCTTAAATATTAATTTTATTTTATTTTTATTATTTTATTTATTTATTTGAAATGGAGTCTTACTCTGTCACCCAGGCTGGAGTGCAGTGGCTTGATCTCAGCTCACTGTAACGTCCGCCTTCCGCGTTTAAGCGATTCTCCTGCATCAGCCTCCCGAGTAGCTGGGAATATAGGTGCCTGCCACCATACCCAGCTAATTTTTGATTTTTAAGTGAGAGAGGGTTTCACCATGTTGTTCAGGCTGGTCTTGAACTCCTGACCTCAGGTGATCTGCCTGTCTTGGCCTCCCAAAGTGCTGGGATTACAGGTGTGAGCCACCACACCAGAACTTCAATCTTGATTTTATCATTGAATCCCCAAATATAGGTTTTCTGGACCTCTGTGTGTTTGGTGCACTCCTCATTTTCCTCTGCCTTCTGCTTTTGCTGCTCCCCCTTTCTCACAAACCTTTCACCTGTGCTCACTATTCCATATCACCCGCTGCTTGAAACATCCTCCTCCCACCTTAGGGAGCAGCCAGCACTCTTTCCTGAGACCTGCTCCTTCTGGCCCATCTCCCTCATCTGTCTCCCTTGCTCTCTCACAGCTCCACTTGCTCCAGGCTGTGGGTGGATTCCAGGGCTGACTGGCTCCCTCACAGCTCCTCATTGCAGCTTTTGGTCTTTTGTTGCTTTTTTCCGACTTGTTGCTCCTTTTCCCTATGGTGCTGCCTTCTCCTCTGAGGCTTGTGCCATCCAGTAAACGCCTCTGCCTTTCCCAGCTGTGGTTGTTCCTTCCCCAGCATTCCCTGGCGACTTGGGTCCTGGCTCAGTATCTTTCTCTTACCTCACTTTTTTTTTTTGTCTTCATGACTGACCTCAGTGTCCCTGAGAACATTGACTGTACACAGTAGCATCATTGCTTTTTCATTCCTCACCTTGCCAACTCTGGTGACCTTCATCCCCGCTCCACCTCAGCCACCCTACCCTGTAGCCATACTCTGGCGAATGTCAGCACTGCCTGGTTTCATCTCTGAAGACTTCGCATTCAATATCCCTTGCTTTGACACCAGTTTCCTCCTGTCTGCCTCCTTCCTGCTTTCCCCTCCATCTTCTCCCCATTAGTCAGTGGCTACTGGATTCACAGCTTCCCTTTTAACTTAGGCCACTTGGTTGATCACCAAAATAATTCTCTTATTGATGCTCCTGCTTCTGTGGAGCTCTGACCCTCCTGCCAGAAGCATTCAGCCAAACCCCAAATGTGGTCACTGCTACAGCCCTCTCCTCCAGCACTCCGGCTTCTGAGCACTATTGGAGGATGCCACACGACTGTGCAGATTGGGGTTACCCTAGTATCACAGCACCTCAGCCCGAATCCCTGTGCCACCTGAGACTCCTCCTGTAAACCGCTGACCAGCTCTTGCTCTTATTCCACTCGGCAATTCTTCCTCAGTTTCCTCCTCCTCCACATCCTGTATTGTTACTTTTGGGAGAAAATAGAGTTTCTGCCCCTAGCGTGATTCCCCTGTGGTTCTTGCACCCTTGTGTACAATTTTCCTCCATCTGTACCCACCTGTACCCCCTTCCTTCATGTTAGGGGCCACAAGACCCTTATTATTTGGAGGCCATAGTGGCTCCCAGCATCTCGGACTAAACAGAGTGGCCAAATGGCAAGGCAGGCAGGGCTGAGAGAGGGTAAGGGGAGGAAGGAGAGGGAAGGGAGAAACAGAAAGCCAGTATGAATGTTGGAGAAGTGGCGGCAGAGAGAATAAAAGTGGGAGAAGTACATAGCCCCTCCCTCAAATATTCTGAGGGTTTTTTGTGGGTTTGCCTCTGAGTGCTCTCTCTGTGACCTTATCTTTCCTCTCTTCCCTCCAAGCACTGGGGGCAGATTGCTCTACCCAGTGCCTTGTAAATAAGTCATGAAGGTAATGTTTACAAAAGGCTTCACACTCTGTCGTGCAAATGCCCACACAGAAACCCTGGCCCATGGGTCCTGGTGGGGAAGGTAGACCTGTGCTGCCAGGGGTGGTGGTGAGATCTGGCCCATGGTTCCTGGTGGGGAAGGTAGACCTGTGCTCCCAGGGGTGGTGGTGAGATCTGGCCCATGGGTCCTGGTGGGGAAGGTAGACCTATGCTCCCAGGGGTGGTGGGGGGATCTGGCACTCACACTGTGGTCTACTAAATGAGGGATATGCAGACTCTTCCATCTTCAAGCTCTTGATACTTTGTTGTCATGAAGAATCCACAGAGGAAGGGAACCCTATGGAAGTCGGCTGATAACATTTTATCTCTTTATGGAAGTCTGCTGATACGTTTTATCTCTTTCTTGGCATAGTTAGAGAGCCTCAGCAAGAAACTTCTGCAATGTATGTGTTTTGTAAATGGATTTGTTTTCTCTCCTCTTTTTTCATCAAATGATTGTTTACATTTACGAGTTTTTATCTTTCCATTCATGTGCTAATAAATAGACCTTGGGAATCCTGAGATACAAAGTATACTAGCCATACCGGAGGGTCACCTTTTCTACAACCTTCTGTCTAGGGAAAATCTTCCCTCCACGGCTACCGCCCCTCACCCCAAACACACACAGAATTATCCTCTAGCTGGCCAGTGGCTCATGCCTGTAATCGCAGCACTTTGGGAAGCTGAGACAGGCAAATCACTGGAGCCCAAGAGTTCAAGACCAGCCTCTGCCACATAGTGAGATTCCGTCTCTAAAAAGAAGAAGAAAAAAAAGCAAAACAACAAAAAAAACCCACAATTATTCTCTAGCATCCAGCTGTACCTTTCAGCTTTTATTTGTGTCCTTTCATAGTGAGGAGTCCACTGCCTGAGGAGAAAGTCTATTTCACTGCTGGGCAGTACTGCTCATCGTTAGAAAGTTCTTCTGAGGTTATCTAGTTGTACCATCTTGGGTGAGTCACTTCCCCTATCTGGGCTATAGTTTCCCATATGAAAATGAAGCAGTTGAACCAGACCTGACCTCCTAATTCTAAGCTTCTCTGTCCTTTGAATCAATACAAGTTTATTCTCCTGGTTTTCTTCCTTGGTCATTAATTACTCCTTCTTATTCTCCTTCTCTTCTACCCAGCTTTTAAATATTGGTTTTCCTCAGGCTTGCTCTACTTCTCATGTTATATTTACCACTTTTCTGTCCTCCACTTGAAGCCATGGTAATTTTATACATTCCCACAGCTTTAAATGGTACCCCATGTGAAGAATTCTCCAAGTCAGATCTCATCCAGGCACTCCACTGCGATATCTCTCAAGCCTTTCCACCTTGAAATTCCCCAACTAGATTCTTGATCTTCTCTCCACCTGCTTCTGATCTCGGCTTTAAAGTCTCAGGGAGTGGCTCAAGCCAGAAGGCTGAGTTTCATATTGTTCTTTTCCTTAACCTGCCACACCAATCTGTCAGCGTGGTCTACTGGCTGCACTGAACACATATTTCCCCAGACTGTCCACTCTACTACATCTCACCTGCCTCAGCCTGGGACTAAGCCACAGCTTCTCTTGCCTGGGCATTAGCTATGATCACCTTCTGGATTCCCTACCTGTCCCCCTCCTCCAGGCCATTCTTGGCAACACCACCAAGATGAAATTGGAATCACATCCTTCCTCTGTGTAAAATGCTTTAAAAGCTTTCCATTGTGCCTAGAACAAAATCCAAAGTCCTTAATGCAGTCCATAATCCCTGCGTGCTCTGAGCTCACCTTGGCCCCCGAGCTCATCCTAGATGCTCAGGCCACTGTGGCCTTCTCTCCACCCTGCCTCATGCCATTCATATGGGCTGTTTCACCTGGAATTCTCCTCCTTGTGTGCTTGCTTTAGCTGTGTCCTTCTTACCTTTTGGGTTTAAGCTACAACCATTTTTTTTTTTTTTTTTAAGACAGAGTTTCACTCTTGTTGCCCAGGCTGCAGTGCAATGGCACGATCTTGGCTCACTTCAAACTCCACCTCTCTGGTTCAAGCGATTCTCCTGCCTCAGCCTCCCGAGTGTCTGGGATTACAGGCATGCACCACCCCACCTGGCTAATTTTGTATTTTTAGTAGAGATGGGTTTTCTCCATGTTGGTTAGGCTGGTCTCGAACTCGTGACCTCAGGTGATCTACCTGCCTCAGCCTCTCAAAGTGCTGGGATTACAGGCATGGGCCACTGCGCCCGGCCTTACAAACATTGTTAAGAGAGGCCTCATGTGGTTCGCTGATTAACTCTACTAACCCTATGACTTTAGAGAAATGATTTTACCACTCAAAGCTTCTGTTCTTTTAATCTATAAAATGAAGATGACAATATTTATCTGGCAATATTGTCAGGATTAAATAAATTTGTTTGTTCATTCCTGTATACATACATACATACAACCAATAAGTATTTACTGACTGCTTCCAAGGTGCTGTACCTGGAATGGAGGGTACAGAGATGCAGGTACATATGTAGAGTGCTAGCGCAGGGCTTGGTACAAAGCAGGTGTCTAAGGAATGTCTGTTCCCTTAGGGACGATTTAACACTCAGCTGGTCTCTGAAAACACTTTGCACTTCCTCCTGGAGAGTTTATATTTACAGTTTTCCAACCAGCTCCTATCATGGCATAGTAGTATTTATAGAGTGCTCATTATGGGCCAGGAGTTCTGTATATATCACCTAGGGTGGTGATGACAGCCCCATAAGGGAGGCATTACCATTGCCCACACCTTACTGATGAAGATGAAGCTTTCAGAGCTCACAGATCTGTCAGAGTTCTTCTAGCTAGTGACAAACAGGTGAGCCCTGGGCCCCACCGATTTGAAACTTGCCCTACTCTCTACAAAGCTGTGCTGCCTCCTGAATGCTTCATTGCCTATTCTCATGACTGGGCTTTTCTGAAATTAAAGGAAACAAATGCTCACCATAAATGGTGAACACTTAAGAACAACAACAAAAACCTGAACATTACCTCGTTCCTATAACCTAACGCTTATCACCTCACATTCATTTCCCATAAGGACAGCACTTTGGGGACCCAAACAGCTTCCTCGTCTGGCGATTGTCAATGGATAGCATGGAAGAGTGGCCTGGATGGCCATAGAGGTGCTGACCCTCCTTGCTGGTCACGTAGCCCTGTGACTCAGGTTTTTCATCTAGAAATTGAGGCCCTGGGTTCTTAGCTTCGACCTGTTTCTCAAGGACATTGTGAGGATAGGGTTTGCGAAGTGTTTTATCTTGTTCTGGGTCCCTCAGTCACATAAACGGAGCCCTCTGGCTTCCATCCCAAGTCACAGTGATATTGTCTTATTGTGGTTAAAACTGAGTTAGGCCAAATTATCTCTGAGGTTCCTCCCAAGTCTGAGCCCCTATAGTTCACCCATGTAATTATCGACTGTCTCTATAAGTTTTCTGTGGATGTCTGGAGATCAAAAGGAAGAGATTACCTTACTTGTATTTTTGGACCATTCTGAAGAATAATAATAAGAGTAGTGGATATTGTTAGTTGCTTACTGAGTTCCAGGAACCATGTTTGATACTTAAGAATCACCTCACTTAAGGTTTGTAACAATTCATATTATATTGATGGGGGAACTGAGACCCAGAGAGATTAGGTCACACAGCTAGTAAGTCATAGTCCTGGGATTTAAACCCAGGCCATCTGATGTCCCTGACATTTATGCTATGCAGGGTATGTATTGAAAAGAAGATGGCACAGAGAAGGAGATGAAGAACTTTGCTATAGAAACGATGGTGGTGAAGCAAGGGAATCAGAGAAGGCTTCACAGAGGAGGTGATGATTAGGCTGAGTCTTGCAGGTTGAACAGGAGTGCTACAGATGATGGGGTGGGTTAGGGGAGGGGAAGGACATTGGAGACACAGGGAGCAGCATGCAGAAAGGCATTGGGGGTTAACGTTGTACCATTATTGGGAAATTGCACATGTTTAAAGGAAGAAGGCTGAGGCAAGATGGGAGAGGTAGGAAGGCGTGGGTCTTGTGGGCCACTGTGTGCCATGCTGACACAAATGACTAAGCAGAGGACTAACAAAGTCAAATTTACTATTTTTTTCTTTTTTAAAGAAGAACATATACCAAAGTCTTTTAATAGTCTTGGAAGGCCCAAATAAAGAGATAGTCACCATTATCTTTTCATTTTCTATATTTTCCTCCTTTGAGAAGGTGATATGGATTCTGTTAATTCAACATGATCTGATTAGAATTTTGCAGTGAGTGCCTCACCCCATTGAATGATAAATTAGTTCTGGGAAGACCACCCGGAAGGCTCACATAGTTCTAAATATGGGGGCCCTTGGGCCATGTACTTAGGGGAAAGGGTCATCATTACCATTATCATTCACCACCATCCCCATCATATTTACAATATCCAGAATTTATTATGCAACTATGCTGGGTGATTTGCATGCATAATCTCATCTAAACCCTCTTTTACCACAACTCCTTGATGAGCCATGCTCACGACCTTCATTTTACAGATAAGAAAACTAAAAGTTACAGACCTTAAACTTGCTTAAGATTCTAATTGATGAGGAAGAGCAGGGCTGAAAATCAGCCCCAGGCTGTGTGGCTCAAGGCCCCTTAACCCCCTTCTCATGTTGACGGTCTTCAAGTTTTGGTGTGCATAGCAGGCACCTTGCTCAATCTGTTCAAAAAACTGATTCTCAATTCCTCCCACCCTTCCCATGCCTGGCTGTTGACTCACTAAGTCTAGGGCATGGCCTGAGATTTGGAATCTTTAGGACGTGATCTAGGTGGTTCTGAAACTGGCATTTTGAGGATGAACTTTCCAGGACCGCTGCTGAGTGAAGAGCTCACCACCTTTGGGAATTCATCACCAGGAGGGAAATGAGAATATTAAACAATAATGCAAGATTTAAGTAACTCTTCCGGGATGGTGGTGACTTCACAGTTATTATGGATTAAGGACCATGTAGTGGTTTCAGGGAGGGGTCTTTACGAGCTAGATTAGCCAGCAGCCTGATGACCCATGAGTTACAAAGCTCCACAAGATGTACTACTAAAGGATTCAATGTTGAGGCCATGATAATTCTGCATATATAAGTATTAAATGGTATAAATAATGCTTATATTATAAGCATTACTTTTAATGGCAAAAACTGCAATTACTTTTGCACCGACTTAATCTTTTATTAATTTCCTATGGGTACTATAACATATTTTCACAAACTGGCTTAAAACAACAGAAATTTATTTCTTTCACAACTCTGAAGACCAGAAGTGCAAAATCAAGGTGTTAGCAAAGCTGTGCTCCCTCCAGAGGCTCCAAAGGGAGATTCCATTCCTTGGGTCTTCCAGCTTCTGGTGGCTCCACTCTTCCTTGGTTTGTGGCTGCATCACTTCAGTCTCTGCCTCGATCTTCACATTGTCTTTTTCTCTGTGTCTGTTTGTCTCTCTCTCTGTGTCTCTCTCTCTCTTTTTTTTTTTTTTTTTGAGATGGAGTCTTATTTTGTTGCTCAGGCTGGAGTGCAGTGACATGATCCCTGCTCATTGCAACCTCTGCCTCTTGTGCCTCAGCCACCCTGTAGCTGGGATTACAGACACACACCACCATGCCTAGCTTATTTTTGTATTTTTAGTAGAGACGGGGTTTCACCATGTTGGCCAGGCTGGTCTTGAACTCCTGACCTCAAGTGATCCACCCTCCTTGGCCTCCCAAAGTGTTGGGATTATAGGTGTGAGCCACCGCGCCAGGCCCCTCTGTTTGTCTCTTATGTGGACACTTGCCATTGGGTTTAAGGCCCACCTAATCTCCTCTACAAAGACCTTTTTTCCAAATAAGTTTACATTCTCAGGTTCCAGGAATTTGGACATGGACATATCTTTTTGGGGACCACCATTTTGACCAGTACATTTTTGTATCACCTCATTCCTTACAAATTGCTTCTTTAGACACACAGTTGTTTGAAACAAGCCCTACACCAGCCACTGAGGCAGCCGAGGTAGATATTGGTGCCCCCATTCAGCAGTTACGGGAAGTGAGGTGAGGCACAAGGTTGGGCAGCCAGTTAGTGGCGGACTCCTGACCCAAGCCAGTGTTGAGAGATGGAGTCTCTGGTTAGGGGGCCCATCTTGAGGCTATGAAGGTGGGAGGGACACAGAGATAAACAGCCATGAGCCACAGACCCTCTGGAGAGAGACAAACAGTACACAGTTTAGGAGTTTGTAAATCAGTGGCTCCAAGGCCAATTAGGAAGTGCAAATGAGATTTGTTTCTTCTTCACTATTTTGGGAATTTTTTTTTATTTTAATAGTTGCTGACATTGAAAAATCAGAAGACAATCTGGATTTTTCCATTTCTTTTGAAAAAAAGAATATTTAGCTAACCTGAGTGCTTATTTCCATGGGGAAACAGTTGGCACGAGCTAGGAAGTAATTGCTCCTTTAGATAAGGCATGATTTGGTGCCTACAGCAGTGATGCAAACTACCCCAAAGCTTAGTGGAAAAAAACAGCTATCTTATTATGCTCACAGATTTCATGGGGCAGGAACTTGAATAGGACACAGAGGGGATGGCTTGTCTCTGCTCTGCAATGTCTGGGGCCTGAGCCAGGAAGACTCTTAGGAGGTACTCTAACAGCTTGGGGCTGGCAGAGCTGTGGCTGAGAGGCCCACTCGCAGCATGCCTTCTTCATTGGTATGTTCAGCTCCTGAGCTGGGATGAATTGAAGGCAGGGCTCAGTTGGGACTGTTGACCTGAATACCTCCATGTCCTCTCTCCAGGGGCCATGGCAGATGAGTATGAGAGGAACTATTCTGGGAGGAAAAATTCCTTTTATGGCCCAGCTTCTGATATCATGCAACATTACTTCTATTGCTTTGGTGGAAGAAGTGTCAAAGAATTTGAGGCTCTTCTTTCTCTCCAAAATCTCCAAACAGCATAGGTGAGCATGTTTTTTTTTTTTTAAACTTGACAACTCAGATGGTTGAGTTAATAAAACTCTTCAGCCAATTACACAGTGTTATCCTAACACCATCAGTCCCTGCAATTTATCTTAGATAAATTTATCTTAGATAATTTATCATTAGATAAATGATCCCGTCTCATTTATCTTTGCTTCTATTTATTTCTCTTTTAATGCCCATCTTCCTCTTCCTATAGGCAAGATTCTAATGTATTGACATTTATCTTTCTGTTTGTAGGTGTTCTGGTAAGATCCATAGTGCTTTGTACGTGTAGAGTTTAATTTACAAAATGAAGTTATCTCAGATATCTCATTCTGTTTCTTATTTTCTGGACTCAGCCTGGTACTTGAAGATCTGTCCTGTTGTTGTGTATACATATGGTTTCTAACTGCTGTTGGCTACTCCGTTCATGTCCATTGCGTAGTCTTATTCCCTCCTCCAAAGATGGTCACGTGGATGGATGCTTCCCTACTCTGCCACCGTCTGTGAGAAACAAAGCAACCCATGCTCCCCTGAGGGACCTACTGGGGAGGATTCCTTATGGAACACATCTAGGAGTGGGAGCTGGGTTGTGTGGTGCATTCATAACTGATTTTTCATTTCAGCATTTTCACCCCCATCAGAAGCATGTAGATGTTCCCAAATCTGCAAGTCCCACCAACTCTTGGTGTTTTCCAGCTTTATGTCTGTCTCATGTTATGTTTATTTTTTCTAATGACTAATGAGTTTGAGCACTCTTCACATGTCTATTGGGCTTTGGGTGGTTACCTTCTTTAGTAAATTACCTTCCATATCCTTCACCCATCTTTCTGTGGCGGTTCCTATCTCTTTCTTGGTGCTTTGCAGCGACATATGCCCTTTGGTTTGTACCAGTCTCTACTCATTTCACAAATTGATGTTATTTGCTGGTTCTTGGAAGTGGACGAGTTTGCATCCACTGGTAGAACAGTTCTGCTGGAAGGAAACACAAGTTGCAGCTGGGACTCTCTAGCCAAGGCTCGGAGGAAAAAGTAGTTAGAACAGGCTTTCTAGAGGAGGCATGCTAGTTTCCTGTGGTGGCTATAACAAATTTGCACAAACATGGTGGTTTGAAAAGACAGAAATTTATTCTTTCACAGTTCTGGAGGCCAGAATTTCAAAGTCAGTTTCAATGAGCTAACATCAACGTGTTGTTATAGTTGTGCCTTTTTTGGAGGCTCAAGGGGCGGATTCTTCCTTTGCCTCTTCTAGCTTCTGAGGGCTACTGACATATTTTTTTTTTTTGACTGGGGCCACATCCCTCCAGTCTCTGCCTCTGTGTGTCTATTGTCCCTCTGCCCTTCTCTTACAAGGATACGTCTAGTGGCATCCAGTGCCCACCCAGAGAATCCAGAATAATCTGTTCCTCTCAAAATATTTAATCCCATCTGCAAAAACTTTACCATATAAAGTAACATGCACAGGTCCAGGGCTTAGGATATCATATCTCTGGGGGGTACCATTCAGCCCCCACTTCATGAGCCATGCTTAATTTGAGGATGACAAGAAAGAGTGGAGGGAAAGACATTTCAGGAAAGGTCTGCAAGTAAAATAACTGCAAGGAGTTTGGGACAACTGGGGCCTTGGGCCAGAGGAGAAGACAGTAGGGGCTGGGGCTGGATGCAGGGGAGGGAGGAGAGATTGGGGTCTCAGCAAATGAGCAACCTGAGCAGGTGAAGATGGGCAACCTGAGCAGCCTCCTGGAAAGGCTAAAATGGGTTTAGCAAAGGCATTTATTTCTTTTGGTGGCTTTTATTTTTACTATATCACTAGTAAAAATGTACAACTACCAAATATGTGGCCTCCCAGTGTTGTGAGAGCAAAAGCTACCTAATGCCTCCTCGAGACAAATCCAATAATCTGTAGAGATAGAGTTGAAAGTATGTGTAGGGATTATAATTTTCACCTTGGTTTGTAGTTGAGCAGATCTTAATTTTGGAAGGTTGATCTCAGGCCAGGCATTGTGGCTCATGCTTGTAATCTCAGCATCAGATTATCTTTGAGAGGCTGGGGCTCAAACTCCTTGAGCTCAGGAGTTTGAGACCAGCCTGGGTAACACAAGGAGACACCTCTACAAAAAAAAAAAAAAGTGAAAAAATAGCTGAGCATGGTGGCACGTGCCTGTAGTCCCAGCTACTTGGGAAGCTGAGGATGGCTTGAGACCTGGAGGTTGAGGCTTTTTAATTTTTATTTTTTTGAGACAGGATCTTGCTCTGTCGCCAAGGCTGGAATACAGTGGTACAATTAATCACGGCTCACTGCAGCCTCAACCTCCAGGGCTGTCTTAGGAATTATAGTTTTTTTTCTCAATATTTGGTATTAGTCTAAATAAAAAGAAAATATATTTTTTATTTGACAATTTTCTTTTAGAGTATAGATTACACGCCACACATTGTCCCAGAGGATAGGGACATAACAGTGAATGAACTGAAGTCCTGGTCTTCACAAAACTTCCATTGTAGAGGGGGAGATTGATGACCAAGAAGTAAACAGTGCTATAGAGAAAAGAAAGCAGTGTAACCAGGATAAGTATTGCAGGGGAGAAGAGTGGGAGA
This sequence comes from Homo sapiens, assembly GCF_000001405.40. NCBI lineage: Eukaryota > Metazoa > Chordata > Mammalia > Primates > Hominidae > Homo > Homo sapiens. The sequence continues at coordinate 127,610,026 of NC_000008.11, read as the reverse complement.
GCCATTATATCAAGGGTGGTCAGGAGGGAGAAGGGTACAGTGGTTAAGAAACCAGACTTCACCTTTGCCACCTACCTGTATGGCGTGGGCAAGTTACTTAACCACCTTGTTATTAATAATTGTGTTTATTTTAACACCTTGTGTGAATTTTCTTCCCTCTGCCAGATGGGGTGTGGTAGTTTTAAAACATGGCTGGGAGTCTTTGACACTATTACTTTTGAGAGGTGGGCTCTGGGTCCCCTTCCTTTGAATTTAAGTGGAATTCTGACTGCTTTGACCAAGAGTGTACACCAAAAATGAAACTGGGACTTCTGAAGTGAGGTCATAAAAAGCCATGCAGCTTCTGTTTCTGTTGCTGGAACACTTGTTCTCGGAACCCTGAGGTGCATATAGAAAGGGCGACTACCCTAAGGATCCGGGAGAGGCCTTTGATCAACAGCCTTTAGGTCATCCCAGCACAGAAGCCAGGCATATGAGTGAATGAGCCTGCAGATGGTTCCAGCACCCTGCTCTGCAAGTTGCTGCCAGTCATTTGTGCCTTCTCTCCTGAGGCACTGACATCGTGTAGCAGAGATGCACCTTTCCACACTGTGCCCTGAGTGTCCTAACCCATAGATTCCATGAGCATAATGAAATAGTTGTCTTGTCCCTCCTACATTTGGGGCTGTTTGTTGCATAGCAGTAGACAAAGGGCAACAGGAATCCACATCACTGCTGGGTTATTATGTGGCTTAAATGAGTTAATGATTACAAATTTAAATGTTTTTAAACTCAATGATTCCAACCATTTTCCAGGTTAGGAATGGAGATTGCTAAGTAGAAGAATTTTTTTTTTTTTTTTTTAACTAATGATTTGGTCAAATTTCTAGCAATTTAATTTTTATGTTTTCCTTGTACTATGTATTTGCTCCATTAAAAACTTGGAAGGCTCCTGGCTTCCTCTTTAGGAATATTGTAGATAATTGGTGTTATGCCCACCTCAGCATGGGGTGCTTTCAACATGGATGGCCTCTTTTGTCTTTGTAACTGTGGGCAGTCGAGTGTGTCACATCTAGGGAAGTGTCTCATTAGTATAGACTCCTGGATAATTAAATAGTCAGCATGGATCAATCAATAGATCATTTCTGGTTTTCAGAAATTAATGTTTCTTCTCTACAACTATTGTCTTTGAAAAATGAAAAACTGAAGTTTGTCCTTGATCTGAGATGCCCACCAGCAACCACTCCATCTCTCTACAAACTCTACAGAAAAGTTTATAGAACAAATTTTGCAGAAAAGTTCTTGAAAGAATTGTCTGGACTTGTCACCATTTACTCTCTTCCCGTTCTCCATCAACTCATTTTAAGCAGAACTTGGTCTACACTGTTCTACTGAAACCAACTTCTTTTATTTATTTATTTATTTTTGAGATGGAGTTTCGTTCTTGTTGCCCAAGCTGGAGTGCAATGGCATAATGTCGGCTCACTGCAACCTCCACCTCCTGGGTTCAAGCGATTCTCCTACCTCAGCCTCCCGAGTAGCTGGGATTACAGGCATTCGTCACCACGTCCGGCTAATTTTTGTTATTATTATTTTTTTTAGTAGAGATGGGGTTTTGCCATGTTGGCCAAGCTGGTCTTGAACTCCTGACCTCAGGTGATCCGCCCACCTCAGCCTCCCAAAGTGCTGAGATTACAGGTGTGAGCTACCAAGCCCAGCCTAAAACCACCTTCTATTCAGATCACCAGTGGCCTTCATGTGGCTATATCCAGCCATTGATTTGACATCCTCAGCTCCATCCTCCATCTTCAAGTGGCCTCACTTGACTATATGACCCAGTTGGTCATCCTTTCCTGGTAGAATCATTTCTTCACTTGGCAGCCAGAACCTCACTCTCTGTTGCCCTCCTCCACCTCACTAGCATCTCTTCATCTGTTCGATGAGTCTTCCATTTACATGCTAACGACTCCTCAATTGTTCTCTCAAACCTGAATCTTTCCTCTATACTCCAGACTCTTACATTCAACTACCAGCTTAGTAGGCATCTCAAGCTTAACATGTTCAAAACGGAACTGCTGGTATCTCCCAAGATTACTCCTACCCCAATCTTTCTTTCTTAAAAAATGACTACTGCTTTCTTCCAAGTGAGCAACCTGAAAGTCTAGAGGCATCCCTGACTCCTGTCCTCTCCTGTCCTGATGGATCTACCTTCAAAATACATTAACAATCTGTCTACTTCTCACCACTTCCACTGCCACCATGCTGTTCTAAGCTACTTCATCTCCCACCTCATCTATTGCAGCGGACTCTTCTTTCTGCTTCCATTTGTGTCCCTTTGTGGCCTATTCTCCTGGTGATATTTTAAAATCATATGCTAGGTTAGATTATTTCACTCCTTAGCTCCAAACCTCTCAGTGGCTTTTCATCTCACTCAGAGTAAAAACTAAATTTCTAGACCAGGTGCAGTCGCTCATGTATGTAATCAACCCTAGTACTTTGGGAGGCCAAGGCGGGCAGAGGTCAGGAGTTTGAGACCAACCTGGCCAACATGGTGAAACATCTCTACCAAAAAATACAAGTATTACCCAGGCATGGTGTTGGTGCACGCCTGTAGTCCCAGCTACTTGGGAAGCTGAGGCAGAAGAATCGCTTGAACCTGAGAGGCAGAGGTTGCAATGAGCCGAGATCGTGCCACTACACCCCAGCCTGGGCAACAGAGTGAGACCCTGTCTCAAATAAATAAATAAATAAATAAATAAATGAAGTTCTCATAGTGGTCTGTAAATTTGACATAGACTTCTGATTCTCCTTTAAAAAAAAAAATTAAACAACAACTCAAAGCAGAGGCCTCTGATTGTCAGCTGCACTTCTGACCAGATCCCTCAGCGTCTGCCCTGCTCTCACTCTGCTCCAGCCACAGGGCTCCAGGGCTCCACTGCCATTCCTCAGGGCCTTGCATTTACTGTTTCCTCTGCCTGGAATGCTCTTTCCCTCGGTGGCTTATTTCGAACTTTGTTCGTATTTCTGTTCACATGTCCCTCTCTGAGAAAGACTTCCTGTGAACTCCCAACTGAAAGATCCTTCTCTTTTCCTGATGCTTTGCTTTTTTTTTTTTTCTTGGAGGTTAACACAGCCTGACATATGTATTTATTATATACCTTTAGTTCCTATATTATAAACCCTATTATGCAGGAACTGCATTTTTAATTTATATATATATTTTTGGAGGCAACCCTTCCTGCCTCAGGTGAGAGCACCGTAGGATCCTCAGCCTCTCCTTTGGTCCTATACCCCCTTGGGGACCTCCCCAAGGAGGAGGAGCCAGGGGCAGTGGTAGAGGATAATTTATATTTTTAAACAGTTGTATCCTCTGCACCTGGAACAGTGACTGGGACATAATAGGCATGTAAAAGGAATCTGTTAAATGAGTAAATAAGCAAGCAAATCAAAGAAAAGATTCCTCTTTGCATTAGGCCAAGTTTGCAGAGTGCTGTTTTAGATGATGTATATGAAAGAGAAAAGTAAACTAGAAAAAGCCTTGCAAATTTCAGTACTTATTGTTGCTGCCTTTTGGGAAAAGCTCATGTCACCATGGCAAAGAAAGATGGGGTCTTGGATTTGAATTTTTTCTGTGAGGCCACCTAGTGCAACTCTCTCTGATGGCTGTATATATCCAGAAATATCTCATTTAATCACCCCCAAGGAGCCCATCCTCTAGCCTTTTTCTTTTCTTTTTAAACAGTTACTTTATGCTTGATATGTATTGACATGGAAAGGGCTTTTAAGAAAAGGAAGGGGTTTCGTGCTCCTTCCCCCACACCTTGTCCTATGCATCGCTGCATCTGACATGAAATGACTTTGAAATCTGAAATACCCATGATATCTTGGGTGATGTCAGAAAAATGCTCTAATGGGGATGCAAGTGCCCAGAGTATTTCCTAATAAAATAGAAATGGTTTATACAAGATCATGCAACTAGGGGAATGCAAGGAGGAGATACTCACAAGCACGAAGCCTCGTTTCTCTCCCAGGACTGGCTCTGGAACTGTGGGAGGTGCTGCCAGATTCTATCAACACTTGGACAGTACAGTATGAACAGCTCCTGACTGACCAACAAGGAGCTGCGTGGTTTACAGATGGCAGCTCCAAGGTGAATGGACAGCATCCTGTTTGGAAGGCTGTTATTTTGATCAAAGAAGGTAAAGGCAGATCAGCTCAGTGGGCTGAATTGCATGCTGTTTTCCTAAAAGTCATGGAAGAATTAAACAATAGTAGAAGCCTCTGTTTTTGTTTTTTTTTTTTTTTTTTGAGATGAAGTCTCACTCTGTTGCCCAGGCTGGAGTACAGTGGCACGATCTCAGGTCACTGCAACTTCTGCCTCCCGAGTTCAAGTAGTTCTCCTGCCTCAGCCTCCTGAGTAGCTGGAATTATAGGCAGGCACCACCATGACCAGCTAATTTTTATATTTTTAGTAGAGACGGGGTTTCACCGAGTTGGCAAGGCTGCTCTCGAACTCCTAACCTCAAGTGATCCACCCACCTTGACTTCCCAGTGTTGGGATTACAGGCGTGAGCCACAGCACCTGGCCTGTATTTGGGTTTTTATTGACTTACTAGCAGTGAGCAATGACCTGGCTCCATGGTCAGGGAAAAGGTCAATGGAAACCTGTCCAATTAAAGAAATGCCCATATGGAGCATGGCCCTATGGAAATCTGAGAGGGGCATTAACGTAGAACAAGTCAGTGCCCGTCAGAAGAACCCCTTTCCAAGTTCAGAAGGTGACTAGCATCAACAAGCAGATATTCCTGCGTGCTTCTTTGAGGTGGCCACCTGGGACCATAAGATGAGTGGATATGTGGGCAGTGCAGAGATAGACTGAATCTAGACACAGTCCTCTTGCACCTCTCAGGCACAAAATGTCAGTAAAAGCTGTTTTGTATGCAAAGAAAAGAGATAGAGATTGCTAATGGCTATCGGGCAGATTCTCTGGTGCGAAGGCCCTGAACATAGCTAGGAAGTGAGACTTGTGCTAGCAGCCCTGGGGGTGACAAATGGGCCTTGTCAGGCACAGACACTGACTGTGGAGTGGGCTTTGCTTACTTGGTGGAAGATGTAAATGCTCATGGTACCATAAAAAACAGAGAAGTGTAGCATGGCTTTGGACAACTTGGACAGCTGACCATCATTTCTTCAGACCAAGGAGCACACTGTATAGTCCATAATGTCCAAAAATGGGCAGAGAGATATCCTCCTGAGAGTAATCGTTTAATAGAGAAGTAGCCTGGGCAATGGAAACATTGGTTGTCTAAAACGGGGAGATAAAAGCATGAAGGGCTGGGGATGCTGGAGATAAAAGCATGAGTGGGACTAGAGTGTCCCCACTAGATTTTTTTCTGTTTTTCTGGTTGAAGAGGAGCTGGGGAGGATGATGGTATGGCTATACAGTTTTTGTCAAGAGAGTATGCTGGTATAACAACTATAGTTTTTTCTTTTCTTTTCTTTTCTTTTTTTTTTTGAGATGGAGTCTTGCTCTGTCACCGAGGCTGGAGTGCAATGATGCAATGACGTGATCTCAGCTCACTGCAACCTCTGCCTCCCGAATTCAAGGGATTCTTGTGTCTCCAGCCTCCCGAGTAGCTGGGATTACAGTCATGCACCATCATGCCGGGCTAATTTTTGTATTTTTAGTAGAGATGGGGTTTCACCACGTTGGCCAAGCTGGTCTCAAACTCCTGACCTCAGGTGATTCACCCACCTTGGCATCCCAAAGTGCTGGGATTACAGGCGTGAGCCACTGCACCTGGCTATAATTTTGTTCTTCTCCAAATCATCCAAAAATTGTGTCTTCTCTGCTACCTGACACAGTGCTGCTAGGACCAGGGCTGCAAGTACAAGTACCAGAAGCAGGGATGGCTTCTAAATAAGAAAGTGTAACAATGACAATGTCTTTTTTTTTTTGATGGAATCTCACTTTGTAGCCCAAGCTGGAGTGCAGTGGCACAATCTCAGCTCACTGCAACCTCCAATTCCCAGGCTCAAGCAATTCCCGTGCAGCAGCCTTCCGAGCAGCTGGGACTACAGGTGCGCGCCACCATGCCCGGCTAATTTTTTTACATTTTTGTAGAGATGGGGCTTGACCATGTTTCCCAGGGTGGTCTCAAACTCCTGAGTTCAGGCAATCTGCCCGCCTCAGCCTCTCAAAGTGTTGGGATTACAGGCATAAGCCACCACGCCCGGCCTATGTTTTTAAACCTTATATCAGAATTCCAAGGGCCTGATGGGCGTGTGCCTTCATCTAGCAAAACTGGTCTAAGAATAAATGCAGCTACTGTGCCTGGTGGTAAAAATAGTTCACTAATTCTGCACTTATATAACCTCATCCTATCGGAATGGAAGTGGACTGAGAAGGACGTACTTGGTAGACTTGTATTGCTGCCTATAATCTAGATCAGCACAGTGACCATTCTAATGTCCATTCCAAAGGTGAAAAAGTTTGGGTATTCATGGAGAGAAGGAGAAATGGCAACTGAGAGTAAAGAAATGAAACCATGGGTTCTTAATTGAGGGAAATTCAATATTATGTTAACTACTCAAAAGAATTTCAGAGCAAGAGATGACACTGTCTCTTAGCTCAGTGATTCAAGGTGCCTGAGAGGGTGAAGCTGTGTATTTACCCAGGCCTCTCCTGCTTGTAGAACCTGACAAGATCAAAAGGAAGCCTGCAAACCTGAGTGGCCTCACCCTGGGAAGATATTCATGCAATATGATGGAGTGGACTAATTATTACTGATTATGTATATTCTTTTGATGCAAGGGATCCATGTCGAAAACCAGGGAGTGGACTGTGGTGTTATGATATATTGGTTTCCATCCATGGTTCCTGGCTCAGATCTCTTAAAATCCCTGGGTTCTCCACACTGCTATCTTTTGTGTGTCTTTTGTCTGATAGTTTCAGGGTGAGGTTGGTCACCCAAAAGACCAAGGCAAGATTAGAGGGTGGGGACTTTCAGCTCACTCCCCAACCTCTGGGGAGGAAAGAGGGGCTGAAGGTCAAGTTGATCATCAATGTCCAGTGGTTTAATCAATCATGCTTAAGTAGTGAAACCTCTATAAAAACCCAAGAGAAGAAGATTCAGAGAACTTCTGGATAGCTGAATGCATGGAGGTTCCCGGAGGGTGGCTTGCCCAGGGAGGCCATGGAAACTCCACACCCCTTCCCCAGTATCCCACCATATGAATCTCTTCATCTGTATCCTTTGTAATATCCTTTAAAATAAACCAATAAATGTGGAAAAAAAATCACAGGAGACCTTAATGGCTTTGTTGACATCACCATCTGTTATGCCTAGAACATTCCCAGTTTGAATCCCTATTAAGAAAGGGAAATCCATATATTTGCCAAGCCTTGCTGTGGGTAAACCAATGTTAGTTTCTTCCAGTTCACTGTAGCTTCTTGAAGAAGCTCCTAGGGAAACCATCTGGTCTTGGCAGTCAGGAAGATAGTTTCAAACACACAGCCTAGCCCACCCACACTTCAGAGTAATTGTAGCTAAAATGGCACTTCTTACATGCCAGACACTGTTCTAAGGGCTTTGCGGGTTATTATCTCATCACATCCTTACGACAATCGTAGAAGGTAGCTGCTATTAATATCCCCATTTTATAGATGAAAAAACTGAGGACATGCATAACTTACTGAAGGAATAGAGCTAACAAGAAATAGAGGTGGGGCACTCCACTTTCAGAGCCCAGTATCTGTTTCCTTTTTTGCTTGCTGCTCACACCTTTCCATTCTCTGTTTATATCTTCATCTTGGCCTCCAGTTTAGCTCTCAACCTCCTAATATGTTTAAGATACCATAGTTATCATGAACATTGATTTAGAAATTGCATAGACCTGAATTCAAATTCAAATTTTACCAAGGGGGCTGTGTGGTCTTGAGTAAGTCACCACATCCTTCTGTGTCTCGTTTTCCACATTTTTGTTATGCTGGTGATTCAAATATCTACTCTACAGGGTTGTGTTAGGGGTTAAGTTGGGTCATGTGTAGAAAATGCTCTGCACAGTGCCTGGCACACTGAGTGCACCTACACAGCAGATATTATTGCTGTTATTGTCTTTGTTCTTACTGAAGTAGGATATGGGTCTATTTAAAGCTCCGAGGCTCCAGTGGAGGTATTTGAGGTGTTCCCCTGCCCCACTGGCTCCACAGGACCTTGGGAAACTCTCCTTCTAGGCTGCCCCAAAGGTGTCCCAGCCCTGCATTTGCCTATCCATCAGACCTCATGAATTTGACCTGGATGGCTTGATACTCACCATTTATATTCCTAGGTGTACACAATCTACTTGTTAATAATGTGTCCTGGAATCTTCTTAGGGTTGAATATTCAGGTCACATTTGCTTTGGTCCCAGTGTCAGATAAAACAAGCCCCGAATCACCCTAAAGTCTACCCCAGGCCTTCTCTGTCTTTCCAAGAGTGATGGTCATTCCTTTGGGATTTGGGCCTTTCAAAGTTGGTGAGGTGCATTCCCACAGTATTCTCACCTCTCTTGACTCTTCATTGTCTCTGCATCATTCTTGTTCTTTTAGTGGGAGGAAGACCTTGGTGGGGAGAGATGGATTCAAGCCTTCAAGAGAGTAATCATGCTCTCCCAAGTCCTCTGAAAACCTACTGCCATCCTTTATTGAAGAACTTTATAGGTTTCCAAGCGTTTTCACACATTCTGTCAGCTGACCCTCACTGTGGGTCACGATCCACAGTGTGTACTCCAATCATACTAACATGTTTTATTTCCTGAGAAATTTCCAGCAAATATTTTATTCTTCAAATCACAGATTTGATTTTAATTAAGAAAAGAAAATTATAATTGCTTTTAGCGTGAGACTGAAGCATGTTGCTCCTTGATATCTGCTACCATTTCTTTCCTAGAGTCTCTTAATGCCAGCTACACAATGATCCTTCATTAAAGATGCATGAGATGTCAGGGTAACATACAGCAGGCTCTGTAGGAAGAGAGATATGAGTCCAGATCCCAGGTTTGCCTGTCACCAGCTCTGTGACTTTGAGCATGGCATTTAACTTTAATTCTTTGTGCTAAAATCAGGCTAACTTGCTCCCTGTCTCATTGGCTTGGTGTAAAAATTAAATAAAATAATTAAATAAAGCATTTAACACAGTCCCTGACCCACAAGATGTACTCAAATATGATTTAAAGTCATTATTACCCTCTGTCAGCCACCCACTGTGTGATAAGCCCTATTCCAGGTGTTTTACATACACTGTCTCAATTAAACTTTATATCAATCTTATGAGATAGCATTGATGATATTTATTTTACAGTGAGAATGCTGAGTGCCAGAGAGGTTAAGAACCTTGCTCCTGGTCCAGAGTCAACTTTAATGGCAGAGCTGAGTGTTCACCTGGATCCATCTGTCCCTGAAACCTATCTTTTTTTCCACTATGCTTCATGGTCCATAAAGTTTTTTTCTGCCTCAATTATCTAAGCCCTTCCTTCCTATTTAGATCTTGATCCTTCCCTAAACAAACTCTCTTCTTCAGTCAAGCTGATATCTTTAATTTTGAGGACCCTGCTTTATATAATCCTACAGTATCTATTAGTTTATTCATTCATTCAAGCAATGACTCTTGAATACTGTATCTGAGGCTGGGCTATTAACGTGAAAAAAAACAAAAAAAAACAGGGATTTCACTCTTGGGAAAGTTGCAGAGTAGTAAAGAATTATATGAAAGGAAGTTAACATGGATGTTTTGGCTGAGATCCTATGACAACAGATTATCACACACCAAAATGTGTTGTGAGATTGACCACCCAGAAGAACTTGTGAAAAGTCAGTGGTCAAGAGTAGTTAGCTCCCTCTTAAGTGCCTCACCTACACCAGGATAGGAAAGTGTCAGGAGGCAAGATGATTTAGAAGAAAGAGGACTTCCTGGTAGAGGTTGCTTCTCCACTGAGCTCAGTGGGTAGGGGCAGGGAACATGTCCCTCATTGGAGTCTACCTAGAAGGGTTTCAGCAAGACCACTCAGAGAGCAGAGTGTGTATCTCTTGAAGTTGCAGGTTGCAGTGGACTTAAGCCTGACTCCCACCCGAGACATTTGAGGGACAAGAGATGTCCTGGTCAGCTGCTGTTGCAAGATCCAAAGGAGAGATGGCTACACTGTGCAGCTTGTCCTCTGAGAGCTTTTCAGGGATAAAAATAGAACACTCTTTCCATGTTCTATATGCAAGAGAGTCAGAGTGGGATTGTAGTCTGTCCGTTCCGTACAGTTGCCTAGAGTGGAGCCCAGATCTCAGCTGGAGCTATGGCCACATTCCTGGGAGATGTGGAAGGAATAAACCATCAGCCGAAACAGAAGTGTGCACCCTCTGCATCAAGGGAGCTGTAGGTCAGAGCAATTTTGGAGGGACCCCCAAAGAACCCACAAAAATGTCTCTTAAAGAGGCATTTTTGAATATCTGCTGTGCTCAAAGAATATAGAGCCAGCTTACAAGAATACCAGGCAAGCAAATATTTTCATGTGCCCCTTGCCTTAATTTCTACCCTTCTCCAACTCCATAGTGGCAGAAACCACTTAGTAACTCAATGAAGGAGAAGTCTGAGCTCCAGGCTTCTCAGCTAGCATGGGCCTTACCCAGGGAACAGGAGAAGATTGACCTTGGAATCAAGTTTGGATTGCAGATTATTGTATGAAGAAGCATTCCAATATCTGAATGCAGGATACTTCATGATATAAAGGAACACTGACTTTTATTAATTACCAGTGAGTAGAAAATTCACTGGATTGTACAAGTTTTCATTTGAGGCCAGAGGATGACCTTTCCCAATTGAATACATTTTAAAGGGATAATGGGAGCACAGTGATGTTGCTTTCTTCTCACACCCCACGAGCCCAGCTTGTTCAACACTCTGGCTTTAGTTACAAGTGAGATCTAGGAGGGAAATGTTCCATGAGTGAGGGGGTACTGCATAGCACCATGGGGGTGCTTGAGCAGCACTATTTCTGCCACCTAAAATTTTATCTTTCTATTCTCTTCATTCCTAAGATGAACTCAGCTTCCAAGGTCCAGGCTAATTTTCATTTCCTCCATCCCTGATCACATCCAACCTTCTCTCCTTGGAACTACCATAACATTCACCCAGCCCTTCTTTTTTTTGTTTTTTTAAAATTATACTTTAAATTCTAGGGTAAATGTGCAGAACATGCAGATTTGTTACATAGGTATACATGTGCCATGTTTGTTTGCTGCACCCATCAACTGGTCATTTACATTTGGCATTTCTCCTAATGCTATTCCTCCCCCAGCCCCCCACCGCCCTGTGTCCATGTGTTCTCGTTGTTCAACTCCCACCTATGAGTGAGGACATGCGGTGTTTGGTTTTCTGTCCTTGTGATTGTTTGCTTAGAATGATGCTTCATCCATGCCCCTGCAAAGGACATGAACTCATCCTTTTTATGGCTGCATAGTATTCTATGGTGTATATGTGCCACATTTTCTTAATCCAGTCTATCACTGTACATGTGCCACATTTTCTTAAGCCAGTCTATCATTGATGGACATTTGGGTTGGTTCCAAGTCTTTGCTATTGTGAATAGTGCTGCAATAAAAACACGTGTGCATGTGTCTTTATAGTAGCATGATTTATAATCCTTTGGGTATATACCCAGTAATGGGATCGCTGGGTCAAATGGTATTTCTAGTTCTAGATCCTTGAGGAATCACCACACTGTCTTCAACAATGGTTGAACTAGTTTTCACTCCCACCAACAGTGTAAAAGCATTCCTATTTCTCCACATCATCTCCAGCATCTGTTGTTTCCTGACTTTTTAATGATTGCCATTCTAACTGGCATGAGATGGTATCTCATTGTGGTTTTGATTTGCATTTCTCTGATGACCAGTGATGAAGAACATTTTTTCATATGTCTATTGGCTGCATAAATGTCTTCTTTTGAGAAGTGTCTGTTCATATCCTTTGCCCACTTTTTGATGGAGTTTTTTTTTTTTCTTGTTAATTTGTGTAAGTTCTTTGTAGATTCTGGATATTAGCCCTTTGTCAGATGGGTAGATTGTAAAAATTTTCTCCTGTTCTGTAGGTTGCCTGTTCACTCTGATGGTAGTTTATTTGCTGTGCAGAAGCTCTTTAGTTTAATTAGATCTCATTTGTCAATTTTGGCTTTTGTTGAAATTGCTTTTGGTGTTTTAGTCATGAAGTCTTTGCCCATGCCTATGTCCTGAATGGTATTGCCTAGGTTTTCTTCTAGCACTTAGCCCTTCTTTTATATTTGTTACGTGTCCTTTCACTCACTCAAAGGCCCAGATTATAAATTTAATAAATATATCATTTTTTGATATCCAGGGTGCTGAACAAGCTGGATTCATGGGGTGTGAACAGAAAGCAACATCACTGTGCTCCCATTGTCCCTTGATGCAATATTCCCCTTGATGCTGCCTCTATAGCATCATAGAGTATTTGTTTGCTAGGGCTAGTAGAATAAAGTACTGCAAACTCGGTGGCTTGGACAAGAGAGATTTATTTTCTTCCCATTCTGGAGGACAGAAGTCCAAGAGCAAGATGTTGAATGGCTATGCTCCCTCTAAAATTGAGGATGAACCTATTCCATGCCCTCTGCCTAGCTTCTGCTGGTTTGCTGGCAGTCACTGGCATGCTGTGGCTTGTAGACTCGTCACCCCAACCTCTGCCTTCATCTTTATAAGCTGGTCTTTCTGTGTGCGTGTCTGTGTCCAAATTTCCTCTTTTGTAAAGACACCAGTCATGTTGAATTAGGGGTCTATTTTACTCCAGTATGACCTCATCTTAGATTAACTAATTATATCTGCAATATGCTTATTTCCAGGTAAGTTCACGTTCTGGAGTACTGGGGGTTAAGACTTCAGCATATACACTTTGAGGGGACACAATTCAATCTATAACGGTCAACTATGAGTTTTCCTTCTCACTCTTCTGGAAAGTTCTTGCTCCTGCCTCTTTAAGCCAAGCCAATCCACAGACATACTACACACCCACTAATCTCTAATGATGACCCAGGTACTCCCTCTAGGGTCTGGGCCAATTTTTCTTAGACCCTTTCCCATAGCCCCTCTTGAACTGCTCTTATTTTATTCATCCAATTCTTCACTTCTTTTTTTCTTTTTTTTTAAAAACTTTCTGGCTTTGCAACTCAACTTTGATTTCTGCCTCTGGCCTCGCTGGTCTTTTTGGGATTCAAATTTCAGTTTTCTCTATCCAGTAGCCTTTGGCTTGGCTTTTCCTCTGGCTCCTGGGGCCTAAATTGCTCTTGTTCCGGGCATATGAAATCCAACCTTGATGTCGATCTACTCTTTGGAAGCCTGGGGGGGCCAGCCTGGCCTCCCCTCAAGGCTGCTCAGTGTGTTTGGCAGGCTCTCCTGAACCTCTCTGAAACTCAAGGACCCCATGTGGAACAGACTGTTGTAGCAGAACCTGCAATGTGCTCATAAAAATGCACACAGCTAGGTTTCCTGTCCGAGTCTCCAGGCAATTAGGTGTGGCCAGGTGCCTGTTTCTGGCCAATGGAATGTAAGCACAATGGAATCACAGGCCTAGCCCAGAAAAACCCTCCAGGCAATCCTCTTCATTCTCTTTGTCACCATCTGCAGTCTGAGTGCAGAGGGTTCAAAGATCCTTGTGAAGGATGACGGTTATAGAGCCCTAAGGTGGAAATAATTTAGCCTGGGCCCCTGAATCACACACAGATCACATACAGTACAGATAGCTGCCCAATGAATCCTTGCATTTTTCTTTTTTTTTTTTTTGAGGTGCTCTGTCACCAGGCTGGAATGCAGTGGCACTATCTCAGCTAACTGCAACCTCCAGCTCCCTGGTTCAAGCCATTCTCCTGCCTCAGCTTGCTGAGTACCTGGGATTACAGGCACGCACCTCCACGCCCAGCTAATTTTTGTATTTTTAGTAGAGATGGGGTTTCACCATGTTGGCCAGGAGGGTCTCGATCTCCTGACATTGTGATCTGCCTATCTTGGCCTCCCAAAGTGTTGGGATTACAGGCTTGAGCCACCACGCCCTGCCCCTTGCATTGTTTTATTGGAGAAAAAAATAAACTTCTATTGTGCTGAGCCACTGAGATTTGGGAAGTGTTTGTTAAGCAGCTAGGTATGATCACCCAAACTGAGATGTCTTTGAGGATGAAAAGAAAAACACCTAAGTTTGTTTCTATCATTATTGCATTTTTCCCTCATTCCTTCCCAAATATTTACCCCCCACCTCCAGGCTGTTTTGAAGAATGGAGAAAGAGAATTGCTTCCCAACTTTCCCAGTCTGTTGACTATGGAAGGCTCCTTCTCATGTGTGTTGGAGTTGACTTTCAAGTCAGGAAGTCAGGGGGTCGGGCTTATGATTTACAGTTGATGACATATGCACTCTGACTTTGGGATTTGCCCTCTCTCGCTCTGTATGTATGTATGTGTATATACATATATGTACGTATATATATATGCTGTGTGTGTGTAACATCCCCTCTGAGCCTTGTTTAGTAGGCTTTTGTAAGCTGAAGTTTGGTTTATGGTTAGGGAAAAGACAATACAAAGTAAAATTGACAGAATAAGTGAAAATTCTCTCAGGAGAGGACAGAAAGGGAAGATGATCTGAGGAAGATCATTCTCCTGCATACTCTGTCCGATGAATATTTAATGAGTCAAACATGGACAGCAGATGAATGCAAAGAGGGACACAGCATCTCAGCATAGAATAAGGGAAGCTCAAGACTTTAATTAGCAGAAACTTTCAAAAGTGTATAAAGTGATTAAAGGAGCCTTGCAGAGTGTGTCTCTAGAATGTCCTAAGGATGGAAGAGGCAGGGGTGGCATAATACCAGGAGCCCATGCTTCAACCAAGATTCAGGAAGCAGACTCTTGCTCTAGCCCCAGTTCTGCCTTTTTCTATCACATGAGTCCTAAAATCCAGTTAATCTCTCTGGGCCTCTGTTTCTTTCTCTAACAAATAATTATAAGACCCATCTTATAAGGTTGCAATTTGTAACTTACCTGAACATTCAGAACTGTAAAATATGAAGGTTTTACTTCAAACTTGGCTTCCCCACTTTGGGTGCTATAATCTTGTTCCTAAACTTTTGCCATCAGAAGTTGTTCCCTACATTGGGGTCAGACTCTGAAAGATTTCAAAAGCCAGGCTGAAGAATTTGGACCTGACCCTGTAGGTGAAGGAGAAACTTCAAAGACAATGAAGGCCACTAGACTCTTGAAGACTGGGTTTGTTAATAACTTCCCTGGAGCATTTTCTGGCTTCTATCTTTCCTCTCCCGGGGTTAGGAAGCCGTGAACTTCTGTAATTCCATACTTATCTCCAAAGCTTCAACTCACTGTCCTCCTTAAACTTTCCTCTTCACATGTGCTGAGAGTGTCCTTCAACCTTCTCTGAACACAGAGATTTGTTCTTGTTCTCCTGGGGTCTGTGACCTCATTTTGCACAGAACCAAACTGTCAGCTGCCATTAAGATGCTTGCCCTCTTAAGACCACCTAGTAGGGCCTCTTCAGTGGCTTTCTAAGGACCATTGACCAGGTGTTAGCTATGCCTTAAGCCTTTGGCCAGACTATTGCTGAAAATCTTCAGGTGAAAGTCAAGCCAATAATTTCAGGGGACCTTGGTACCATGACAAAGGAAGCCCAGAGGCTTTATGAAGGCCTCATTGATTCTTCATGACCTTCATAACCACTTAGAATACACAAAACAAGACTTCTCTATGGGTACAAGAATCTCAAGCAGAAAGGGGGGCAGACTTCATCTGATGAAGAAGCTATTGAGTGCTCCATTAGCCTAGGCCTTGGGAGACCCACTGCTCAATTAATAGAAGGAGGGTTTTTTTGTGTTTTTTTCCAATGTCTTGGAAAACTGAATTTGAAACGCAAACAATTGCAAAGGTCAAAGGTGTAGCAGCTTCAGGCTAAATCTTAGTCCCTTTGTAGGTCTGCCTGTAAATGTTGAAGCTGAGAGGTTGACCTAGAAGGAGTCAAGGACTCTGAGCTGCAGTTAAGGAGGCTCAGGTGTCCTGACCACTGTAACCATGTTAGAGACAAGTGGAGTTCCAATGGACAGGTGGCACTCACAATTAAGGAATATTTAATAAACAAAGGAAGGGTCAGCTGGCTTCTAGGAAAAAGGTTTATTTTGATTTTTTCCTTGAGGCCATTGCATAGAGGTTGGGAGAAGGAAGGGCATGTACTGGTGGATAAGCACCTACATGGAGAAAAGGCACCTGCTTTCAATCTTGTTGTCATTTAATGGTAGAGGTCAGGCAAAAGATCCACTTGTCCCAGAGTTTTAACATAAATCTCTATCTGGACAGCCCCAGGGCTCTGCCTTAGCCTGGCGACATCAGTAGGTAACTTGTACTGCATGCTCACCATGTCCCAGGCAGCCGACTGAGAGATGTGCAGATGTTGTCTCAGTTCTGTTTTAGGGTAGTTTTTAAAATAAAAATCTCATTTTGCAAATGAAGAAACTAACACTCAGAGACGTTGAATGATATTTCAAGGCCACTTGACCAGTAAGTGGCAGCCAGGAGATCAGGGGTCATAAGTCACCCTACTCACTCCTGTAACCCTGCTCCTAGAATGATGTCTGGCATAAGTAGACATTCCAAAATATTTGTTAAGCAAAGGATTGAATCTGACTTCAGGGTCTGTGTCATCATGCTTCACTGCCTCAGGTCTAGCAAAGTCCTTCTGGGACTTAACTGTTTGGAAAAGTTGTGTGACTCTTCTTCAACTCCACTGAATAGTATGACATAGAAACAGTCGTACTGATGGGTACTTCTGGGTGGATGTGACGTGCCCCTAATCTAGAGAAGGACATTGAGATTTAGATAACGGTATCTGAAAGCAGCAGAGGTAGAAGCCAGCAGGCAGGTGGGGACCCAGGGCTATCATCTTGAATCTGTCAGTAAAGAACTCTGGGTGTTTGAGAAGTCATCTTCCCTCTTGAAGCTTGGTTTGCATGATCTGCTACATGATGTGTTTCTCTAGCTATCACTTTTTAAGAGCCAAGAGTCCAAGGAGCCTGCAGAATCTCTCCAGGAAACTAATCCATCTGTTTCTCTTCTGAACATTGTCCAGAGACCACAACACACGTTGCCTCCCATGTCCATGGCCATTTCTCAGCATATAGATGAAAACTTACATCCACACAAAAACTTGAACACAGATGTTTATAGCAGCTTTATTCACAATTTCCAAAACTTGGAAGATGTCCTTAAGTAGGTGAATGGATACATAAACTGTGGTCCATCCAGAAAATGCAATATTATTCAGCACTAAACATAAATGAGCTACAAACCATAAAAAGTCATGGAAGAACCTTCAGTGCATATTACCAAGTGAAACAATCCAATCTGAAAAGTCTACAAACTATATGATTCCAAACATATGACATTCTGGAAAAGGCAAAACTTATGGAGACAGTAAAAAATCAATGGTGTGCAGGGGTCAGGAGGGAGGGAGGTAGAGGACAGAAGATGTTTAGGGCAGTGAAACTTCTCTGTAGGATACTATAATGATGGATACATGTCAATATACATTTGTCCAAACCCATAAAATGTACAATACCAAGAGTGAACCCTAATGGGTTCTCGGTGATAATGGGCTCTGGGTGATAATGATGTGTCAATGTAGGTTCAATTGTAACACATGAAACAATCTGCTGGGGGATGCTGATAATGGGGGAAGCTGGGAATTTGTGGGGGCTGGGGGTATACGGGAAATCTCTGTACTTTCAGCCCAATTTTGCTATGAACCTAAAACTGCTCTAAAAATGTCTATTAAAAGAAAAAAAAGTACATAAACACCATTTGAGAAGACTAAAACACATTCACTTACACTTTATAGAGCTTCTTAAATTATTGCCATTATGTGTTTTCCCAATAAACTGATCCTATTAAAAAACAGTATAATTTTGAGGAAATTATCCTGGAAAGGGGTTTTCCTACCAGAAAATGTGTTGAATCACTCAAGTAGATGGTTCTGGTGCTTTCTCCCAGTTCTCCCCTTCTGAAGTATCACTGAAGGCCCTAAGGTTTCCGTAACTAAGGACGCTGTCAGGTGGTCTAACTAGGGTTGGGTCCCAGTAGAGTAAGCTTCATCTGCTCACCTCAGTTTTCTTAAGGGTGAAGGAGCCGGCATTTATGAGCAACTACAATGGGTCAGACACACATTTTATCTCTACTTCAAGGCTTTGCTTGTGTGGTTCTCTTAAAACCCTCTTTCCCACCTCGATTTATTGAATTCTGTTCACCCCTTGCTGTCCTGGGCTCAGATATCTCTTCTTTCCAAGGCCAGTGCACAATCCAGCCCACCTGCCCTCCTCCCTGAGGTCCTCCAGCTCTTGCTGATGTCAGCCCTTCCTTTTCTAAGGTATCAGAGAATTCACTGTTCCCAAGGGAACCCTAAGCCCCTCTGCCCACTTTGTAGATAAGCCCACTGAGGCAACTTGCCCTAACATGCCAGCTGCTTAGCTACCCAGCCAGGACCTATAAGGTCTCTGGGCACCATGAACCATGAATTTGTGCCCTCTCTCAAGTGAGTTTGTCAGCTCATGTAAAACAAGGAGACAAATAGATCTTACTTTTCCTGTATACTGTTTAGAACCATGACGGATTTTTGACATCTCTTTGAAGTGTGGATACGTGAAGATTAAAAGAGCAGCAGAGCAAAAATGCCATGGTGCCTCACTCTTTATATTCATGGAAGTATCTTTCTCTCTTTCCATTCCTCTTCTCTCCATTTTCTAAACCAGCGTTTCTGAACCTCAGTACTATTGATGTGTTGAGCCAGATAATTCTTTGCTTGCTAGACTGTTCTATGCATTGCAGGACACTTGGGAACATCCCTGGCCACTATCCACTGGATGCCTTCAGCACTCATCCCCCAAGTTGTAATAATCAGAAATGTCTCCAGAATTTGCCAAATGTCACCTGGGGAGCAAGATCGCCTCTGGTTGAGAACCACTGCTCTAACAGCTCCTAGAGCACCTACCCTGTGCCAGATAGTGCTGTAATTTCTGAGAAACCCCAGATCTTCTTCCACCCCCATTATAGGAAATCATGGCTTTGGAGAAGGCTGCTTACAGGAAACCATAAAGTGATTCTCTGTTTTCTCACCTTGGTTATGAAGATAACACAATCAGGTCACAGAGGCAGGGTTTTTGGAACTTCAAAGCTGAGCCGTAGGGAGTGGAGGGACAGGAGCTGGGTGCAGAGGTCTTATCGGTAGCTTGAATGTTCCCACCCTTATCAATCCAGAAGGAGGGACCCTAGGGGAGAACAAGTGGAGAGTCAAAAGGCCAGGCTGCTTGTGGCTTCCTACCTGTCTGTGGACTAAAAGGGACCAGGAAATAAGTAAGGACTGAAGAAAGGAATGCAAAGTAGGAGGAATGCTGAAGAGATAGTGGAATTTTGTGGGTGGGGAGTGTGAGTGTGGAGGGGGAAACTTCGCTGACTCTACATGAACTCATGCTGCCCTGGAGTGGACACCAGGGTTCTGGAACCACAGAATCTGAGAGCTAAGTCTTGGCATTAGATATGTGAGCATCACCTGGAAGTCACCAGGGCCTCAACTCTGGGGACATGAACTGGGTAGATGTGGCTTTGAAAATGTCTGTCATAGATCATGAAGGCCTGAACACAGGCAGCAGCAATTGGGATGGAGAAGTGAGATTCCTGATAGGACGAATTTACTGAAGGTGAGGGCAAACCATTTGCAGAGGTTTGAGGGAGTAGGAGAAATCGAAAATAATAATAATAAAACCCTTTATATTACTTATGATGTGCCAGACACTGTTTGATGCACTTTATATAAATATTAACTTATTCTATCTTTACAACAACTCAATACAGTAGGCACTATTGAAGTACTTGTTTTATAGGTGAGGAAAGTGAAGCACAGAGATATTTAATAACCAGCAGGTCACGGGGTAAATGAGAAGAACTGGAATCTGAAAACAGACAGCTCAGTTCTAGCACTTGTGCTTTTAATCACTGTGTTACAATCACTTAGCAAACAGAACTTGGGCAGCTAATTGGATAGTAATATCATTAACTCAGGTACGGCCTGAAGGAGGAATAGGTTTGAAGGGAAAACAATGGGTTCTGCATTGAAGATGTTATGTCTGGCCTGTGTGTGGGGGTACCCAGGAGCTGTTACCTGGAAGGTAGTGTAGCAGGTTAGCACTGAGCTCAGTACAGAGGTCTGGGTAGCTGAAGCCATGGATCTGGGTGTGTGGCTCAGGGAGCTATGTGCAGTAAGACAAGAGTACCAAGGAACTCTGGAGGTCGCCAACAACTAAAGAGAGATGGAAGAAGAACCAAGAAGAGAGAATGAAAAAAAAAAAAATCCATCAGTGTTGAGAGTAGGGCCCTGGAAATTAAAGGCGAGGTGAGTTTCAGGAAGAAGGGTAAGGTTACTAGGGACAAAGTTGTAAAGAAAGCCACTAAGATAAGACTTGAAAAGAGGTATTGTTCTTCAACGGTTTCAGGCATTTCTAATTTATTTTCCCAGCCAGAGGGGAAACTTCTTGAGGTCAAGTGTTACCTTCAGTGTTTCACTGGGTACCTCTTTGGGCTATCCTAGTTTTTAGTGCAATGCTAGGCATGCAGAAGGCATCCCCCAAATACCTGTGGGCTGACGGTCATTCAGGCTCCTGTTGGTTTTTCTTATTAAGACAATGTGACTTTATTTGTAAGTTTGTCTATACCAGTTTAGAAGGAGATATGATGTTCTGAGTCTTACACAACGTT